>NC_000012.12:94335128-94960128 GCF_000001405.40 Homo sapiens | reverse complement strand
AACCCCATCTCTCCTAAAAATACAAACATTAGCTGGGTGTGGTGGTGGGCACCTGTAATCCCAGCTACTGGAGAGATGGTGCCACGGCACTCCAGCACTCCAGCCGGGGCATCAGAGAGAGACTTTTGTCTTAAAAAAAATGAGTCACCAATGTTTAAAATCTGGGAGACTATACATAAGAATCTAGATTTCTGCTTATTCTTGAAAAATTTAAAAAAAAAAACAAAAAACCAAACCTGTCAACATGGGGCCCTTCGCAACAATCCACTACAGCTCAGCATCTAGTGGATAGCTCATTTAAGCTAATTGCAGGCTTTCAGTTTGTTTCGCCTCCTTTTTTTGTCACTTTCTGTCCCTCAAGCTAGCAGGGTGGTTAACAAGAAGAGGAAGGGGTGCTGCCGAGATGGAAGATTGATGAGTCCACGCCTTCCTCCCTACCTGGGAAAAGCCCCGTGAATGGGACCTCTGTGTTTCTAGACTCACGAGGCTGTTGAGAAGGTGTTTCCTTGTCTCTTTGCTCAGGACTGAAGAGGAGGGAAGTCGTCTCTAACAGGGCTGCAGCACGGCGGCAGTGGTGATGGTGGCCACTAATGAGGGTTGTGTGGGGGTGGCAACGCTGGAGAAGGTGACTGAGACAGGGTGAAGGTCAAGGAGCCCCTGAGGTTCAGCAGGGATGGCATTCCTTCCGAGACAAGCTGTGGCCCCACCTGGGGAGGCTGGAGGGATCTAGAGATCAATGAAAAGATAAATTCCTCAAGGGGTAGAGGCTGGAGGTGGCTGACCCCTTAGAAGGGTCTGAGAGTCTAGACTCTTAAGATGCCCCTCCTGAGAGCAAGAAAACGCCATCTCCAGATCTGGAAGCACTAAAATGCCTCCTGCGGACTGTCCCTTCTAGTGACTGGAAAGAGGATAGCCTGGAACAGGATCTCATTTAGATGTTAGCTAGATGGAATGAAGGGAACTGGGGGTTGGCCTCTGGATTCCTGAGTTTCCTTCACTGCTCTAATTGGTGCTGTGTTTATTCATTCATTCATTTTTCCGTGCGCATATCCTTTTACTCCCCTACATCAATCCACAGATGACTGTCGCTGCTGACAGAAAGAATGCCATTTTTTTTTTAAGAGATGGTCTTATTCTGCTACCCAGGCTGGAGTGCAGTTGCACGATCATGGCCCACTGTGTCCTGGGCTCAAGTGATCCTCCCACCTAAGCCTCCTGAGTAGCTGGGACTACAGGTGCACACCACCATACCCAGCTAATTTTTAAAGTTTTCAGTAGAGATGGAGGTCTCACTATGTTACCCAGGCTGGTCTTCAGCTCCTGGCCTCAAATGATCTTCCCACCTCAGCCTCCCAAAGTGCTGGGATTACAGGCATGAGCTGCCACCCAAAAGTTTTGAAGAGGAAAGTATAAGCACAATTAAAGACTTACAGATGCAGCAAGCATAATTTTAAAATAAAATCTCTCTGATGTGTTTTTCTTATTACAAAAGCAATACATGTACATCATAGAAAATTTAGAAAATATAAACAAGAAAAGATTCAAGAATATTCATGATTAGAGCATCCAAAAAAAACCACTGTTAATACCTCAGAGTATATCTTCTCGTTTTTCTGTGTAAAATGTAAATATTTTAATATTTTAGTTAAGTATGATTATAACCTCTCCATGTTGTTTCCTAATCTGCTTTTCTCGCTCAATAATAAATAAATTGTGGCCGGGTGCGGTGGCTCATGCCTGTAATCCTAGCACTTTGGGAGGCCGAGGTGGGTGGATGACAAGGTCAGGAGTTCGAGACCAGCCTGACTAACATGGTGAAACCCCGTTTCTACTAAAAATACAAAATTAGCCGGGTGTGGTGGTACATGCCTGTAATCCCAGCTACTCAGGAGGTTGAGGCAGGAGAATCGCTTGAACCCAGGAGGCGGAGGTTGCAGTGAGCTGAGATTGCGACATTGAACTCCAGCCTGAGCAACAGAGCAAGACTCCATTTCAAAAAAAAGAAAAAGAAAAAAGTAATAAATTGTAAACATTAGGCAAAATTAATGCATTTTTATCTATAGCATTATTATTATTATTTGAGATGGAGTCTTGCTCTGTTGCCCAGGCTGGAGTGCAGTGACATGATCTCAGCTCACGGCAACCTCTGACTCCCAGGTTCAAGTGATTCTCCTGCCTCAGCCTCCTGAGTAACTGGTATTACAGGCACCTGCCACCACACTGGCTAATTTTTTTGTATTTTTAGTAGAGAAGGGGGTTTCACTATGTTGGCCAGGCTGGTCTCGAACTCCTGACCTCAAGTGATATGCCCACCTCGGCCTCCCAAAGTGCTGGGATTACAGGCATGAGCCACCATGCCCAGCCTACAGCATCATTTTAAATGAATGAGTACAATTTCACTGTAGGTGTATATCATAACTCATTTAAACAATCGCCTCATTATCAGACAAGATTTTGAAAACTACTGTTATATCTGACATAATGGTTGGAGAACTCTATTTCAGATAGATATGTTGGCTCTTTCAGCCCCATAGACCCCTGGCATGAATCAAGGCCCATTAGGCCAAGAGTGGGGAAAAAAAAAACTATTGAAAAATTTTCATGCTATCGAGTCTATTTTACTACTCTCTTTGAAGCACAAAGGAATAACTGTTCTCATTATTCTCTGTCTTCTATGTTATATAACTTGTTAGAGTTTCTAGCTGGGCTACTCTAACGTTATTAATTGTATCTCTTCTTTAACTTGGGAAATTCTTCAGTGAATAAATAGTGATCCATCTTCCTGGGACTTGCTTGAACCAAAGTGACATGCAGAATGTTAACACAGTGCTGGGTTTCAGGAGGAAACCATCCTTGTGAATAAATAAAGCACACAACATTAACTCACTCCTTGGGGTGTATCCTATGAGTCCTTCCAAGACTGTTAGGTAAAGTGCATGTATCAGATCCATCTTCAGAGATTATTCATGTGCATTGGCTATCCCTGTGTCTCATCTGGCAGAGCAGCTGCTACCCAGCTGAGCATGGTCACAATCACATCATGGGAGCCTTCTCTTCCTGTTGCATTTTTTTTTTTTCAAGCAAAAGTTACTTCTAGGGAGAAACTTCAGCTGTTAACTTTACCTTTGATTTAGAATGTGCAGTACACACATTCCACCTTCCCCTGTACATCTGATGCTAGGAGACCTGTTGTTGGCTGTCCAGCCTCTATTTCTCTTCATTCATCATAACAATATCCTATTTTCTTGGGGAAACCAGCACTCATTCCCACCATTCTCAGCTCTGCAGGTTTTATGTGGCTGGCTCCATAGCCATCTCCTGGTTAGAACCTGATTTTCCTCCCCATGGACACAGCGATTGGCTCAAAGGCGGGCACAAGACTTAAGCTAGTCCAATCCGAGGTCCTTTGACAAGAATTCTGAGACACAGACTCCTTTCTCTTCTCTTTGATATTAATGAGGACACATTTCCCCTTCTCCCAGCCCCAGGGGCTACTGGTCAGCATCTTGCAATAATGAGAGCCAACATTAGGATGAAGAGAGTAGAGATGGGAAGACGTGGATGCCCTTGAGTTGCTGGATCAAACCCTGCCTAAAATTCATTCTCCATTTTTCTCTTTCGTAAGCCAATAAGTTCTTCTGTCTAAGCCAGTTTGGGGAAGGTTTTTTAATGCTTAAAGCTAAAAGATACATGACCCAATTGATGCTAGTTGTAAAGAAATACATCGTTCCTCTATGTACCTTCCTTCTTTTCCATAGGTCCAAGGCTGGAGTTCAGTGGTGCTATCTTGGCTCACCACAGCATCTGCCTCCCGGGTTCAAGCGATTCTCCTGCCTCAGGCTCCCAAGTAGCTGGGATTACAGGCACCTGCCACCACACCTGGCTAATTTTTGTATTTTTTAGTAGAGATGGGGTTTCACCATGTTGGCCAGGCTGGTCTCAAACTCCTGACCTCAAGTGATCTACTGTCTCCCAAAGTGCTGGGATTACAGGCATGGACCACCACGCCCAGCCCTGAATCCTTTTCTTTTCAACGTTGCCATCTCCCTCTTCATCCCTGGGAACTTTCCTGTTTCTAGGAATGACAAAGAAATGGGGCACAACCCCCCGCCAGTTTCCTTACTTTCTTTCCTAGAAGGCAAGCACTTTGGAGCTTTCTGACTTCAGCAATTTGTTGCTAACCACTGTAAGGAAATATCCAGGGAAGAATTACAAACGTGGGGTGTTTGCACAGGTTGTAGAAATCATTTGCTCTTAGGGTCTTTGTGGTCTATTATGAATCTAGGTGCAGTAAGAAAAACCTGAGTGGCTCTAGGGTGTCTTTCTCATATGACATTGGAAGGTTGGCCTTAACCACTTACTCCAGGAAAATTCATGCCGGCACATTTGCTAGTCCTGGGAGCATTCTGAGTTACAACCTAAATTTGCTTCCTCATTTTTATGGCCGGTTTCATACCCTAGGTCTCCTCAGAGAACGAAAGTGCTTCCCATTTGGTCTCCAGAAATGATTTCTTTGGGCTTCAGGCCACTCTGCACCTGCTTTGTAGATACCTGTACTTCGAGTAGAGCTCTCTCACTCCAGTCCTTGGAAATCTTACCTTACTGTGAATGCCGCCTGTTATTTACTCCTTGGCATTAAATCTCCTCTCCTCTTCTTCATGGTAATAGTACCCCAGTTTTCTGTGAGGCGCCACCTCACCCCCACTGTGAGTCATGTGGTTTAGGTGGGAATGACTTTAGTTCCACATCAGCCCACCTGATGCCACTTGTAAAGACACTGTAGCGGATTTCCAGCTTGCTTTCTTTTGATGGCTCCCTTTTTACTTACTTACAAATTCTTCTTGCTCTGTAATGCACGGGTTTTCTGCCCATTGAGCTCACACAGCTGCTTCTCATCACTCCTTTACATGCCTTCCTTCTTTTCCATGGGTGGGCTCTGATTAACTTAAGCCGATCAACAAAGCCCTTGCATCTGACTACAGTGATTGCTTCAGGATGGGCACTTGATTCCATTAAGGCCAAAGAGACATGAGGAAGTATTAAAGCTCATCTAGATTTCAGCGTGGCTAGTGTCATCTTCTACAACTCCCTGGATGCCTCCTTGGCTTCAGCGCCCGGAAATCCTCCCTTCTTTTCTTGTCCAGAGCTCTCTGTTCAATGCCACGTGCCTTTGGTGCATTCTCAAGACAGGTATTAATGCAGATTTTATTCCAACTGAAGTTTGCCTCCTTTTCTTTTTGTTCTGGACCAGGAATAACAAATAGGTTTTATTTTGTGGGTCAACTCTGTTCAATAGGTAGTAGATTTGGGAGGCTGAGGCGGGAGGATCGCTTGAGCCCAGGAGGTTAAGGCTGCAGTGAGCCATGATCATGCCACTGCACTCTATCCTGGGAGACAGAGTGAGACCCTGTCTCACAACAACAACAACAACAGCAACAACAACAAAATAGGTAGTAGGAGATAGATAATGGGGATCTGTGCTAAGAGAGATTCTGAGGCTGTCTCTGGTCTCAGCAAGAAAGTATGCAGTGATCACTTAGTAATGTCTGCCATGGACATGGAATGGGGAGTGTGCCTCATGTTTTTGATGTCTCTGTTCTAAGTCAAGGTCTGAGCCTAGTACCTCTGACAGTCATATGGCCTCCCAATGTCTGCCTGCAGCTCCTGGCTGAACGTGTGTTTTCCTGGTTCATGACTCATATGGGTGTACCCAATAAACTTCTGCTCCTTATCTAGGGAACACAGAGTCCTGTTGCAGACCTGAAATGATTGACATACCCTAAGACAAATGACTCTCTTGGTGCCCTTCCTGGCTTATATTATTTGCTTCTCCCATCTGCTCAAGTCTCTGGTGGCCCATTCCAGAACAATAGGGTTCCTCTCTAATCCTCCAGCTATAAAGGTCATTTTAGAATTATAGATTTACAATATAAAAGTAGCTTAAAAATGAAAAGACATGATTTACACCAAGAGAACAGGTGGGCTGTTGATCACACACCAGCTCTCATCCATGACTCATAAAGTTTAATCCTTTTTATAGACATGGCTGAGCCAGACTTTATTCATGATTCTTTCCTTGAAACCACAGCAAAGTCTTTAACACTCTAGACATTGTGTTTCCTGAATGAAATCAAGTTAGATTGGTGTTTGAATTCTACAAATATCTTGGTATATTTACCCTGATTTTGATGGGAGAGTTTGCTGTTCTGTGATCATAAACCATTGGTTATATGGGTATCCAATGTCAGGTGTAATCAGTGCCGATTTCAGTTATATCCCAACTTGGAGAGATATCTGTCTGAGATCCCACTCACCTTTGTCCCCAGATTCTTACCAGTGATTGCAATAGTGATATGGGCTCAGGGTAGCATTTGCAGAGGGCTTTCTAGTCTGTGAGCCCCTCCCCTCGTGGTCTGGAAGTGGAAAGGGGTGTGGGGTCTCCTGTGAGGACTGGAGAACCCATCCAGGCTCATCTCCCCATCTCAAGATCCTTCATTTAATCACATCCGCAGAGTCTCTTTGACCATGTAAAGTAACAGGTTCCAGGGACTGAGACACAGACATCTTTTGGGGGCCATTACTCAGATTATCACAGACCCATATTTATAGGGGGACCTGCTGCTGCAGAAAAGAATCTGCTCAGAGGAACGAGCTTAACCTTATGGCATTTCCTCGTCCCATTTTCTAATTATGGGAAACCGGGTAAAATTGTACCATCCGCAAAATTAACTATGGCAGAACTTTTGTGTTTTTGTCACCCAGGAACCATTTTCCCCAGACTGTCTGGGTTCATCTCCTGGCTCTGCTACTTACCAGCAGTGTGACCTTGGGGAATTTACTTTCTCTGTGTCTCAGTCTCATGAAATGTAAAATTAAGTGATATTTGCACCTCCAGCACACAGTCGTGTAAGAATTAACTGAATTAGTGTATAGAAAGTGTTTTAAACACTATTTGGTACAGGTTTATATATAAACTCTTATTGAAATGGGAGAGTTCCCTGACCCCCCGGCAGGACATGCAGCAGGAGTATGGCTCAAATGTTCGACCACCATGCACTCAAACACCTTACAGGAGGGGGAGCACACAGATGGGCAGATGCAGGAGCTGGGGTGAGCACTTTTGGGCTCTGGCCCCATGGTGGCATCTAAGAAGGTGTTACAATTTATGCCCTTTTAGTAGCTGTCATCTGTGGACAGCTAATTGCTACACCAGCTCAGTAGAGAGTCAGGGTGACAGCCTTTTACACCCTGTCCTTCTGGTACCCAGGTCCTTTTCCAGCATCCAGGAAGAATCAGATCACACACAGACTTGAAGGCTGGTGAATGTGGGGGTTTTATTGAGAGCTGGAGGTGGCTCTCAGCAGAATGGATGAGGAGCCAGAAAGGGGATGGAGTGGGAAGATCATCTTCCCCTGGAGTTTGGCTGTCCTGTAGCTGATCTCCCAACCAACTGTCCCCAGCTGAACTCCTCTTGATGTTCAGATGCTCCTTCTCTTCTCTCCTTCTCTGTTGCACCACTCTGCTGCTCTTCTGTTTTCTCATCTGCTTGTGGAACCTGGAGTTTGGGGTTTATATGAGTACAAGATAGGGGGCGTGGCAGGCCAAAAGGCAACATTTGGGCACAAAAACAAGAATGCCTGTTCCCGTGGGTTTCCAGGCTTGAGAGTGGGGCCCTTGCCAGGGAACCACCCTCTTCTACCCAGTATTTCCTTGCTTCCTGTCCACATTATTATTATTTTTACCCCACTTTTCTTCTTTTCCTCTGGGGAAACCACTCTTCTCTTCTTCAGTCTGTGTTTCAGATAGAGCCAACTCCACCTTTACCTCTGTTTGCACTGTGACATCTCACCCAAGTCCTCCTGAGTCAGGGATTTGCGGGCTCACCCTCTCCAGAAAGAGAATTTCTTGGCCAGGGATTGGAGAGCAGACATAGAATAACAATGAACTTGCTCCTGATTAGCTCCTCCTATTTAGTAAAGGAAAGTTCTTTGTTTTATAATCATAAGTGATCCATCTTAGAAAATAATCTCATAACATATACATTGAAAATTACTTTGTGAAAGGTGTTCTGTTCTGGCCTAATGTGGCAGGGGCAGGGTGAGTATTTCTGATCCAGTTTTCTCTGCCCTGCAAGTCCCACTTCTCAGGATTCCAGCTTCCAGAATTCTGTTGAATCTCTAGTCTGCTGTTATCTTCCTCTCATTCTTTTTTTCTGCGTGGATTTATACCTACTTCACACCGATTTTGTTATTTTACAGTCATGTGATTGAGATTTCAGAAGAGAGAAGAGATAAAGCCTGTGTTCAACTCACTATATTTAATGGTAAAGTCTTTCAGAAATCAAAGAAGCTTTGCTGGGAAATGGATGCGCAGCATTGCCCCGGGTAGCCTGTCTTGGACACATCCCTGAACCACACCAACTTAGGTTGGAATTAAATCTGCAAATTGCAGTGGCTATTTTTCAGAAAATGTGAGCACTCAGAAACCTAATAAGCTTCAGGGCAAAATGTCTTTACTGTAAAAGACATAATAAATTTCATCCTGCAAATTAATCCCTGTGCTTTGTTCCATGAGAAGAATAGTCCTGGCTCTGCAGCCTGTAGCCTCACAGAGGAAACAAGTTGGTTTGGCTCCTACTGCCCTGGGGCCCACACCCCAGCTTGGTCTGCTTCTGGGATCTGTCCCAGTTGGAAACCAGCTCTTTGTCAGGATGAGTGGCGTGTTCCGGGGGGCTCCTGGGTGGGATTTTTTTTTTTTTTTTACCATTGTCTTTCTTTGCTCTCTATGGTGTGGGAGACTGTGAGGTGACAGCTAAGGTATCTGTCCCTGGCCCCATTATCTCACCTCTTATCAGCTGCCACCATGACTACACAACAAAAACAAGGAGAAATGAGGAGAGAATTCAGTCATCTGAAAAGGCATCCGAGAAGTACCAGTTGCTGACATGTTTACCTCAAAATAATACATCTTGACATCTTATGGGTCAGCAGAAGCTGCCCTTTCAGATAATTTTCTATAAATTTCCCCAGACATAGCCCTCAAGCACCTCTCACTTCACCTCTCCACACCCAAACAACTCACATAATAAATGATGATGCCAGGGAAGATCCAGGTTTTGTGGAAACTAAGGTTTATACAATTTGTGGGGAGGTGAGCTCCTTCCCTAGGAAAAAGAATGCAAAGTTATAAATATAAAATTAAGTATGAAATTGAATATTTTACTTAAAATGGGAAAAGAAATTATAGCATGTTACAAAGTTTTAAAAGCTGACAAATAGTACAAAAATCCAGAAAAATAATATCTTTATTATTGGACTACTCAACACTCTCTTTACACTTTTCTGTTTTTGTAATTGCATACCTCCATGTGCTTCTTCACATGCAATGATTTCGTAATATCATTTTCTAGAGATAGAGAATTCAGTCTTCCCTATAGCATGGTTGAATACTCTTCCTTTAAAATATTTATATATTAGAAAAGATTTTCAGCCTCAGAACTGGCTATTGGTAAGTCATGTAAATTTTTAAAATTGTTGCCGGCCGGGCGCGGTGGCTCACGCCTGTAATCCCAGCACTTTGGGAGGCCGAGGCGGGCGGATCACGAGGTCAGGAGATCGAGACCATCCCGGCTAAAACGGTGAAACCCCGTCTCTACTAAAAATACAAAAAATTAGCTGGGCGTAGTGGCGGGCGCCTGTAGTCCCAGCTACTTGGGAGGCTGAGGCAGGAGAATGGCGTGAACCCGGGAGGCGGAGCTTGCAGTGAGCCGAGATCCCGCCACTGCACTCCAGCCTGGGCGACAGAGCGAGACTCCGTCTCAAAAAAAAAAAAAAAAAAAAATTGTTGCCAAATTTGGGAAACTCCACAGAAAATTTCTTTCATATATGAACTGTAAGACTTCATGTACATTTCAAGTTTTCTCACAGAGGGACTGATCTTAAGTATTCTGAATTG
Organism: Homo sapiens; assembly: GCF_000001405.40. NCBI lineage: Eukaryota > Metazoa > Chordata > Mammalia > Primates > Hominidae > Homo > Homo sapiens. Next base: position 94,950,174 of record NC_000012.12, on the reverse strand, counting down.
ATGACCTTCATTAGCCAGTTTGTCATTGGTAACCCCATTGAACTGGTGGATTATGGTATCAGTATTTCATGTTAGATAAAAAATAAATAGATAATCAAACAATATAAAAGCCTATTCTTTGTTTGAAAGTCCTTTCTTCCTCTAAATGAGTTAGTTACTATACTTTGGGTATAATTTGAAAAAAAATATATTTTGGCTTACAGTTTGCTTCTCATTGTCAGAATAATTTCCTTCCATCCTTCCTTCCTTCCTTCCTTTCTCTCTCTCTGTCTCCCTCTCTCTGCCTCCCTCCCTCCCTCCCTCTCTCTCTCTCTTTCTTTCTTTCTCTCTCTCTCTCTCTCTCTTTCTTTCTTTCCTTCTTTCCTTTTTCTGAGACAGGGTCTTGCTCTGTTGCCCAGGCTGGAGTGCAGTGGCACAATCATGGCTCTCTGTAGCCTTGACCTCCTGGGCTCAGGTGTTCCTCCACCTCAACCTCCAGAGTAGCTTGGACTACAGGTACACTTCACCACATTTGGCTAATTTTTACATTTTTTGTAGAGATGGTATCTCCCTATGTTGCCTAGGCTGGCCTTGAACTCCTGGGCTCAAGTGGTCTTCCCACCTTGGCCTCTCAAATTGCTAGGATTGCAGGTGCGAACCATAGTGCTTGACCCAGAATAATTTCTATTGATTTTATTGCTCATTTCTGAACCCCCAATTCTCTTCTTACTCCCTACTCCGTTTCATACTATGAGCAGCCTCTCACACATGTATGTGGATACCCTAGTCTACAATGTCCAAGCTTTATCCACAACCTCCAGCAAAGAGCGGTGCCTTGGCCACTTCCTGGGTCTAAGGGTGTGCACTCTGACAGCATGGTCCACTCTTGGAAGGCTGGACTCAGGGGAGAGGACCCTGTACATCCTGGAGGCAGACTCAGGGCCTTTGAGCAGAGAATCCTGGGGTCTTAGGTACTGAAAGTATGGGCAAGAACTGGGGATGAGGGGTGTGTACATTTTGGGTGGCATATCTCCTGGACTCTGTGGGCTTTTCAACCTAAAGGGAGGGGTATAGCAGGAGGAGAACCAGGGTGAGGCCCTCCTAAGTGTGGGGTTCAGGGCAGGAGCCGCTGCTGCCCAGGTCCAAGGGCAGTGTGATCCCCAACTCAACCTTCCTTTAAACAGATGCCCACACCCACTTCAGTCCCACTCAACAGGAGGGGAAGTGTGATGCCAAGTTGACTAAATGTGAGGCCATGAGGAAAATATTACCAGAGCCCTCCAAGGACCTTGAGTCTGCCCAAGTAAGGGGCTTGGCGTTTAGGCGCCTTTAGTTTCACAGTAGGTCTGCCCCGGGTGATGCAGCCGTCAGTCGGGGGCCCCTGTGTGAAGCGGCCGTCATCCGGGGACCCCTGTGTGAAGCAGCCATTGTCTGGGGATCTGGCAAATTGAAGGAGCACCAGTCTGAGTTGGATCTGAAATCTAAATTGTTGTCCTTATTCAGAAGCAAAGTGCTGCCCCTGGCCTGTGTTCTCAGAGCCACTCCTCTCTTTTCCCTTGCTCTGCTCTGTATGGCAGGAAGCCAACAGCCACCTGAAGGAGAACGTGGGGACAAGGGAGAAGCCAGGGTGTTTGTCCCTTCCCCTCTCTGCCTGAGGCCTCCCCTTCTCTACTGGACAGACCTCTCTGCTTCGTGGTTCCAGCTCTTCTTGCTTGGGTGACCCTGGCCCTGGGTTCTGGTCATTACTTCTCCTTTTGTCCTTCTAGCTCAGTGGCTCTCAGCTGGGAGCATGTCTGTCTACTACTTACCCCCAGCCGCTGCACACAAATACACCCAAGGGATGTTTAGCAATGTCTGGAGCCATTTTTGGTTGTTACAACTTGGGGAGGGGCATTTAGTGGATAATGGTCAGAGATGAAGGCTAAACATGTGATGAAACACAGGACAACTGCCCACAACAAACAGTTATCCCAGCAGAAATGTCAAGAGTGCCCAGGTTGAGAAAGTGCTCTAGCCTGAAGCCAGCAGTGGTTCCTTCTGCTGTAATTTCAGGTTTGCCTCACTATCCCTTTGGATGTGTAGCTTTTCCATTATGTCTATTTTCCCTGGATTAAATTCCCTCTGTTAAGACACTTAAAGTGGCTTTTGTTTTCTGGTTAGACTGACCAATTCCTCCCCAACATATCAGCTTCTTTTCTTTTTTCACTGCCAAAACCACTTAGTGACACCTTCTCCGTCACCTCCCTGTGGATTCTGGAAATTTTCACCACTTACCTCCATCCTGTTGCTTTCCGTCCAGAATTCTACAGTTTTCATAGAGTACATTTTAATTAATAGACTATTTTATTTTATAATGAGGCTCATCCAGAGTTATGAAATGAGCAGAAGATGCATAACTTTCTTTTACTAAATAAAAATAGAGCACTCTAATTAACATAATCCAATTTCCACCCTTCAGAATGCATTATTATTATAAAAATGCATTTGGTTAATTTAATGTCATTATAAATGTAAAATGTAGATTAATTTAAACCCAATTAAAGTGAGATCTTTTGGGATTCTTCTTAATTCTCTGTTAGGCAAAATTGCACAGAGTGCTATTTGGGTTTTCTTGGATTTTTTTCAGCATAAAAACAATTTTTCAGCCAAAAAAGAAAAGAATTAAATTTTCAGAGTTCCAAAGGGGTAAAGCAAAGCAAATATATTTTGGCTTCTGTCATGTTGTGAGGTCTGTTAGCTTCCTAGGGCTGCCAAAACAAAACCTGAGCAGCTTAAACTAACAGAAATTCATTGTCTCAGTTCTGGAGGCCACAGGTCCAAAATTAAGGTGCGGACAGGGCCGTGTTCCCTCTAAAGGGGCTAGGGAAGGAACTATTCCATGCCTCTGTCCTCGCTTCTGGTAGCTTCAGGCACTCTTTAGCTTGTAGATGCGTTGCTTCAATCCTTGTCTTCACAACTCCAGGTCTTCACATGATTTTCCTCTGACCATGTCTGTCTCCATGTCTAAATTTTCCCTTTTTGTAAGAACACCAGCCACATTGAAGTAGAGCCCACTCTACTGATGTCATTTTAACTTGATTACATCTGTAAAGACCCTATTTCCAAATAAGATCACATTTTGAGGTACTGGGGTTAGGACTTCAATATTTTGGGGGGTGGGGTGGGAGAGATACAGTTCAACCCATAATACAGGTATTAATATGTTTCTAACCACTAAGATGATTTTTTGGGTGATGGGAACTTGTGTGTATATTCAAGTTCAAAAGATACATTTTAACTTTGCTTTTCCTTTATAATGGTTAGAATGTCTGTTTCAAAGAGTGGTCTTTTGGGAATTTATTCAACAAATACCTGTTTAGTATCTACTTTGGGTTAGGTATTGTACTGGGCACTAAAGATGAATAAAACACACTCCCCACTGTGAAGGTGCTCATAGTCTGATGGGTGACATGAATATGAAAATGATTAAAATGCAACCTGAGGCCGGGGGCAGTGGCTCACACTTGTAATTCCAGCACTTTGGGAGAGTAAGGCGGGCGGATCACGAGGTCAGGAGTTCAAGACCAGCTTGGCCAACACCGTGAAACCCTGCCTCTATTAAAAATACAAAAATTAGCTGGGCATGGTGGTGGGCACCTGTAATCCCAGCTACTCAGGAGGCTGAGGCAGGAGAATCACTTGAATCCAGGAGGCAGAGGTTGCAATGAGCTGAGATTGCACTACTGTACTCCAGCCTGGGCAACAGAGCTAGACTCCATCTCAAATAAAATAAAATAAAATAAAATAAAAGGAACCTGAGAAGTACTATACTATGTCAGAGATCCATGGAGAAGGTTTGTGAGTCCCTAGAGAATGGCTCAAACAACACTGTCTGGAGGTAGAATCAGGGAAGTTTTCACCTAAGGAGTTGCAGCTCAGCTGAGTCAGGGGTACACATCCACCAGGGCAAGAGAAGGGCCAAGCAGACAGAGATCCAGCGTAAGCACAGACACAGAGAGGGTGCCGAGCGAGGCAGGAGGAATCTGGTCACTGCTCTTTGGAAGAGCTGGCAGAGTAGGGTGTGGAATGACAGCAGATGGAGGCCAAATTGTTAATTAAGCTGTTAAGAAGTTGTGATGCCCATCCTGGTTAACACGGTGAAACCCCGTTTCTATTAAAAATACAAAAAATTAGCTGGGCGTGGTGGTGGGTGCCTGTAGTCCCAGCTACTCGGGAGGCTGAGGCAGGAGAATAGCGTGAACCTGGGAGGCAGAGCTTGCAGTGAGCCGAGATCGCGCCACTGCACACCAGCCTGCACGACAGTGCGAGATTCGGTCTCAAAAATAAATTAAAATAAAATAAAATAAGAAGTTGTGATGAGCCACTGAATTTTTAAAAATTCTTAAGAGATAGGGTCTCACTGTGTTGCTCAGGCTGGTCTTGAACTCCTGGGCTCCAGCAATCCTCCTGCCTCAGGCTTGAGCCACTGTGCCAGGCTTGAATCTTTTAATCAAGGGAGAAACATGATCAGATTTGTTTTAGAAGGGTCCAGTTTGGGGGTACCACTGTAAAGGGTAGATTTTTTTTCTTCTTCTAAATTTAAAGTTCATTTCCTTGTCCTCATTTCACTAGTCTTTCAACATCTTAAACCAGAGTTGAATGCTTGCTTTTTTTGAAATATTTTCCTCTCTTGGTCTCTATCACTCCAGCTCTCCTGATTTCCCTCCTAGATCTTCTTTTCTTTTGCTGGCTTTTCTACGGGTCTCGAGGCTCAGATAGGTGAGCCTAAAGGCTGGCACCTCTTCCCTTCTCATCTAGTCTCTTGAGATCTCATCCATGCCCATGCCTTCAAATTTGTACCCCAGCCCTGGCCTCTCCCTTGAGACCCAAACTTGCCCAACTGATGTCTTAATCCCTACTACTACCTAAGACCCTATAGGCATCTCAGACTCAACATCTTAAATCTCCTTCATCCCAAATCTTCCCCATCTCAATAAATGGCCCCATATACTCCCAGGTAGTTGTTTATACCTCAGTGTCAAGATTTATCTTTAATTCCTCCCTTTCACTCCTTTCCCATGTACAAATCCACCTCTGACTCTTCCTGGTCCTACAACCAAAATACATCTTTTTTTTTGAGACCGAGTCTCACTCTATCACCCAAGCTAGAGTGCAGCGCCACAATCTCGGCTCACTGCAACCTCCATCTCCTGGGTTCAAGCGATTCTCCTGCCTCAGCCTCCCGAGTAGCTGGGATTACAGGTGCACACCACCACACCCTGCTAATTTTTGTATTTTTAGTAGAAACGGGATTTCACCATGTTGGCCAGGCTGGCCTTGAACTCCTGACCTCAAGTGATCAGCTTGCCTCAGCCTCCCAAAGTGCTGGGATTACACGCGTGAGCCACCGCACCCGGCGCACCAAAAACATCTTTAATCCATTCATTTCTCCCCATCTCCAGTACCATCACCTTAGGCTGGGCCCCAGTTGTCTATTCTCTAGACAATTGCAATGGTCTCCTAACTGGTCTCCACGTATGCCCTTATCTACCTATTTTTGTACCCAACAACCTTAATTATCTTATTAGAATTTTAACCAGATATATAATTCAATGTAAAACCCAAATTATTTCTTTTTTTTTTCCTTTAATTTTTTTTGAGGTAGGTTCTCACTCTGTCACTCAGGCTGGAGTACAGTGGTGCAATCATGGCTCACTGCAGCCTTGACCTCTGGGCTCAAGCAATCCTCCCGCCTCAGCCTCCCAAAGTGCTGGAATTACAGGTATGAGCCCTGGTACCTGGCCCCAAACTTCTTACTGTGTCTTAGAAGGCCTTCTGGCCGGGCGCGGTGGCTCACGCCTGTAATCCCAGCACTTTGGGAGCCTGAGGCGGGTGGATCATGAGGTCAGGAGATCGAGACCATCCTGGCTAACAAGGTGAAAGCCCGTCTCTACTAAAAATACAAAAAATTAGCCGGGCGCGGCGGCGGGCGCCTGTAGTCCCAGCTACTCGGGAGGCTGAGGCAGGAGAATGGCGTGAACCCGGGAAGCGGAGCTTGCAGTGAGCCGAGATTGCGCCACAGCAGTCCGCAGTCCGGCCTGGGCGACAGAGCGAGACTCCGTCTCAAAAAAAAAAAAAAAAAAAAAAAAAAGAAGAAGGCCTTCTATGATCTGTTTCCTACCCACCTCTTTAATCTCACCATTCAAACCACTGGCCTTCCTTCTGTTTCTTCAACACGCCCACCCCTTTCCTGCCTTGTGGTCTTTGCACTTCCTGTTACCTCTGTCTAGAATCCTCTGCCTGTATTCTTTGCATAGCAATCCCTTTCTGATCTTTCAGGATTCAGTTCACAGGTCATCTTCCCATGGATGCTTTTCTGGTCTCACCTGTCTAAGGAGACCTCCACCCTTATTACTCTGTATCATCTTGTCACATTGTTTATTTCCATCAGAGCACTTATCAGAATATGGAAGTGCTTATTTATTTATTTGTTTATATTTTGTTTCTTTCTCTTGTCTGTAAGCATCACTCACTCGTCCCACTGCACAGTTCTGGAGACTATTTACAAAGCTTGTTACAGGACATGATACTCCAGGGAGATTTCTAAATACCCACCATCCAGTAGGTACCTCCAGTGCTCCCAGTAATGAGGTACTTCTTTAAATTCTTCTTCTTATTATTATTCTTTTTTTTTTGAGATGGAGTCTCGCTCTGTCACCAGGCTGGAGTGCAGTGGCACAATCTCTGCTCACTGCAACCTTTGCCTCCCAGGTTCAAGCGATTCTATTGCCTCAGCCTCCTAAGTAGCTGGGACTACAGGCGTGCGCCACCACACCCAACTAATTTTTGTATTTTTAGTAGAGCCAAGGTTTCACCATATTGGCCAGGATGGTCTCTATCTCTTGACCTCGTGATCTGCCTGCCTTGGCCTCCCAAAGTGCTGGGATTACAGGCATGAGCCACCACGCCTGGCCTACTTCTTTAAATTCTGTCACTTGACCAGCCTGGCCAACATGGTGAAATCCCGTCTCTACTAAAAATACAAAAATTAGCTGGCCTTAGTGGCAGGCACCCATAATCCCAGCTACTTGGGAGGCTGAGGCAGGAGAATTGCTTGAACCTGGGGGGTGGAGGTTGCAGTGAGCCGAGATCGCACCTCTTCACTCCAGCCTGGGTGACAGAGCAAAACTCAAAAAAAAAAAAAAAATCCTATCACTTCATCTTCCCATACGGAGCTTCTATTGCCATGATACCAGCAAGGAACTGTCTCAGAGAGGGTTAGATGACTTGCACAAGGCCACATAGCCACTAAGAAGTGATGGGGGCAGGATGTGGGCCCACATCTGCCTGGTTCTGAAGGCCTCTCTCTTTCTACCATGTTGCACAACTCAAGACGAGGTGGAAGAAACACCAAAAAAACCCACAATTTACAGTGCTGCCTCTTTTCTTCTTTGACTTGACCAACTTTAAACATCAACTCTCTAACACTTGTGGACAAACATTCACTAGCTACCATCCTTTCATTTGGGAAACCACTCTCTCCTGTGCCATCGGAATCCTGCTCTGCCATAAGGTGCCGGGGGCACCAACACCACCCCTCCCTCTTCCCACCTTGAGAGTGTGCATGCGACCTGGGCTGGCCGGATTATTTCTTCTGCAGTTCTCCACAATGGGTCCAGGAACGGGCAAGTGATCTGAATCGGGCCAGTCAGCCTCCTCCTTGAAACTTTGGTGGTACTCTGGGGACAGTCATTGCTCTGGGGTCATCATTCATTAGCACCGCAGTAGTCAGGAGCTGCAAGTGGCCACCTTAGTCATGTAGAATCTTATGGAAAATGAAGCCAAATAGAAGACAGCTATAAGGGATGGATGAAGAGAGAGACTAAAACAGACGCCAAATAGCATAATTTCAGCAGTGGAACCCAGTGACCCAGCCATTTATTTATTGGGTTGTTTGCTTAACATCTATCTCCTCACTAAGCTAGCTCCACAAGGGTAAGAATGATGTCTTCTGTGTTCACCACTGTCCCCACAGTGCCTCAGGCAGTGGCTGTCATGAAGTAGGTGCTCCCTACAGATATGGATGAGAGTATGGTTTCTACCAGCAGTGTCTGAGCTCACAGCATAATGATAATATTCCAGAGAAATCATCTCGGTCTCCAGCTTTTGGAATGAGCTGGCTGGGTACATGGGGCTTGATTAAAATTGGAGGAGACATAGTTAATCTTAGAGTCAACCTTATGACATAAGCCAAGTCCTTTTACAAAAACTAGGTTTCAATGGGTATGCATTGAAACTGGGCGGGGATAATGTGTTCTGGCTCTGTTCTTTAAAAGTGTGTATGATGTCTGAGGCCCTGTCATTTAATTTGATTCTAATATGTCTTTAAACATCCTGTCAGATTATAACCTGATTTATCACTCACTCAAGAGGCTAAAAATAGGAGGTGATACAAGAGGTTAACATCACTTAGCAGTGAGTGTTTTCTCAAAGGGACAGACATAGATCAGAGGAAGCACGTCATTCATTCCTATCCACAGGCTGGGCACGCCTGGTGCTTGGCAATTGTTTCAGAATGAAATGACTCTTGAGCTGAACGTGTCATCATTTGGGAGGGGCAGTCTGAGAGGGTTGCAGAAGATGCGATGACTGAAAATCTTCCTCCAGCCAGCCCCTGCTCAGCAGTCCCCAGGAGCCCGCAATGGTCCCCGATTGCTGGCTGCTCTTGGCTGGTTTCCAGGACAGCCGTTTACACAGTGGAATGAACCATGGGAATGGAAGAAAATTTGAAATTTCTTTTTTTTTTTTTTTTGGGAAAAACAGCTGATCTTGCATTGTGTTCCAGCTTCCCTCTTGGTAAAATAGAAATTGTTTACATTTCCCCCTTGGAGGCTGCTAAGCCCTTAGAGAGCCTCAGAGGAGGGGCAGTGTGAAAATAAAGGCTACAAATTCTTACAGTGCTGGCTAAAAAGAAGGCACTGACCTCTGACATCTCAAATTCAGGGAGCAGAATAAATGAAACAGCAACATGCTCACTCCAGGGTAGGCAGAGCACAGGACTGGAATTAGGGATGGAAGAAGGACATGAACATCTATGGAACATGTAACTGTGTGCTGGACACGGCATTAAGTATTACCTGCTGTTGTAGGCAGTGGGCTGCCCTAACAGGGTATCACAGGCTGGGTGGCTTATAAACAGCAGAAATTTATTTCTCAAAGTTCTGGAGACTGGAAGTCCAAGATCAGGGTGCCAGCATGGTTGGCTTCTGATGCAGGCTTTCTTCTTTTTTTGTGTGTGTTTTTTGAGATGGAGTTTCACTCTGTCGCACAGGCTGGCGTACAGTGCCGCAATCTCGGCTCGCTGCAACCTCTGCCTCCCAGGTTCAAGCGATTCTCCTGCCTCAGACTCCCACGTAGCTGGGACTATAGGCATGCGCCACCAGCTAATTTTGTATCTTTAGTAGAGACGGGTTTCAGCATGTTGGCCAGGCCGGTCTCGAACTCCTGACCTCAACTGATCCACTTGCCTTGGCCTCCCGAAGTTTTGGGATTACAGGCATGAGCCACCATCCCTGGCCTGATGGCAGGCTCTCTTATGAGTTGCAGACTGCCAACTTCTTGTATCCTTAGACGGCAGAATGGGGGCTAGAGCTTTCTGGGGCCTCTTTTATAAGGCACCAACCCCATTCATGAGGGCTCTGCTCTCATGACTTAATCACCTCCCAAAGGGCCCTACCTCCTAATACCATCACATTGGGGTTTAAATTTCAACATATGAATTCTGGGTGGGGTGGGGTGGGTGTCACAAATATCCAATCCATAGCACCTACTTACCTAATAGGAATTACCATGGTATATGGTGTTACCTTAAGTTGATATTAACCCATTCTATGAATGAATAAGCTGATTCTCAGGGAATTTAAGTAATTCCTAAGCCAGTAAGTGGAAGAAGCAGGATTCATCCTGAAGACTGGCTCCAAAGTCCCAATGTCTTTCCTCTCATTGTCATATCATTGCTACCTATACACATCAATAAGGCCTAAAAATGAGAATGAGCTTGCCTGAGTGTAACTGTGGCTCCAGGGCCCCTGCTTTAGCTAGGGAAGGGCATTTGATGAGAGGCTCTCGCTACTCTCTGGAGGTTAGATGGCTCCATTTCATGGACACTAACGTTTGGAAAGAAGCCAGACCTTCTCTTTTGTGCCCTCTGAGCTTCCTTTGGATATTTCAGAGCCTCCCCTCCTGCGGCCTCCAGCCCTCTTGGGCTTCACTCTGGCTATCCACTTAGGCTCTATCCCTTGCTTCTTCCTAAATACTATCTCTGTCTCCTACAAAACTTATTCACCTGGGGCCAGGCACGGAGGCTCACGCCTGTAATCCCAGCACTTTGGGAGGACGAGGCGGGCGAATCACCTGAGGCTGGGAGTTTGAGACCAGCCTGGCCAACGCGGTGAAACCTTATCTCTACTAAAAATACAAAAATTAGCCCGGCCTGGTGGCGGGTGCCTGTAATCGCAGCTACTCAAGAGGCTGCGGCCGGAGAATTGCTTGAACTCGGGAGGCGGAGGTTGCAGTGAGCAGAGATCACGCCACTGCACTCCAGCCTGGGTGACAGAGTGAGACTCCGTCTCAAAAACAAAAAACAAAAAACAAAAACTTATTCACCTGGATCTTCTTTCTTCGGGCCTTGGAAAGTCATTAACTTGCTTATCTGCTTAGCAAGCTAATTCATGCCAAAGTATTAATGATAAAAATGTGTAACACTTTTCTTGGAGCTATGGGCAGTGTTCAGTAAGTAGTCCCAGGCACTTGTTGTTTGGACAACATTGTGTCGCGTGCAGTAGGCCCTGGCATGAGCCTTCAGTCCTTTCTTATCAGAGGATTGGTGGATACCACAGGTAGTTGAAAGACATGTTTCTGTCCCCATCCTATGGAAATGTTTGCAGCAGGATTCTGTCTTGTGAATCTTCTGTTTTCCATGGTGTCTGAGGTTCACCACTCTTTCTGCAGTGGAGTGCCCACTTCCTTGCGCCCAGGACTTTATCATAATGACCAGCATGAGCTGGGCTCTGCCTACCGTGGCTCAGAGTTTAACTCTATGAAGAATCAGTATCATCTGTATTGCCAGAGACTCACTGCCATCATTCAGCCCCCTTGGGCTCTGCAGACACCAGCACCCTTATCCTGAGGACAGCTGTTCTCTCAGATCCATGTGCCCCTAGCAGGCCTGCTGCTTGGTGGCTCTCTCTGACCTGAGTGATGTGCTGGTGGAAACAGTTTTATATTTCCTATTTCAAAAAAAATGTTGGTAGAATATACATAACAATATTTATCATTTTAACTTTTTTTTTGAGACAGAGTGTCACTCTGTCACCCAGGCTGGAGTGCAGTGGTGTGACCTCAGCTCACTGCAACCTCTGCTTCCTGGCCTCAAGTGATCCTCCCAATTCAGCTTTCTGAGTAGCTGGGACTACAGGCGTGCACAACTGGCTAATTTTTGTATTTTTTTTGCAGAGACAGGGTTTCGCCATGTTGCCTGGGCTGGTCTCGAACTCCTGGGCTCAAGTGATCCACCGATCTCTGCCTCCCAAAGTGCTGAGATTACAGGTGTGAACCATTGCACCTGGCCCATTTTAACCAATTTTTTTTTTTTAAGACAGAGTCTCGCTCTGTCACCCAGGCTGGAGTGCAGTGGCGTGATCTTGGCTCACTGCAACCTCTGCCTCCTGGGTTCAAGTGATTCTCCTGCCTCAGCCTCCCAAGTAGCTGGGATTATAGGTGCCTGCCACCACACCCAGTTCATTTTTGTATTTTTAGTAGAGACAGGGTTTCACCATATTTGTCAGGCTGGTCTCGAGCTCTTGACCACAGGTGATCCACCCGCCTCGGCCTCCCAAAGTGCTAGGACTACAGGCATGAGCCACCGTGCCTGGCCCATTTTAACCATTTTTAAGTGTACAATTCAGTAGCCTTAAGTATACTTACAGTGTTATAATGTTGTGCAGCCATCACCACTGTTCATTTCCAGGATTTCTCATCATCCCAAACTGAAACACTGTGCCCATGACATTACTCCTCATCCCCGCTGCTCCTAACCTCTGGTAACCGCTACTCTATGCTCTGTCTCTGTGAATTTGCTTATTCTAAGAACTTCATGTAAGTGGAATCATATAATATTTGTCCTGTGTCTGGCTTATTTCACTTAGCACAATGTTTTCAAGGTTAATCCATGTGGTAGCATGTATCAGAATTTCCTTTCTATAATAATATTCTATCATATGATATAACAGATTTTGTTTATTCATTCATTGGTAGACAGTTGCATTGTTTCTATCTTTTGGCTATTGCAAATAATGCCACTATGAATTTCTGTGTACAAGTATTTGCTTAAGTCTCAGCTTTCAATTTATGGGGTATATACCTAGGAGTGGAATACATAATAATTACTAATATTTAAACCAGTAATTTACTGTACGTGTACTAAATGCTATTACTTACTACATATATACTAGTATTAGCTGGATTATATTGTAATTCTGTATTTAACTTTGAGAAACCACCAAACTGTTTTCCATACCATCTGTACCATCACATAATCCTAGTAGCCATACACAAGGGTTCCAACTCTGATTTGTTTGTTTATTTGTTTTGAGTTTTACTAGGAAAAGAACCACTTTCCATTGCATAGACATTATCCTATCATGAGTTCCCCTGTTGGCCCATGAACTCATTTAATAAATATTTATCAAATACTTGCAAGGTGCCAGGCATTGTATGAGGAATGAGACTGGTGGATAAAATAGACACGGTTGCCCTCATGGTACTTACTATTTAAAGAGACAAGAAAGAAAACAAAATACACATCATTGCAAGTTGTGATAAGTTATTTAGAGAAATGAACAGGGATGGTGATAAGAATAATTATAACAAGGTAGAATTTTACCATTTGCTGTTTCAGGAAGCAGTATAGCATAGGACATGAAGATGTGGTCTTTGAGGTCTGATAGGATCAAGCCTAGCTTTTCCATTTTCTTTTTCTTTTCTTTCTTTCTGTCTTTTTTTGTTGTTGTTGAGACAGAGTTTTGCTGTTGTTGCCCAGGCTGGAGTGCAATGGTGCAATCTCGGCTCACTGCAACCTCCGCCTCCCGGGTTCAAGCGATTCTCCTGCTTCAGCCTCCTGAATAGCTGGGATTACAGGCACCTGCCACCTCACCTGGCTAAGTTTTTGTATTTTTAGTAGAGACAGGGTTTCACCATGTTGGCCAGGCTGGTCTCAAACTCCTGACCTCAGGTGATCCACCCAACTTGGCCTTCCAAAGTGTTGGGATTATAGGCACGAGCCGCCGGCCTGGCCAGCTTTTCCATTTTCTGTTTGACCTTGGACAAATTACTTTAATCCCCCTGTGCTTCTGTCTCCTTAACTATAAAATGGAGATGATAATAGCACTTACCTTACTGTGAAGATTACATGATAGAATCCGTGTAAAGTATATAGAACACTGCCTGACACATGGTAGGTACTCAGTAAATTTATTAATTTCATATCTCCTCTTTGTAGGCTACTCACATGTACTTACAATAATTCCCACTTGGAATACATGCCAGTTATTCATGGAATGGCCATTGACAAATGCGCAGTGGCCAAGCTTCTTCTCCTGATACTTTTGACCATAGAAACCTATGCCTTGAGAAGCAGAACTCATGTAGCCTCTTCTAGCCAGCCTCTAGTTTCCCATCAAAATTTCAACCCATGCCCTTCTTTTTCCTGGGCAGGATGCTGTGGTATGAGAATAGAGGCTTTGAAACTAAACATGTCTGGCGGGTTATTTATCAGTTGATTGGGTTATCTTGGACAAATTACTTGACCCCTCTAAGCTTCAATTTCTCCCTCTGTGAGGCACCTTAGGAGTTTTTGTGATGATGTATTTAAAGCTCCTAACTCAGCATCTGGACCATGGTAGCAGATCAATCAATCGTAACTTTCTCTAGAAATGTCTTAAATAAAATTGATATGAGGCCGGGTGTGGTGGCTCACGCCTGTAGTCCCAGCACTTTGGGAGGCCAAGGTGGGTGGATCATTTGAGGTCAGGAGTTTGAGACCAGCCTGGCCAACATGATGAAACCCCATCTCTACTAAAAAGACAAAAATTAGCTGGGCGTGGTGGCCTGCTCCTGTAGTCCCAGCTACTTGGGAGGCTGAGGCAGGAGAATCGCTTGAACCCAGGAGGTGGAGGCTGCAGTGAGCTGAGATCATACCACTGCACTCCAGCCTGGGATACAGAGTGAGACCTTGTCTCAGAAAAAATTGATATGAGTGTTCACAATATTTTTCTGTTAAAGTATGCTTATCTATTTTAGAAAGCATTACATTGGGCAGGTATAAAGTTAATTGACTAAATATGATGGCTATAATTTTTATAAAAGTTTAACCTTAGACCCTTGGTCAGGAGTGTCAACCTATTATAATGTAGCTTTCTCAAGAAAATCAGGTGCAACATAAGGCTGTCATTAGAACACAAAACATGCAGACTTTTACAATTTGGTTTGCTGCCAATGTTTATATTTTAACAAGACCCTCCTACATATAGGCCAAACAAATGATTGTCTAACAGTGGACATTCCAGGGGTCCTTGTAGGCCAGGGGTCAGCAAACTATGGCCTGCAGGCCAAAAATAGCCTACACTCTGTTCTTGTAAATCATGACTTGTTGGAACAGAGCCACACCCACTCATTTCAGTATTACCTACGGTGGCTTTTGTGCTAACAAAGTGGCAGAGTTGAGTAGTTTTATTTTTATTTATTTTTAATTTTTTTAATTTTGGAGAACAGGGGTTTCCCATGTTGGCCAGGCTGGTCTTGAACTCCTGGACTCAAGTGATGCACCCGCCTCAGCCTCCCAAAGTGCTGGGATTACAGGCGTAAGCCACGGCGCCCTGGCAGAGTTGAGTAGTTGTAAAACTAAATGGCCTACAAAGCCAAGTACAATATCTAGAAAAAGTTTGCCAACCCCTACTTTAGGCCAAGAGGGGAAAGGGAAGTGCTTTTGGCAGTAGCCTTTATTTATTATTATTATTTTTTGAGATGGAGTCTTGCTCTGTCACCCAGGCTGGAGTGCAATGTCATGATGTCGGCTCACTGCAACCTCTGCCTCCCAGGTTCAAGTGATTCTTCTGCCTCAGCCTCCTGAGTAGCTGGGATTACAGGCACGCGCCACCATGCCCAGCTAATTTTTATATTTTTTAGTAGATACGGGGTTTCACCATGTTGGTCAGCCTGGTCTCTAATTCCTGACCTTGTGATCTGCCTGCGTTGGCCTCCCAAAGTGCTGGAATTACAGATGTGAGCCACCGCGCCCAGCCTAGCAGTAGACTTTAAATTGTATGTGTAGCTTTCAGCAGGAATGTGTTGTCTCCTGCTGTTTGTTGGTAGGGTAACTTCTGGAATGCTTTGGATGTTTCTGTAGGAAAGGATCTTAGTGCCATTTATCAACGGGCTTAGCTCAACATTGCTGTATTAGGGCAGACTAAATTGTTGTAACAAGACCTGTTAATTTAGTGCTGTAAGGAATAATGAAGTTTATTTCTTGCTCACAAAACTGCCAGTGTGGGTGTTCCAGGTTGGTTGGCAGTTCTGCTCCGCAGAGTAATTCTGGGACCCAAGCTCTTTCCATCTAGTGGCTCTGCCCTGTCTTCGGGCCTCTTGCCTTCTGCAAGGTCCAGGTTGAGTCATTAGATCCAATTTCCAGCTGTTGGAAAGGAAGGAACACAATGCATGTCAGCCCAGCAATGGCACCCACCACTTCCACTCATATTCCATAGACCAGAACTTGGTCTTATGACCACATCCACTACAAGAAGCCCAGGAAGATGAAGAAGAAACTAATTTTGTTTCTGTCATAGTAGATAAAGGGGAGTGTTAAGGGTCACCTGACAACTCCCTGACCCAAGTTCTAAGTCTTTACCTCTGCCAAGGATAGCTTCATGCCAGAGCATGGTAGAACCTGGCTGGCTATACTTCCTTGAACTCTGTCAACCCTATCTCTGTGTATTCCTCCCTAGTAGTTGTCCTGTGTCACCCACCATAGCTCCCCTTTCTCTTTCTAACTCTTGATTTCCTCTTTCTGTAAGTATAGACAATTAGGCTGAGCATGGTGGCTCATGCCTGTAATCTCAGCACTTTGGGAGGCCAAGCTGGGAAGCTTGCCTGAACCCAGGAGTTCTAGACCAACTTAGGCAATATAGTGAGACCCTATCTCTACAAAAAAAGAAAAAAAAATTAGGCAAGCATGATGGCGTGTGCCTATAGTCCCAGCTACTCAGGAGGCTGAAGCGGGAGGAGCACTTGAGCCTAGGAGTTCAAAGCTGCAGTGAGCCATGATCAGGCCACTGCACTCCAGTCTAGGTGACAGAGCAAGACCCTGTTTCTAAAATAAATAAATAAGGACAATTAATTCCTAGTAGGACCCGTGGCTCTTGCAGCCCTCATGATAAAAAAGAGGCAGGTACTGTTATTGTCCCCTCATTATAAAGAAACTGAGGTATAGAGCAATTAAGTAACTTCCTCAAGGTCACAGCTAGTCACTGACAGCGCTCAAAAAGGAACATTTCTTTCGTTGGGTGGGGGTTTTACTCCGGAATATGGCCAAGGAGCATGCTGTGAAAACACTATCTGCAACACACAAGCAACTTTGATTTGACAAGGAATTTTTGTTTCTAAATTTGCAGAAATATTCTTTGCTAACTGTTGTTTACCTTTTAATTTTGTCAATGCACTGTTGTTTTTTCTTTTTTTCCCTGGTGGATAGAAGTTTTACTTTTGTCTTTTTTTGAGACAGAGTCTCTCTCTGTCACCCAGGCTGGAGTGCAGTGGTGCAATCTCGGCTCACCGCAACCTCCTCCTCCCTGGTTCAAAAGATTCTCCTGCCTCAGCCTCCTGAGTAGCTGGAACTATAGGCGTCTGCCACCATGCCCAGCTAATTTTTGTATTTTTAGTAGAGACAGGATTTCACTATGTTGACCAGGCTGGTCTTGAATTCCTGACCTCAAGTAATCCGCCTGCCTCGGCCTCCCAGATTGCTGGGATTACTGGCATGGGCCACTGCACCCGGCCAGAAGTTTTACATTTTTATACGATAAAACCTTCATGATTTTTTCCTCCTTACTTCTAGGTTTGAAAAATCATCTACCTTTGAGAATGATGATAAATATTCAATTCAACTTTCTTCCAGTCTTCTAACGTTTGTTTTTTAAACATTATTTACTTTTATCCATCTTTAATTGGTTTTGCCTGTGGCTGTGGAAAAATAACAATTCCCATTGTATTTATATTTGAATCTGCCAGAGAAAGTATTTATTTCAAACAGGCTTCAATGGGAAAAGCGAACACTGGTGACAGACAACCAAGAACCTCTCTTCCATATTTATAGTAGTGAGATTCCTTGACACAGGCTGGTGAGGTTGTAGATAGTGGCTTAGTTGTCACAGGTGGCTGAGCTCGTGTTGCAGCTGTAGTGAGTGCACTGGGTGCTGTTGGTGTGCTGACCCAGTGCCTTTATTTTATTTTATTTTATTTTTTTGAGACAGAGTTTCACTCTTGTCACCCAGGCTGGAGTGCAATGGTGCGATATCTGCTCACTGCAACCTCTGCCTCCCGGGTTCAAGCGATTCTCCTGCCTCAGCCTCCCGAGTAGCTGGGATTACAGGCGCCTGCCACCACGCCCAGCTAATTTTTGTATTTTTAGTAGAGATAGGGTTTCACCATGTTGGCCAGGCTGGTCTCGAACTCCTGACCTCAGGTGATCCACCCCACCTCAGCCCCACAAAGTGCTGGGATTACAGGCGTGAGCCATTGCGCTTGGCCTTTTTTTTTTTACTTTTGAGACAGAGTCTCACTCTGTCTCCCAGGCTGGAGTGCAGTGGCACAATCTCGGCTCACTGCAAACTCTGCCTCCTGGGTTCAAGTGATTCTCGTGCTTCAGCCTCTGAAGTAGCTGGGATTACAGGTGCACACCACCACGCCTGGCTAATTTTTGTATTTTTAGTAGAGATGGGGTTTCACCATGTTGGCCAGGCTGGTCTCGAAATCCTGACTTCAAGTGGTTCACCTGCCTAGGCCTCCTAAACTGCTGGGATTACAGTGTGAGCCACCACGCCCAGCCCCCAGGTGCCTTCTACCTGGCTGGTGCACCCACCCTCAGGTGCTGCAGTTTTGGCTGCTGAGCACTCACAGCTTTCCCCTTCTTTCGAGAATTGCCTCACCCCAAATAAAGAAATTACACTACCTCCCCAGTCACAAGCAGTAGCCAATGACCGAGGTTCTGAGGCTGGCCCCCTTGCTTCAGTGTGGGTCAATTCTTCAATTCCTTTTTCTTTTTTTGAGACAGGGTCTCTGTCACCCAGCCTGGAATGCAGTGGTGCAATCATGGCTCACTGCCGCCTCGACCTTCAGGGCTCAAGTGATCTTCCCACCTCAGCCTCCCAAGTAGTTAGTACTACAGGCGTGCACCACCATGCCCAGCTAATTTTAGTAGAGACAGGGTTTCACTATGTTGTCCAGGCTGGTCTCAAACTCCTGAGCTCAAACGATCCTCCTGCCTTGGCCTCCCAAAGTGTTGGGATTGCAGGCGTCAGCCATGCCTGGCCTCAATGTGGGACCTATTCTGAGTTGTAATCTATGCTGCAGAGCTGGCCGCAGGATCAGGCTGAAGCTCCTCTCCAGGCTTGAGACCCCAGTTTTGCTGAGCCCCTTCTCCCGCCTTCTCCTTCTCTCACTCCCTTTCTCCCGATTGCATTCCTTCAAATCATGCACACTCCAATCCCTGTCTCAGGCTCTGCTTCTAGGCAATGTGATCCAAGACAGTGAGGAAATCTAATTTCCTACAAATAACACTCTAATACTTATAACGGGGACATGGTTTACAAGCTTTGTAGATATCATAGACTCAAGATTAAAGGTTATATATTAGAGAGTTTAAACACATATGTAATAAACTGTTATATTGGAGAGTTTTTTTACCCTTAAATATTGAAATGGTAGTGATCAGAGTTATGAGTGATAATAAGAACTTTTTGAACTTAAGATCTATGACCCATCTAGAAAATATTTATTGGTTCTTGTTTTTCTGGGGTTCCTGGAAGTGTAAATATTCTCCAATCCCCTTTTCTCATCTTACTGAGACGAGAAATACCACCCCATGGTTTTGAATTCTCCATGTGCTTTTGTTAAGGAGATTATCCTCTTTCAAGCCTTATGATTAAATACCATGTGTTATGTTACCTATAGTTTCTTTTCATTTCCATCAAAGTGGAATCGAAATTTCTACAGTGACATAAATTTATTAGATGCTTCAGATTGTATCCAGCACCAACTATGGAATCATGCTTCTTTTCTCCCTTAGTTATTACTTTCCAAAGGCAATACTACTTCAGTACTACTTGCATACCACCATTTCTTTTCTTTTCCCCAAGCTTGGCCTCTAAGGATTTTGTTATTCTCTACATCTGAAGAAGCAGAGATGTTGTGACTTGCTTGAATGGGGAATGCGAGGTTTCATGCTCAGAACCCCAAGTTCCAACGAGCCTTTCTTGCCCCAAGCAGCAGCTCAATCTCCTGTGTTTGCCCCTCTGTGGACTCCACCGCTTATGTTTGTGTCACTGATCTGTCGTACAGTAACCCTTTCCTTGGTCCCTCTGAATTCTGTTACGCTCCGTTGACTTATTAAGAATGAACGCTGTTTGTTCTGTGTTTTGAAAATGAACTTTAACACTCCTGAGTCTTGCTTTGGGTTTTTCTCTCTCTGTTCAAACAAAACAGTTGGAAGGTGGTTGTGGTTCAATATTTGTATATTTGCTTTTTTGATTTAGATTGTTTCTCTTTTCCTGAGAATTTAAGGGTACTGTTCAAAGACCTTTGATAGCACCCTGGAGGAACTTAAGAGGTGGGTTTGGGAGCAGGGGAGAGCTAAGAAATGAAAGGTTTAGTTGAAGAAGAGGAAAGAGAGGGAGAGAATATCATTTGGTTTCTCTTTTAGGTGAATTCAAGTTAGGCAGAACTTTTTCCAAAACCAGTTAGACTTGGATGAGGAAATTATCCAAAACTTGCAGATACCCTCTGAGCTTCCCTAATTACTTGGGCGTCCTGGTTTATGATGCTAAGGCTTAATATTTTAGAGATTAAGATGGGACATCTGGTCATCTTATCCCAACCACAGGTCACTCTGTCCAAGGTACCTGCCATAACACTGACCTCACAGGGTTGTTGCTAGAGTCAAATGGTGTAGTTAGTGCTATAAATACTATTATTATTGGTATCCCCATGTTATATATGTGTTAAATGAGGCACAGGAAAGTTAAATAACTTGTCCAAGATCACACAGCTAGTAACTGACATAGCTAGGATTTGAATCAAAGCACCACTCACAAGAGACCAAAATTTACAGTAAACTATAATAAACAGTAAAACTATGAAACTATGTTATTTTTAAAATTACTTTTTATTTTATTTATTTATTTATTTATTTATTTATTTATTTATTTATTTTTTGAGATGGAGTCTCACTCTGTCGCCCAGGATGGAGTGCAGTGGCACAATCTCTGCTCACTGCAGCTCCGCCTCCCAGGTTCATGCCATTCTCCTGCCTCAGCCTCCTGGGTAGCTGGGACTACAGGTGCCCACCACCACACCTGGCTAATTTTTTTTTTTTTTTGTATTTTTAGTAGAGACGGGGTTTCACTGCTAAAGACCAGGATGGTCTTGATCTCCTGACCTCGTGATCTGCCTGCCTTGGCCTCCCAAAGTGCTGGGATCACAGGCGTGAGTCACGGTGCCCGGCCAAATTACTTTTTTTGTTTTGTTTTGTTTTGTGTTGAGACGGAGTCTTGCTCTGTTGCCCAGACTGGAGTGCAGTGGTGTGATCTCTGCTCACTGCAAGCTCTGCCTCCCGGGTTCACACCATTCTCCTACCTCAGCCTCCCAAGTAGCTGGGACTACAGATGCCTGCCACCACGCCTGGCTAATTGTTTTGTATTTTTAGTAGAGACGGGGTTTCACCCTGTTAGCCAGGATGGTCTCAATCTCCTGAGCTCGTGATCCGCCCGCCTTGACCTCCCAAAGTGCTGGGATTACAGGCGTGAACCACTGCGCCTGGCCAGGCCAAATTACTTTTAAGGTTCAATTATTTAGGTTGTTTTGCATGTAGGTAATTTTCTTAGAATGAAAAAAATATATATTTTGCTGGAATTTTTTCATAGTATTCTCCCAAACATGAAATGATAGCAGGATACATAATCTCCCACACTCAAATTTCCCAACATGATTCAAACAAAAATCATTCGTGCAAAATTATTTGAGCATTTCATCAGTTTCCTCAAAAGCCTCTCCAAAGCCCCTGATATTCAAATAATTTTCTTTTGAAGAACCTGAGCAATTGGTTTGATTGAATTTACATTGTAGACTCATATAATTAGCATGCGGCTGCTCTGGAAAAATGGGATGTACAAGGATGTAACTAGCATTAAGAGGAGAAATGTCTGCTAGAGTGGGGACTAATTTGATAATATTAGTGATATTTTCATCTTAAGATGACCTTCGCTTCCCTGTGCAACCTGGCAACGCAAAGACTTTGATAATGAGAGCTGAGCTAATGAGGACTCACTGCCATTTCGCAGACGTTAACTATCCTGCCTTCCTTAGGGAACAACCCCGGGTTAGCTGATCTGATGAGAGTATTTGGTGAATTTTGAGGCAGAATCCTAGGACAGCCCCCAGTGATCGCTGCCACCTGGTACTCACGCTCTCGTGTAATTCTCTCCCCTTGGGCGTGGGTGGGACTTGTCACTTGCCTTTAGTAGATAGATAATGCGATGTATGTGATTACATGTACATTAGTATGTTACAGAAGGTTGTAATATCCTTCTTGCTAACACATTCTTCCTTCCTGGTTTTGATGGATCTAGGTGCCCTGCTCTGAGCTGCTCTATGGAGTGGCCTATGTGGCAGGAACTGAAGATAATCTTCAATGCCAGCCAGCAAAAAACGGAGGTCCTCAGTCCAACATCCCACAAGGAAATGAATTCTGCCAACAACCGTGTGAATGAGACTGCAGTCTTGGTCAGAAATGCGATTGCAGCTTTCAGAAGAGACTCTGGAATAGAGGACCCAACAAACGGATGCCTGGACTCCTGACCCAAACCCACAGTAATGGTAAGATATTAAATGCGTGCTGTTCTAAGCTGCTAAATTTGTAGTCATCTGTTATCCATCAATAGGTAACTAATACAATCGTCATACTCAAAATAAATGGGTCATTTATTCTAATATGTATTGAGAGATCCCGTGTGCAGCACACTGCAGTAGCTCTGGGTATATGATGGAAAACAAGAGAGAAAAGACCCTGACCTTCATGGAGCTTACAGTTTAATGAAATAGATGACATTACATAATTATTCTATGAGCTCTACAGTCTGATGCTATTATCAGCATTAGCATCAGTAACCA
Organism: Homo sapiens; assembly: GCF_000001405.40. Classification (NCBI taxonomy): domain Eukaryota; kingdom Metazoa; phylum Chordata; class Mammalia; order Primates; family Hominidae; genus Homo; species Homo sapiens. The sequence goes on along the minus strand of NC_000012.12, from coordinate 94,927,722 downwards.
GCATCGTAACTAATTGGATAAACTATAGGTGAATATTAATGAACATTCACCATAGTCATAATTTTTAAAAGCAAAGCATCCACAGCAAATCTACCTTTAAGGCTGGGTGTAGTGGGTCATGCCAGTAATCCTAGCACTTTAGGAGGCCGAGGCAGGTGGAATATTTGAGGTCAGGAGTTCGAGACCAGCCTGGCCAACATGGCGAAACCCCGTCTCTACTAAAAATACACACAAAAAATTAGCTGCGCGCGGTGGTGCAGACCTGTAGTCCCAGCAACTCAGGAGGCTGAGGCAGGAGAATCACTTGAACCTGGGAGGCAGAGGTTGCAGTGAGCCAAGATTGCACCACTGCACTCCAGCCTGGGTAACAAAGCAAGACTTCATCTCAAAAAAAAAAAAAAGAAAAAGAAAAAGAAAGAAAAAGAAAATCTACCTTTAAGCCATATAACTTTCTATAATTTGAGATGTTACTATCCCTTGTAAAAATGAGAACATGTTCACTCTCTTCCCTAAAGGAGAGACCTGAAGTCATAGCAGCTCCTGAATCTTTCTCCAAGTCCAGGACTTCTGAGTGATGGTTGTTCCTCCTCAAGTTTAATAATAAGCCCTCTTCACGGTGATGTGCACCTTAGTCCCAGCTACTCGGGAGGGTGAGGCAGGAGGATTGCTTCAGCCCCGGAGTTTGAGACTGCAGTGAGCTATGATCCCACTGCACTCCAGCCTGGGCAACAGAGCAAGACTCTGTCTCAATAATAATAATAATAATAATAATAATAATAATATTAATAATAATAACAGAAGAAGAAGAAGAAAGAAGAAGAAGAAGAAGAAGAAGAAGAAGAAGAAGAAGAAGAAGAAGAAGAAGAAGAAGAAGAAGAAGAAGAAGGAAGAAGAAGAAGAAGAAGCAGCCCATCTTGTTATTCTATAACCCCTGAACTAAGTTGTAAACTTGGCCATCGTTGACATAGACTATACAAAATAGTAGGAGAAAAGCTATAAGAAAATAGGCTGGGTGCAGCGGCTCACGCCTGTAATCCCAGCACTTTGGGAGGCCAAGGTGGGTGGATCACCTAAGGTCGGGAGTTAGAGATCAGGCTGGCCAACATGGTGAAACCCCGTCTCTACAAAAATACAAAAATTAGCCTGGCATGATGGCAGGTGCCTGTAGTCCCAGCTACTCAGGAGGCTGAGGCAGGGGAATTGCTTGAACCCGGGAGGCAGAGGTTGCAGGGAGCCGAGATGGTGCCATTGCACTGCAACCCGGGCGACAAAGCGAGACTCTGTCTCAAAAAAAAAAGAAATAAAATAGAAAATTAGTTAACTGCATCAAAATGTACTCGATACAGTAAGGAAGATAATAATAGCAAACACTGCCTTCCAGGCACTTTACATAAATGTTAATTAATTTAATCCTTATAATAAGCCTACTAAATAAGAACTATCAGTGTTCCCTTCTCCCCACTTTTTTTTTTAACTTATGGGGAAATTGAGCCAAATAGAAGTTAAGAAAATTTTTCAACATCTTCAGCAGTAAATCTGGGATCTGAACCCATTCAGTCTGACTTCAAATTCTATTCCTGGGCCTCTTAACTATACTCAACATGAATAGCTACTTCATTCCTTGTTTCTACAATATTCACAAGGGCGCAATTGGTGTTTATAACATCTTTCCTCCACCACTCCTTTGATGTCCCTTTTGCCTGTAGCAAGCATCTCAGCTGACTGCGGACTTTTTTTCTGAGACAATGTCTCCCTCTGTCACCCAGGCTGGAGTGCAGTTGCACAATTATAACTCACTGTAGCCTCAACCTCCTGGGTTCAGGTGATCCTTCTGCCTCAGCCTCCTGAGTAGCTGAGACTACAGGCGTGCACCACCGTGCCCAGCTAATTTTTTTTTTTCAGACAGGGTCTCACTGTGTTGCCCCTACTGGTCTTGAACTCCTGGGCTCAAACGGTCCTCCTGCCTTAGCCTCCCAAAGTGCTGGGATTACAGGCATGAGCCACTGTGCCCAGCCTGACTGAGGATTTTTGGTTGGTATGTGGACTCTAAAATTTGACTGGATTTGAATTCACTCTTACCAGCCATGTAAACGTGGGCAAATTGCTTAACTTCTCTGTGCCTCAGTTTCCTCATCTGTAAATGGGCACGATCATATTTCCTACATCATAGGGTTGCTGTGAAAATTCAATGAGTTAATAGACACAAAGCATTTGGTTTATTATTTCAGCAGGGAGGGACCATTCCAGAGCCTTCCTCTTAACACTTCCAACTGTAATAACATTCACATCACAGGTCAGGGAGCCAGTGTGACTATTCTGCCGGTACTTTGATTACAACTAAGCACTCAAGAACTGAGGAAATAACTATGAGTTCAAGGACCCACTGGGGTCACTGGGAACAGTCCCCGCTGTGAGTAAGCCCCGCTATCAGCTATTACCATAAAATTCCATACACCTACCAGAGAATCACAGATGGCATTTGGGGCCTGCAGGATTAGCATTAGTTAAAAGATAGTCATCCTGAAAGGTCTATGAGTTCCTTTTCCCAGGGTCCAATTGCCCTGGTAAATTGTCCCAAGTGCCTTCCTGAAAGGATAGGAGGAAGACTTCAGTACACACTGTGCTGTCATTGCTGGGTTGTTCCTCAAGAGCATCTTGTCTCCCTGCTATTCAAAGGGCTCTGGGTTTGGAAAGTGACTCAGGCCTGGCATTGGGTGAAGGACTGGACTCGCCATCATCACGACTAGTCAGTCCTCTGTTCCCCAGACTTATATTTTGTTGTTATACATATTAGGTCAGACTTTAGCGTCCATGTATTTCAGCCCCAAAGGCCCTAGGATCTATTAAGCACCCTCAAATATCCCTTAGAGTCAAATCCTTTTGATAATCTCATCTAAGTCTTCTGCTTTTTTTCAGGAATCAGGACGTGCTTGCCCCTGAAGGTTAAAGCTGATGTTTGCCCCCCAAGGAAACCTCTTTCCATCAAAGCATCTCTCACCATCATCCCTGGCCTACAGAGGGCATCCGCTTTTCAAGAATGCCAACTCCTCTCTCACCAATGTGTGTTTTTTCTGAAGGTGGGTGAGTAGATCAGTGATTATAAATCCACTCTAACTGAAGGTTTGGCTCTGTGTCCCCATTCAAATCTCATCTCAAATTGTAATCCCCACATATGGAAGAAGGGACCTGGTGGGAGGTGATTGGATCATGCAGGCAGTTTCCCTCATGCTGTTCTCATCATAGTGAGTGAGTTCTCAGGAGATCTGATGGTTTAAAAGTGGCAGTTTTGCCGGGCGCGGTGGCTCACCTGTAATCCCAGTACTTTGGGAGGCTGAGGCGTGTGGATCACGAGGTCAAGAGATCGAGACTATCCTGGCCAACATGGTGAAACCCCATCTCTACTAAAATACAAACAATTAGCTGGGCATGGTGGCCGGTGCCTGTAATCCCAGCTACTTGTGAGGCTGAGGCAGGAGAATCACTTGAACCCGGGAGGCAGAGGTTGCAGTGAGCCGAGATCGTGCCATTGCACTCCAGCCTGTGACAAAGCGAGACTCTGTCCCCCCCAAAAAAGAAAAAAAAGCAAAGTGGCAGTTTCCCCTGAGCTCTCTCTCTCTTGCTACCTTGTGAAGAAAGTGCCTGTTTCCCCTTTGCTTTCCACCATGATTATACGTTTCCTGAGACCTCTTCAGCCATGTGGAACTGTGAGTCAATTAAATCTCTTTTGTTTATAAATTACCCGGTTTCCGGTAGTATCTTTATAGTAGCGTGAAAATGGACTAATACACCAACATTTGTATCTCTCTAAGGCTTTGGGTTCCTTTTTCCACAGCGCATCAAGGATTGTGTGGCATCTGACTTCTCCTGCACAGGCCACCATTGAGTCTCACTTTTAGACAGCCAAGCAGGAAGTGTAAACCTCTTCATAATCTTGCTATTCTTTTGGTACGTAAGTCTTCTCTTCCCAGGTTTGGTTTTGATTTCAGGACATTCTAGAATCTGACTCTAGTTGTGGATCTGGAGACCATGAGCAGAGTCCTCGTGGCCCATGGGCCACATCCCGTTGCAAGGTGACCATTCAGTGAGCTCGATACAGGGTCTCTGCATAAAACAGGACCAGCCTCATCAGAAAGGGAGGAAGGGCTGCTCTCATTTTATTGGCCTACGAGGCTCTGTGAGTCCTGGGGTTTCAGATTCTTGGCGTTATCTAACACCTCCAAAATATTTCCACTCCAATACTCAGGGGAAAAACCACCTTTTCCCAATCAATGCCCAGAAAGTCATAGCGGGACTGTGAATTCAGTCAATTTTGAGATTCATCAATCTTCAGGCTCTGCCTCTGCCTCTGATTTTCAGCTTCATTAGCCTTGAACCTGCATGACATAAAAGAGTACTTGAAGGAAGTCACAGAAATTTTCTCATTCACTGACCATGCTTCGAAGTGAGAATTTAAATCCCTGAAAATGCCATTTCTTTTCTTTAAACTTCATCGTGCAGTTAGATGTAACTGCTCACCTCGTGGCCTTTATAATCCCCGCGCTGCAGCCCCCAGGGCCTTGCTTTCAATAGGCACTTCATTCTGTGTCACTACAGGTGATAATTTTGGTGTTCTGCCACTGGATGACGTGGACATCTATGAACACAACTCATGATTTAATCAAAATGCGATTTTATATTTGTTTCTCACCAACTCTTTAAACTTTATTCAGGGGCCTTCCTCTAGCCCTGGAAGAAACTTCTGATGGCTTCTCTGGTTTTTCTTCCCTGCTCACCCTCACTTCTACCCACTAGCTGTCATTTTCTTTCTCTTCCAGGGTTGAAGGTAGGGTAGAGATGAGAGGAAAAAGGGGTAAGTGAGTCACTACTTGATCTGGTAGCTTCGTGCTCTCTGGGGCTGCAGATGATTAAAGCTGGTAACCCCCAGGGGGCCTGGACGATAGCTCAAGCTGATTCTTTCTCTTCTGGCCCTTGAATAGGAATGCTGGAGAGGCTCCCTGCAGGCCCGCTCTCCTGCAGTTCCCTTGACTCAAGTGGATGTATCTCTATTCCAGCTTGTCTCTTTCAAATCCTTCCTCAGCCTCTGAGTATCCAGCTGAACGTGCTCAGCTGCTTTCTGCTGAGGTCCTTCTCAGAGGACCTGGTAGACAGGACTCAAGCCTTGTCTTGTGTTACCCCCATATGGTCTTGGGAAGTCTCCTTCATCCTTTGCCTCAGGAAACTCCAGGAGTGCCCGCTGATCCCAATATAGAAGCCCTGCTTGTTCTTCCATCTCCAAAGCACGTAGCCAGCTTTGTAACGGAGGAAAACATTCTGAATTTTCTTGGTGGAGTTGGACTTCAGTTCGTGGTGCACTCTAAGTTTCTTGCTCTTTAGTCAGGCCGCCCCAGTCTTCTGTGTCTTCCAACTGCAAGGCACACGTTTAAAAGCTCTCCCAGTGGACAACTAAAAACCTTCTCACTAGGCTTATGGTTGGGAGACAGAGCCTCTGCCTCTCATCCTAAGGGGAGAGGGCTCACAGCAGAGCAAAACCCTCTTCAAAACAATCTCCTCAACCATCTTCTACTAAATCTTCCCACTGACCCCTTTTGTATCTTTGATTTCATCGAGAACCCTAGGAGATGTGGAAAAGGGTCTCCTTCACTCCTGTTCTAAATCCTGCATGGCAGGGGTGAGGTAGGTGGCGGGGGAGGGGGTGTGGTGGTTGGTCTCAATCTAATTTTGGCATCCTGAGATTTAATCTGTTGATGCTTCAATCTACTCTGAGGCAGCGGCTGGTCACAGTGGCTCTTACCTGTAATCCCAGCACTTTGGGAGGCTGAGGCGGGCACATCACCTGAGGTCAGGAGTTTGAGACCACCCTGTCCAACATGGTGAAACCCATCTCTACTAAAAAGACAAAAATTAGCCGGGCATGGTGGCACACTCCTGTAATCCCAGCTACTCAGGAGGCTGAGGCATGAGAATTGCTTGAACCCAGGAGGGGGGGGTTGCAGTGAGCCCAGATCGCACCACTGTACTTCAGCCTGGGTGTCAGAGCAAGACTCACTCTTAAAAAAATAAAAATAAAAAACAAATGGAGGCAGGAATAGTGTCATGCTAACTTCTCTAACAATGGTTTTAGTGACTTCCTGGCCACCAGATGTCATGTTTTTCCTGTATCCTATCCTTACTACTTCCAAATCCAACCAAGTCACCTAGTCAATTCCAGATTCCCAATACCTTGGAATCTCTTTCAGGAAAACAAGCCAGTCTAGCTAGTTTCAGCAGAACTTTATTACATGGTATTACTTAGAATTTCTAGGAGAGCCGAGAAACAAAGCCTGGATATTACACAGCCAGAAGTGAAGCAGCCAGGAGGAATGTCCAAGCATCCCACACATGTCCCAAATATCCTAAGACTCTTCTAGCAGAAATCCTGCTGTTGCTGCCAGATGATGCTTAACATCTATAAAACCAGAACTGACCACCAGGACCCTCATTACAGTTCGTGCAGAAAACCAGGCAGCATTGTGTCCAGACTTACTAGAATATTGTGTGTCTGCAGCCTGTCACCTATATTTCAAGTGTTGCTTAGGTTTGGATTTGTTGGAAGATAGTCAAATGTCTATATCCTAGCAGCAAAGGGTCTTGAAAGAAATGTGTTGTGTTTGTTTGTTTCTTTTCTTTCTTTTTTTTTTTTTTTGGAGACAGAGTCTCACTCTATCTCCCAGGCTGAAGTGCAGTGGCACGATCTCGGCTCACTGCCACCTCCGCCTCCCAGGTTCAAGCGATTCTCCTGCCTCAGTCTCCTGAGTAGCTGGGACTACAGGCGCATGTCACCATGCTGAGCTAATTTTTGTATTTTTAGTAGAGACGGGGTTTTTGCCATGTTGACCAGGCTGGTCTCGAACTCCTGACCTCAAGTGATCCACCTGCCTCGGCCTCTTAAAGTGCTAGGATTACAGGCGTGAGCCACCGCACCCGGCATGTTTGTTTTTTTTCTTCCTATGGAAAAGAGAATTCACAACATAGAAGAACTACCAAAAAAAGATTTGAGGCAGACACAAATGACAAATGTCCATTATGAAACTTTTATGAAAAGAAAAGTTTATGGTCCCAATCAATAAACTGTTTTGACTATATAAAACAAGGAAATAACAAAAAACTCTCTTATATATCTTTTGAATTTTGTACCATTGTTGTTATATATATATATATTATTTTTTTATTTTTTTATTTTTATTTTTATTTTTTTTTTTTGAGACAGAATCTTGCTCTGTCGCCCAGGCTGGAGTGCACTGGCACAATCTTGGCTCACTGCAAGCTCCGCCTCCTGGGTTCACGCCATTCTCCTGCCTCAGCTGGAATTACAGGCACATGCCACCACGCCCAGCTAATTTTTTGTATTTTTAGTAGAGACAGGGTTTCACCGTGTTAGCCAGGATGGTCTCGATCTCCTGACCTCGTGATCCACCCACCTCGGCCTCCCAAAGTGCTGGGCTTACAGGCATGAGCCACCGCGCCCAGCCCCATTACTGTAATATTTATTCAAAATATAAATTAAGAAAAAAAATTAAGTCTCCTTTTTCAAGGCTCTTCCTTAGTGCCATTTTTCTTATCCTCATTCCTCTTATGCTGTTGGGGCTTTCTAATGTCTTGCATTATCTTTATTCTTTAACCTTAGAAATGGTTTTGATTGACCTTTTGGTAGTCTTTGGTCTCCTTTAGCCCTTGTGTTGTTATAAAGATAAATGAGGTAATGCATTTAAAACACTTCGCATAGTGTTTGGTACCTACTAGGTAATCAACACTGGTTAGTTTTCCTGCCACTCTCCTCTTGCTATATTATTGCCTGTGGTGGTTGTTCCAGTCTTGAGTGCAGAGAATTCAACAAGATGTAGTGGGTGCATTTAAGGGACTCTCCAGCCCATGTCCTCACCATTTAAATGTGGACCATAATCCAAGCTAAACCAGTTAGACTTTCTTTTTTAAAAAAATAGAGACGGGGTCTTGCTATGTTACCCAGGCTCGTTTTGAACGCCTAGGCTCAAGCAATCCTCCTGCCTTGGCCTCCCAAAATGCTGGCATTTCAGGCATGAGCCACCGCACTTGGCTGCCAGTTAGACTTTCTTAGGGGCTAGGTAAGATAAGATCACGTATAGATGGAGTCAGAGTTGGTAACAAAACAGCCCAAAGACACACACGCTAGCTCAAGAAAGGAGGTAGGAGAAGCTGGGAGGTTGCAGAGTATCCTGATCAGTACATGTGGGCTCTGTAGTCAGGTTGCCTTAAATCCCTGCCCTAACACTCACAAGCTGTGGGGTCTTTGGCAAGTCAGTTACATAAGCTCTCCAAGCTTCTGTTTCTTCGTCTATGACCTAGGGATAACAACAGTGTCTTTCTCATAAGGTTTTGTGAATTGCTGTGGACAATTCCTATCACATAGCAAGTTTAATTCCTGGATTTCATTTACTTGAAAGTTTATGTTTGAAAAACATAATTCCCCAAGTTTTTAATCTTCCAGTGAACTAATGGTCCTGCATTTCATGTCTCCAGGCTGTTACAAGAATAAACATAGTTGGCCGGTCACTGTGGCTCACGCCTGTAATCCCAGCAATTTGGGAGGCTGAGGCGGGCGGATCACCTGAGGTCAGGAGTTCAAGACCAGCCTGACCAACATGGAGAAATTCCATCTCTACTAAAAATACAAAATAAGCTGGGCGTGGTGGTGCATGTCTGTAATCCCAGCTACTTGGGAGGCTGAGGCAGAGAATCACTTGTACCCAAGAGGTGGGGGTTGCGGTTAGCCGAGATTGCGCCATTGCACTCCAGCCTGGGCAACAAGAGTGAAACTCCGTCTCAAAGAATAAACATAGTTAAGATGTTTTAAAAGAATATATATATATTTTTTTTTGAGACGGAGTCTCGCTCTGTCGCCCAGGCTGGAGTGCAGTGGCGCTATCTCGGCTCACTGCAAGCTCCGCCTCCCGGGTTCACGCCATTCTCCTGCCTCAGCCTCCCGAGTAGCTGGGACTACAGGCGCCCACCACCACGCCTGGCTAATTTTTGTATTTTTAGTAGAGACGGGGTTTCACCGTGGTCCTGATCTCCTGACCTCGTGATCTGCCTGCCTCGGCCTCCCAAAGTGCTGGGATTACGGGTATGAGCCACTGCACCCGGCCTAAAAGAAGATTTTTATAATGAATCAGCTCAAATGAAAAACTCATTATCTCATTACTAATAAGAATAAAAAAGCACTTGAAGAGCATGAAGGATATGTAAGTGTCAAGTTGAATTTAGTTCAAAGTTTTCTGTAGAGATAAAGTTTCTCTTTAAGGCTCTGTTGACATCCATTCCATGGGTGAATTGATTTACTGTATGTTCAGTTGGGTTAATCCCAACCAGCCTGTGCAAAATGTGCCATTTCACCATTGGGTCAAGCAATATAATATAAAATGTGGGACTAAAACTAAGCTTACAAAAATGCCTGTCTGCTTCTTTCCAAAATGAGATAAAGGAAAATGTGCAAGAGCTCTTTGATTAACCAGAGACCCCGTGATTTTTTTCTTTTTTCTTTTTTTATTTTTTTAGAGTTAGGTTCTTGCTCTGTTGACTAGTCTGGAGTGCAGTGGTGTGATCATTGCTCACTGTAACCTTGAACTCCTGGGCTCAAGTGATCCTCCTACCTCAGCCTCCTGAGTGGCTGGCACTTAGGAGCACAGGCCCGTGCCACCAAGTCTGGCCGGTTTTTTAAAATTTTCTGTAGAGATGAGATCCCACTATGTTGCCTAGGCTGGCCTAGAACTCCTAGCCTGAAGCGACCCTCCTGCCTCAGTGTCTCAATGCGTTGGGATTACAGGCATGAGCCACTGCACCTGGCTGACTTTATAATTTCATAATTTTATGACTTTCAGACCTGTGGCCCTGGAATATAAGTTCATCCCATTCTACTTTGCTGAATTAAAAGAAAAATCTTAACAAGCTAAATTATAAACTACTTCTTTTAGCAGATGACATTTCATAAATATCTTGAGAGCTATAGAGAAGACTTTGAAGGAAGAATAAAAGCCCCGCATGTAATTCCATTTATAGTTTAGTAGGTTATTTTATTCTTTCTCTTTTTCATTTTTTAAAGTGAGCCTAATGCCATGAACCTGATTTCCTCAGGTTCCCCTGGCCTGTGGGTTGAAAGGGGGGCACATTAATGGTGATAACCCATATTTTGCTGAATTTATCTAACGTCTTCAGGTTTGGGTGCCTCAAGTACCCCACTCAAGTCTCACTCAGTTATTTCTGGAAGTTCTCAGAGGGTATATTGCAAACAAGTGTATCCTCTACAGTTACTGGGTAATGTGATGCCTTCTTCCTGTGCTCTGACCCACAGATATCCTTTGCCCAGCTAGCCATTTGAGAATGTGCATTTCCACCACCCAAACTGCTGGTGCCCCCTGGGATAACCCTAAGACTGTCCCAAGAATGCCAACTTCCAGTGATCCCTGGACAGCCAGCCCTGGAGATGCCAGAGCAGTTTCTTGTTACTGGGAACCCTAAATGTGCCAAAGCTGCACTGCATCAAGAAGGCCCTGCTCTGTGTGGCACTTTGTCCCTTGGGCACACAAACTGTGTGCTTCAAGAGGGAGCCTTTGTAAAACAGGCTTTGTCTTCTGTTTGCAGCTTCTCTTGCCACCGTGCTCAGATACGAATCCCTGGGGCTGGCGCGACCATCCTCCCCAGTCCCATCTCTCTCTTCCTGGGAAGTGGCTCCTTCTTTCCTCTCATGCAAATCATTTCATGTAAATAGACGCCTTTTCTTTCAGTTCATCAGTGCATTTGTTGGAACTCTTTTGGTTGCAAATAACAGACTTCAATGAGAGCTCGCAGAAGCAAATGAAGAGTCTGAATTATAAAGCTCTTGGAGTGTCTGGTGAAATAAAATGGCAGGACTGCAGCTGGGCCTCAAGGAGAAACTAAAATAGGGGACTGAAAAGCTCTAATGATGTCCATCCCTCTCCTCTCAAGTTGACTGGCTTTCCCTGATCACTGTTTTATAAGGAGAAAAGCATGACTCTATGTGAGTTTTGCTGGGGAAATGCGGTGACCTGGCTATTTCTGAAGCATAGGGTGATGGTAAAGGTCGGGGGAGGGAGGCTTGATGCCACATTTGGAGGCGTGGGCAGGGACTGCATCAAGGTTGATTTTTAACAGGCTGGAAGTTTGTCCTGAAGGCAATGAATGGCAGAGCCACTGGGGAGGCTAGAGTCGAGCAAGCAGATTTCTACTGCAGTTAGGTCATGCTGGGGTATTCGGGAAACACATAGAAGGGAGCAAGACCAGAGACAGGTAGAGAAGTTAGGATGCTACTGTAAGAGGCATTCGAACCACAGCAACCCCATTTTGAGTGAGGGCTAGGAAAATGAGGCTGAGACTGGCTAGGCTGCATTCTCAGAAGTTAGGCATTCCTGGCCTCTAGAGGTTTATGGTTCGGGCAACAAATTAATAATGTTTGCTAAACAGGCCCAGACTTGGGAGTGTGCAGATATCCCAATATCTGGAGCACAAAGGCATTCCTAATTTTGCTTTAAAGATAATAATATCAATTCTTGCAAAACATAGTAATGAAGAAAATTAATTCTTTATCACAAACCCTTGTAGCAGAGCACATCCCCCTATATATACAAGCATTGTCCCTAGGGTGAATGTGTTCCTCCTCTTACTTTCGGCAACATCCTACTCTGTCTAAGGAGTAGCTGTCTTCTCACCATTTTACTTTCTTAATAAACTGGCTTTTGCTTTGCAGTGCAGACTCACCCTAAATTCTTTCTTGCGTGAGATCCAAGAACTCTCTCTTGAGGTCTGGATCGGGACCCCTTTCCTGCAACACAACTGTAATATATGATCTTCAGAATACATTCAATAGTCCCGCTGGGAGCAGGAATAGAGAGGAAGGGATGGATTGGAGAACTACTTAAGACGTAGAATCCACAGGACTTAGTCACAGGTGGGCAATGAGGCGAGGGAGGAAAACTCCAAAATGCCTGCCAGGCTCTTGGCCTTGGAAGCTGGATAAATGGTGGTGATATTGGCTGAGGTGGGGGATAGGGGAGAAGGAGCAGATTTTGTTTGGGGGAAGATGAAATGGAATGCTTTTCACAGCCTGGCTGGGATTAACCTGACTGTACCTACAGCAAATTAAGTTAACTTGTGTTTGTTGAGTTTGGGATGCCCAAAGCATCCTCAAAAGGTGATATCAGGCTAGGCACGGTGGCTCACGCCTGTAATCCCAGCACTTTGGGAGGCCAAGGTGGATGGATCATTTGAGGCCAGGAGTTTGAGACCAGCCTGGCCAACATGGCGAAGCCCCATCTCTATTAAAATTACAAAAATTAGCTGGGCATGGTGGCATTAAGCCTGTAATCCCAGCTACTCAGTTGGCTGAGGCAGGAGAGTTGCTTAAACCTGGGAGGTGGAGGCTGCAGTGAGCTGAGATCACACCACTGCTCTCCAGCCTGGACGACAGAGTGAGGCTCTATCTCAAAAAAAAAAATAAAAAAATTAAAAAATAAAAAAATAAAAAGGGTGGTATCAGGAAGCCATGAACATTTAATTCTCTCACTCTGGGAGAGTCGATGCTAGAGATTTATGGTTGAGCTGGGACTTATCAGTATATAATATGGTTCAATCATGATGCTGAATAATATCACCCAAGAGAGCAGGTAGTAAGAAGAGCAGCTGACACAGGATGGAGGTTTGGGGAACGCTAGTGTTTAAGGAAGGGGGAAAGGGGTTTCAGGAAGAGAAGCCCATGAGAGAGATGGAGAAATAGATAATCCAGCAGTGTTAAATGCAACACAGTGTCAGTGAGATGACTACAAGGTGTCCATTCACTTAGCCACAACATTTTTATTTATTTTTTAGAGGCGAGGTCTCACTATGTTGCCCAGGCTGCTCTTAAACTCCCAGCCTTAAGCTATCTTCCCACCTCAGCCTCCCAAAGTGCTGGGATTACAGGTGTGAGCCACCACACCCAGCCTCACAAAGTATTTATTGAACATCTACTATATTCAGCATGCTATAGCAGTTAAGAGTTTAGACTCTGGAGCCAGACTACCTAGGTTTGAATCCATGATTTACTTGCTGTCTGGCCTGAGACAAATAATTATTACCCTGTCTCAGCTTCTATTTTCTCTTCTGCAAGGGCAAAGATAACAGTAATTATTTCATAAAGAGTAGCATGAGGATTAAACAATATGTGGCAGATGGTAATTATATAATCAATGCTATTACTGTCGTGTATCAGACACTTTTGTGGGCTCCAGCGACACAGCTGTGAACAAGACAGAGCAAGTCCCTGCTCTTATGGAATTTATATTCTATTTGGGATGAGGGGAGCTTGGATCATAAACGACAAAAAGCAAGAAAATGGCAGTGAAGTCCTAAAAAGAAAATTTAAAAGGTGAGATGATGGGAGGTGAGGGTGAGGTGGGTTGCTGTAGATGGGCTGGCCAGGGAAGGCAGCCTCTCTGAGGAGGTAACATTTGCGCTGGAACTTGAAGACCCATGAGAAGATACTGGTGCAGAGTGTTTCAGGCAAAAGGTGAACAAATGCAGTGACCCTAAGATAGGAACAAATTTGGTGTGTTCAAGGAAAAGAAAGAACCACCTCTATCTGATTTCATGGCCCATATTCTTTTCGCCATACCTCACAGTCTTTCTGGCACAAATCATATTAATAAAGCCACAGGAAAGGAGCCCTAAAATTATTGCGGCAGATACTGTAAGTTGACTCATTCAATACGTATTTGAATCACTTTCGATCAGGAAAGCAAAAAACTACATTCTTAGACTCCCTTGCAGCTAGATTGATATTCACGACAGTTTCTGCCAACGTGTGAGGCACAGCAGCAAGGTGGTGGCTGAGCCCAGAGAGAGAACAGATTCTCTGCTAAGCTTAGTGGTGGAAGCACTTGGTTCTGCTGGGGTGTGCATGGAAACAGTTGCATGCCATCAGAGGACGTTTTTTTCTGGCTGCATTGTTTCTGGCTGAGTAGTGTTCAAGCCTGGTTCTCTGGTCCTCTGAAAGATTCTATAAGCTCTTTAGTTCTTTCTATGTATTTCTCTTTTTTAAATTTTTAGTTTTTATGGGTACATAGTAGGTGTATGTACTTATGGGGTACATAGGATATTTTGATACAGGCATATAATGTATAATAATCACATCGGAGTAAATGAAGTTTTTCATGTATTTCTTTCTGCTTAAACTAGCCATGGTGAATGAATTCTATTGTCTGCAACTAAGAACCTTGATCTGTGTAATGCCCTACTAATTCCGTGCTTCCACCAGCTTTCCAACCACTTCCTGTCCCTCCTTCCCCCAGGTCTAACCTGAGGACAGAGGGGCTTGGGTGATTCAGCCCTAGAGATCAGTCGTTTGGGGGCCCCCAGGCAGGTAGAGGAGGGCAAAGGATGGTGGCAGGCATGGGGGACAAATGGAGACTAGTACAGTCCCCTTTGCAAGTGCCATCAAGCCCTGTGTCTTTCCACATGCCAGGGCAAAGTGTCTGGCCCTTATGGTGACAAGATTTGCAGTAGCTTAAGGAAAATGGAGAGACCGAAACTTTCAGCAGGGGTACAGGAGGGAAGAGCAGCCCAGCTGTGGTTTGGGGATGACTGAGGAACACTCTATCAGCTCAAGATGATGCAGAAATAAGGCCACAGCATGCCCCCTCTTTGGTAAAAGAAGGCAGGGAAAATCACCTGCTTTTTCTTCTTCACTCTATTTTGCAGTTTCTGAATGAGTTACAAACAGAGTGCAAGAAGCCGAGTCGGTGGGTGACTGTTTGGAACGCCAGTGCCTCTGTGCACTTTCTAAATATCCACATGCAGGCAGGAAAGAGTGGGCAAAGCCCGAGCAGAACTGGGGAACAGGGGAGATTCATCATTTTATACTTTTGCTTCCTCTTCCTGATTCAATATAAAATGTGAATTTTGTATTGTCTGCTGTTGCTTCAAGCAATTGCTTTCTCATTCAAACAAGCTCATGCAACTGTGGAGGCTGAGAAGCCCCACAATCTGCCATCTACAATCTGGAGAACGAGAAAAGCTGGTGGTATAGTTCTAGTTCAAACCCAAAGCCCTGAGAACTGGGGAGGCCGATGGTGTAAGTCCCAGTCTGCATCTGAAAGCCCTGAGAACTGGGGAGCCGATCCCTCAAAATACGTCTCTTTCAATATATCTGTATATATATCCTACTGGTTCTTTTCTCTGGAGAACCCTCATTAATACAAGTTTCCAGTGCATGAATATTATTAGCTTTTGCTACAGAATGGATGCTAGGTGCTTAAAGCTTTTCCCCCCCCATGAAGTTTTTTTTTGTTGTTGTTTTTTGAGACATGATGTTTTTGTTGTTGTTTGTTGTTTTCTGTCACCCACGCTGGATTGCAGTGGCATGATTTTGGCTCACCGCAACCTTCGCCTCCCAGGTTCAAGTGATTCTCCTGCCTCAGCCTCCCAAGAAGCTGGGATTACAGGTGTGCACCACCACACTCAGCTAATTTTTGTATTTTTTTTTTAGTAGAGACGGGGTTTCACCTTGTTGGGCAGGCTGGTCTCGAACCCCTGACCTCAAGTGATCCACCTGCCTCGGCCTCCCAAAGTACTGGAATTACAGGTGTAAGCCACCATGCCTGGTCTCCATGAAGTTTTGAAATAGAAAAGAACAATTCCTTCTGTTTGACTCAGATTGGGTGTGTAGATGTCTGGGGTCACAGGTTAGAAATAAAAGTTTTGAGTTTGGGCCTACTCTAACCAGACAGCATGCTCAAACATGTGAGTGCTTCCCCAGAAGGTGTCTTTTTGTAGGTTTATACTTTCTCTTGTCTCTCCTGCTAAGAGGTCTATCCCCTCTGCTGAATTATGCCATTCTAATTCCATCCTGTAAATGGTCTAAGCCTCTTGTAGTTACTCTTTAGCAATCAACTGCATTTTGGAGCCTTAAAATGCTCGTTGTCAATGCATAAATTTGGAAAACTGTTAATGCTCTTCTCCCCGAGTTTGATGTGCCAAACTCCCTGAGTTTGATGTGTTCTGTTTGGTAACATTTGATGTTCTCTCTAGTTCTGTCAACTACCAGCATGAGATGAAAGATGGGGGTAAGCGAATAAAAAACACAGATATCATGAACGTGATTTCATTGTGTCCTGCTGAATGTTGACCTTTAACAATTGCTTTATGTTTTTACAATTTAAGTCTCTGATCAGGACGCATCTTACAATCAATGACTCATTCTAATTTAATTGACAAAATCATTTTCTTTCTTAATTTTACACAAAATAATGGTCTGTCTTAAAAATGGATGACAGATAAAATAAAATATGATGTACACAGACATATTATATATACTTTCTTTTTTTTTTTTTTTTTTTTTTTTTTTGAGATGGAGTCTCGCTCTGTCACCCAGGCTAGAGTGCAGTGGTGCAATCTCGGCTCATTGCAACCTCCGACTTCCGGATTCACGCCATTCTCCTGTCTCAGCCTCCCGAGTAGCTGGGACTACAGGTGCCCACCACCATGCCCAGCTAATTTTTTATATTTTTAGTAGAGACGGGGTTTTACCATGTTAGCCAGGATGGTCTCAATCTCCTGACCTCGCGATCCACCGCCTCAGCCTCCCAAAGTGCTGGGATTACAGGCGTGAGCCACCGTGCCTGGCCAACATATTATATATACTTAAAAGATGAGCTAGAAATTTCTGCTGGCTGAATGTTCAGGAATACTCAGGTGCCATTGCTGATCTGAGTATCAAAAACCACAGAGTTAAGCACCTCCACTGGGGCACTGTCTTTATGTGGATGGAACATGCATTCTTGAACCTGGGACCCATTAATAGACACTCTGGCCTAGTGACAGTTTTGCTAATAATAATTCTGGAGGATAATATTCATTTATCCTTTGCTATGCCTGGATCTTTTTTTCTTTCCTTTTCTTTTTTTGAGATGGAGTTTCACTCTTGTCACCCAGGCTGGAGTGCAGTGGCGCAATCTCAGCTCACTGCAACCTCTGCCTCCTGGGTTCAAGCGATTCAAGCGATTCTCCTGCCTCAGCCTCCCAAGTAGGGATTACAGGTGCTCACCACCACGCCTGGCTAATTTTTGTATTATTATTATTTTTTTTTATTACAGACAGGGTTTCACTATGTTGGTCAGGCTGGTCTCAAACTCCTGACCTCAGGTGATCTGCCCACTTCAGCCTTCCAAAGTGTTGGGATTACAGGCGTGAGCCAATGGCACCCAGCCTACCTGGATCTTTTGATTGGATATACCTGGGTCTTTTTAGGAATGGGTACAGAGATATCACAGGTCCTAGTATTTGACACTTGCAATGAATGTTCAATGTTCATTCTAGGGTTCCAGAAGCAACACTTTGTTAGGAGATGCTGCAGAAGCCAGAGGATTGCCTGATGCCTCCCAGCTGAATCAGCAAAGCTTTCCTCTAATAGCGTTGCTTGATTAAGGGGTGAGTGAATTTCTGCAGAGAGGCTGAGCACTTGGTGTGGTTTGAGGGTCCCTAATAGATGTACCGAAGTGTTTGGCTACAAACTCCTCACATAATAATAATTATGTTGATGCTGCTACAGATGATTAGCCTGGGTTTTGGAAAGCTTCCTCCTTGGTGCATTCCATTCAAAAGGCCTCCTCTTCTCAGCATGTGCCTGCAAACACAATCCCCTGAAATGACAAGAGAGCATAAGAAAAGCTGCAAGCATTGCCTGTACTGGCCTTTTGAACTCATTTGGGGTTTCCATGGCAGTGGGAGTCAGGATGGATGGATTTGTTTTCCTCTCTACTTGAGCAATGAGGTTTTCATCATTTGCGGCTTGATTTGGATCCTTTAGAATAATGTCCCCCGACACATTTCCATCAGGAGCACAGGAGCAGCCAAGACATACAGGGAGACTTGCACGTGGCTTTGCGCAGGAGCCTTTTCTGCCAAATCAAACAGAGCAGAGATACAAAACACAAAAGCAAGCCATCAGAAAAGATCTGTGTGACTGGGCATGATGGATCATGTCTGTAATCCCAGTGCTTTGGGAGGCTGAGGTGGGAGGATCACTTGAAGCCAAAAGTTCAAAGTTATAGTGACCTATGATCATGCACTCCAGCTTGGGCAACAGAGCAAGACAGAGAGAGAGAGAGAGAGAGAGAGAGAGAGAGAGAGAGAGAGAAAGGGAGAAAGAGAGAAAGGGAGAAAGGAAGAAAGAAACTGTATGTAGTATCATCCTAGAGCTGTGACTCCTTAGATGGAAAGGAGTACAGGACGGAGTCTTCTGAAAGCCTGATTGTGTGCTAGGGAAGCTGAAGCAGTCTGTTCAGCTGGCACGAGACTATCTAGAAGGCTCTTTCCATTCACTCAGTACTTATTGAGCACCTACTGTGTGTACACATCCTTCCAGTCACTGAGGATATAGCAGTCAATAAAACAGACAAAATCTCTATCCACATAGATGGTCCCTTCCAGAGGATGGAGGCAATAAGTGAATAAATGAATGGATCCCATCAGGTGCTGATAAAGGATGAATGCTGTGAAAAAAATATATAAGACAGTTTAGGGGAGAGGGAATGCTCAGATGAGGATGGCATGTGGCTGTTTTATGCAGGTAGATGCGGTAATCCTCTCTGTTAGGGTGAGATTTGAGCAGGGGTTGAAGGACATTGGGTTGTGAGGCATGAGGACTTTGTGGTGGATGGAGTATGTCCCATGGGAAGAAGAGCAAGTGCAAAGGCCCAATGCAGGAGTGTGCTTGGTTTATGCAAGGACTGGCATGGAGGCCTAGCAGCTGGTGCAGGTGGGGCTGGTTATAGTGACGGGAAGTGAGGTTGGAGAGAGCTGGGGCAGGCTAAGACCATGGAGGGCTTTTCAAGTCATGGAAGATCTTGACTTTCCTCTGAAATGGGAGGCTTTGGAGAAGTTTGAGCAAAACAGTGATGTAACCTGAGTTATGTCTTAACAGGAATACTTTGCAGTATGAAGAATAGACCATGGCAGGAGGCAAGGTTGGAAGCAGGGAGACCAGGAGTCTATTGCAATGGTCCAAAATGGTAGATGTGGAGATGATGGAAGGTAGTCTGGCTCAGGAGGCATTTTGATGGTGGAACCAATGGGATGAGCTGACAGATTGGATAGTCAAGCCATAAAAAGAGAGAAGTGAGGAGTGATCTCAAGTCTTTAGGACTGCCCTATTGGAAGAATGGAATTGCCATAGATTGACCCAGGGACACTGGAAGTGAAGCAGGTTTTTGCTTTTTTAAATAAAATCTAGTTTTAGATTTGTAAACTCTGAGATGTTTATTATATATCCTAGTGGAGATGCTGAGTAGGCAGTTGTGAGTCTGAGTTCAGGGGAGAGGTCTAGGCTAGAGACATGAATTAGGGAATCATTAGCCTATAAATGGTACAAAGGGACTGAATGAAATGATCTATGGTAAGCGTGCAAATAGAGAACAGAGTTGAGGATAGAGTCCTGGGGCTCCTGCTGGCACCACTGTCCCCCCACCGCATGCCGACGGACCCTGCCTTATACTGCCTTAATGATGGAAAGCCAGGCAGAGTCTGGGATCAGGGCTTCCCGTTTCCTGGGGATTTGCTTGGAGAAGTCACAAGAAAGTAAGGTCCTCATCTGGTTGGCAGACACTTGGGTCAGGTCTGTAACCAAAACAAAGGGTCCTGTCCTCCCCCAAAAGCACCACTGCAAACATCTCCAGATGCACCACCATCCCACAAAAGCAACAATTGTAGACGGAATGCTGTCACTTCTCTAAAGAACCATCAACCTTCCACCTTTTGTCGCCTTAATACTGGGTAATTGAGAGATGGGTGGCTGTGTCCTGAGATTGATACTTGAATCTTGGCTTTGCTGCATGCCACCTGTGTAGCCTTGGGCAAGTCAACCTCTTGGAGCCTCAGTTTCCTCATGTCCACACATCTCAAGGCTTATTTCGACAATTATACGGGAGGATACACATGAAGAAGCTACTGCTGTGCCTGGCAAATCGAAGATCATTATAAAAGCAAACACTATGTGTCAGATACAATTTCATACATCTTCTATATATTTACTTAATTACCACAACAACCTTAGGAGGCAGGTGTTATTATTTCCACTTTACGGATTAGGGTAAATAATTTGGCCATCTAGTAACTCAAGGAGCCTGGCTATGGGAGTGATGATTTAACCACTGTGCTATACTGCTTCCTGTGAATACACAAAAATTTTTTCTTCTCTCTCATTTTCAAATGTTTTCATTATATGGCTTGAGTTTTCAATTCTCAGTTCTGTACTTTTTCTTGTTAGTAAGTTGCATTCATTATCTGATCCTAAGACAACTTTCATCCCTTTATACTAAAACAGGCAGTTTTATGCAATGGCAAGAAAAGAGAATTCAAATTTTCTGAAATACAAGAGATAAAGTCTCAGTGCCAGCCTACTCTGTGGGAAGCTGAGTCAGTGTAGCTGAGCACACAAAGCAAGCTGGGGATATGACTTTCTCCTTGAACAGACAGACACTGACCAAAAAGGAGAATGATGTGTTTGGAAAGCCATGAAAATCTGAATGGAGTGAGGGATTTTTATTTTAGGATATTAGGAGAAACAGAATCCATTTGTATCTGTATGTATGAGTGTAAGAACATTGATGTGAAAGTGTGTGCATGTGTGCTTGAAGGTGTGTGGGTGAGTGTGCATGCATGTGTGCTTTTGCAATATGTAATACTCACTGACTACCAAAAGAACTGACCCTGTGGGTGTCTGGCACAAAAGGATGGGCTGGGATTAATTTTCTGGTTTATGCTTCTTCAAATCATTGAGCTAGTGACACTGAGGAAAAAAAGCAATCTCCAAGGAGAAAATAAATCATGTTTCCCATGAAATAGGGCTGCCATATTAAGCAAATAAAAATACAGGACTCCCAGATAAATTTGAATTTCAGATAAACAACAAATAATTTTAAAATATAAATATGTTTTGGCTGGGTGCAGTGGCTCACGCTTGTAATCCCAGCACTTTGGGAGGCCGAGGCAGGTGGATCACGAGGTCAGGAGATCAAGACCATCTTGGCTAACGCAGTGAAACCCCGTCTCTACTAAAAATACAAAATATTAGCTGGGCATGGTAGCAGGCACCTGTAGTCCCAGCTACTTGGGAGGCTGAGGCAGGAGAATGGTGTGATCCCGGGAGGCAGAGCTTGCAGTGAGCCGAGATCGTGCCACTGCACTCCAGCCTGGGCGACAGAGTGAGACTCCGTCTCAAAAAAACAAAATAAAATAAACAAAACAAAACAACAACATATATATATATGTTTTATGTAATATTTGGGACATACTTTACAAAAAATTATTTGTTATTCAAAATTCAAATTTAACAGGGCATGCTGTGTTTTATCTGGCAACCTTACCATGAAAGAGAATGAATTAAAATACCTACTGATTTTGTAAAATCTTTAAAATCCACAGAATACTTTGTGCCAAGACCAGCCTTGTCAGGGAGACCCTAACCCAGTGGCACTAGAGGAATTAAAGACACACACACAGAAATATAGAGGTGTGAAGTGGGAAATCAGGGGTCTCACAGTCTTCAGAGCTGACAGCCCTGAACAGAGATTTACCCACATATTTATTAACAGCAAACCAGTCACTGGCATTGTTTCTATAGATATTAAATTAACTAAAAGTATCCCTTATGGGAAGTGAAGGGATGGGCCGAATTAAAGGAATAGGTTGGGCTAGTTAACTGCAGCAGGAACACGCCCTTAAGACACAGATGCTCATGCTATTGTCTGTGGCTTAAGAATGCCTTTAAGCAGTTTTCCGCCCTGGGCGGGCCAGGTGTTCCTTGCCTTCATTCCCCTAAACCCACAACCATCCAGCTTGCCCATTAGAGCCATTATGAACATGTTATGGTGCTGCAGAGATTTTGTTTATGGCAAGTCTTGGGGCCAGTTTATGGCCAGGTTTTGGGGGGCTGGCTCCCAACATTTTTGTACTAGTGAAGACCTTTGGTTCTGGGAGGGGCATCAACTCATTCTTTTCTCTTTTAGGACATTACTTAATGACTTGGCACCGCCATCTGCAAAATGGGGAAATAATCTCAATGAATGCTCTGTCCTCTCTCCAGTCAAAACCCCTGTAGATTTCATATCTGTATCCTCATGTACAATGGTATGGGGTACTTCACAGAAGTTCATTCTCCACTTCAATTAAAAAACCAATTAAGAATTTTTTCAAAGGATTGGTGATGGCATGCCTTAATAGCCAGCCAGTGTCCTGGGGTGTTCAATTTCTTCATACTTTCTCCCTCTGTTTAGCTTGCCTGGCGATAGAATTCTTCCTGTCAGGCAAGTAGCAAACTCTGGGAAGTCTCTGGAAGGAACAGGACACTGATGGGAAGGCAGGGAGAAACTTCCCATGACTTCCCAGGGAAGCTCAAAGCAGGCACCTTGAGGCCCAGGAGCCAGAGTGCATGGGATGATGTGATCTGAGGGGAGCCCTCAGTGCCTCAGGTGGGTGTCTGAACCACAGACTTCTTCCTGTCCGAAGCATCCTGTTCACTAGGATGAAATAGAATGTGGGAGTGAAGCCTCAGGCTCCCAGTAACAGTCCCTATCTATGCTCATACTGTGTCTTTTTCTAGTTGTCTGAGCTAGAATCTCTGGCCTCTGATTTTCTCATCTATAAAATGGCTGCAACACTGGTGCCTACATCAGAGTTATTTTCAAGACTAAATGGCAGCATTAATAAAACCGTGTCTGGCATTCAGGAAGCACTTTGTAAGCATTAATCATTATTATTATTGTGGCCAGAGGCTATTTCTCCTAAGAAGTTGAGTTAGAATTTGTACTAATAACCTTTTCTGAGAGTAAACACAATGCATATTCATGGAGCAATATGTAAATATAGAAAATCCACTGGCAAAACATTTAAATCATAAATGCCCCATGAGGCTGGGTACGGTGGCCCATACCTCTAATCCCAACCCTCTGGGAGTCCAAGGTGGGTGGATCACCTGAGGTCAGGAGTTCAAGACCAGCCTGGTCAACCTGGTGAAACCCTGTCGCTACTAAAAAAATAATAATAATTAAAATTTTTTAAAAATTAGCTGGGCATAGTGGCACATGCTTGTGATCCCACCTACCTGGGAGGCTGAGGCAGGAGAACTGCTTGCTCGGGAGGTGGAGGTTGTGGTGAGCCAAGATTGTGCCACTGAGCTTCCAGTCTGAGCGACAGACCAAGACTCCATCTCAAAAAAAAAAAAAAAGAGAAAAGAAAAAAAAAATGGAATGCCCCATAAAGCTATCTCTGATCTTTTTTCTCCTCCCCCCAACCCTCTCTTTATTGCTCTATATCAGAGAGAACCACCTAAAAAGCTTTTAAAAACCCGTATACCTTACCCAAAGGATTATAGATCATGCTGCTATAAAGACACATGTACACGTATGTTTATTGTGGCACGATTCACAATAGCAAAGACTTGGAACCAACCCAAATGTCCATCAATGATAGACTGGATAAAGAAATGTGGCACATATACACCATGGAATACTATGTAGCCATAAAAAGGATGAGTTCATGTCCTTTGTAGGGACATGGATGAAGCTGGAAACCATCATTCTGAGCAAAATATTGCACGGACAGAAAACCAAACACCGCACGTTCTCACTCATAGGTGGGAATTGAACAATGAGAACATTTGGACACAGGGTGGGGAACATCACACACTGGAGCCTGTCATGGGGTGGGGGGAGGGGGGAGGGGGAGGGATAGCATTAGGAGATATACCTAATCTAAATGACGAGTTAATGGGTACAGCACACCAACATAGCACATGTATACATGTGTAACAAACCTGCATATTGTGCACATGTACCCTACAACTTAAAGTATAAAAAAAAGAAACCCATGTACCTGAGACCCAAACCAGATCTAATAAATTAGAACCTCTAGGGGTGGGGCCAAAGGATCTGTATTTTTTAAGAAAACATTCTAGAACATTCTGTGGCAAAACCAGGCTTCTTGCACTCACTTGTGTGTGCTCCCCCTCTCATGGTATTTTTCAAAAATTGGACAATGTTGTACATTTGGTTTGTAGCCTGCTTTTGTCACATTGCTATATTTTCCATTGTCATTTTCTACAGTATCATATTTTTCTCTTAAGGCTTCAGCTGTGGTTTTGACAAAGCCCTAATCCACTGCTTTTCACCCAGCAGTCATCTCACAAAATGAATCCATTTAAAAACGTCATCACTCTTGTCTTTTCTTGCCCCTCTAGTCTGCCAAATTTGATGAATAGAGACCTACTCCCTGTAATTCTCTCTCCTGCTCTTGGATTTCAGCTCTTGAACTGATGGCCACTTGTGGCTCCAGCCTTCCAGTCGTCACCCTGCAGTTTTGTAGCTAACACTTGCTATGACGCTGGCTGACATGCCAGGGAGGGTTTGTACATTTTCGGTCCTAAAATATTAATTTGACATCTAACACTATTTTTCATTTAGTGCTCAGCCAACCGTGATGGTGGCTATTTCGGCTCAAAATAATCTCCAAGGACTCTTGGGGGAAAAATTTCCTTGGCCATCCAACTGACATTTTAGGAAAATAAAATAAAACACCGTTGAAAAACAAAATCTTTCATAGATGGCTGTCTCCAGTTACTGACTAATGAGAATAGATATGAGGTGAGGAAGGGCCTTTAATTAAGAAGCAAACACCCTCCCCACCCAATTTAGGCCCATCCTGCTGCCAATATTGATATTACTGAAATAAATGCAGTAGTCACAGGACATCAAATATCACCTTTCTATCTTTGGGTTGATTCTCCAACTGCTGAATGAAGCTCAAGTGATGGTTATTTCAAAACTTTTCAAAACCTTGTAAACCAGGTGTTTCTCAATAGCCCCTTGATGAAATGTG
This sequence comes from Homo sapiens, assembly GCF_000001405.40. NCBI lineage: Eukaryota > Metazoa > Chordata > Mammalia > Primates > Hominidae > Homo > Homo sapiens. Next base: position 94,902,789 of record NC_000012.12, on the reverse strand, counting down.
CCTTTGGTTATCATTTGTACAGAGTAGCAGGCAGCCGGGGCATATCCTGCTACTTTTTTTTTTTTTTTTTTTTTTGAGATGATGTCTCTCTCTGTCGCCCAGGCTGGAGTGCAGTGGCGCGATCTCGGCTCACTGCAACCTCCGTCTCCCGAGTTCAAGTGATTCTCCTGCCTCAGCACCCCCAAGTAGCTGGGATTAAAGGTGGGCGCCACCACGCCCGGCTAATTTTTTTTGTATTTTTAGTAGAGTCAGGGTTTCACTATGTTGGCAGGGCTGGTCTCAAACTCCTGACCTCAAGTGATCTGCCCACCTCAGCCTCCCAAAGTGCTGAGATTACAGAGGTGTGAGCCACTGTGCCGGGCCTTTTTTTTTTTTTTTTTTTTTTTTTTGAGATAGGGTCTCACTCTGTCACCCAGGCTGGTGTGCAGTAGCACAATCATGGCTCATTGCAGTCTCGACCTCCCTGGGCTCAGGTGATCCTCCATCTCAGCCTTCCAGGTACCTGGGATCTGTTCATCCACCGAACAGCTTGGGCTTCTTTGGCAATGCTTTGCTCTCCTGAGGGTGCAGTCAGTGCCGTGGCATCAGCAGCCTTTATCATCCTCAGTGTGCCTGGCCAGAGACACTGAAGTAAATGGTCCAGCTCTAGGGCTGGAGACATGCTTCTATGGCTGAGCGTGGTGGCTCACGCCTGTAATTCTAACACTTGGGGAGGCTAAAGCGGGAGGACTGCTTGAGCCCGGGAGATTGAGGCCAGCCTGGGCAACATGGTGATACCCATCTCTAAAATAATAGAAAAAAATTATTGTATTTTTTGGAGGAACGATGTGCCAGTCACTCTCTTTTTTTTTTTTTTTTTTTTTTTTTAAGATGGAGTCTTGCTCTGTCACACAGGCTGGAGTGCAGTGGCACAATCTTGGCTCACTGCAACCTCTGCCTCCCTGGTTGAAGCGATTCTCTTGCCTTAGCCTCCTGAGTAGCGGGGACTGTAGAGACAGGGTTTCACCATGTTAGCCAGGCTGGTCTTGAACTCCTGACCTCAGGCAATCCACCCGTCTCGGCCTTCCAAAGTGCTGGGATTACAGGCATGAGCCACTGCACCTGGTCGTGCCAGGCACTCTTAAGATTGAGAAAGTGTTGGAGGACAACCTCTTCTCTCTTGAGAGAGTAAATATTTTGAAGGGTGCCAGTAGGACAGTTTTCTCTCTAAGAGTAAAAGGGATAAAGATTATTAGATGAAGCTTATGAAATCAGCCGGGGTGTGCAAGCCTGAATTTCTTTCATCGAAGGCATTAGGAGCAGGAGTCTTAAATATGTAGAAACCTTTTTTGTTTTGTTTTGTTTTCTTGTTTTTGAGACAGGGTCTCACTCTGCTTCCCAGTCTGGAGTGCGGTGGTGTGATCTCACCTCACTGCAGCCTTGACCTTTTCAGCCCAAGTGATCCTCCTATCTCAGCCTCCTGACTAGCTGGGACTATAGGTGCATGCCACCACACTCAGCTATTTTTTTGTTGAGATGGGGTTTTGCCATGTTGCTCAGGCTGGTCCCAAACTCCTAAGCTCAAGTGATCCACCCACCTCAGCCTCCCAAAGTGCCGAGATTATAGGCTTGAGCCGCCAGGCTGGCCTGAATATGTGGAAACATTTTATGGCAGTGGTGAAGAATGTGGGTGTTGCAGTCACCCAGTCTTGCAAGTTCTTCCACTTACCAACGGGTTATTTAGTATCTCCCAGCCTCAGTTTCTTCCCATATATAATGGGGATAGGTACGACTTCACAGGGTAGGAACTAAATGAGATAATTGCATGCACTGAGTTGGGTACATACCGTGCTGGTTTTCCATGGCTCATGTGCCATGAAGGGAAGGCTTCCTTCCCTTCACAAGGGAAGGAAGTGAAAGTCTCAGCCCAAGCTGAGATGGGGTGATTTGTTGTCAGGGATGGTAGAAGCCTTTGTCTGAGGGGCCGTATTGCTCAGATCTCTGTCTGTGCCAGTTAAGGTCCCTATGGCCTTGGCTGAGGCTGGCCCACCAAGTGCCATGGTTCAGTGGTTTTCCAAGCCAGAGCAGGTATTGTCCTGCTCTGGTTGATTGTTCAGTGAGGCCTGAATGATCACAGAAGTGGTTCTGGGGTCTGCCAAATTGAAGACTGCTTCTCTTCTCTGAGGCAGTTTGTACTGTGGTTCTTTTTGATTTCACATAATAGAAGTTGTAGGATCCCAGGAGGCAGAGACCAGCCAGAAGAGTTTTGCACTTGCCTGATCTCCTATCTTATCAGATGCACCACTCCCGCTGCTCCTGTCTTCAGCCCAAATAGTGGCTTCTTTAGTTGTGCAAACCATCCTCACCCCTGGGGTGGTATCTCCCACTTGGTGTTGATGGCAGACACCAGAGCTGTCGCTCAGAACCCAACCAAATCTTTGCAAGCGCAACAAAGTGACCGTGCCAAGCAAGGAAGGCTGGCTAACTGCTTTTATTTGTTTCCTAAGAGCAGAAATCAAGGACTAATAGTGACATCTAATTTCAACTCTCCTACCTGGACACAGTTTCTTCCCACGCCTTAATAGAAATAAGAAAAATAGGCAAAAGTGATTTCTATTTTATTTTATTTTTGCAGGGGATGGAGTCTCACTCTTTTTGCCCAGGCTGGAGTGCAATGGCGTGATCTTGTCTCACTGCAACTTCTGCCTCCTGGGTTCAAGTGATTCTTCTGCCTCAGCCTCCTGAATACCTGGGATTACAGGCACGCACCATCACACCCGACTAATTTTTGTATTTTTAGTAGAAATGGGGTTTCACCATGTTGGCCAGGTTGGTCTCAAACTCCTGACCTCAAGTGATCCACCCGCCTTGGCCTCCCAAAGTGCTGGGATTACAGGCATGAGCCACTGCACCCATCCAAGAGTGATTTTGAAACAAACAGTGATTTTAAGCAGAGAGTTTATGTATCTATGTTATTTCTCCTTGTTGCCAATAGGTAGCCCGTCTCTGGGAAGGGGACCTTAGATTTTGTATGTCATTTAAAAACAATAGATTTTGGTTTCAATCTGTTAGTTTCTCCTATTTTTCATGAGCTATGCTTTCTGGATAATATTTTTCCCTCTGGCTGCTTTCAAGATCTTGTTTTTACCATTTTCAATACAATGTGTGCAAATATAGTTTTTTTTCTATATGTTTTGCTTAGGATTCACTGTGATTTCTAAATCTAAGGATTCATATATTTCACGAACTCTGGAAGATTCTCAGCCAGACTGTTTATCCTATACTGTTTCCTACAGTCTGGATTTTGTTCATTGCATCGCCTAAAGTGTTGTTTAATATGTTCCTCTGTCCCTTATAGTTCCTATAATTTGACAGTTAAATCTAGAGGCTTGGTCTGACTCAGTTTGATTTTTTTGCAATAATACATTACAGGGTTTATTGTGAACTTCACCAGGAAGCACATGATGTCTCTCTTTATGTGTTCCTAACAGCTGCTGGTGATCATTGTCTAGATCCTTCATTTCATTAGGGTTTGTTTAGTGGTGCTATTCCAGTCTTTTCATGTTCTTTTATTTTGGGATAGAGTCTTCATGTGGGTTTGCTGCATCAAAGGGTAAATGCATGTATAATTTTGCCTGATATTGCCAAATTACCCTTTATAGAAGTTATACCATTTTGCATTCCTGCTGATAATGTATAAGAATGCCTATTAGCCCTTGGAATGGCCAACAGAGAGAGTATGTTATCTAATATTATATTTCTGCTTATCTGATGATTGAGAAATGGTGTCTTAGTGTGGTTTTCATCTGCATTTATCTTATTATAACTGGAGTTCCTTTGTCTCCTTCATAGTTCTGATATTTGTCCTTCAGAAGCTAGTAGCATATTCTTAAAAAGATTAGGGATAGAGCATAAGGCTATAGGAGAATCTAATGGAATAGGGGATGACAGCTTAGGTGGCTAAGCCACCTAATACTATTAGGAGCAGAAAGCAGGTATCCAACTACCAAGACAACCAGATTTACTCATTCCCAATTGTCATTTAGACTTAGCATTGCATTACCATTTTTTCCCCTTGACCTTTACATGTAATGTTAAATAATCCAACATGTTATTGTGTGTTATGCAGGGCTCTCAGAAAGGTATAGAAAGGCTGCTTCCCAGGATGGAGCAGTTGTCTCAGGCGCCAGCTGCAAGTGCAGTCATGGATGGGGATTGCCTGCAGGGAGCAGCAAACCCTTCCAGCTACATGCTCAGAGCCTGGAGCAGCATATCTGCTTAGCAGGAGTAAGATTGCTTTGTTTCCAACTGGACTAGAGATGTCACAGGAAGTTTCTTTTTAATAATCCTCAGCACAAAAGTCTTCTTTAGAATAGTCACAAAATTCTGGAGATGTGTTCAAGGTTGATAGAATTTGGCACCAACGAGAGGTCATATCAGCAAGATCCCAAAACTTCCAGGAAATCTGTTGTTGGAGACATCCAGGGTTGATCCCATGAAGATTTGGTTTCTAAATTCCAAACTGAATGATGCTGTTGCTGGCATTGGTCAAGGGCAACTGTGAGAGTAAAATTATTATGTCATTATTATCAATAAATATTTATTGAGAACTTACTATGCACAGGGTGCATGGGTATCTATGCAGCCCATTGATGATCTTATTTTTTATTTTTGAGACAGAGTTTCACTCTTGTTGCCCAGGCTGAAGTTCAATGGCTTGATCTGATCTTGGCTCACTGCAGCCTCTGCCTCCCAGGTTCAAGTGATTCTCCTGCCTCAGCCTCCCAAATATCTGGGATTACAGGCATGTGCCACCACACCCAGCTAATTTTGTAGTTTTAGTAGAGATGGGGTTTTACCATGTTGGTCAGGCTGGTTTTGAACTCCTGACCTCAGTTGATCCACTTGCCTTGGCCTCCCAAACTGTTGGGATTACAGGTATGAGCCACCACGCCCGGCTGATGATCTGATTGATAATAGAAAGATGATGAGAGATGATGGTGAGAGAGATTTTTAAGGAACACTGTGTTCCCTTTAGCAGGAAGGTATTAGGTATTACATTATATCAGGTATTATATACAATGCATCTATACATATAATACATATAATATATAATACAATATATTATATTGTATTAGGTAATTATAAATAATCTAGAGATGATTTAAAGTATATGGGAAGATATGCATAGGTCATATACAAATACTAAATCATTTTATATCAGAACTTAGGCATTTTAGCATATGTAAGAGGTTCTGGAACCAATCCCTCTAAGATACCAAGGGACAACCATATAGAACTTCACATGCAGAATGGTTACACATACGCCTTACTGTTTTCCTCTTCATAGATTCTATAATTAGGGAAGACCACCTGGTTAATTCATTGATCACTAACCACCTTAGAGTTCCTCGTAGAGGGTTTCTCCTTCTTAGCTGTGATTAGGATCCAAGTTTTGATGCATATTGAAAAAGTGTACTAGCTTGTCTTTTTCTTCTAGGTTTTGCTTCCCAAGGAATGGCCTTACTGTTCAAATTCAGATGCACTAGGCAAGTTCAGAAGACAAGAGTGAAGATGAGACGCCAACAGCCTCACACTGAGGACGATTCTTTCTCCAGCTCCCCACTGCACAAGCAAGCTTGGTATTCATCAATATGACATGGTCTGGAAGTTTTCCTGTATATTCATCAGCTTGGGTTACTAAACAAAGTACAAAATACTTAGTGGCTTTAGCAACATAAATTTACTTTCTCAGAGTTCTGGGGGCTGGATCTGGGTGCAGCATGGTTGAGTTCTGGTGAGGCCTCTCTTCCTGACTTGCAGACAGCTGCCTTCCCACTGTGTGCTCGCATGACCTTTCCTTGGGACTCACATGCAGAGAGAGAGCTCCAGTATCTCTTCTTTTTGCATGGACACCAGTTCTGTTGGATTAGGGCTTCGCCCTTATGACCTCATTTAACCTTAGTCCTCCTTAAAGCCCCTATTTCTGGTACAGTCACATGTGGGATTAGGGCTTCAACATATGAATTTAGGGAGAAGGAAGACAACTCAGTCCCTAGCATCCTGGGATCTACATACTGGAGGATACAGTCCACGTCTGACAAAAATCTCAGGGTTCCAGAAAACATTTCATGCTTGAAAATGGTTGCCAGAAATATTTGAAATTCTGAGTAAGTGGAATTTAAAGGGAAAGACTTTATCTTTAGATTCTAAGCTCCAGAAGGGCAGGGACTGTGCCTCAGTATTTCAGCACAGAGCACAGCAGCAGGCCCTGATAAAGGTGAATTCAGTAAAGGCAGCCCTTCCTGAAGATAGAAGATTAGTAGTTTGCAGGACTGTTACTGTATTGCCTTCACTTGGCCCCTGTTAGGAAACCAGAGGGAGGGTAAGAGGGCTTCTGTCACCACTGAAGATTGACTAGCCTGGAATTTTCCAGAGGTTTCCAGAATTTTCCCAGTTTCCTGCCACCCCTTCCCTATTCTGGTTCTGCTTCTGAGGACACAGCTGCCAGCTTTTGGCTCTGATGCTCTGTTTGCACTGTCCTGAGAGAAATAAAATTTTCCACTCAGGATCTAGTAAAATAAAAATATTTTAAACAAAATATAGTATATATACACATGCACACAAGAACAGTTAGTTCAAAAGCAGCCTAGAAAAACCTCTTGTTCTCATTTTATTTAGGATTTCTGCCATCGCGGGTAATTTTTTTTTAACAGTTTTGCTCTGGGGCTTTTCTGCTTTTTCTCTTTTCTAAGTTTTAAATTTCAGATCCAGTTGTAGTTTGCTGCTGAGTTGAAGCCTCTGTAATTATTTCTTTAAATTTTTAAGAAGACGACCAGGTGTGATTGTTTCAGAACAGCACACACTGTCATGTGTTGTAATGTGGCTTACTCTGGGGAGGCTCTGTTTATCAGTCCTGCCTCCGCTATCTACCAGCTTTGTGGCTCTGGACTAGTTCATCTTTCTTAGCCTCCTAAAGATGTAGGATATGTGAAATAATATGTGGAAAGTACCTCTCGTGCACGGCCTGTCCTTAGTAAATGCTCTGAAATACTAACTGTTATAAATATCCCTCCCTTTTGCAAATTGCTCAGTGTTCTGAAAACAGAACTCAAATGTCTTCAGGGGCCAGGAAAATAATAATTCAAATGTGTAAAGCTACCTGGTGTAGGACAGGCAACAGGGAATGGAAGAAACTATGATGAATAAGAGGGTGCATGCTCTGCTAAAAGAAAACCTAGGCTGGGCGGGGTGGCTCACGCCTATAATCCCAGCACTTTCGGAGGCTGAGGCAGGTGGATCACCTGAGGTCAGGAGTTCCAGACCAGCCTGGCCAGCATGGCAAAACCCCATCTCTACTAAAAATACAAAAAGTTAGCTGGGCATGGTGGCAGGTGCCTGTAATCCCAGCCACTCGGGAGGCTGAGGCGGGAGACTCACTTGAACTCAGGAAGCAGAGGTTACAGTGAGCTGAGATCGCGCCATTGCACTCCAGCCTGGGCAACAAGAGCGAAACTCCATCTCAAAAAAAGAAAAAAGAAAATCTAGCTCAAATATTATACATAAAAAAAGGACAGAAGGGAGAGAGGGAGCAAGGGAGGAAAGAAGACAACACTGTACATAGCTCCTACCTCGACTTGGCCCTGGAGCCACCAGTTTGCACCCCTTACTCTGATTTAAAGTAGAATATATTTTGGGCCAGGTGTGGTGGCTCATGCCTGTAATCCCAGCACTTTGGGAGGCCAAGGTGGGAGGATCACTTGAGCCCAGGAGGTTGAGACCAGCTTGGGCAATATAGTGAGGCCTTGTCTCTAATTTAAAAAAAAAAAAAAGTAGAATATATGTCAAGGAGCTGAGTGATCTGTGTTTGGGAAATAAATCCCAGGTCTTAACCCTCAGTTTTCAACTACTAGTGACAAAGGAAACTCCCTATTGAATTTCTAACCAAAGAGGAGTTAGGTCACTCCAAGTACTTCGGGGTACAGGATTCATCTACCCCAATACCAGTGTGAATGAGACCCTCAATAATTTTCAATAATTCATTAACAATGACAACAATATAACACCAATTCTATCTTTATATATTGTTGTTTATTCTCAAGATGAGGCTGGATTTTGAGACAGGCATTTCCTGGTAATTGAACAGCATGATATTGGTTTTAAAGATGAGACTAAGAGTTGTTTTGTTAGAGACTCTCTGGGGACAAGCCTGGAACACTCTAAGGGGTGCAGATGGTGTTTATTAATATTATTTGTAATCCACAAACATTTATACATATTCTTCAGAGAAGCTGTGTTCAGGTTTTTCTTATGCAAAAGCCTAATAAGGAGAACACAGTGCCGTATGATTAGATGGGGATGATAAAGTATTCACCTTTCTTTCCAAAATCTCTTTCCTATAGCACCTAAAATTGCCATGTTATTTAGACTTTTGAGATAAGGACATTGGACACTCTTCTAAAACATAACCTCCCAGGCAATCTGGGAAGAGATAGAGATGGTACATTGAGCTGTTATCTTGCACTTACACCATTCTCCAGTTAGTTTATTAAATTCCAGTAACCAAGCTGCTGATCAAAGGAAGGCAACAAGAAAGAAGTAATTTTTTTTTTGACATAGGGTCTCACACTGTTGTCCAGGCAGAAGTGTGGTAGTGCAATCATAGCTCACAGTAACCTCAAACTCCTGGGGTGAAGAGATCCTCCTGTCTTAGCCTCCCAAGGAGCTAAGACTACAGGTGCTTGCCACCACGCCTAGCTATTTTTAAAACTTTTTTGTAGAGATGGGGTCTTGCTGTGTTGCCTAGGTTGGTCTCAAACTCCTGGCATCAAGTGATTCTCCCTCCTCAGCCTCCAAAAGTATTGGGATAACAGGTATGAATCACTGCATCTAGCCCCCCAAAAGTAACTTTTGATGAAGGGAAGATGCTAAGCAGGACCCATACATGAAACCACACATTCATTCATTCATTCATTCATTCATTCCTTTATTCATTAATTCTAGCAACATTTGTTGAGCACCTACTCTGTGCCATGATTTGGAACAGAGTACAAAGTCTAACAGAGGAGGCATAATTCCAGGGCAGTGGTAGTGCTAGGGTAGAGGTATGTGGAAGGTAGGATGGACTTACATTCAAAGGGCACCCTCCTCAGACTGGACAGGGTGGCTTGGGAAGGGAGAGCAGCTGTAAGAATAGCTTCCTGGAAGAAGTGGCACTGGACTGAGTCCTGAACAATATACAGAATTTACAAGGAGGGACATTGCTTGTCGCAAAAATTAAGGCTCTGTGCTCAGATCTTTCCAGCTCAAAATTTTAATCAATTACCTGGATAAATATATAAAAAGGCACATTTATCATTGGCAGATGATGACACAAGGTTAAGAGAGACGGGTTACTTTGGTCAGTGGCACAATCGGGGCTCAGGAAAATCTCAGCAGGGTAGAGGAATGGGCAAACCAATGAAATAAAGCTGAATAGAGATAAATGAAAGGACTTGCACTCTGTTAAAACAACAACCGCCAACTGCAAACACGAGGCAGTAGGTGAGAGGTGGAAAAATAACACATTTATGTTATGTTTTAGTTCAGAAGTCGACAAACTATGGCTCATAGCCAAATTCAGGCAGTTGCCTATTTTTGTAAATGAAGTTTTACATTTTGTCTGTGGCTGCCTTTGTGTGACAACAGCAGAGATGAGTGGTTGCAGTAGGGACCATATGAACAGCAAAGCCTAAAACATTTACTATCTGCCCCTTTACAGAAGAGTTTACTCACCCTTCTTTTAGCCCACTGCAAGTTCACTTTGAGTCAAGAGTATGATAAGTGCACTAAAAAAAAGCCAATTCTCTCTTAGGGTCGCTTAATAAACATATAGACTCTTAACATCATTTGTGAATGAATACATGAATGAATAAACAACCAAGCTGGGGAGAGGATGGCACATCTTGATCTTTGTGGACCACAGCCCACCGAAGTCCTGGGCTCAGTTCTGGGGATAAACGGTCATGTGTTGCTTAACAAGTGGGACATGTTCTGAGAAATGTGTCATTAGGCTATTTCATCATTGTGCCAACATCATAGAGGGCACTTACATAAACCTACCTAGATGGTATCACCTACTACCCACCTAGGCTATATGGTATAGCCTATTGCTCTAAGTTACAAACTTGTACAGCATGTTACTGTACGGAATATGTGGGCAATTGTACACAATGGTATTAGTGTATCTAAACATAGAAAAGGTACAGCAAAAATGCAGTATTATAATCTTATGAGACCACTGTGTATAAGCAGTCTGTTGTTGACCAAAATGTCATTACACAGCACACGACTATAATTAAAGAGGAACACTGGTGGGGTGTCTGTAATCCCAGCACTTTGTGAGGCGGAGTCGGGCAGATTACTCAGATTACTTGAGCCCAGGATTTTGAGACCAGCCTGGGCAACACGGCGAAACCCAATCTCTACAAAAAATACAAAAATTAGCCAGGCATGGTGGTGTGCACCTGCACTCCCAGCTACTCGGGAGGCTGAGGTTGGAGCATGGCTTGAGCCCAGGAAGGTCGAGGCTACAGTGAGTTGTGATTGTGCCATTGCACTCCAGCCTGGGCAGCAGAGCAAGACCTTGTATCAAAAAAAGAAAAAGAAAATGAATAAATAAATAAATGAAGAAATAAATAAGAACACTGGCAACTGGAGCTACTCAAAGGAGAGGGGTGAGGTGTGTTGGGAATTACTGGTTGAGGAACAAGTGAAGGAATTAGGGATGTGTAGCCTGAAGAAGCAAATGCTGAGGGGCTATCCACAGCATGAGCATCATGATAAAATGGACTGAGTCTTAGGTACCAAGCTCTAAATATGTTACCTCATTCGATCCTCACAACAACCCTGGGAGATTGGTAGTATTGGGATGCCCATTTTGCAAATGAGGAATCTGAGGCATAGAGAGATTACATTGCCTGGGATCACACAGCCGATAAATGGTGAAGCTGAGGTTCAATCCATGCAAGCTGTCCCTACAGCCCTCATGCATACCCTTTGTGGCCTCCATCATTGAAAAGGATGTGAATCACCTTGTTATCTCTGATTCCAACAGGCAGAGGAAACAGGGAAACAGACTCTAGCTTAATGCAAAGAAGACCTTTCAAGTGTCCAGAGATGTAACGGGTGTTTTAGCGGGAAGGAAACTTTCTCATTAGGGTACGTTCAAGATGATGTGGCCAAGATTTCAGAGAGAGGATTCCTGAATGGATAAGAGCAGCTGGCCTCCAAGATTCCTTCCCCTTCTTGATTCTATCAGGGTCTGAGATTTGGGACACTCACTAAGATGGTTGATGTAGGTCAGAAAGAGGCAGCAGTGGGACAAGACCTGGGAGGGAGGCACTTTTTTTTCTTTTTTGAGACAGAGTTTTGCTCTGTTGCCCACGCTGGAGTGCAGTGGTGTGATCATGGCTCACCGCAACCTCCACTGCCCGGATTCAATCTGTCTTTCCTCCTCAGCCTCCCGAGTAGCTGGGAGCATGGCACCACACCCAGCTAATTTTTCATACTTTTTGTAGAGATGGGATTTAGCCTTGTTGTCCAGGCTGGCCTTGAACTTTTGGACTCCAGCAGTCCACCCACCTCGGCCTCCCAAAGTGCTGGGTTTACAGGTATGAGTTATCAAGCCCAGCTGGGAGGCACTTTTCTAAGTACTACTTTACATGTGTTAACTCATCTCATCTTCAAAACAGTTGTATGATACCATGAATGTCATCATTCCCATTTTACAGATGCAAAAACTGAGGCATGCAGTAGCTATCTAATTTAACCAGAGTCACACAGCTAGTAAGGATTAGAGCCAGGATTTGCATTTAAGCAGTCTGACTCCGAAACCTGTGCTCTTAACCACTAACATACACAAATCTATTAAGAGGGGACGTGTAATTTGAAAAAGCACCTTTTATTTTTCCTTTGCCTTCCCACCAAGGTTTTTGATACATTCCCTTCCTGCGTTGAAAATTGCTACATTACTAGAAGTTAATGATAGCAGTTGCCAATATAACATTCTCATTTTGTCAGATGATAATTTATAGGGCCTGTTTTTCTTGCTCTGAGGTAGGGGTTCCCAAATGCCCCATGAACTCCTACAGACTAATCAAGTTGTCTTGACTGTGATCAGTCTCTCGGAAGTCACAACTGAAGGTATAAACAATAATGTCCTACTCATAATGTACGTCTGATTCCTGTTTAAGCATTACTTCAGCTTTGGGAACCACTGGGTTTCTATACCTCTTTACAGAGGCAAGGCTGAGCTGTTGCTGAGGCTGAGTGCAGTGGCATGATCACAGCTCACTGCAGCCGCAACCTCCCAGGCTCAAGCCATCCTCCCATCTCACCTTCCGAGTAGCTAGGACTACAGGTGCGTGCCACCACAGCTGGCTAATTTTTTATTTTTTGCAGAAATGGGGTCTCAATTTGTTGCCCAGGCTAGTCTCAAATTCCTGGACTCAAGCAATCCTCCTGCCTTGGCCTCCCAAAGTGCTGGAATTATAGGCACGAGCCACCACACCCAGCCGGTTTCTGCATGTTAATTTTCCTGATGGTTAAGGTGGAATTTGGTTATAGCAGGGACTACAGTTGACACACAGTAAGTGCTTAATACATATTTGCTTAATAAATGTGGTTAATTGGAATTTATTAACTTTGGGGAAATAAGGGTGTTGAGGTAACTTTTCCCTTATGGCATTGGGCTCTGACAGTAAACAGCTAGTCCCATTTGATCCCAGCCCCTCCACTCCACCCTCTACAGAGTGATTTGTGCTTCCAGTAACTGGGCAAACAAAAATCAGAGCATCTCCTCAAATGCATTGCACTCCTCAGGGTACAAATCTTTTATGAGAAAAACTGCAGTTATTATTTAGCCAAACACTGTGTTTCCAACCAGATTTCCTTCCAGGTCTCTTTTTCCTCATTCAAAAAAAGCATTGCAGTCCACTGAGGACACAGAACATGAATCGTTTAATAGTTGATTTGCTCCATAGATAAGGATACAGGCTTTTGTGTCTAAGGAGACCGCTCGAATCATTGTGTACAAGGACAGAGAGTTCCTTGCTTGGCTTATTTACCACATGTTTTAATTAGCTGCCAGGCCTCTTACAGCAGTCACTGTTCCAAAGGTAGAGAGATTTGAGCTTGTTTAGGTCATGGCTTCAGTAAGAGCTTTGCCATTAGGTCCGCACTTTTCTTCTTTTCTCATTTCTGCTCAGAGGCTGAGCTCTGTAATGCAATTCAGTGAAATTGGCATCCTTCCAGAGGATAAGTAGCCCCAAAGACAGAGCACTAGACTGTGGTTGCCCCAAGGCCAAGAACGTTGTCTTATTGTCTTTGCACCTTCTTTGCCTGGAATAGTGCCTGGCATACAGGAGGTGCTTAATAAATGTTGGTTGAAATATTCTGCTGAGGCCCATTCAGAAGGCCTGTAAACCCTCACTTTCACCTCCCCCACACTGTCTCCAAATCTCATGGAGTCTACTCAGAGGTGATATTCCAAGTATTAAACCAACATTACAGCATGGGCTTTGACCAATCAGCCATTGAGCTGGAGCAGGAGCCCACAGGACCCCCCCTTGTGATAGACATTGACTCTTTAGCTTCTACTTCAGTCAGGGGGACCTAGGGAAAGGACAGTTGAGAAACAGGCATTGGGGGTTGGAGCACTGGCTACTTTCTAGTTGGAATGAAAGTATTTAAATATTTTGACAATGGTACAGCTGTGCTACTTCATATCAGCTGATTGTATCTGTTTAAATCCCTCAAAGCCATCCAATAGAATGTGGCCAGGTGCATCTTTTTTTTCCAAAAATGGAAATATTATTGCTTTTCCCCCCAGAGAAACATGATTGCTGTAAAAATATTTTTAAAATAAAGTGAGCTGGGAAGATAATAGCTGCAGCGTAGTATTTGGAATTTCTTTGAATTCCCAAATAAAAACAGAACAACTAGACAGCCAAATCAAAAACCCATGAACACATTTACAACAAAACTTGGTGAGAAGATATCCCTGCAAACTCCCAGATCCACAAAGACCTGCATGGTACTAACATCTGTGCAGGAGAAAGCACAGGGGCTTTCTCTGTGGGACTTCTGATGGATCTGAGAACAAGAGAATCCCCAAATAGTCAACAGTCGTTCACTGGAAAGCATGGCAGGCCAAGCTGAGGACAGCATTTGTAACTGGGAAGAGGTTTGCCAACTCCAATAGCAGGTGAGTGGAAGGAGTTTGCTGTAAAAACATTGAAGGAGCTGGAGCAGTCCGGCTCCTAGAACTCTTAAAACTGACCAGCCAGGGATCCCTTTCAGGATACTGAAAGTTTCTACCTTGAAGAGAAACTGTGGAAGTAGGCAGTAGAGAAGGGGTGGAGGTAAGTGGGGTGGGGGGGGTGGGGGGGTTGGCGGGGGGAGGGAACAGATATAAGTGGTAAAAAGAAAGGGACCAGGAAATCTCAGAAAACAAGCTGCAGTATATTTTTTAGCTTCTTATAAAAATATCAGAAAAGGGAGTTCCATGAAGTTAGAAATATTACCTTCGGTCACACTTCTTTCTCGGGTTTCAGGAAAATGAGTTTTACATAAAAAAATAAGCAATAAAAAGTCTCAAGACCAAATCCCACACAAAGTTATTTTAAGAATAAAAGAGGCTGGGTGTGGTGGCTCATGCCTGTAATCCCAGCACTTTGGGATGCCAAGGCGGAAGAATCACTTGAGGCCAGACGTTCAAGACCAGCCTGGGCAATATAGTGAGACCCCATCTGTACAAAAAATTTAAAAAAAATTGGTTGGCACATGCCTGTAGTCCTAGGGATGCTGAGGTGGGACAATGAACTATAATTGCACCACTGCAGTCCAGCCTGGGTGACACAGCAAGACCTTGTCTCTGAAAAATGAATAAAAGATATGTGAAACAAAACAACATCCATTCAGACAAAACCACACAGCAAGGTATGTCTACAGAATAGATCAAAACAATTACCTTTTATTTAAAAGTCACTAAAAGATATTAAGAGAATAACAGAAGATATGAAAAATAACATAAATCAAATTACAAAAAATAATTTTAAATGAGGTGATAAACTTCAAGAAAGAATTAGAAATAAAAGAAATGAAGACTAAACTTTGTGAATGAAGACTAAAGGGAAAACTAAGGACAAATAAATCCAACAGAAAAATAGAATGTGGGCCACGTGTGTTGGCTCACACTTGTAATCCCAGCACTTTGGGAGGCTGAGGTGGGTGAATCACTTGAGCTCAGGAGTTCGAGACCAGCTTGGCCAACATGGTGACACCCCATCTCTACTAAAAATACGAAAATTAGCTGGGTGTGGTGGTGCACTCCTGTAGTCCCAGCTACAGCTACTCAGGTGGTTGAGGCAGGAGAATTGCTTGAACCTGGGAGGCGGAGGTTGCAGTGAGACCAGATCATGCCACTGCCCTCCAGCCTGGGCAACAGAGTGAAAAAAGAAGAACAGAATGTGAAAAGGCAGATTTTTTTAAGTCAAAAAGAAATTAAGACAGGAATTTTGTTATCTGACAGGAATATCTGTCAAGAGAAAGTGACAGATATTCAAGATAGAAGATGATCCAAGATAGAGATAACAGGAATCCCTGAAGACAAAAAGCAAAGGAAGAAAACAATGCATTCTAAAATTATAAATTAAAAATTATTTTTCCCTGAAGTAAAAAAAAAAAGATTTGAAGCTATATATGAATGAACATGCTGCACACTGGAGAATATCATACTGAAACTGACAGCACTTAGACATATTCCAATAAAATTACTCTGCTTTAAAGAAGAAAAATTTCCTTTGAGCATCTAAGCAGAAACAGCGAGGGAAAAAAAATTATATCAACACCAGAATTTTTGAGAGCAATGATTTACCTCATGAGAAAATTAAATAACATATTTAATGTATTTAAGATACTCAATAAATATATCTTAACATGTTTAAGATACTTAAGAAAAAAGAACATGTGAGCCAAGAACTTTATATTCAGTAAATTTTTTTCATCTCTTCTGTCATTCTCTTAATATCTTTTAGTGGCTTTTAAATAAAAGGTAATTGTTTCATTCTATTCTGTAAACTTTTAAGCACTCGATGACTGTTATCAATAGACAAACTGTTATCAACAGTAAGAACTTAAGAAATATTGTTCCTATTAACAGTTCCCGAGGATTCTACTTGAGAATAAGATTCACACAACAGAAACTGGTGGTGAGAATTAGAAATACAGTTGTTTTTAAATTAAGACTATGTGAGTGTTAAAACAGGATATCATGTAATGGGTAAATGATCAGATAATGTAATATAGTGCAAATATTAAGTCCAGGTACAGTGGCTCATGCCAGTAATCCCAGCACTTTGGGAGCTGAGGTGGGAGGATCACTTGAGGCCAAGCGCTTGAGACTGCAGTGAGCTATGATCATGCCACTGTGCTCCAGCTTGGGTGACAGAGTGAGATCTGTTGCTAAAAAAAAAAATTAAATTAAAGTTAAAAAATGAGGCAGCAGAATAGGGAGAGTAAATACAAAAATGTTCTTAAATGTTCTCAGTAGTAATATTTAGTGTATTAGTATTGCCATTCTGAAAGAGTTGTGTGATAAATAAATAAGTAATTATAGGATATTCTACTTCTATCATCACTTGTGTTCTTAAGAACCAGGAGTCTTGTTTTTTTGTTTGTGATGAAGTCTTGCTCTTGTCCCCCAGGCTGGAGTGCACGGGTGTGATCTTGGCTCACTGCAACTTCTGCCTCCCAGGTTCAAGTGATTCTCCTGCCTCAGCCTTCCGAGTAGCTGGGGTTACAGGTGCCTGCCACCACGCCCAGCTAATTTTTTGTATTTTTAGTAGAGGAGAGGTTTC
Source organism: Homo sapiens (assembly GCF_000001405.40). NCBI lineage: Eukaryota > Metazoa > Chordata > Mammalia > Primates > Hominidae > Homo > Homo sapiens. The sequence continues at coordinate 94,885,912 of NC_000012.12, read as the reverse complement.
ACCATGTTGGCCAGGCTGGTCTCGAACTACCAGGAGTCTCATCTGGAAGAAGATATAATACATAAGAGGCTAAATAAAAACAAGAATGACTTGGAATTGCTGCTGTTAGCATGATATATATCACATAATACTAGCTAGAGAGAGTATATAGTTTATAGATTTTATCTATATAGACAGTCTTGTAGTTTAGCTCTGTCCCCTGAAGAGGCCTAAAATTTCTGACCAAGTCAGCAGCCAGGAGCATTCCTAGTACCAAGATCCTGGTCTTGAAACACTATTTACCACTAAGAGAAATGAAGACTTCCTGGGAAAACTGATAATTTTCAGAGAAATGGTTGATTTCTATCTGGGACAGAAAATGTATGAGATGAGCCTAGAGCATTCTGTTATACTCAGTAGCAAGAAAAATATCAAACATATCTAGGTACATGGGGAAAAAAAACCTGAGAAGCCAAATTGAAGGGGCTCTTATTGGCCAAAAACAGGACAATTTGAGTTTTCATGGAAGTTAATAATTGTAATTGATTAAAATTATCAAAAGTGTTTAAATTCGTGAATTCATATGAATATTTTAAAAGATTGTTCACCTTCAGAAGATGATAGGGAACCAATTCATTATCTTGAAAACTGGGAGAGAAATGCATAGAATCAAGGTTTTATTTTGCCTTTTCTGTATAAACTGTAATACTAGTTAACCAATGGGGGGAAATTACCTCTTTATAAAAGCATTTCAATTAATGAATGAAAAAGAAATGCAGAATTATAAATCTTTATTTTGCAAACCTTAAAAAGTGAATGGATTTGCACAGAGGTGTTTATAGTATTTTCTGATGGTAGTTTGTATTTCTGTGGGATCAGTGGTGATGCCCCCTTTATCATTTTTTATTGTGTCTATTTGATTCTTCTCTCTTTTCTTCTTTATTAGTCTGGCTAGCGGTCTATTTTGTTAATCTTTTCAAAAAACCAGCTCCTGTACTCACTGATTTTTTGAAGAGTTTTTTTGTATCTCTATCTCCCTCAGTTCTGCTCTGATCTTAGTTATTTCTTATCTTCTGCTAGCTTTTGAATTTGTTTGCTCTTGCTTCTCTAGTTCTTTTAATTATGATGTTAGGGTGTCAATTTTAGATCTTTCCTGCTTTCTCCTGTGGGGCTGTGGGCATTTAGTGCTATAAATTTCCCACGAAACACTGCTTTAGCTGTGTCCCAGAGATTCTGGTACATTGTGTCTTTGTTCTCATTGGTTTCAAAGAACTTATTTATTTCTGCCTTAATTTCGTTATTTACCCAGTAGTCATTCAGGAGCAGGTTGTTCAGTTTCCATGTAGTTGTGCAGTTTTGAGTGAGTTTCTTAATCCTGAGTTCTAATTTGATTGCACTGTGGTCTGAGAGAATGTTAATGATTTCCATTCTTTTGCATTTGCTACGGAGTGTTTTACTTCCAATTATGTGGTCAATTTGAGAATAAGTGTGATGTGGTGCTGAGAATAATGTATATTCTATTGATTTGCGATGGAGAGTTCTGTAGATGTCTATTAGGTCCACTTGGTCCAGAACTGAGTTCAAATCCTGAATATCCTTGTTAATTTTCTGTCTCATTGATCTAATATTGACATTGGGGTGTTAAAGTCTCCCACTATTATTGTGTGGGAGTCTAAGTCTCTTAGTAGGTCTCTAAGAGCTTGCTTTATGAATCTGGGTGCTCCTGTATTGGATGCATATATATTTAGGAGAGTTAGCTCTTCTTGTTGCATTGATCCCTTTACCGTTATGTAATGCCCTTCTTTGTCTTTTTTGATCTTTGTTGGTTTAAAGTCTGTTTTATCAGAGATTAGGATTGCAACTCCTGCTTTTTTTTGCGTTCCATTTTCTTGGTAAATATTCCTCTACCCCTTTATTTTGAGTCTATGTGTGTCCTTGAACATGAGATGGGTCTCCTGAATACAGCACACCAATGGGTCTTGACTCTTTATTCAATTTGCCAGTCTGTGTCTTTTAATTGGGGCATTTAGCCTGTTTACATTTAAGGTTAATATTGTCATGTATGAATTGGATCCTGTCATTATGATGCTAGCTGGTTACTTTGCCTGTTAGTTGATGCAGTTTCTTCATAGTGTCAGTGGTCTTTACAATTTGGTATGGTTTTGCAGTGGCTGGTACCAGTTTTTCCTTTCCATATTTAGTGCTTCCTTTAGGAGCTCTTGTAAGGCAGGCCTGGTGGTGACAAAATCTCTCAGCATTTGCTTGTAGCTGGGACCACAGGCACACACCACTACACCTGGTTAATTAAAACAATTTTTTTATAGAGACAGGATCTCACTCTGTTGCCCAGCCTTGTCTCAAACTCCTGGCCTCAAGTGATCCTCTCACCACAGTCCTCCAAAGTGTTGACATTACATGCATGAGCCACCATTCCTGGCCATCTGTTTTTTTTTTTTTTTTTTGGAGATAGAGTCTCATTCTGTCACCTAGGCTGGAGTGCCATGGCACTATCTCGGCTCTGCTGCCCAGGCTGGAGTGCAGTGGCATGATCTGGGCTCACTGCAACCTCTGCCTCCCAGGTTCAAGCAATTCTCCTGCCTCAGCCTCCCAAGTAGCTGGGACTACAAGCACGTGCTGCCACATCCGGCTAATATATATATATTTTGTATTTTAGTAGAGACAGGGTTTCGCCATGTTGCCTAGGCTGGTCTCTAACTCCTCAGCTCAGTCAATCCGTCCGCTTCGGCCTTCCAAAGTGCTAGGATTACAGGTGTGAGCCACCACACCCAGCCTGTTTTATTTTTAAATAAAAAGGTTTAGAAAATGATACTGAGAAATTATAAGCCCAATTCTCTACACCAACTTTAGAAATAAATACTGTTAACATTGTGGTGTTCATCTTTCTAGACTTTTTAATGAACACGTAAGCATGTATGATATGTAGGTTTTACCTAAATGAGATTATACTACAGATGAAATTTTAAACCAACCTTTTCACTCAGCAATATATCATGGATGACTTTCCATGTTGAATTATACTTAGGAGCCATATTCATTTATCATTAAAAAGTAATTATTTTTAAATAAAAATGATATCTGTTCCTTAAAAAAAATTTTAAGCAATATGGAAAAGTACAAAAAAGAAAAGCAGCACGTCTCAAAATCTCACCACCCAGAAATGAGTATTAACATAATTCAAAAAGCCTCTCTATTTATATATAAAGGTAGAAGATGAGAGACAGAGAGAGAGAGAGAGAGAGAGAGAGAGAGTTTTATGACTACCAAGGTTATTTTAATTACTGAATTTAAGTTTGTTTTACTTTAACACAATAAAAAATAATTAAACTGAAGTAATTCAGTTTCAGATAACCCTTTTTTTTCCTCCATCATGGGAGAAGTTACTAAGATATGCCTGAGGTTAAGAAAAAACTGCAGAAATCATTAAGAAGTTTGAGTGTTTCTTTTATGTTTCAATTTTGGATGATCTCAATTGGTTCTCTGCAGATAGACGATGAAGTAATTAGCACTCACACTTCCTTTCACTCTCCTTCACCTCCTAATTTTAAAAATCTTTCTATTATTTTTACTTTGTCAGAATTTGTAACATTTTCAATTTATTCCACTGCTAGAATTCCATCAGTTGTTTAATCTTAGTTCTCTATTTAAATACTGAACTGTTGACCATCAGCACTTTTACCTTTTACCTTGGTGTCTTCTGTTCCTGATTTTTTTTTTTCATTCATCTCCTGCTCCTGATTGGCTGGATTTTTTTTTCCCCAAGAAGGCTCGTGTGTTTTACTCCGTGAGTTCTTTTATGCTTGAGAATACCTGCAGATGGCTATGTGTAACCATTTTAGGTCATACTTTTTCTCTCTTCAAGCTAGGTAGATGGTGTGTGTGTGTGTGTGTGTGTGTGTGTGTGTGTTGTTTTGTTTTGTTTTTAGAGACAGGGCCTCACTCTGTCACCCAGGCTGGAGTGCCCTGGCGTGATCATGACCCACTGCAGCCTTAACCTCCTGGGTTCAAGCAATCCTTCCACCTCAGCCTCCCAAGTAGCAAGAACTACAGGCGTGTGCCACCACACCTAGCTGATTTTAAAAAATATATTTTTGTAGAGACCAGAGTCTAGCTGTGTTGTCCAGGCTGATGACATTGTTTCATTGTCTTCTAGCTTGAGGTTTTTTGGACATGTTCGTATCTGTTTTGATTCTATCCCCACCCACCCCCACGTTCATAGATGATTTGCCTTTTCTGCCTAGATACCTAAATAACTATTTTCCCTTGAAAATTGTTAACTTAACCAGACTATGTTTTGATGTCTGTTTAAAGTACTTTTTGTCTGGCATACAGTATAAATCTTCCTCTGCAGATTCAGTTCTTTCTTCATTTTGGAAAAACTCTTCCTGTATTATGTGTCTAAATGCATATTTTGTTACACTTATTGGATTATCTACATCAATTAGGGACACCAAGAATCTTATGTTTGATTTTCTCTTAGTTCTCTTATTATCCTCTCCCTAATTACTTTACTCCCTCTGTGGCAAATTATGCATTTACCATGATTATCGTAAACCTTTTACTATCCATTAATTCAATTTTCAATCATGTCTTTCCTGTTATTTGGCATTTCTAATTTGTATATTAGGTCTATAATGGTGTTGTTTCAGTTTTTGATTCATTTCTTTAGCTCTGACAACTTTTTGCTCTCTCGGTCATTTTTTCATCTCAATTTTGAGGTCTTATTTACCCAGGTTCATATTCTGAGGCATTTATAGTTCAAAGCACTACCTGGAGGATGTGTTTCATGGGTTTATGTTTTCTTCCATACTGGTTTCTTCACAGTGCATACATTATCTTCCTTCCTCCCCACTCCACCCTTTTTTGACTGTACCACATGTACATGGTCATCTTTTCATCTTAATCTTGTTTCATATGGGCAGCTCCAACCAGATCTTTTTGTAACTGTTATATAGTGTGGATGAAGTCTCCTTGGCCCCCATCTCACCTTATCTCAGATGAGTTTGTTGTCCTCTTTCTGAGCTACAGTTTTTCTTCGTTATATCAGGTATTAGGAAAAGGAGAATCTGTGATCATGGTTTACTCTGTTATCTTTACCGTGAAATTATTAGGATTATTTTTTAAAAAATGCAAATCTCATCCTAATGCCATATCTTGCTTAAAACTCTTCAGTGGGTTTTTAAAACTTTTAGGAAAAATGTCTAAACTTCCTTCCTCACATCCAAGACCCTTTATTATTTGGCTTACCTACCTTCCTAGCCTGAGGTCTCCTATCACTCTCTATCACATTTGCTAACTGCTCACAGGAGGCTTTTTGTTGGGCCTAGATTAGAACTCAGAACCCTTCTCAACACAGGGCTTCAGGTAGCCTATTGGCCATCTGGACTGTAGTTAAATTCCATTTGTCATTCAAAACTTAGTTCCAATGTAACCAAAATGGAACTGATGAGAGAACCAAGGTCAAGACTGGGATGGCGATTTTGGAAATGGAAAGGGAGACAGTGTCTATATCTACTGCCAAAGCTGGAAAGATATAGCCTTTATAACTATATAATCATAGTTTGTCATCAGTGTCTTTTCCAGTATGGTGTAAATTTTTTTTTTTTTTTTTTTTTTTTGACAGAGTCTCATTCTCTTGCCCAGACTGGAGTGCAGTGGCATGATCTTGGCTCAATGCAACCTCCACCTCCTGGGTTCAAGCGATATTCATGCCTCAGCCTCCTGAGCAGCTGGGATTACAGGCACCCGCCACCACGCCCAGCTAATTTTTGTATTTTTAGTAGAGATGGATTTTAACCAAGTTGGTCAGGCTGGCCTCAAACCCCTGACCTCGGGTGATCCACCCGCCTCAGCCTCCCAAATTGCTGGTATTATGCCACTGTGCCTGGCCGGCGTAGTGGGTTTTAAACCCAGACTACCTGGACTCAGGACTTAGCTCTGCCACTTGTTATCTGTATGATTTTGGGGGCGACATTATGTAATCTTTACGTGCCTGTTTCGTTATGAGAATTAATAAATGTATGTAAAGCTTTCACTAGTTATATGTTCAAAAATGTTACTTAATGTTTTTTATTAAAAGGCACCATCACGGACAGCAATAATGGTTCCATACCACCCAGAACGAATACCTGATAACCTGGGAGCTGTCCATGGTGCTAAAATAGCGCTCCCCATCATAGGACAATGTCCCCACTGTTTGTCATATTTTTAGCCCTATATAGGGTAAATCCCTTGTTACATCTTCCCAGCTTTGGCAGTGGATGTAGAAATTGATTTTCTCTTTCCATTTCCACAATCACCATCCTAATCTTGACCTTGGTTCCTTCACCAGTTCCATTTTGTGTGACTGAGGTTAGCCTCCTAACTTATCTTCCTACGTCTAGACCATTTAATCACATTCTCATCCTCCAAATCCTTCTTAATATGAAGTCATATCCCTACTTACTAACTCAAGGGAATTTCAAAGGAGTATTTTATTTTATTTTTGAGATGGGGACTCGCTCTATCACTCAGGCTTGAGTGCAGTGGCGTGATCTCGGCTCACTGCAGTCTCAACCTCCCCGAGCTCGGGTGACCCTCCTGTTTCAGCCTCCTGAGTAGCTGGAACTACAGGTGCGTGTCACCACACCTGGCTTATTTTTGTATTTTTTATAGAGATGGAGTTCACTATGTTTCCCAGGCCGGTCTTGAACTCTCGGGCTCAATCAAAGGAGTAGAAACAATGCAAATGGCAACATGAGGTAAGGTTAAATGATAATATATCACTGAGATGTGCATATTGAGCAGCCAATAAAGGTAATTATTAAGGCTATGTAAAATATAGGAAACATTAACCAAGGGAAAACAGCAGACTATAATATGGTTTAAACATCACTAATTCGTTTATTAAACACGTACCAAGCACACCTATTTTGGGGTAGGCCATGGAGATGTAAGAATTAAGACAGTCCCTTCTTTAAAGGAGTTCAGAGTCTAGTAGGAGAGATAGCTGTGTAAATAGATTGCAGATGGACATGCATTTGGACGAAGACTAAAAAGGAGCATGGAATTAAATATATAAGTAGCACTAGGGGTGCAAGTCCGGGTGAATTTTGTCTTTTTAAATATCCACTAAGGGCTGAACTCTGGCACAGAGCTTTAGAAGAAAGAAGAAACTAAATTCCTATGATAAAGGCGACACACAGCTCTAGGTAAGTTCTTTCCCACTCTACCCTGCATCTTCAGGCCACAAAAAGAAGAAGAAGAAAAAAAAGATCAATAGAATGTCAAGCCCCTAAATTGTGGTTCAGAGAAGTTGAACAGGCCTTGTCAAGGGCAAGAAAAGAAATAGCATAGCAACCACGCAGACCTCCTACAGCAAAATAAAGGACCCAGAATATCCTTAAGTGACTGTGATATTGGAATAAAAAATAAAAATTAAAAAGTCACACATCCCAGGGTTCCCTAAGAATGGTTTATTGACTCACCACCTCTACTTTGTGGCTCATTCCACTGTACCCTTTGAAGAATATTCTTGCTGGGCATGGTGGCTCATGCCGTAATCTCAGCACTTTGGGAGGGCTAGGTTGGGGGATCACTTGAGGCTAGGAGTTTGAGACCAACCTGTGCAACATAGCAAGACCCCATCTCTACAAAACGAACAAAAAGAATTGTAGAGATGGGTGTGGGAGCATGCACCTGTAGTCCCAGCTACTTGAGAGGCTGAAAAAAGAATATTCTTCACTCTTCCCATTCAAATCTTATATTTTTTCAAGCTAAGAACTCATCTCCTTTAAGAATTCTTTCTTAACTAATGTCACTTTATTCTAGTATAAATACTTGAAAGTCAGTTTTAGTGGATATAAAATTCTTGGCTCACGTTTTCACCACTTTGAAGAAATTCCGGAGAGAGAAGTCTGTGTGATACATTAACATCCACCTATCACTGGTCAATCTCTTGGGTTCTGGAGTCAGATTTGGGCCAGAAGTGTGTCACTAATTAAACATGCAGCCTTTGGCAAGGTGTTTCATCTCGATAAATCTTAGTTTCATAGTCTATCATATGGAGAAGATACTAACAACAATCCTGCAGAGTTTTGTGAGGATGAAACAGATTGATACATGGCTTTTCACAGTGCCTGGAACATATAAAGTACTCAATGCATGTAGCTGTGATACATGTTTCCTTGAAATTTTTCTTGGTCTTTCTCAGGGAAATATGGATTGATTTAATCAATAATGTATACCGCCCCATAGTAGGTATTTAATAGATGCCTTATGAAGGATTCATATTTAGGAACATGGTAAAGGAAAACAACATTTAATTACTAATGGTTTTCTAAATGGAGGATGACAGACTGGTAAGAAATTATGCCAGTTGATAACATTTCTTATCTACGAAAAGAAGAAATTATTCTCTTTTACTATTTATGTAAAATTGTAAACTAGTTCCTTTTTGTTCAATTTTATAACAAATGCCTATCTACCTTAATAGGTAATGAAAGAAGTAAGCTTGACCTCCTGATGCCAGTATACTTCCTACTGTACTAAGATGAAGACCTATGAATCCAGCCTGCAGATCAAGAGGGCTGAATAGGCCAGGTGTGGTGGCTCACACTTGTAATCCCAGCACTTTGGGAGGCCGAGGCAGGTGGATCATCTGAGGTCAGGAGTTTGAGACCAGCCTAGACAACATGGTGAAACATCGTCTCTACTAAAAATTCAAAAATCAGCTGGGAGTGGTGGTGGGTGCCGGTAATCCCAGCTACTCGGGAGGTTGAGGCAGGAGAATCGCTTGAACCTGGGACGCGGAAGTTGCAGTGAGCCGAGATGGTGCCTATGCACTCCAGCCTGAGTGACAAGAGTGAAACACTGTCTCAAAAAAAAAAAAAAAAAAAAAAAAATTAAGGCTGAATAACAGTGTTTGTGACTGGTGGAGAAGTTAAACAATTAAGAAAAAAGGGGAAAATATAGTGTTCTTAAACATTAGATGGTTTTCAAGGAATCAAATAATATGGCTGAGTTTAGAAGGCTAATGGAGATATGATAATATGAAACAGATAGACAACTCTATCATTAAAATATTTTGAAGATTCTTTAAACATATGAAAGAAACAAAGACCTTTCCCCCTCCCCCTGGAATAAAAAAGGGGGAAATCTGATTCAATCTAGTTTTACTTTTAAATTGATTCTTCAGGGTAGTTAATGAGAGCATTGGAAACATGAGGATTTCCATAGATGGCCAGTGTGACCGTGTTCCATTAGCAACTGACGTGTTGTTATTTATTTGGTACAGTTGAATAACATTCTTGGTTTCTGAAGGGAATTTAAAAATGATTCAGGCTAACTAATACTTCAAGATCATCCTAACAACTACTTAACTGAAACTGACTCCCCTCCCCCACACCAGGAGTCTTATTCAAGTTTAGTAAGAAATGAACATTAGGACGGGCTCGGTGGCTCACGTCTGTAATTCCAACACTTTGGGAGGCCGAGGTAGGTGGATCACCTGACGTTGGAAGTTCAAGACCAGCCTGGCCAATATGGTAAAATCCTGCCTCTACTAAAAATATAAAAAATTAGCTGGGTGTGGTGGTGGGTGCCTGTAGTCCCAGCTACTTGGGAGACTGAAGTGGGAGAATTGCTCAAACCCAGGAGGCAGAAGTAGCAGTGAGCCGAGATCGCGCCACTGCACTCCAGACTGGGCACGACAGAGCAAGACTCCGTCTCAAAGAAAAGAAAAAAAAAAAAAGAACATTAAATTGATTAGATATCACATTTGCAAAGCAAAGAGTATTAATTAGAAGGAGCAGGAAGAGGTAATGTTGTAGAAAGCAGCACAAGTAGTGTTAAAACAAGGCGCTGTGGTGAGATCACACAAACCAATGAAGTGGCTAACACTGTATCTCCAGGTTAAGATTTCTTACAATGCTGAGCAAGAATACTGATACTCTAATACTCACATAGTAATACTCTAAATCTTGAACTTTACTTCTGGCTAGGCCTTTAATGCATCTATTTAGTCCAAGTTGTCATTTTACTGATGAGGAAGCTAAGGCTCTGAGATGTCAAGTGACTAATCTATGACAAAAGCTCACGTTTTTACTTCCAGGAACACCTTTACACAGTTGCACCTTTTCTATGAAGCAGAGGAGGGCAGTATTGCATGGGCATTAAGTGAGAGGGTCCTCGTGTCAGACTGCCTGAGTTGAAATCCAGGCTGTGCCACTAACAAGCTGTATGATCTCGGGCAAATGACCTGCCCTCTCTGAGCTCGAGTATCTCCCTCTAAAAAAACCATAATATCCCAGTACGTACTTCATAGAGTTGTGTGGATTGAAATGATAAGACAGGTATGGCTCAGAAGTACACTTACTAACATTGTTATTTTCCCAAAGAAAGGCAAAAACATAAAAGCTCAATCAGAAGAGATTATATATCCAGGGAGGAAAAAACCCACTGCATACAGATCATAAGATAAAGTAAAAAAGGGACATAGCAAGTGTCATTAATTGTCGTTTCTTACATTTCCCCCTCACACATCAGTCACTCCTCCCCCTATCTGTGCTGATAGGCACCAAAGAGAAATCCAGACAAAATGTTTTTATTCATTAGATCATTAAGGTACTTCGTGTAATATTACGGTCTCTATAGTGCTGCTGACAATCAATGTTAGAAAATTATAAAGGTATTTCTTTGGCAGTGGTGATCTGCCAGAATAACTGGCATAAAGGCAATGCCAAAGCTGAAACACTCATGAGAAGTGTTTACCCGGCACAAGCCTTTGCATTCCCACTGCTGTCTGCCTGCATACCTGTCACAGCCGCTTTGGAAACACAAGCGTCCTTGGATGCTTTTCAAAGGATCCTCTGACAAACAAGAGATATTTTTTTCTACACAAAATTCAGGCTGCCTTGAGTTCCGTGCTATTTGATTTACTTTGTTCAGCAGTCGAAGCAGAATAAAATCAGATTTCTTCCTGGAAGACCTTCCCACATCATTCCATCCTGTTCTTGCGGATTTAGATCCTGCATTCTGAGCTCAAGGGTGTGCAGCGTTTTCATGATCTGGGGAATACATTTTTCCCCCTTCTCATTTTTTTCCCGCAGAAGCATTAGCATTTGGGGATGGGCTCCCGTGTTGTTTGGAAAAGTTGGGGTGGAGGTCGATTGTGAAGAGAAAGCTGTGCACACAGGGGACTGCTAGGAAAACCCGTGGGTTTCGCTGGAATGGGGATGCTGACCTCTTCCCCTGCCGAGCTCCTTCACCTGAATGAGACCAGACGGTCTCTGTTCCACGGTGTTTCCTCCAGCCCCGGGTGGATCTGCTGTTTACCGCTCTTAACTCTCTTCCCACCCCTCCTCGGAAAGCTTTATGAATGCTCAGGACTTTCAAAAAACAATCGCAGAATCTAAAGAATGGTAAAGGGCCGACGCACTGGCTCACACCTCTCATCCCAGCACTTTGGGAGGCCGAGGCTGGAGGGTCGCTTGAGGCCAGGAGTTCGAGACCAGCCTGGGCAAAATGGCGAGACACCAGTCTCTACAAAAGAATAAAAATACAAAAATTAGCCGGGCGTAGTGGAGCACTCGCCTGTGGTCCCAGCTACTGGGAAGGCTGAGGCGGGAGGATCGCTTGAGCCTGGGAGAATCGCAAGGCTGCAGTGAGCCGAAATCGCGCCCCTGCGCTCAGCCTGGGGGACAGAGCGAGACCCTGTCTGAAAAATTAAAAAGAAAACGAAGAGTAGGAACGGACATTAGCGGGCCACCTTCCCATCCCATGGGGAGAATTTTAAGGTGGTACTTTTAAGGCGGGTGAGAATTGCCATCTGCGCTCTCCGCCAATCCACTCTTGCTCCGCAAACTTGGGGTCCCTGTAGGGTGGGCCCAGCTTTCACCCCAAAGCTTCTCCAGCTCAGTTCTGGGGGCCGCGGGGCAGGCATCGGAGACTCGCTCCGCTCCTGGTGGGGCCAGAACTCGAGGAAGAGGAGAGGGGCGAAGCGGCCCGAGGAGGCGGGGACGCTGCGACGGCGGCAGAAAGGCCCCGGGGCCCCGGAGCTCCGCGAGCTCAGTGCGCCCTTGGCCGGCTCCGCGCCTCCGCCGCAGCCCGGGAGAGCCCCGGGGACCCCGCGGCCAGCGCTACCCCGCCCCGCCCCCGCCGGCTTGGCGGCCGCGGCGCAGGCGTGTGCAGGAGGGGGCAGCGCGGAGCTCCCGGCCGGCCGAGCGTCGCCGCCGGCCCAGCCCTTCTCGCGCCCAAGTCGCCGAGCCCCGCCCGGACGGCCCAGACACCATGCGGAGGGTGAGTGCGCCGTCGCCCCGGGGTGCGGGGGCGGGGGCGTGCGCCGGGGTCCTCCCAGCGGGAATAGTGAGGGTGCGGCGGGGACGGACCTCGGCGGGGAGCGCGGTCGCCCCCGGGGGACTGAGGAGGGGAAGGGGCGCCGCGGGGACCCCGGGCCCGCACTCTTCGGGGCTGCGCTGGCACGTCGGAGCCCTGGGCCCGCGCTTGCGAGGTGGGCTGCGCCCGGCACTCCGCCCCACGCCTGCTGGCGAGCCCCTTCTCCGGCTCCCCTGACGCCCGCCTGGCTGCCAGAATTCTGCCCAAAGCCCCGGTCCTTCTTTGGGAGCCCGGGCAGCTCTGCTGGGCGTCGGTGGGGCTCCCTTGGCGCACACCCCAGAGACGGAGCCAGCCCCAGGTCCGGGCCAGGTGGGCGACAGGTCGAGGCCGGGGCTGGGGTTGGGGAGAGGAAGGATGCCTGCACTCCGGCATTTGGAAGGCGCGAGCCTCCTCCAGGCACGGCCCGCCGACGGCGCGCAGCTCCTGGCCTGGGGCGCCCTCGGGGGCTGCGGCTGCTGCTTTACCGGCAGGTGCCAGGGAGCCCGCGCTCACCCCCACCCTCCAGCCAAGGCTGCCTGTGGAAAAACGAAAAATAAACAGGCTCAGCTGCAGTGGCTCTTCCACCTCCAGGGACAGCTTGGGGGACTGGTGCTGCTTGTTGTTAGCCCCGGAGAGAGCGCAGGCCCTAGTGCAGCTCGTTCTTACTTGTCTGGGGAAGTTAATTGACACGAAGATGCTGGCGACTTTGTAAGTTACCAGACCCGTTTGTATTTTAACTTTGGAAATGGAAGGTGCTTTAATCAAATACAGGATCTCAGCATTAATATGTGTGGAAAAGCAGTAGAGGAAACTTAAGGAAATCCTATTGGGTACCCTCCACATTGTCCCAGAACTCCTAAGGCCACCCTGAAGACAGTTTACGCGCCAAGGAAGGGGTGGAGGGGTATTTTCTGAAGAGACAAGGCTGAGAAGAAATGGAAGAAAACCAAACCAAAACAAAACAAAACAAAAAAAAAGAAGAAAACAAAAACGGAATAAGACTCTCCCACCAGAGTCCATGCATTTCTCTAGGTTGGAACTTGAGGTTGGCTTGTTGTAAGGTACGTAGGCGCCTATTGCTTTGGTCATCTGAGTGGCCCTTTCAGAGATTTCCGCCTCTCAGCGGCTGGGCTGCTCCCAAGGGAACTCGGGCCCCTTTTGGCTGGTGGTACCAGAATTAAGTGTTCTGTGTGTGTGTGTTGAAGGGGGTGTCTTTGGAGGGAGTATAGAGCAAATGTGAATTGGCCCCAGCTGCCCCTGGAAAGTCTCTCAATGAGCTGACACGGAAATTTACCTGGCTTATACTTTTGGAGCTAGTCCAGACCTGCTCAGGTGTTTCTGGGGAGAACAGGATTCCAGCCAGGCTGGCCAGCTAGTTTGGCATGCAGCAGAAATGGAAACTGGCCGTGGTGAGGTTACTTGTTTGAACTCCAAATTCAGGGGTCAGCAACCTCCTTTTACTCTCAGTGCCTCAGGGTAATTAAAGAAAAGAGCCTGGATGGGATCCGTAGAAATGCGTGTTAGAGGGAGAATCACGATTTGGAGATGGAGGGCATTGACCAGAGTATCTTAACATGTGATCTGCCTACTACCTGCCTTAGGATGAAAGAGGTGGATGCTTGCTGCAAATGCAGATTCCTAGGCTTTGTTTCAAACCTAATGAGTTAGAATCTCTGAAACTGGAGCTTGGCAATCTGCATTTTAAATACTCAGCCCCCACCTCCATAAGACGTGTATTAAGCACCTACTATGTGCAGGCGCTGTTCTGAGCTCTAGGAATACTGTGAGGAACATGACATACAAAAGCCTTGTTCTCTTGGAGGCCGCATTCAAACTGAGAAATCAGATAATAAAGTAGTAAACAAAGGTACAAATAATGTAGTTTCAGATAGTGATGAGTGCTATGAGGAAAATAGAGCAGGATTTGTGCCCAGGTTTGCTGGACTCCAAAGCCCTGGCTCTTGACATTACACTCTGTTGCCTACAAACTTTTTGTTTCTGCCCCAGACCCTGTCTGGTTCTGGAGAAGCATATAATTTGGCAGTTTGGCAGATGCATGTGGCAGCCCTTCAACTGTGGCAGATCAGTAACTGCAGAGAGAGAGTGTGCAGACACACTATTATAATCAAAAGTAATTACTTTCCTTTGGTGTCCTTGAATGAAAGAGAAGGTGTGTAGGGAATGTACAGAGTAGGAGCACAGAAGATGCCCAGTATTTGGGTTGCTCTGAAGAGAGAAGCTGTGGTCTGAATGTTTGTTGTCCCCGCAGTTCATATGTTGAAATCCTAACCCTCAAGGTGATGGTATTAAGAGGTGGGTCTTTGGGAGGTGATCAGGTTACAAGGGCAGAACCTTATAAAGGAGGCCTCAGAGAGCTTCCTTGTCCCTTCCATGATGTGAGAAGACACTATCTCTGAACCAGAACTTGGGCCCTCACCAGACGCTGAATCTGCTGGGGCTGTGATCTTGGACTTTCCAGCCTCCTGAACTGTGAGAAATGCATTTTTGTTGTTTATAAGTCACCCAGTCTATGGGATTTGATTGTAGCAGCCCAAATGGACTCTGACAAACGGCTAATGTTGTGCATACCATGCTGTCCAGGGCTTTGAACACCAGAGAACCCCATGGTTGGGTCTTCTTTCACGTCTTCACATGGCTCCTTCCTATTTCCTTCATTATTTTTGAATCCAAAATGAACTCTTTCCATGCAAGCCAGGAGTTACAGAGGATTGGTTGCTTTAAAAAATTATTTGTGTTAGAAAAAGTTAGAAAGCAGTTGTGGGAGAATAATTATAATGGTAGCTACTTTTTTTTTTTTTTTTTTTTTTTTTGAGGCAGAGTTTTGCTCTGTCACCCAGGTGGCAGGACGGTGGCACCATCACGGCTCACTGCAGCCTCTACTTCCTGGGCTTAAGCGATCCTCCTGCCTCATTTTTTAATTTCCTGTAGAGACGAGATCTCACTATGTTGTCCAGGCTGGTAGCTACTATTTATTGATTATTTTCTTTGTGCCACGCATCTACTGGCTTCCTTCATTTTCATAACAACCTTTTAAGTTAAAAATTAATAGGTGATACATTTACATAGTATAAAATTTAAAAGCTATCAAAAGCTTACAATGAAAATAAGCCTTCCTATTCTGTTGCCCAGACAGCTAGTTCCCTTTCCTAGAAGCAATTGCTGTTAACTCATCTCTTCTGTCCCTCTAGAAATAATCTATGCATATATAAGCAGTTATATATTCATGCTTTTCATTTTTAAAAGCACAAATGGTAGCATATAAGTATACTCTTCTTCACCACGCATTTTTCTCTCATACAAGATTGGTATTTATAGATTTATGAAGTTCTCTTTATATATATATATATATATATATATATATTTTTTTTTTTTTTTGAGACAGAGTCTTGCTCTGTTTCCCAGGCTGAAGTGCAGTGGCGCAATCCTACCTCACTGCAGCCCCAACTTTCTGTGCTCAAGTGATCCTTCCACCTCTGCCTGTGGAGTAGCTGGTACTACAGGCACGTGCCATCACACCCGGCTAATTTTTTTTATTCGTAGAGATAGGGGTCTCACTCTGTTGCCCAGATTGGTCTTGAACTCTCCTTAGCTCAAGGAATCCTCCCATATCGGCCTCTCCAAGTGCTAGGATTACAGGTGTGGTGCCACTGCGCCCAGCCCCAAGTTCTCTTTATAGCTGTAAATGTGAATATGCAGGCATAACTCGAAGATGTTGCAGGTTTGATTCCAGACCATCCCAATAAAGTGAATATCTAAATAAAGTGAATCAAACAATTTTTTAGTTTCATAGTGCATATAAAAGTTATGTTCATACTACACTGTAGTCTATTAGTATGCAATTGCATTGTTTAAAAAAGCACACTGTATATATTTTATTTTATTTTATTTTGAGGTGGATTTTCGCTCTTATTGCCCAGGCTGGAGTGCAATGGCGCGATCTCGGCTCACTGCAATCTCCGCCTCCTGGGTTCAAGCAATTCTCCTGCCTCACCCTCCTGAGTAGCTAGGATTACAGGCATGCACCACCACACCTGGCTAATTTTGTATTTTCAGTAGAGATGGGGTTTCTCCACCTCGGTCAGGCTGGTCTCGAACTCCTAACCTCAGGCGATCCGCCCGCCTCGGCCTCCCAAAGTGCTGGGATTACAGGCGTGAGCCACCGCGCCTTGCGGCACACTGTATATATTTTAAATAAAAATACTTTATTGCTAAAAAATGCCAGCAATTGTCTGAGCTTTCAGTGAGTCATAATCTTTTTGCTGGTGGAGGGTCTTGCCTCAGTGTTGAAGGCTACTTACTGACTAGAGCGGGGTGGTTGCTGAAGGTTGGGGTGGCTGTGGCAATTTCTTAAAACAACAATGAAGTTTGCTGCAGTGATTGACTCTTCCTTTCATGAAAGATTTCTCTGTAGCATGTGATGTTGTTTGATAGCATTTTCCCTATAGTAGAACTTCTTTCAAAATTGGAGTCAATCCTCTCAAATCCTGCCTGTTATCAACTAAAGTTATGTAAAATTCTGATTCTTTGTTGTTATTTCAACAATGTCACAGCATCTTCACCAGGAGTAGTTTCATCTCAAGAACCACTTCTTTGCTCATTCATAAGAAACCTCATCCATTCAAATTTTATGAGATCGCAGCAATTCAGTCGCACCTTCAGGCTCCACTTCTAATTCTGGTTCTCTTGCTGTTTCCAGTGCAGTTCCTTCCTCCACTGAAGTCTTGAACCTCTCAAAGTCATTCATAAGAGTTGGACTCATCTTCCAGACTCCTGTTAATGTTGATATTGTAAATGTTCATATTAAGAATGTTGTTAATGGCATGTAAAAATGGTGAATCCATTCCAGAAGGTTTTCAATTTATTTTGCCATCGGGGGCTCACTATGGCAGCTATAACATTACAAAATGTATTCTTAAGTAATAAGACTTGAAAGTTGAAATTGCTTCTTGACCTGTGGCCTGAAGAATGGATGTTGTATTAGCAGGCACAAAAACAACATCAATCTCCTTGGATTTTCAGAATGGTAAAGGAGCATTGGCTTCAACTTAATGTCACCAGCTACATTAGTCCCTAACAGGAGAGTCAGCCTGTCTTTTGAAGCCATGAAGCCAGGCACTGACTTCTCATTATTCATGTGTTCACTGGAGTAGCACTTTTAATTTCCTTCAAGAACTTTTCCTTTGCGTTTACTACCTGGCTGACCATTCACTGCAACAGGCCTGGCTTTTGGCCTATCTCAGCTTTCAATATGCCTTCCTCACTAAGTTTAATCATTGCTAGCTTTTGATTTAAAGTGAGAGGTGGACAACTCTTCCATTTACTTTAATACTTAGAGGCCATCGTAAGGTTATTAATTGGCCTAATTTCCATATTGTTGTGTCTCCGAATAGAGAGGCCCAAGGAAAGAGAGAGAGAAGAAGTGTTGGTGGATAGAGCTGTCAGGATATGCACAACATTTATATAGTTAAGTTTACCATTGCATGTGAGTATGGTTCATGGTGCCCCGAAACAATTACAATAGTATCATTAAAGACCAGTGGTCACAAATCACCATAACAGATATAGTAATAATAAAAAAGTTTGAAATATTGGGAGAATTACCAAAATTGTCCCAAAGACATGAAATGAGCATATACTGTTGGAAAATGGTGCAGATAGACTTGCTGGACACAGGGTTGCCACAAGCCTTCAATTAGTAAAAGAGACAATATCTGTGAAGTTCAATAAAGGGAAGTACACTAAAAAGAGGTATGCCTGCACTAGAATTTTTTTTCTGGTATTTTGCTATTATCAACAATGATGCAGTGAATAATCTTATATATTCATGATTTTGCATATGTGCAAGCGTATTTGTATGATAAATAGCAGTGGAATTTCTGGGTCAAGTGATGTGAATACTTGTATTTTTAGTAGGTAAAGCAACATAGTGTAGGAGTTAGGAGCACAGACCTGTAGACAGATTGCTTGGAGTTGAGTCTTGGCTCTGCCATTTATATGTCGTGCAAGTCACTTAACCCCTCTTTGCCTCAGTTGCTTTATTTGCAAAATAGGGATAATAATGGTAGCTACCTAATAGGATTGTTATGAGGATTCTCTCAGTTTATGTTGTACAACAAATCACCCCCAATCATCATGGCTTAAAAAAATAACCGTTTTACTTGGCTCACAAATCTGTGGGTTGGTTGAGTGGCTCTTCTGGTTCTGCTTCTGTGGTCAGCTTGTGGGTCTGCTGGAGGCTGGGCAGTCTAGGATGACCTCACTCACATATCTGGTGCTTGACAGCTGTGTTGGTCATCGGGGACTCATTTGGGACAGCATGCAATCTCTCATGCTCCAGTAGCCTAGCTACTTCACATGGTGGTCTCAGGGTTCCATAGAGTAGCCCAGGAGGGCGGAGCTCAAGCACTTGTCAAGCCTCTGCATGTGTCACATTTGCTGCTGTTCCATTGACCAAAGCAAGAGTCAAGCTCAGAATCTGTGTAAGAGGAGACTCCCCAAGGTCAGGGATGCAGGGATACGGTGAAGGGAATCATTGCCACCATTTTTACAACGTGCCTCAAGAATCAAATACTATTTGTAAAGTGCCTGGTGTAGTGCCTGGCACATTTTAAGCGCTATATAAGTTTGTCAAGTTTGAAAAAAGAGCAGTATTACCAGACTGCATCCATAGAGATTGAACCAGTTTACACATCTACCAGCGTGAGTGCCTGTCTCCCAGTTTCTTGGAAACTGTATCAAAGTGGTTTATCCATGGAGAGGCAGATGTTCTTATCCCCATTTTACAGATGAAAGAAATGATCCTTGGAGAGGTTAAGTCATTTTTCTGGTAATACAGAACCAAACTAGGATTTGAATCCTTTGTCTTTCTGACTCTAGAGCACCTCTGCTAGTCTTGCCACTCTAAACACAGGTGAGATTCCGGTGTCCCTAATGACCCCATCCACTGTTCTCCTGCTTACCCTTTGTACTTCATGTCCATCATTTCTATTTCACATTTGGATCTTGCTGGGTTGAAAAGGATCTGTCAATCTCTTGAATTCTTTAACAGTGGTTTTGATTTCAACTTGGCCTACTGAAATCAAAGCCAAGTGTCTGCAGAGACAGCGGGCTCTTTCATGACTGTGAAGGGATGATAAAGGGAAACCTGTCATTTTACCTCTTATAAATGGAAAAAACAGATGAGTCTGGCCTTCTCTTGTTTATCCATTCTTTCTTTTCATTCCTCACGTCCTTTTGCTTCACTTCACAACCCAGGAATTCCTTTCCCTAAAGGGGAAAGTGTGATCATGGGAGACAGTGTTTCTTGGTGGTTCAGGATGGGATCTCTGGAGACAAACTGTTTGGGTTCAAGTCCAGCACGGCTATTTACTGGCTATGTGGCTTGGACGGGTTAACCTGCACTGAAAGGTTTTCCTGAGGTCTGTGATAATTTGTGGAAAGTGCTCCATTCTCATCATTACACAGCAGATTACTTTTGCTGTCTTCTCTGTTCTGTTTCACATCCCTTCTCCTCCACATGTATTCCTATGCCCCAGCTGTGTTTAATAATAAGGATAGCTAATATTTACTCAGCCCTTACTCTAAGCGCCTTTCATGTAATTAACTCATCTAATCCTCGCAACAAACCTATGCAATAGGTGCTGTTTTATTCCCATTTTCAAGTGAGGAAGCTAGATGCTGAATGCTAAGTAATTTTCCCAACATACCATGGCCAATAAATGATGTAGCAGGGATTTTAAATGAGGCATTCTGGCGCCAGAGTCTGTGCTCTTATATTTATGCAAAAAAAAAAAAAAAAAAAAAAAAAAAAAAAAAAAAAAAAAGATGGGATGGAAGGTTGGGAGTTTAAAATTGAGAGCTTCTGCTCTAGATAAACTGCTGGTAAACTTACACACAGCCTCTGTCCCTGGCAGTGGCTGAGTACACCCAGCTGTGATTTCGGCTGAAAATCCCAGCATACACACAAAATAGGAACTTTAAATTCTTTTGCCAAAAGGCTTTCTACTTTAATAATTTTAATTCTGACAAGATTTTGGGCATCGTGCCTCCCTTGTAACTGAGGTGAGACACTGTGGAAAAATACATGGGGCTTAAAAAAAAGATTCAAAAATCAAGCTGGTTAGTTTTGAGGCTTGCCACCTCTTGCTTCTTTTGATCAACTGCTCTGGTGGGAGAGACAGCATTCACCAAAGCATCAGGAGAATAAAATATGAATACTGCAGATAATATGTAACTTTCTGAGTTTAGAATTGTGCATATCTTCAAGCTGAAGGAAAGAACTGAAGCTGTTTCATAGGTGTTGGCATGTAGACTAAATGTAATGTGGTGACACTCCTCAAACACATATTTTAACATTGACTTCCTTCTGTGTGCTAGGAATCCACTGTGGGTGAGCAAGCTCTGCATGGCTCTGATCTTGCAGACTTTGCAGGCTCTGAGAAGACAGTTAAGCAGTACCATGAATTGTGGCGTATATGGTTGCAAAGGAAGGATCAATTACTGGGGGACTGTAGTGGGTGTTCCTAACCTAGTCTGAGGGATTCATAAAAGCCTTCCAGTATGATTGTAGCTGAGGGCTTGTCATCTATGGCTTTTATTATGTTGAGGGTATGTGCCTTCTGTGCCTAATTTGTTGAGAGTTTTTGTCATAAAGAGAGGTTGAATTTCATGAAATGCTTTTTCTGTATCTGTTGAGATAATCGTGGTTTTTGTCCTTTATTCTATTGATGTATTTATTGATTTGTGTGTGTTGAACCATCCTTGCATCCCTGAGATAAATCCCTTTGACGTGTTGTTGGATTCAGCTTGCTAGTATTTTGTTGAGAAATTTTTGTATTTATATTCATCAGAGATACTGGCCTGTAGTATTTATTTATTTATTTTTTTATTTATTTATTTATTTATCTATTTATTTATTGAGACAGAGTTTCTCTCTTGTTGCCCAGGCTGGAGTGCAATGGCCTAATCTCTGCTCACTCCAACCTCTGCCTCCCAGGTTCAAGCAATTCTCCTGCCCCAGCCTCATGAGTAGCTGGGATTACAGGTGCCCGCCACCACGCCCGGCTAATTTTTTGTATTTTTAGTAGAGATGGGGTTTTACCATGTTGGCCAGGCTGGTCTTGAACTCCTGACATCAGGTGATCCACCTGTCTTGGCCTCCCAAAGTGCTGGGATTATAGGCATGAGCCACCATGCCCGACCTGTAGTTCTATTTTTTTTTTTTTTTTTTTGCTGGGTCCTTGTCTGGTTGTGGTATCAGGATAATGCTGGTCTCATAGAATGAATTAGGAAGAATTTTCTCCTCTTTAATTTTTTGGAATACTTTGAGAAGAATTCGTGTTGTTCTTCTTTATAAGTCTTGTAGGTTTCCACAAGACAGTCATCTGGTCCTGGGTTTCTCTTTTTTTGGGAGATTTTTTATTACTGATTCAGTTTCATTAATCATTATTGGTCTGTTCAGGTTTTCCGTTTCTTTTTGTTTCAGTCTTGGTAGGTTGTATGTCCAGGAATTTATCCATTTCCTCTGTTATTCAGACCAAAATCTTGAAGAACGAATCCTCAGAAAGCCCATCAACTGCTACTCAAATGGCGACAAGCCTGCAAGCACAAGGTTTAGTGAGAGTAGAATTGCTGCTAACAGTGAATGTGGAGGATTCTGATCTCAAATTGTAGATGGTTCTGTGAGGCTTTTTGAAGTCTGGCCCATATCTAGGCCTTTAAACCTTAGTAATAGGGCAGGGGATCATCTAAATTTAGGTCTACTTATTTTCCATGCGTTCGAACATTTTGTTGTTGTTGTTGTTAGACCAAACTTGCTTCAAAATTGACTTGAACTGTAGTGCAGTTCTTGGCATGTTTTACTAGTAATAATAAAAAAATCACTTAATGATCGCTATGTGCAAGGCATTGTGCTAATACATACACACGTTTTGCATATACATATGTATATTTCACTGACTCTTCAAAACCGTCTTTTTCCTTTTTGCAGTAAGCAACAAAATTATTCATTCATTTATCTCACATTCTTGGGCTGAGTTATGGACTAGGGCTGCCAAAACACATGGCCCCTGAGCCGTAAGAACTTAGTTTACTGAGGATCAGACTTTTAAACAAATAGTTACCATGCAGTGTGATGACTGCATTAGCAAAAACATATCTAAAATACAGCCTAGAAAAAAGGTAATTAACTTTTCCAGACAGGAGAGAGGTGTTGTGGTGTCAGGGGAATTTAATTTTAAACAGGACATGGCATCTGAACACATTCTTTGTAAGTCCCATCTTTTCTCCTCAAGCATGATCTAGCTACTCTGACCTTCTCCTGGTCTCTTCTGCTCAAACAGCACGTTTTCCTTTATCTTACAATTGCACTCTTTATTCTGCAGACAGTCCTCTCTTGCTTTATTCACTGATAGTTTATTGTTCATGGCTGCCTCTTTTTATTTTTACTTTTAATCACATTATTAATTTTTATTTTTTGTAGAGTTGGGAGTCTTCTTTTGTTGCCCAGGCTGGTCTGGAACTCCTGGCCTCTAGTGATCTTCCTGCGTCAGCTTCTTAAAGGGCTGAGATTACAGGTGTGAGCCACCATGCCCGGCCTTCTTTTAAGTACAATTAAAATTTTTTTTTTCTTTAGAGGTGGGGTCTTGCTATGTTACTCAGGCTGGTCTTGAGCAGTTCTTCAAATTAAAATTTTAATAACTTTCTTGAGGAATGATTCATATATTGTAAGACTAACCTGTTTTAAATGTATAATTCAATGGTTTTTAAAGTAAATTTACTGAGTCAAAAACCACCACTTGAAGTAGTGGCATTAATCTCATTTTCTCAGGTGGAGAGTGGGGCTCAGGGAAATGAGGTTTTGGATCCGTACACATCCAGCTAGTCCCTCGCAGAGCTGGAATTCAAATGAGTGTAATGGCTCATTAAAGCATACTTAAGTTTGCAAGAGGGAAATAAGCCCATGAAGTTTTTGAGTAGAAGGGCGCCTTTATTACCTTGGAATCTAAGGACTAGTTATATCATGAAACTAGAAAGTGTCATTCACAGAGGGTTTAGGTAAAAACACTGGCAAAGAGGACTGAATTATGTGTAGTTTGAAAGATGAGTGAAAATACTCTAACAGTTGACCCAACAATCCATGTGTGTAGCAAAGCCACAAATTAAAATGTTTACTTGCAATGTTAATAATGAACCGCTTTGGTTACTTTCATTCTAAACCATTATGCTTATTATTTAGCTTTCCAGGGTACTTACAAATGTTAATTTCCTGATAGAGAATATTTTCTTATTCTCACCCCCAAGCAAGCTGTGACATGGAATAGTCCAACAGTCAATTCATAAGAGCAAGGCTCTCCCTCTCTTTCCCATCCAAATTATGGGGTTTGAAATGTTCTGACAATTGAATTAGTTGACTGGTACAACAGTAGCGAATGCTTTGTAATTTGTGTTGCCTTCAGAGATGGCAAAAATTAGGCTGCTGCTAATAGACCAGAACTGTCTGGACTCTGACAAGCTTCCCTCCTGCCTTCAGCAGAAGGGAGGACAGCGGCTCCTGCTATTCAACTCTGAATTATGTTTTACATGCCACAGTTCTGATTTTTTTTTTTTTTTGAGACAGAGTCTCGCTCTGTCACCCAGGCCGGAGTGCAGTGGCATGATCTCGGCTCACTGCGATCTCCGCCTCCCAGGTTCAAGCGATTCTCCTGCCTCAGCCTCCTGAGTAGCTGGGATTATAGGTGCGCACCACCAAGCGCAGCTAATTTTTATATTTTTAGTAGAGACAGGGTTTCACCACGTTGGTCAGGCTGGTCTTGAACTCCTGACCTCGTGATCTACCCGCCTCAGCCTCCCAAAGTGCTGGGATTACAGGTGTGAGCCACTGCGCCCGGCCCGCAGTTCTGATTTTTGAATATCAATGCTGGGAAAATGACAGCAGTGCTCGAGATAGTTGCTGACAGGGTAAAGCTACCTATTCCCTTTGCTAAAAGGAAGGCTCAAACGCAGCCTGTGCAGAGGGCTCTGCTGGGTTAGTATGCTGGGCTCCTCTCTTTATGCGTTCATCATTCCAGTAATGGAGTTGAATGTGCAGAAGGCCTTCCCCGCCCCTGTTTTTGGGCTAAGAAGCCACAGGAATAGTCTCAATTCAATACTGGGACACTCAGGCAGGGATAACTAGATTGTGTTATACCTTACAGGTCAATATCAAAGGAAATGTATTTCAGATGATTCTAAGTTCAGTATTTTATTTCATATTCAGCAAACTAAGGCTAGGTCAGAGTCAGTTTTCAGGAAGTAACCTAACACCCCTCCTTTGCCCTAAAATGGGAGTTCACAAACTTTTTCTGTGAAGAGGCAGATAGGAAATATAGGCTTTGTGGGCCATAGGGTCTCTTATTGCAATGACTTAACTCTGCCTTAAAATGTGAAAGCAACCATAGACAACACATGAAATGAATGAATGTGGTTGTGTTCCAATAAAACTTTACTTATGGATGCTGAAATCTGGATTTCATATCATTTTCACATGTCATAAAATACTATTATTCTGATTTTTTTTCAATCATTTAAACATGTAAAAACCATCCTTAGCTTGTGGATAATACGAAAACAGGTCATGGGCTGGATTTGGCCGGTGGATTGTAATTTGCCACCCTTTGCCCTAAAGCATTAGAGATTCCTCTAATGTATTCCAGGTATGCGTGCAATTGTTTTCCAGTATGTGAGCCATCCTTTTCTGCCAAAGTCCGTCTACCTATTCAGGAGGTAATGCAGAGTGACATGGATAGAAAACCAGAAACCCAACTGAAACCAGGACATTTCAGTCTTCCGCCTTCATCACTTGCTGCCTCCTCTCTCTCTCCCTCACACACCTCTACTTGATGCTCATGGCACCCTTTCTTGATGACATGGGATCTCATTTCTATTCTTTGGGATCCTGGTAAGTTGCATTAATCAGAAATGTAGAATTTTGCATTAAAATTAAAATAAAGCAATTAGCATTCAGCAGAATGTTACAGAAGTAGTAAGGGCAAGGATATTGTTTCCTTTACAGAAGTGGGTTTGGAAAGATCTATTTGTTTTCTTTATTCATTTTCAGATAATTTCTCATTACTGGTTATAAAATGAAATTAGTTGAGTATTACAAGCTGTGTGCTCTAATACAAATTTATTGAAGTTCTATTTGAATGGATTTTTTTAGTGCTTATGTAGTGAATAGTGGTTATTTGGGATGCAGAGGTCTCTCTGAACTATGGACAGGTGCAAGAACTGTTCAGGCACACCACAGTTATTGGTTGGTTGCATGAATAGTCTGTGAGATGAGACCCAAGATCAGGTTAGAGTTCACCTATGCTCAGAAATTTGGTGCTCAAATAATGGTGTAATGGAGGCAGCATTGCACTATGACCTCTAAACTGACGCATACAGGCTTGTGACTTATTTTTCACATCTGTGAAATAGAGATGATTGACATGCACTTGATTTGTCAGAATCAAGTGAGACAGTTTATGTTTGCCAAGTCTGAGTGTAGTCTCTCGTTCATGGTTCACAAACTGGGCTGGTTATTAGAATCAGTTGTGGAAGTGAGTGGGGCTTTCAGGAAATACAAATTCCCAGGCTCACCCCAGACTTACAGAATCAGCATTTCTATGATAGGACCTAGAAGTCTAAATTTTTTAGACTTTGGGAAGCTCTGATATGTTCCATAAACCTCAGCAATGGATTTAAGTAAACCAAATACTTCCCTCAACCCAAGCTTGGACTTTTTCACTAAAATTTCATACCATTTGTCTTCATGAACAATAAAGGTATAGGAAGAAAGAGGGTCAGGAAGGGTACAAAGTATCTTCCCTTTATCTTCTTGGGGACGTCTGTTTCAGCAAGTAGAAGCAGAGCAAGAGCTGGTGTTTCATTGTCCAACCTGGTGAATGAACTCCAATTGCGTTTTTTACCCCTTCAGCTCTCCCTCTGCAGCCCTGAGATTTATGGTGTTGTTTTCACCTTCTTCTGTGCATTGAAGCATATTTGTGAAGGAAAGTCTAGATTGTGCACATCATAAATGTACAACAGATTGACAATATCCTTTCCAGTTTTGCTACTCAAAACTCATCATTGAAAATGTCTTTTTGAGTTATTTCTGGAAATAACACAATTGTAGTGTTGGCACATATAGATCACAAACACAAAAAGAATCTCGGTAGTTCTAAAAAGATAAACTAATTCTGAATTTCTCACATTTTCTGCATTGCTGCTAATTTACATGTGAGTAATTGTAGATTTCAAATGAATGAAAGCATCCACCTCCACACTGGAAGCCCAGATTGTTTACCGCAGTAGAATTCAGTAGTATGTACATACACACAAATGCTCTCATATAGTACTCTGCAACTTCCTGATGTTTGAGAGCCACAACAAAGTATTCTTCTGTTTACAAAACTTCTACCACAAATATTAAGTATTTACTATTTTCCAGGTACCTTGTTAGCAATTTAAATAAGGCATAGTTCCACAGTCCTTATCTTGGAAGTTCACAGGCTAGAAGGAAGATGATCATGAAATAAATCACTGTAGAAAAAATAAGCTTTAATATTAATCCTTTTTAAAATCAAATCATCTTTCAAACTGTATTCGTTATAAAAGTAGAGAATTTTTCCCATGGAAAAAATACGAGATCAATGTATTCACTCTGATCCTTTATACTATATCCCTGTTTTTATTAATTTTAAGGAGCTAATCCTTTGAAAGTAAGTAGATGCCTAACAAATATGTGAGGGACTAACAGGAGAGTATCTTGTACATGTAATAATGCAGTTGGATGTGTTCATACCTGTTGTGCAGCATCCATTTCAAGCTTCAGCTATCTCTGGAAGATGACTTTGTTTTTTTTTTTTTGAAATGGAGTCTCGCTGTGTCACCCAGACTGGAGTGCAGTGGCATGATCTCCACTCACTGTAGCCTCCGCTTCCCGGGTTCAAGCAGTTCTCCAGCCTCAGCCTCCCAAATAGCTGGGACTACAGGCACACACCACCACACCTGGCTAATTTTTTTGTATTTTTAGTAGAGACGGGGTTTCACTATGTTGGCTAGGCTGGGCTTGAACTCCTGAACTCAAGTGATCCTCCCACCTCGTCCTCCCAAAGTGCTGGGATTGCAGGCGTGAGCTACCACGCCCAGCCTGGAAGATGTCTTTGGATACTGGGTCTCTACTCTGTGTCTCCAAGTCTCCAGAGATAATTTTCAGCAAATTCCTGAATACCACCACTTTCCTACTCTCTAATGTTTCTTAAACTCAATATATGAAAAATAGAACTTATTCTTACTCTCAAACCTGATCTTTTCTTTTAGGTTTCTTATATCAGGGAGCCCTGTTGCCATTTTTCCAGATGCAGAGGCTTCAAACTTTGACATCATCTCTGACTCTTCCTCCCTCTTGACCCTAATCAGGAGCCAGATGCTATTGGGCCTTTGTCTCCCTTCCTGTCCACTGGAGCTAATTTGGTTTGGCGCTGTGTTCCCACACAAATCTCATCTCGAATTGTAATCCCCAGTGGTTTTCCCCATGATGTTCTTGTGATAGTGAGTTCTCACAAGAACAGATGGTTTAAAAGTGTTTGGCAGTTCCCCACCTCTCTCCTGCTGCCATGTAAGACGTGCCTTGTTTCCTCTTTGCCTTCCACCATGATTCTAAGTTTCCTGAGGCCTTCCCAGCCGTGCAGAACTGAGTCAATTAAACCTCTTTTGTTTATAAATTACCCAGTCTCAGGTAGTATCTTTATAGCAGTGTGAAAATGGACGAATACAGGCACCTTCCTGCTATTAGATCTTTGTTTCTCAAACTAGCATCCAAGGACTCTTAAAAGGCTCCATGCAATATTCTTGGGGATTTGAGTGTTCCTCATCTTAGGTTTTACATGTCCGGGATAATCTAACAATTTTTGTTTTTTTGAGACGGAATCTCGCTCTATTGCCCGGGCTGGAGTGCAGTGGCGCAATCTCAGATTACTGCAACCTCCACCTCCCAGGTTCAAGCGATTCTTGTGCCTCAGCCTCCTAAGTAGCTGGGCATATGCCACCATGACTGGCTGATTTTTTTTGTATTTTTAGTAGAGACGTGGTTTCACCATGTTGTCCAGGCTGGCCTTGAACTCCTGACCTCAGGTGATCTGCCTGCCTCACCCTCCAAAAGTGCTGGGATTACAGTGTGAGTCACCACACCTGACCCACAAAATTAACAAGTATGTGTTTGGGGTCATCAAAATTTATAATTGATGAGTGATTCTGCTGCAGACTTGAACATTCACATTTGTGTTGTGTTTGTGTGTTGGCTCTAAGTTGGGCAACTCCTCCTCTGGGCTCTCTTTGTGCCATGCTTTGTTCTTGTTACAATTGTGTGAGTCCAACTTTCCTAGTGAACTGTGAGTTCAGAAGACAGGGACCTTGTCTGGTGTATTTCTGTGTCCCCAGAACCTAGCATTGGGCCTGGCACATAGTAGGTACTTAAGCTTGTAGCTGTTGTGCATATCATGTTTTGGAGTCTGCTTTTGCTCCCATACACATTCCCATGCATGGCTGTAGTTAATTTAATGTTTATGTAGTATTTAGTCATGTTGATAGATGACATTTGGCTTAACCATCCTTTATTTTTAGATGTTTGGATTATTTTCATTTGTTGGCTATTTTAAGTAGCATAGTTAAAAACATCTTTGAGAAAAATTATTTTCTCTCATCTAGATTGTTTTCTTGGGAATTCCTTAATGAAATCACTAGATCAGCCAGGGGCTGGGGCTCATGCTTGTAATCCTGCACTTTGGGAGGCCAAGGTGGGCAGATTACTTGAGCACAGGAGTTCAAAACCAGCCTCGGCAAAATAGTGAGACCTTGTCTTTACAAAAAAATTTAAAAGTTAGCTAGGTATGGTGGCTTGTGTGCCTGTAGTCCCAGCTACACAGGAGGCTGAGGTAGGAGAATGGCTTGAACCCACGAGGTTGAGGCTGCAGTGAGTCACTGCACTCCAGCCTGGGCAACAGAGCAAGACCCTGTCTCAAAACAAGAAATTACTAGGTCAAGCAGTTTTATTCCTCTTGTAATATGATTGTAGGATTTAGTGTTTATGAAGAGATCAGACTGAGTCATAATGGATAAACTCTTTTTAGATATGTTTCTTTCATTGGAATCAAAGTTGAAAGAAAAAATGAAGATGCTTCTCCTTCTGCCACCTCACCAACGTTGCTCACCTGGGCCATTTCCCTTCCTCTGGTTTTTCCATCTGCAGCCACAACTTCAGTGATGGAGGAAGTACATGTTAGGTCAGCCAGAACCACGTTTCCGACATGCAGATCTAATCATGTTGTCGGTCAAGACACAGCGGTGGCCTTCCATTGCCCACAAGATCAAGTCCAGCCACACTGTCAGGGCCGACAGAGTCCTTCAGGGTGTGGCCTCTGTCTCCCTTTCTAGGCTTCTCTTTGGCTGCTGCCCAGATGCACTCCCTGCCCACCCAGCAGGCACTATTTTCAGTTAGGAATGTACATGCTGTTCCCTCCATCTGAAAGGGACTCCTCAACTCCTTCCTTCTGGTATCACCTCACTCACCCTTCAAGGCTCAGCTTCAAGTCCCAAGTACTGCCCTCCTCCCAGCCCTAATAAGGTAATAACCTGCCCCACCCCATTCTCTCAGAATTTTTCCATCCTTCGTTAAAGACTTTGTCACCCATATTGAAGCTCTTTGTTAGTTTTTTTCATCTTTTTATTTAGATTATGAGCTCATTAAGGACAGGATTTTTTTTTTTTTTTTTTTTTTTTTTCTTGAGACAGAGTCTCACTCTGTTGCCTGGGCTAGAGTGCCATGGTGCGATCTCAGCTCACTGCAACCTCTGCCTCCCGGGTTCATGCCATTCTCCTGCCCCAGCCTCCTAAATAGCTGGGATTACAGGCATGTGCCACCATGCCTGGGTAATTTTTGTATTTTTAATGGAGATGGGGTTTCACCATATTGGCCAGGCTGGTCTCGAACTCCTGACCTCAAGTGATCCACCTGCCTCGGCCTCCCAATGTCCTGGGATTACAGGCGTGAGCCACTGTGCCCTGCCCAGGACAGGACTTTTGTCAGTCACTTTGTGACTAGCATATAGCTGGTCCTCAATAAACATTTTCTGAATGAATAGAATTGTTATTTTGGTTTACATATATATATGTAAAGTAGTTAAGGTAAGTCTACTTATTGATAAATTGAGAACCCTTTTATTCTATCTATGATAATTCTCAGTTGTTCAGAATATCAGTAAATGTATTAAACTCTTCCTTCTCCAACCATTTGACATGCGTTTTTTTGTTGTTGTTGTTGTTTTGTTTTTTTTAATGGGCAGCAGTTGTAATTTTGTTTATTAACTAAACTGTAAACTCTAGACTGTAAGCGATGTGAAGAAATGTCGGTCGGGTGCCGTGGCTCATGCTTGTAATCCCTGCACTCTGGGAGGTCAAGGCAGGAGGATCACTTGAGTCCAGGAGTTTGAAACTAGCCTAGGCAACATGGCAAAACCCTGTCTCTACAAAAAATACAAAAATTAGCCGGGCGTGGTGGCATGTGCCTGTAGTCCCAGCTACTTGTGGGGCTGAGGTGGGAAGAACGCTAGAGCCTAGGAAGTCAAGGCATGCCATCAAGTGAGCCATGATCATGCCACTGCACTCCAACCCAGGCAACAGACCGAGACCCTGTCTCAAAAAAAAAAAGAGAAATGTTGGATAAACGTGGTGGCTCACGCCTATAATCCCAGCGCATTGGGAGGCCAAGGCAGAAGAATTGCTTGAGTCCAGGAGTTTGAGACCAGCCAGGGCAACATATAGAGACCCTGTCTCTACAAGAAAAATTTAAAAATTAGCCAGACATGGTGACACACACCTGTAGTTCCAGCTACTCGGGAGGTTGAGGTGGGAGGATCGCTTGAGCCTGGGAGGTCGAGACTGCCATGAGCCATGATTGCATCGCTGCACTCTAGCCTGGGTGACAGAGAAAGACCCTGTCTCAAAAAAAAAAAAAAAAAAAAGAGTCTAGTTCACCACCATTTCCCTAGTGCTTAGTACTGTTGGGAACCTGGTACCCATTAGGCACACAATAACTATTTGTTGAATGAGTGGAAAGGTTGAAAAAAGGCCCAAGCATGTGGCATATCACAAACCTTGACATTGGGAAAATTTATGCATACATATCTGTCCTATTTCATTCACCATTCTTCTATTCATGTGTCCGTTTAACTCGCTGTTTTCCTTGATAACCCCTGTGGCCTCTTCTATGTCCACCATTTCATGACTCTGAAGGCGTATTTGAGTCCTGTCATCTCCTGCCCATCTCTTCAGTGGGACACATCTTGGAATACAAACTTCAAGCCAGGAAGCTAATACCTTGGTGTAGTAAGCAAGATAGTCCCTCTGTCCCACAACAAAGAGGTCAGAGTCTCTAAGGCTGGCCCCTTCATTTACCTCCAATATGAAGTCCAAATCAACCTCCTGTTGTTCCTGGGAATAACTAACTAAATCACATCTGCACGGCGGAGCTGATTTATAGGGATGTGATGTTATCTGGAGCCTGCTGCCAAAACCTGCAGAAGTCATCTTGAGGGAAACATGAAGTATTGGCAGAGAGATCACATCTCCCCTTTCCTATATTGAGTCTTCTTGGGATATGTGTTTCATTTCTTGGGATCCTGGTGAGAATTTGCATGTTTTTGACCACAGCATATTACAAGGAAAAATTCCATCTACTAATTAGTTTCTCCCTTGGATTACTAGTCCTATTAAAAAGCTTTGTAAGGGAATAAGAAACTGAGGTAGTAATTACTAGTGGGGAAGGAGTAACATAGTTTCATGAGAGGAAAATGTCCTCAACTATGTTTTGGAGCAATGGGAGACAGAAGAAGACTTAAAAACAAATACAAAAGCAACCTGGGATGGCGGCAAAAGTCTTGCTATTTGGTTCATTAAAAAAGGTGTTATAAATTCTCAATGACCTACTCCTAGGCTTAGGAGTCCTATTAAAACCCTGCTGTGTGAGAGCTAAAATCTTAATTGAAAATAGAGCAGATTGAGCCAACACTGTTATTTATTAAAGCTATTGTCAATGCTCACTGCTCTCAAATGGATTTTTCTTATGATGCTGGAAGGACTATGGGAAGCTTTGCAGTCCAGAGCATCATTTAGCTTTAGCTGCAGGGCTAGCTGGAAACCATAGTGCCTAGCAGCACAGAGCAGGGGCTGGGTGTCTGAGTGGCAGGGGCTGACATAGCTGTACTAGAAGGAGGGTTGCACCCTCGTGGTAGATGGCACAAAATGAGGCTGACTCCTATGTCAGGACAGATACATGAGCAGCCACAGGAGCAAATGAATGGTGCCATGCACACAGAAGAAAGCCAAATGTTGGATGAAAGAGCACCAGGGAGGGCAGAGGAAGGCCAGGTCTTGGATCTGATAAAGATGCTGTGTTTCGGTAGCTCTGTATCCAAGCCCGTTGAAGTATCCTTGGCTCTTAATTTCAGGGGAAGCTAATTCTTTTTTGTTTATTTTTTTGATTGTGGGTTTAAAAAATGGATACATGATATTTTACATACTTATGGGGTACATGTCATATTTTGTTACATGCATAGAATATGTAATGATCAAGTCAGGGTACCCATCACCTTTAGTATTTATCATTTCTCTGTGTTGGGTGCATTTCAGGTTTTTGCTTCTAGTTATTTTGAAATACTGCAATACATGGTTTGTAACTATTACAGTCACCCTACTCTAGTTTTTTTTCTTCTTCTTCTTTAGATGGAGTCTTGCTCTGTCACCAGGCTGGAGTGCAGTGTCGCGATCTCAGCTCACTGCAACCTCCGCCTATCAGGTTCAAGGGATTCTCCTGCCTCAGCTTCCCGAGTGACTGGGACTACAGGCACATGCCACCATGCCCAGCTAATTTTTGTATTTTTAGTAGAGATGGGGTTTCACCACATTGGCCAGGATGGTCTCGATCTCTTGACCTTATGAGCCTCCCACCTTGGCCTCTCAAAGTGCTGGGATTACAGGCATGAACCACCGTGCCTGGCCGTACTCTGCTCTTGAATATTGGAACTTATGCCTTCTATCTAAGTCTAGGTTTGTACCCATTAACCTCTTTTCATCGCCCTCTCCCTTCCCAGCCTCTAGTGTCTATCATTCTACTTTCTACTTCCATGACATCAACTATTTTTTAGCTCCTACATATGAGTAGTATTTGTTTTTCTGTGCCTGGCTTATTTCACTTAACATAGTGATCTCTAGTTCCATCCATGTTGATGCAAATGACAGGATTTCATTTCTTATGGCCAAATAGTATTCCATTATGTATATATACCATATTTTCTTTACTCGTTCGTCCATTGATGTACACTTAGGTTGATTCCATATCTTTGCTATTGTGAATAGTGCTGCAATAAACTATTGTGAATAGTGCTGCAATGCACGCGTACCTACCCTTTGACATACTGATTTATTTTCCTTCGGATAAATACTTAGTAGTGGGATGGCTGGATCATACTATAGTTCTATTTTTAGTTTTTTTTTTTTTTTAAATCTCCAAACTTTGTTCCACAATGGATATACTAATTTGTATTACCACCAATAGTGTGTAAGAGTTCCCTTTTTCCACATCATTGCCAGCATTTTTTTGTCTTTTTAGTAATAGCCATTCTAACTGGGGTAAGAGATCTCGTGGTTTTGATTTGCATTTCTCTGATGACTAGTGATGTTGAGCATTTTTTTTTTTCATATACTTCTTGGCCATTTGTACATCCTCTTTTAAAAAATGTCTATTCATGTCCTTTGCTCACTTTTCAATGGAATTATTTATTTGTTTGTTCACTGTTGAGTTGTTTGAGTTTCTTGTATATTCTGGATATTTGTCCTTTGTTTGATGAAGAGTTGGCAAATATTTTCTTCCATTCAACAGGTTGTCTCTTCCCTCTGCTGATTGTTTCCTTTGCTGTGCAGAAGCTTTTTAGTTTAATATAGTTCGATTTTTCTATTTTTTTTTTTATTCCTGTGCTTTTGAGGTTTTAGCCCTTGCCTAGACCAATGTCCTGAAGTGTTTTTCCTATGTTTTCTTCTAGCAGTTTTATAGTTTTGGTTCTTATGTTTAAGTTTTTAATCTCTCTTGAGTTGATTTTTATATATGTTGAAAGATAGTGGTCCAGTTTCATTCTTCTGCATATGGCAATCCAATTTTCTGAACACCATTTATTGAATGGGGTGTCATTTTCCCAATGTGTGTTTTTGGAGGCTTGGTCGAAAATCAGTTGGTTACAAATATGTGGATTTATTTGTGGGTTCTCTATTCTATTCCATTGGTCTCTGTGTCTGTTTTTATACCAATACCATCCGTTTTGGTTACTATAGCCTTGTAATATATTTTGAAGTCAGGTAGTGTGATGCCTCCAGCTTTGTTCAGTATTGCTATTTGGGCTCTTTTATGGTTCTATATGAGTTTTACGATTGTCTATTTCTGTGAAAAATGATGTTGGTATTTTGGGCAGTATGTTTATTTTAACAATATGAATTCTTCTGATCCTTGAGCATGGGATGTCTTTCCATTTGTTTGTGTTCTTTTTAATTTCTTTCATCAGTGTTTTGTAATTTTCCTTATAGAGATCCTTTACCTCTGCTATAGTTTGGATATTTGACTTGCGAAACCTCGTGTTGAAATTTATTTCCCATGTTGGAGATGGGGCCTCATGGCAGGTGTTTAGGTCATTGGAGCAGATCCCTTATGAATAGATTAATGTCCTTCCTGGGTGGATAGTTCTCACTTTATTATTTCCCACAAGAGGTACTTGTTAAAAAAAGCCTGGTGCTTTCTTCCCCTCCCTCTTGCTTCCTCTCTCTCACCATATGATCTCTGCATACAACAGCTCCCGTTCTCCTTCTGCCATGAGTAGAAGCAGCCGGGAAGCCCTCTCCAGTAGCAGATATTGGTGCTGTGCTTCTTGTACAGCCTGTAGAACCATTAGCCAAATAAACCTCTTTTCTTTATAGATTACCCAGCCTCAGATGTAGCTACACAAATGGACTAAGACAACCTCCTTGGTTAAATTTATTGTTAGATATTCTATTTTTTATAGCTATTGTAAATGGGATTGCCTTCTTGATTTCTTTCTCAGCAAGTTCATTATTGGTGTATAGAAATGCTACCGATTTTTGTGTGTTGATTTTGTACCTGAAGCTTTACTGAATTTATTTATCAGATCTAAGAGTTTTTTGGTGGAGTCTTTAGGTTTTTCTAGTTATAAGATCATATTATCAGCAAAGAGAGACACTTTGACGTTTTCTCTTCTGATGTGGATGCCTTTTATTTCTTTCTGTTGCCTGATTGCTCTGGCCAGGACTTCCAGTACTTTGTTGAATAGGAGTGGTAAAAGTAGGCATCCTTGTCTTATTCCAGTTCTTAGAAGAAAGGCGTTCAGCTTTTCCCCATTCAGTATGATGTTACCTGTGGGTTTGTCATATATGGCCTTTGTTATGTTGAAGTATGTTCCTTCTAGGCCGAGTTTGTTGAGAATTTTTTTTTTTTAATCATGGAGGAATATTGAATTTTATCAAATGCTTTTTCTACGTGTGTTGAAATGATCATGTGGTTTTTGTCCTTTATTCTGTTTATGTGAGGAGTTGCATATGTTAACCATGCTTGCATCCCTGGGATAAATCCCAGTCAAGCTGTCCTCTGTCCCACCCCTGGTGGCGTGTGTAGGCACTGGCTCCACAGCCAGGCAGGGGTAGGGTGATCCCTATAGGCCACTGGGGAAATGGCCAGGTGCAGGCAGCAGCCTGTGTGCTGTGGCCCTGCTACTGGGGAGGGCAGGGTTGCTTTCAGTGGGAGCAGCCATAGGCAGGGGTCTGAGGGATGTGTACTTCACTAGCTTTGGCCCATAACTACCTGCATGACTAGCTGTGGTCAGTGGAATTGTCCTGGGGCATGTGAAAATGCACAGCTGCCTCTCTGCAGGGGGTGAAAACTGGGTCGAGTTGTTTCCAGTGGCTGCCTTCTTGGCCCCTGCAATGGTGGCTGAGGGGGAGAAATGTCAGTGGGACTCCGGGGATGTGGAGATGCAGGGGCTGTTGGGCCCGGGACTGGTTGCAGTCTGGTGGGAGCTGGGCTTTCAAAGTGGCACTGTGCTGTAGGTGCTTAAGACTTGGGGTTTGTGGGACCCAGCATGAGTTCCCCGTCTGGAGCAATGTCTCTGGTTGCACAGTCTCCAGGCAGTGCCTTAGGTTAGTCTCTGGGCCCCCCAGAGTGGAGGGGCTCTCTTGTGGCTAAGATTGCAGGAGTCCGTGGTGGGAATGTGGCACTTACCCTTTCTCTCCATTGGGAAGCCTGTCCTGGATGCCGGCCCACCCTGGCAGAGTAGGCTGCCTTGCTTCTGTCTCCTTCCCTGCTTTAGATGTTTCCTGTCATTTCTCTGTTGAATTCCAGTGGTCTGTCTTAGATGATCTATTTGAAGTGTGACTATCTACTCGCTATTTTGGTTCTTCTTGTGGAAGAAGCTGTAGGAGATGCCTCTTGTCAACCATCTGGAAGACCCTTGGGTTGATGCTTAAGTGCCCATAGAAGCTCATGCATGTGTTTCCAGGGACCCCAGTCCCTCTCCACCTTACACAGCAAAGGAGAGTGAGGTGGAGGCTATTTATAAGGATTGATGGGGGAAAAACACATTTAGAATGAATGGGTGATTGCCATTTGAGTCTGCATGAATTTAGGATTCTCCAGCTACTAAGAAGAGAGAAAATGTCCAGTTTTGTTGTTGTTTTGCTCCCCTGCCTCCCAGCGAAGAGGACTGAAAACACATTTTGGCTGAGAGATAAGCGATCACACTTGAGAGGGAAGAGCAGTGATGTAGGAAGGAAGAGACTGGCTGGGGTGCTGTGGGACCAGTTATGCTGGTCATTTGTTTTGTGATTTTGGGACATGTGGAGAATGTGGTGTAGGGGAAAATTTAGGGGGATTGGCAGACATAGGTCCTGGGTTCTAGTTCTAGGTCTGCCATAAATTCATTGTCATCAGAATTGAATCTTTTTCTTTTTTTTTTTTTTTTTTTTTTTTGAGGCTGGGTCTTACTCTGTCGCCCAGGCTGGAGTGCAGTGGCGTGATCTTGGTTCACTGCAACCTCTGCCTCCCAGGTCAAGTGAATCTCCTGCCTCAGCCTCCTGAGTGGCTGGGATTACAGGCATGCACCACCAAGCCCAGCTAATTTTTGTATTTTTAGTACAGACAAAGTTTCATCATGTTGGCAAGGCTGGTCTTGAACTCCTGGCCTCGTGCGATCCACACGCCTCGGCCTCTCAGAGTGCTGGGATTACAGGTATGAGCCACTGTGCCCAGCCCAGAATTGAATCTTGAGCATTCATTTGGGTATAGGGTCTTTTGATTGTTTAGGAAACAGTGAAGTTGGTTTCCACATGGGTTTGACATGGAGTTTTCCTCAATGTGAAGCAAAGGCAGAAGGAAAATGGTGATGTGTTTGGCTTTTCGTGAAGGTAAGTATATTTAATGTAATGGACTCTCCTTTATTCTAATATTGGGAATGCCCTACTTTTAATGTTAAATTCCTTTATGAAGTGATGGTGAAAGAAGTAGATGGTGGTTGGATTTTGTTTTTGTTTTTGTTTTTGTTTTTGTTTTGAGACAGAGTCTCGCTCTGTCACCCAGGCTAGAGTGCAGTGGTGTGCTCTTGGCTCACTGCAACCTCCGCCTCCCAGGTTCAAGCAATTCTCCTGCCTCAGCCTCCCAAGTAGCTGGGACTACAGATGCATGCCGCCATGCCCGGCTAATTTTTTGTGTTTTAGTAGAGACGGGGTTTCACCGTGTTGCCCAGGCTGGTCGTGAACTCCTGAGCTCAGACAATCTGCCCGTCTTGGTCTCCCAAAGTGCTGGGATTACAGGCGTGAGACACCGTGCCCAGTCTGTTTTTATTTTTTAATGACTTTATTGGCAACATAAAAAATTGACAACATTGTTTTAATCCTTTAAATTTGTTTTGAAATTTTAATGGTACACAGAATCTGTAACTCTTACATCAGATAACCTTTAAAGTTCCTTCCGGTTCTAACAGTTGGAGGTTCTAACCTTTTCTCACCACCTGTGAATGTGAGGCGAGAAGTTCAAGTGTCGCTTTATGTTTGTGTCCTAGAACAAGCCATATTTTTGCCTGGAAAGATCATAGTGCCATGATGTAAGTGTTTTATGAGTGCCTTATTTTCTTCAACTGAAACAAAACTTGAAGCATTACCTTAAATCTTAATTTGAACAAAGATTAGAATGGAAATAGTGGAAAAACATTCACTGTTATACATTGCTGATGGGGCTGTAAATTGGTGTAGGGCTCAGGAAAGTTTTTCTGAAAGGGCCAGATAGTAAATATTTGAAGGCCTCATAAGGTCTCTGTCACATGTTCTTCCTTCTCCCTCTCCTTTTTCTTCTTTTCTTTTTTTTAAAACAACTCTTTAAAAACATAAAAATATCCTTAGCTCGTGGACTAGATTTGACCTGTGGGATATAGTTTGCAACCCCAGTCTAGTGTCTCTGGAAGTGGTTTGGCTGTATCTAAGTTATGAATACATGGTTGTGCAGAGAGTGACTATGTAGGAATTTATCCTACAGATATTCTTGCACCTGTGCAAAATGCCCTGTGTACAAAGGTACTCATGGTAACATTGTTTAAAAGAGCAAAATACCAAAAACATCGTAAATATTCATTAGTTTTCAGGCACTGGTTAAATAGAATAGCTATACAACAGAATATGATACAGTCTTTGAAAAGTCTGAGGCTACTCTTTATGAAGTAATGTCTGCGATATAATATTAGGAGGGAAAAAAGCAAGATGGAAAATAATGTTTTTAGGATAATACCATTTATAGTCTAAAAAGAACAGGCCAGGCACAGTGGCTCACGCCTTTAATCCCAGCACTTTGAAAGGCTGAGATGGGTGGATCACTTGAGGTCAGGCGTTCAAGACCAGCCTGGCCAACATGGTGAAACCCCATCTCTACTAAAAAATACAAAAATTAGCCAGGCATGGTGGTGCGTGCCTACAGTCCCAGATACTCAGGAGGCAGAGGCAGGAGAATTGTTTGAACCTGGGAGGCGGAGTATGCAGCCGAGATCATGCCACTGCACTCCAGCCTGGACAACAGAATGAGACTCTATAAAAAAAAAAAAAAAAAAGAATAGTGTGTGTGTGCACACATGCTTGCTCACCTGCATACACATGCACTTGCACTTATTGTATGTACCGAGCATGTGGTAACTGTGGTTGTCACTGAGGAGAGCAACTGAATTGCATAGGGGCAGGAGTGACAGGAAAACTTACTTTTAAACTTTATATTATTTTGTAGCTTGTGAATTTAAAGCCATGTACATGTATCACCTATTCAAAAAATAAGTTGAATTAAAAAAACTGAAAATTGGGGAAATGATAATTTTCACTGTGAAAAATTAAATTATTGCTTGAAACAGATCTGAATCATTCTTCAATCACAGATGAATGTGCACTGCCCTGAAAAATGTACACATTCCATTCTCTTTCTTTACATGAAGCTGCTTTGATAGAATAATAATCTTAGCCCGCCTTTGTTCACCTGAGGTGGTGTGATACTCATCTGGAGAAGTTGGGTTGAAGGTTATGCTGTTGTTGGTGTTTCTTCTGATTTTTAAAATTGTGAGCAGATAGTCGTACTACAAGTTGACATGAAGAATGAATATGTGTGAAGAGAGTTTGGTTTGTTAACAAAATAAAATCTATAGGTGTGGAAGGTTGGTGCTGGAAGGCTCACTGAGACTCGTCCAACCCATTGGTTTTTTAAATATCCTAAGAGATAGAAGGCTTGCCCGAGGTCAGGCAGTTAGCAACAGCAGAGCCTGCACTTAGACTTGCTGATGTGGACAAAGCTGTGCCACTAGTGAGTGTTACTGTGTATAGCCTCAACCTTGATTTTCTGTATTCCTGATTCACTGTAAGGTGGAGATGTGGAACATGGCTCCCCAACGGCCATTCTTCCCTGAGTCATACCCAGCCGTGGAGACTGTGTTCTTTCCCCCAGCCCTTCCCACCTGAGAGAGCCTTGAACAGCTCACTTAGCAGTTCTTGTTCCTTACCCTGACCGGAAGGCCCAGCTACTCCTTTGGGTCTCTGAGACAGCTAAAGTGCTGGGCTAACGAAAGCCACTGTCTTTTCTGCAGGGGAGGGGTAACTTGTGGCCAAACACTATGGTGGAGAGAAGATGTGAGAGGAAAAGATGCAGGATCACTGATGTGTAGAAGTAGCTGAAGACGGAGAAGGGAT
The DNA here is from genome assembly GCF_000001405.40 of Homo sapiens. NCBI lineage: Eukaryota > Metazoa > Chordata > Mammalia > Primates > Hominidae > Homo > Homo sapiens. The sequence continues at coordinate 94,845,205 of NC_000012.12, read as the reverse complement.
ACGGTGTGGTAGATTGCAAGGGCGGCCAGTTCCCCACCTCTCCCTGGATCCACGCCTTTGCAGTTCTTTTCACTAAAGAGACACCCCTCAAGCCTGGGCTGGCCTCTTTATTTATTTGTTTGTTTGTTTGTTTATTTATTTATTTTAGACAGTCTTGCTCTGTTGCCCAGGCTGGAGTGCAGTGGCGTGATCTAGGCTCACTGATGCAACCTCCACCTCCCGGGTTCAAACAATTCTTCTATCCCAGCCTCCTGAGTAGCTGGAATTACAGGCACATGCCACCATGCCTGGCTAATTTTTGTATTTTTAGTAGAGACGGGGTTTCGCCACGTTGGCCAGGCTGGTCTCGCACTCCTGACCTCAGGTGATCTGCCCATCTCGGCCTCCCAAAGTCCTGGGATTACAGGCATGAGCCACCGCGCCTGGCTTGGGCTGGCCTCTTGACATTGGCTTTGGCCAACAGGATGCAGTAGTAGTGATGGAGGGTATGCCAGCTCCAAGCCCAGGTCTTAAGAGACTGCATGATCCTGCTTGCTCTCTTGCACATACACCATTGTCTTGCAGATGTTCTCAGAGCAGAGCTGAATTACCCTAAACTTCCCAGCCAAAGACTTCCTAAATCAGCAAAGAACCAGCTGATTGCAGGGTGGTAATTACTCCAGGGCCAGTAATCTCAGCCAGGATCAGCAGAGCCACCTAACTGACCACTCCAGACACTTGAGCTATGAGCCCTTACTGCTGTATGCTAGTGAGGTCCTCTGATTACTTTTGCACAGCATTATTGTGAACTGGATAACTGATACACATGGGGATGGTGGGAAATGGACAGGCAGTGGTCCTGTGTTCAGAAATGGAGAAACTCTCTCCTCCTCTCCTCCTATATAACACTGTCTGAAAACATGGAGCAGTATTTCTGGTACAGTAGGAAAACAAAATAAAACAAACCAGCCATGGCCAACTCTCAGCATCAGGAAAGTACAGCATAGTTGGTGAAGTGCTACAAAGGGAAAGTGAACCTCCAGGCAAGGACTGTATCTAGCAAAGCCGTCAGAAATGTCAGCTGTGGCTGGGTGCGGTGGCTCACGCATGTAATCCCAGCACTTTGGGAGGCCAAGGTGGACAGCTCACTTGAGGTCAGGAGATCGAGACCAGCCTGGCCAACATGATGAAACCCTGTCTAAAATTACAAAAATTAGTCAGGCGTGGTGGTGGGCACCTGTAATCCCAGCTACTTGGGAGGCTGAGGCAGGAGAATCACTTGAACTCAGGAGGTGGAGGTTGCAGTGAGCTGAAATCATGCCACTGCACCAGCCCGAGTAACAGAGTGAGACTCCGTCTCAAAAAAAAGAAAAAAGAGAAAAAGAAATGTCCATGGTAATACTAGCATTTCAAAGGACTGCCTTCCCTTCCTCCATAAATCGTTTAACTTCATCTATTGGGAATTTTGTCCTTTTACCATGGGGTCGTGGGTTGCTCTTCCAATTTTACTAATGAGCTTATTCGAGTTCCAGATATGAGATAATTCCCCTGTTCTATGAGTGCTATCACACTCTAGTAGAAGAACTATCCAAATCATATGAATAAAACACCGGATAAAGCACATGAAAAAGTTCAAAAAGAAATGCTCATAAAAGAGTAATTCAGGATGTATATGTAACATTTTATCCTAGGAATATGAATTTTTTAAAGGAAGTCTGTAACTAGACTCTTTGGTCAGTTTCAGTTAAGATAAACTATATGATGATCACAATAGATTCCTAAATTACATTTGACAATTCAGTACCTGTCGTTAATTTAAAAAATATAATTCTTATAAAAATAAGATTTTTTACATGATTTATGTATATTATAAACCAAAAAATAAATTTTGTATGTCTGTGCACCCACACATACATATCTCTTAAACCAGTATTTAATGTCATACTCAATGGTGAAACATTAGAGATTCCCTTTAAAATAAAAAAACTAAGATGATATTTATTATTCTGGAATTTCTTGTCAGTACAATAAAGCATGAAACATATGAAATATAGCTGATAGCAGGAAGTAAAAAGTTTTTAAAAAATAAACAACATAATTACATAACAATAAAAAAGAAACAAATGTATGGTAACACTCCTAAACTTATTGACAACTCAGTAAAGTTGTGGATTTATACATGAAGAATAATAGCTTTATTATATACCAGCAACAATCTGTTAGATATAATAGAGAAAATGCTTCTAGTTATAATAACAGCAAAAAAGCGTAAAACCTTTAGAAAAACTCACAGCACATTGCTGGACTAAGTAAATAATGGAATTTACTAGGAGATATTTTTTAAAATTTTGAACAAAGGAGATATCAGGTTTGTGGATATTAGAACATTGAATATTTTACATGTATTATTTTTCTCCAAGTTATTTTGTAAATTTTATGTTAAGCCCATGTAGTTCTGCAGAAAATGTTCATTGCTACAATCTCTCTATGCGCTCAGTTTGGTAATGTGTGGAGAAAGCCTTGAAAGAGTCCCTGTCCTTTAGGCTGTAAGGAACAGAAAACCTGGTAAAAATGGTTTACACAGAAAGAAGTTTAGGTTTATCATCTCACTGTCCAGAGGTGGAGTGTTTCCAGGAAATTCAGCAGCTCAAAAACATCACAAAGGACATGAGTGTTTCCTTTTCCTTCTCCGCCATCCTGAGTATATCAGTTTGTTCCCATAGACTTAAGTCCTCATGGTCAGGATGGCTGCATCAGTTCCGGGCATTGCATCTTTATACACTCATCTCTAGAGTTGAGAAAAGGAACCATTCCTTCTTGCATGGGTATTTGTAAAGAAAAGCTTTTTCCAAAAGCTCCCAAAAGACCTCTCTCATGTCTCACTGGCCAGAATTGCATTAAATGGCCTATACTAAAACAGGTGGTGGGCTAGATTTAGCTAGTAGCTTAGACTATCAGGATTCTCCTTTCTCTTCCTTGTTGGGGAGAGGCTCCTCACTCTGAGCACATGGTAGAACGCAGGGTAAACAATGGAACAAAATGTGTCTCTGCCAGCAAAGAAGTGTATGTGTGTGTGTGTGTGTGTGTGTGTGTGTAGGGGGACTGGCTTTGACTAGCAGTCTATACTCGTTGAATCAAGAATTTCAGTTCTAGAAGCTTATTTTAAAGAAATAAGCACAGAGTTGAACATAGCTTTCTGTACTCAAATGAACAATAATACTTACAATAATGAATAAATAATTTCATTATTTAATTATAGAAACTACAGAAACATATGCACACGTTTAAATTATTGTACATCCATGATAAATAGAATATTTAAACCATTAAAAATTACGTTTTCAGACACTAATGGCATAAGAAAAGCTCTATTGAATGTTTTCAGTGGGAGGAGAAAGATACGGAATTAAAACTAAGTGGATTTCATTTTCATTCAGTCACACTAATATACTGAAGACTGGGGAAAAACACCACCAGAATGTTGGTTTTATTCTAGTGATAAATTATGGGCGGTTTTCTCCTTTTCTGTATTTTCTGACTTTCTCCAATTAGTAATACTTTTAAGATCAGAATAATTAACAGCACTAAAATCACACACTTCAATTGTATCAGTTAGATTTTGCTGGATAACAAACTATCCTAAAATGTGGTGACATAACTATTTAGCCCATGGTTCTGCAGGCAAGCAATGTAGGCTGGGCCCATGTGGGCAGTTGTCTTCTTGGCTGGGCTGGCTCATCTTTATACCACATGTGTTCTCGTTCTCCAGCAGCTAGCCTTGACTTGTTCTCATGGCTGTGAAGCAGGGTTCTGAGAGGGAGCATAAGAGAGCAGAGCCTCGTGGGCCTGCGTTCAGGAACTGGCACATTACCAACTCTGTCTGCCACATTGTGTTGGCTAAAGTAATCCACATGGCCATCCCAGCTTCAAGGTTTGGTAAACAAACTGTCTCCCTTGATGAAAGAAGCCACATAATCACACTGAGTAAAGGGTGTGGATACAAGGGAGTGGGATGGAGGATTTGGGGCCATTTTTGCAAGCAATCTATCACTTCATCTTAAAAAGAAAGAAAACAGCAACAAGAGTCTTACCCAAAGATTAAACAAATAAAATATGAACTAAAAGGCATACGTTTAGGTGATGAGAACTTTATTTTTTGAGACGGAATGTCACTTTGTCTCAAAATCATATAGTTCATTGCAGCCCAAAACTCCTGGGCTCAAGTGGATTCTCCCACCCCAGGCTCCCCTCCTGCCTCAGCCTCCTGAATAGCTGGGAGCACAGGCATATGCCACCATACCTAGCTAATTTTTTATTTATTTATTTTTAAAGACGGGCTCTTGCTATGTTGCCCAGGCTGGTCTAGAACTCCTGGCCTCCCAAAGCACTGGGATTATAAGCATGAACCACTGCGTCTGGTTGATGAGAACTTTTAAATAAATGCTTTCCTTTAAGGTGATGGGGAAGATTTTATCTTTTCTTCTCATTCATGACTTGTTGAGAGTTTCGTGACAGCATATCTCTTGAGGAAGCACTAAGCATTTAATCAAGAAAGAGAGAGGAGAAAGCAAAACCTCTCTGTAAATGAATTAATATTGATGCACTTTCAGAATTTGTTCTTTGGGTGTGTTAATAACTCATTCTATGCGGGTCTTCAAAGTGCTGAGTGATGGGACCATAGCCAGAAGCAACAGGCTAGAGCCTTGCCATGCTTGGGGGCTTATCACTTTTCATCCAGGTCCTCGCAGCAGTGGTAATTAGGAAAGACCCTTGGGGTACAGCCTCCAGTGAAAATAGAGGATACATGCTGTTCCTCCTGGATGCATGGTCATCATGGCTATGGTATTCATTAGTGAGAGAGGCTCTGATGCATCCCAAACTGGGGGTGTCTGGGCAACCTCAGGGATTTTATGGGAACCTGAAGCCTTAGGATACACGTGCTGCATCTTCTTGGAGCATTGCTTTGTTTGGTTTAGTTTTCACACTTTTTTTTTTTTTTTTTTGAGACAGAGTCTCACCTTATCGCCCACGCTAGAGTGCAGTGGCGCGATCTCAGCTCACTGCAACCTCCACCTCCCGGGTTCAAGCGATTCTCCTACCTCAGCCTCCTGAGTACCTGGGATTACAGGCGCGTGCCACCACACCCAGCTTATTTTTATATTTTTAGTAGAGACAGGGTTTTATCATGTTGGCCAGGCTGGTCTCGAACTCCTGACCTCAGGAGATCCACCCACCTCGGCCTCCCAAAGTGCTGGGATTACAGGCATGAGCCACCACGCCTAGCCTAATATGAGTATCTTAAACAACATGGTATGTTCATCAAAATGAAAACATTTACCTTGGTACAACACTGTTAACTTTAGTTGTTAACTACATACTTTATTCACATTTTCCCAGTTTTTCCTCGAATGTTATTTTCTGTTCCAGGATCCAATCCACATTTTATTTAGTTGTCATGTCTCCTTAGTCTCCTCCGATGTATGATACTTTCATCTTCCCTTGTCTTATATGGCTGCTATAGTTTGGATGTTTGACCCTTGCTAATCTCATGTTGAAATCTGATTTCCAGTGTAGGAAGTGGGTGCCTAATGGGAGGTGTTTGGGTCATGGGGGTGGATCCCCAGTGAATAGCTTGGTGCTGTCCTTGTGGTAATGAGTGAGTTTTCACTCTGTTAGTTCCCATGAGAGCTGGTTGCTAAAAAGAGCCTAGCACCTGTACTCTCTTTCTCTCTCTTTTTTTGTGATAAGGTCTTGTTCTTTCACCCCGGTTGAAGTGGACTGGTGTGATCACGGCTCACTGCAGCCTCAACCTCCTGGGCTCAAGAGATCATCGCACCTCAACTCCCCGAGTAGCTGTGACTTAAGGCACGCATCACCTTGCCCAGTTAATTTTTCTATTTTTTGTAGAGATGGCGTTTCACTATGTTGTCCAGGCTGGTCTCGAACACCTGGGCTCAAGAGATTCTCCCCTTTTGGCCTCCCAAATTGTTGGGATTACAAACATGAGCCACCGTGCCCGGCCCCTCTCCTCTCTCTTGCTTCTCCTCTCACCATGTGATCTCTGCACACACCAGTTCCCTTTCACCTTCTGCCATGAGTGGGAGCAGCCTGAGGCCCTCACCAGAAGCAGATGCTGGCACCATGCTTCTTGAATAGCCTGCAGAACCATGAGCCAAGCATGCAGATGTTGCTTTATAACAACACTAAAAGGCTTGAGACGTATGACCTTGACACTTTTGAAGAGTCGTGTTCAGGCATTTTATAGAATGTTCTTCCATTTGGGTTTGTCTAGTGTCTTCTCAGGATTAGACTGAGGTTATGGACTTTGGGGACAAATACGATTCAGGTGATACGCTGTTCTCACTGCGTCCTTTGAAGGAGTACATGATGTCAAGATGGCTTGGTACTGGTGATGTCTCATGTCTGCTAGGTTTCACTACTGTAAGGTTACTGTCTTTCCCTTTCCATCATTGATTAAGTAGAGAGGAATCACCAAGTCCAGCCCATACTCAGGGCATGGGGGGATTAAGTTCCACCTCATGGAGGAGTATCAAAGAGTCTGTGGACATATTTTAAAACCACCACAGTAATTAATATTTGTATTAGTATTCAGCTAGGAGATATTTTAAGGTTGTGCAGATAATGTTTCTCCATAAAGTTTCACACATTAATTTTATCTTCATCAGTGGATCTTGTTAAAGCAGTTATTACTATGGTGTTTAATCATGATTTCTTCTTTTCTTTCTTAAAAAAAAATTTATAAACTGTAAAGTTCTGTATTAATGTCCATAATCCTGCTGTCACCGAAAGTGCAACAGCTGATCATTCCCAGGAAGACTGAAGGCCATAATTTTTTTTAGGGCAAACATTTCTGCTCCAGTGAAATACAGGTGATTTTCTATTTTCCTAATTCTTTCTATAATTATTAATTGGAATTCTTTTGTAAGGAAGATCTGTCCCTTTTGCTATATTTACTTAGTCACTTATTTATTTCAGTATAGGCTCACAGATATTTGTTTTATTCTATGATCTTATACTACTATCCCCCCTTTTTTCCCTCTAATTTGTTCCAGCTTTGGCTATTGGGAACTCCTTCAGTTTGGCTTATACGTCCATTTGACATGCCCCATCTTTCTTCTTTTTTCCTTTTCTCACCCTTTCCTTTTTAAAAAAAGCACCTCCTTTGCTTTCTGGCATTCTAAGATGTCCAGGTTCATCTTGTATTTTCCTTGCTGCAGTTCTTGAGCCAGCCATTTCTTCAAGGAACACTGGTCTCTTGGAGGTCATCTGGAGGATGGTATTTAGAAACCAAGATCCAGATACTAAGTGTGCTTGTTGCTGTAGGGACATCACAGCTTCAAGGCCGCCTGAGTGGAAAAAGCTAGGAAATATATGTGACATGTACACCCATATATAGTGTGTGTGTGTGTGTGTGTGTATATATAATGTATATACACACACATCCCTATATTTCTGTATCTGTGTGTGTGTATAAAACAATGCCGGCCAGGCATGGTGGCTCATGCCTGTAATCCCAGCACTTTGGGAGGCCGAGGCGGGCGGATCACGAGGTCAGGAGTTCGAGACCAGCCTGGTCAATATGGTGAAACCCCATTTCTACTAAAAATACAAAAAAATTAGCCAGACATGGTGGCGCACACCTGTAGTCCCAGCTATTCAGGAGGTTGAGGTAGGAGAATCGCTTGAACCCGGGAGGAGGAGGTTGCAGTGAGCCGAGATTGCGCCACTGACTCCAGCCTGGGAGACAGAGTGAGACTCTGTCTCAGAAAAATACAAAAAACAAACGAACAAAAATCAATGCCATGAGTCATACTGATATTGCGACATCACTTTTACTCAGTAACTTTTTGGAGAACATGATTTTAAATTTTATTTTTTTTTAATGAGAATAAACTTATACAGTTGACCTATTAGGATGGCATTTGGCCACAAGCAAAAGAAGAGTTATCCAACAGTACTGTAAACAAGCAGGGGTCCACATTCCTCACAGTCATCCTTGGAATAAGTGGAGGCTGGCCTGGGCACAGAGACCAGGACAGTGTTAGTGCTCAGGGCTGAGATCCTCTTGGCCTTCCTGGCTCTTTCCCCATGGCGGCAGATGGCTGCTATAGCAGCACTAAAGGCAGTGGAAGGGTCAAAAGGCTTCTTTTGTGTGATATGGTTTGGATATTTGTCCCCGCCCAAATCTCATGTTGAAATCTAATCCCCAGTGTTGGAGGTGGGGCCTGGTGGGAGGTGTTTGGGTCATGGGGCAGATCCCTCATGTCTTGGTGCTGTCCTTGATATAGTGAGTGATAGTGAGTGAGTTCTCAGGAGATCTGGTTGTTTAAGTTTGTGGCACCTCTGCCCCAACTCACTCTTGCTCCTTCATTCGCCATGCCATGTGACATGCCTGTTCCCATTTTGCCTTCTGCCATGAGTAAAAGCTCCCTGAGGCCTCCCTGGAAGCTGTGCTCAGGATGCTGGTGCCATGCATGTACAGCCTGCAGAACAGTGAGCCAGTTAAAACTCTTCTCTTTATAAATTACCCAGTGTCAGGTATTCCTTTATAGCAGTGCACGAATGGCCTAATACGCTTTGCATAAACCTATGTCTTTTTTTTTTTTTTTTTTTTTGAGATGGAGTTTTGCTCTTGTCGCCCAGGCTAGAGTGCAGTAGCATGATCTCGGCTCACTGAAACCTCTGCCTCCCAGGTTCAAGCGATTCTTCTGCCTCAGCCTCCCGAGTAGCTGGGATTACAAGCATGTGCCACCATGCCCGGCTAATTTTTGTATTTTTAGTAGAGACGGGGTTTCACCACGTTGGCCAGTCTGGTCTTGAACTCCTGACCTCAGGTGATCCGCCTGCCTCAGCCTCCCAAAGTGCTGGGATTACAGGTGTGAACCACCGCACCTGGCCAAACCTATGTCTTTTTATTGGGAAAGGAAAGTTTCCCTGCTGACCTCCCTGTTTAGTGAGAACCGAGTTATTCTTGCCTTTGACTTGTCACTGGCCAAAGAGAAGGAGAAAACCAAAGAAAAGGTTGAATCCCATCATCATTCACTTTCTGAGGCTGAGAGAGGGACCTGTCCTCCCTCAGATTGGGCTCAAAGGGGACAGAAAGGGCTGCTGGGTGTGCACATATAGGGTGGCCTAGGATGTAGACTTCTTAGGAACTTTTAAAGATAGGAGATACTTAATGCTTACCTTCCAGAAGGAGAAATGGAGACACAGAAAGGTTAATGTACTGGCCAAAAGTCACAGAGTATGTGCTGGAGCCAGGGTTGGAAGCCAAGGAGTGTGGTTCCAGAGTCTGTAGACACACGCTAGCCACAGGCACGTTGGATACAGTACACTCTGGGATCTGGACCTGCAGGAATGCAGGCCCGTGTTGAAAAGGTGCCAACCCCTCTGGCTCATTGTGGGTCCTGGCAATCCACATTGCAGGGTCACCTTTTTTTTTTTTTTTTTTGAGACGGAGTCTCGCTCTGTCGCCCAGGCTGGAGTGCAGTGGCGGGATCTCGGCTCACTGCAAGCTCCGCCTCCTGGGTTCATGCCATTCTCCTGCCTCAGCCTCCCAAGTAGCTGGGACTACAGGCGCCCGCCACTACGCCCGGCTAATTTTTTGTATTTTTAGTAGAGACGGGGTTTCACCGTTTTAGCCGGGATGGTCTCGATCTCCTGACCTCGTGATCCGCCCGCCTCGGCCTCCCAAAGTGCTGGGATTACAAGCGTGAGCCACCGCGCCTGGCCCAGGGTCACCTTTTTGACTGAGATGTTTTCTGTTATAGTTGTCCCTTAGGCAATGTGAAGAGGCACCCCTGTCCATTACACCGTAATTTGACTTGGCCTTCTGGATCATTTTATGTGTTGACATTTGCCCAAGAGGAGCCTGGGGATTAGACTGGAACTTTTCTTTGCTCTTGTTTTTTTTTTTTTTTCTTCCCTTGAGCCATAAAATTTTGCTGGCAGGTCAGGGGAAGAACCAGGGGTAAGGGTCTCTTCCTTCCCATCCTCCTACCCAGGAGACGTGCTTTGAGGAGAGCAGAGGCCCCAGAGCCTGCAGCCTCAGAGGACCTTGGAGGTGGACAGGTTGTTGTAATGATCTTCCTGGCCCTCAAGCAGGCTGCGATAGGTGGCGATCTCCTGCTCCAGGAGCCGCTGGTACTCCTGATTCTGCCACTCACCATCAGCTCGCACATCGCCCAGCTGGGCTTCAATACTGCTGATCAGTGCCTGGATCTGCACCAGCTGGGCTCCAAAGCATGCCTCTGTTTCTGCCAGTGTGCCTTCTAAGGGAGCTTTCACGCTGAGCTGCGAGTGCAGCTCAATCTCAAGACCCTGGAGGGTGCACTGCAGGTCAGTGACCTCAGACCTGCTTATCTGGAGCTGCTCTATGTGGCCAGTGACCTCCTGGTTCAGTTCCTCAGTCCAGCTGGTGAACCAGGCTTCAGCATCCTTCCAGTTCTGCTTGGCCATGATCTCATATTGGCTTTGCCTGTCACTCAGGATCTTGGCAGGTCCGAGCTGAATCCACCCTCACATGGACCTGGTCTCCCACTTGGCCCCTCAGGGCATTGATTTCCTCCTCATGCTTCTTCTTCAGGTAGGCCAGCTCTTCCTTCAGGCCTTTGATCTGTGCCTCCAGATCAGTCCTGGCCAGGGTCACCTCATCCAGCACCCAAACACTCAAACCAAACTTGGTTCAGAAGTCATCTGCAGCCAGTTGAGCATTGTTGATCTGCAGGACAATCCTGGCGTTCTCAATGGTGGCACCAAGAATCTTGTCCCGCAGGTCCTCGATGGTCCTGTAGTAGTGGCTGTAGTTGTGGGAGGGCCTGTGCCCCTGCTTCTGGTACTAGTCACGGAGCTTCACCTCCAGCTTGCTGTTGGCTGCCTCCAGGGCGTGCACCTTGTCCAGGTAGGAGGCCAGGCAGTTGTTGAGGTTATGCATGGTGAGCTTCTCGTTGCCCGCAAGCAATCCGTTGGACCCAGACAGGATGCCGCTGTAGCCCCCCGAAGGAGGACAAGGACACGCCGCGGCTGCTGGAGCCCCTGTGCCTGCTGGGGGACTGGAACTTTTCTAGTGAGCAGTAGAGACTGCAGTCCAGCTCGTAGGCAGCCACAGTGCTGAAGGAAGGAGCAGCCATTAGGATAGTTATGTGCTTGTCCTGGCTCTGTCACTACAAAGATTTGTGACCTCAGGCAAGGTCCCGAATCAGATGGTCTTAAGACAGTGTATCATTTCATCTGACTTTGATGGGCACAGACATACAGTCCCCCTTTTTCTGTCTCATTTCCCTCATCTGTGAAATAGGGGAACTGGAGGGATAATCTGGATAAACCTTAACATGCTTGTCAGAGGAAAGTGGGGCCCTGAACAAGAGCTGGGAGGCCCCCAGTACTTCTCTCTGCTATCTGTTCTGTGTCTTCTGTCCACTCCTTCATATGAGCTACAAGGAATCTCTGCAAAAGAGGTGAGGTGGGAACTCAAACTGAGAGGAGTGGAGACTGAGGACAAGCCAGGAAGATACGTGCCGAGAAAGATGCCAGGTGAACTCGATCTTAGACCCCACGGCGGCGTTCTCTCTGGGCCCTGGCTAGTGTCAGTCAGTGATCTCAGAGTCAGCAGATCTATTTCTCGCATCTGGATGCCAAAAAGCAGGAAATCCCTGGTCTTGGCTGGGATCAGGGGATAATCTCAGATGTGAAGGATAGGGCAGCAAGCCCTCAGATGGGCTTCCAGGCAAGTCTTGTCCCCAGTGGGAGCCCATAATTCCTTTTTTCAGCCACTTGGATCTTTTGCTTTTTAGTTTTGGTGACTGATCTTCTGTTCCAGCCAGGGAAAAAAAATTATCTGCGCAGAGGCTTGCTCCAGGATTCTCTTTCTTCTTCTTCTTCTTTTAACTAGGGACTGCTGATGTCGTCACTTCTGTTTTATTTTCTTTTGGAATTTATTCCTATTTTACAGAGTCCTTCCCTGGCCTGATGCTCTCAGGCATAAGCTTCGTGGTTAAGCTTCCCCCTTCCCCCTAAGTCTTGTTCTCTTCCCAGACACAGGCACTTCCCCCTTGGCTGTCTGAGTAAACACAGCCCCTGCCTCTTGGGATTCTACCTAATAGCCCTTTTGCCATTTGAGGCCTGGCCTGGTATCAAGTTTCTTCTTTTAAAAAACAGCCTTGGGCTGGGCGCTGCGGCTCTGCCTGTGAGCACTTCGGGAGACGGAGGCAGGCAGATGGCTCTGGGTCCAGGGGTTTAAGGCCCGCCTGGGCAACATGATGAAACCTCATCTCTTCAAAAATACAAAAATTAGCTGGGTGTGGTGGCATGCACTTGTGGTTCCAGCTATGGGTGGTGGGGGCTCTGGAGCAGGAGGATTGCTTCTGAGCCTGGGAGGTGGAGATTGCGGTGAGCTGTGATCGCACAACTGCATTCCAGCCTGGGTAACAGTGAAACCCTGTCTCAAAAAAATAAAAATAAAAATAAAAAAATAAAAACAGCCTTTAAAACCCACATTTATTTTGATTTCTAAAGCAATATATGTCTGTTGTGGAAAATTTGGGAAATAAAAGTAATAAAGAAGACAATAAAGATCAACCTTAATCCCAGTGCCCAGAGAATTAATGTTTCATGCATTTTATTTCACTTTCTTCTGGAAGTATGTATATACATGTGGGTATGAATATTTAACATAGTTGGAGCCATACTGTACCTAATGGTTTATAATACGTTTTGCTTTTATGTTCTCACTAACCCCTGTGGATATGACCCTAGACATGTCTTTGAATTTTTTGAAGTTAAATTATGCTCTACTTATTTAGTGACCATACACTCACTTTCTACCTTTTTTTCCTATCATCCCTTCTTTACTCTCATTCCCCTGTCTGTTTTAGGATGATGATGAGGAGGAGGAGGATGATCAGTCATATAGAAACTCTCGGTATTGATACATTCATGCTTGGAGTGCTCTGTAATGTTGATGCTGTTATTATCCTCTTATTAATGGAAGAGAAAACAGAAGTTAAGGAAATTGCCCAGGTTACGTGCCCTAGTAAGGGACAGAACTGGATTTGAACTTTGACACTAGCTGCAGAGTCTGGACTAGCCTCCCTTGATATTCTTCTTGTGAGCGCTTCTTTTCTGGGTCGAAGATAGCCTGATAGCATTTTCCAGATTTTGTGGATAAAGCTGGGTGTTAGTCTTGGCCTGGCCACTTCCATCCTCTGTGGCCTTTAGTAAGTTATTTCACCTCTCTAGATCCCTGTGGGCCTTTTTGGGTCTCAGGGTCTATGACTTTCTAGTGGAAAGAAAACAACAGAGACAACTTTCAAGGACAGGCCCAGAATGATAGGAATATCATTGTCTACTTGATTTCAGGGACACTTACATTTGGCTCTAAAAGACATTTCTGTGAGGAAGTTGGTTTTCTCCACACTTTACTAAGGCAGGAGCTAGGTGGTGCCCAGGAGAAGTCCCCACAGGGGCTGTGAGGTTTTCTTGGATGCTAAGTTAGAGCGGTCCTCATGAAGGGTAAGCCCCATGACATATTTCCCTTGAGTGTGCTGAGGTCACAGGGCTTCTGTGGCTCACCAGCAAGTGTGGGGAGTGAAGAGCATGTGTCCCTCCCTGGCACAGGCACCCGGCCCCCTGCCGTGTTGTGGTATCTCTTCCCAGATGATCTTTGAGGTGTGTGGCTGGAAGAATGCTCCAGTCAGCTAAAGTGGGGTTCTTTAGTCGCAGTGTGTGCTGGTGGGCGAGTGAGGTGGGCTGGGCAAGCCAGAGGTGACTGCTCTGCTTTTCCTGACATCAGTGATGGGGTTGTCTTGCTTGGTGCACAGGTATTTTTCCAGGGTTCTGTCCTTCCACTCACTGACCAGAAAAAGAAAAAGAGAACAAGAAGACGCTTGTCTTACAAAATAGAAAGTTTACCCCATGCAGTTTCCCTTCCCTTTTCATATAGATGTTACAAAGCAAAAACACACACCCACAATGAGGGGTTTTTGAACTTGGCTGGGTTTCAGCTGTCACCCAGGAAGCAGTCAGCACTGTACGTGGCCCGTTGCTTTACTCTGCAGGTGTTGGTGATTCTCGGGTGCAAGGCCTGGCAATTGTGTTCCTGTGCCAGGTCCTCTGCACATGGCTTTCTTTGTTTAGTGTTATTTCCCCTGTTTGCCAGGCTTCTCTGAGGAGATGCTGACATTTTTTCTTTGTCCAGTTCTCCTATCCTAGAAACAAACAAAAACTGCACCTTTTAAAAATGTTTTTTTCCTATGGTTGAATTGGAAAATATCTTGCTTTAGCCAGGGAATAGCACAGCTTTTGTTCTGTTAGTGAAATGATCCAGGGATTTTATTTCAAAGTATAAGGTCCCTAAGATAAGGAATGAGGGTTATAAGGGAACATGGTTATGTTTGGGCAGTCAATTAAATTGAATATAGCAGTGATGAAGCACTAAATGTACATTAGGAACATACACATATCAGTCAAGTTTTCAAGTCTCCCAAGGAAACTACAGTCATAGTGATGGTAATGATGATGTGTTGATAATAAAAAAATAACATCGGCATTTGTTGAGTATTTACCATGTGCTGTTAATAGATAGTGTGCTAGTTTAAAACAACTCTGTAGTATGTATTAATTTTTTGTATCAGAACAAGAAACTGAAACTCAGTCTAAGTAACATGCTAAAGTCAGCTAGTAAGTAGGAGTGCTGGGTTTTACACACAGATTGAGTCCACAGTTCCAACCCTTAACCTCCAGGCAAACTGCCTGCAAAATCATATTTTAACAGATGTGGGGCCGGGCATGGTGGCTCATGCCTGTAATTGCAGCACTTTGGGCCAAGGTGAGTGGATCGTTTCAGGTCAGGAGTTTGAGACCAGCCTGGCCAACATGATGAAACCCTGTCTCTACTAAAAATGCAAAAATTAGCTGGGCATGGTGGCAGGCGCCTGTAATCCCAACTACTTCGGAGGCTGAGGCAGGAGAATTGCTTGAACCCAGGAGTCGGAGGTTGCAGTGAGCTGAGATTGTGCCACTGCATTCCAGCCTGGATGACAGAGCAACACTCTGTCTCAGAAATTAATAATAATTAAAAAAAGAGATCTGGGTATTTTAGCTTTAATTAAAAAAATAATAAAGAGAGATAGAGTCTTGCTATGTTTCCCAGGCTGATCTCAAACTCCTGGGCTCAAGCGTTTTTCCTGCCTTGGCCTCCAGAGTAGCTGGGACTACAGGTGTGCACCATCGTGCCTGGCTTATAGCTTTAAATTTTGAGATACCTGAAGAAAGTGCTTTTGATAAATAAAATTGAAGAAGAAGGAAATGTATTCTTTCTCTCCATTTTGTTTCTATCTTTGGATTGCCTGTGACTCATCATGAATATGACTGGAAGATCTGCCCTCTGAACTGAGCCCATAACTTTACTGAGGTATAATTTACATATCTAAAGTCCATCCATTGTAAATACATTGATTTTTAGTGAATTTGTAGAGTTGTGCAATCATCTCCGTAATCCATGTTTATAGAACATGCCCATTACAGCACAAGGTGGCCTTGTGCCCACTTGCAGTTAGTCTCTTCTCCCACCCCCAGTCCTGGGCAACCACTAATCCACTTTCTATCTTCATACATTTGCTTTTGCTAGAAATTTCATATAAGTGGAATGATTTAATATAGGGTTTTGTGACGGGCTTTTTCTCCCTTAGCATGTTTTTGACCCTTTTCACTGTTGTAATGTACATTGGTAGTTCCTTTTTGTTGCTGAGTATCTCATTATATGGATATACAACATCTTGTTAACTCATTCACCAGTTGATGTTCGTTTGAGTTGTTTCTACATTTTGGCTATTATGAATAATGCTGCTATAATCATTTGTATGCAAGTTTTTGTGTAGACAAATGTTTTTATTTCTCTTGGGTAGACACCTAGAATTGCAATTCCTGGGACATATGGTAGATGTATATTTAACCTTTTGAAAAGCTGTTACAGTGCCTTCCACGGTGACTGTACCATTTAACCTTCCCATCTCTGGGGTATGAGGGGGTTCCAGTTGCTCCACATCCCATTCTACACTTGATATTGTCTGTCGTTTTGACTATAGCCATTCTGGTGGGTGTGTAGTAGTATCTCATTGTGGTTTTAATTTGCATTTCTGTAATGACTAATGATATTGAGCATTTTTGCGTGTGCTTATTAGCTGTTTATATATATATTTTATTATACTTTAAGTTCTAGGGTACATGTGGACAATGTGCAGGTTTGTTACATATGTATACAGGTGCCATGTTGGTGTGCTGCACCCATTAACTCATCATTTACATTAGGTCTATCTCTTAATGCTATCCCTCCCTCCTCCCGCCACCCCATGACAGGCCCTGGTGTGTGATGTTCCCCACCCTGTGTCCAAGTGTTCTCATTGTTCAGTTCCCACCTGTGAGTGAGAACATGCGGTGTTTGGTTTTCTGTCCTTGCGATTGTTTGCTCAGAATGATGGTTTCAAGCTTCATCCATGTCACTACAAAGGGCATGAACTCATCCTTTTTTATGGCTGCATAGTATTCCATGGTGTATATGTGCCACATTTTCTTAATCCAGTCTATCATTGATGGACATTTGGGTTGGTTCCAGGTCTTTGCTATTGTGAATAGTGCCACAGTAAACATATGTGTGCATGTGTCTTTATAGCAGCATGATTTATAATCCTTTGCATATTTATAGCAGCATGATTTATAATCCTTTGCGTATATACCCAGTAATGCGATGGCTGGGTCAAATGGTATTTCTAGTTCTAGATCCTTGAGGAATCGCCACACTGTCTTCCACAGTGGTTGAACTAGTTTACAGTCCCACCAACAGTGTAAAAGTGTTCCTATTTCTCCACATCCTCTCCAGCACCTGTTGTTTCCTGACTTTTTTGGTCCATATGAACAGTTAGAATGACTTCGCCATTCTAACTGGTGTGAGCTGGTATCTCATTGTGGTTTTGATTTGCATTTCTCTGATGACCAGTGATGATGAGCATTTTTTCACGTGTCTGTTGGCTGCATAAATGTCTTCTTTTGAGAAGTGTCTGTTCTTGTCCTTTGCCCACTTTTTGTTGGGGTTGTTTGATTTTTTTCTTGTAAATTTGTTTAAGTTATTTGTAGATTCTGGATATTAGCCCTTTGTCAGATGGGTAGGTTGTACAAATTTTCTCCCATTCTGTAGGTTGCCTGTTCACTCTGATGGTAGTTTCTTTTGCTGTGCAGAAGTTCTTTAGTTTAATTAGATCCCGTTTGTCAATTTTGTCTTTTGTTGCCATTGCTTTTGGTGTTTTAGTCATGAAGTCCTTGCCTATGCCTATGTCCTGAATGGTAATGCCTAGGTTTTCTTCTAGGGTTTTTATGGTTTTAGGTCTAACATTTAAGTCTTTAATCCATCTTGCATTAATTTTTGTATAAGGTGTAAGGAAGGGATCCAGTTTCAGCTTTCTACATATGGCTAGCCAGTTTTCCCAGCACCATTTATTAAACGGGAATCCTTTCCCCATTTCTTGTTTTTGTCAGGTTTGTCAAAGATCAGATGGTTGTAGATGTGTGGTATTATTTCTGAGGACTCCGTTCTGTTCCATTGGTCTATCTCTCTGTTTTGGTACCAGTATCATGCTGTTTTGGTTACTGTAGCCTTTGGTTACTGTAGCCTTGTAGTATAGTTTGAAGTAGTATAGTAGTGTGATGCCTCCAGCTTTGTTCTTTTGGCTTAGGATTGTCTTGGCAATGTGGGCTCTTTTTTGGTTCCATATGAACTTTAAAGTAGTTTTTTTCCAATTCTGTGAAGAAAGTCATTGGTAGCTTGATGGGGATGGCATTGAATCTATAAATTACCTTGGGCAGTATGGCCATTTTCACAATATTGATTCTTCCTGTCCATGAGCATGGAATGTTCTTCCATTTGTTTGTGTCCTCTTTTATTTTGTTGAGCAGTGGTTTGTAGTTCTCCTTGAAGAGGTCCTTCACATCCCTTGTAAGTTGGATTCCTAGGTATTTTATTCTCTTTGAAGCAATTGTGAATGGGAGTTCACTCATGATTTGGCTCTCTGTCTGTTATTGGTGTATAGGAATGCTTATTTTTGCACATTGATTTTGTGTCCTGAGACTTTGCTGAAGTTGCTTATCAACTTAAGAAGATTTTGGATTGAGACGATGGAGTTTTCTAAATATACAATCATGTCATCTGCAAACAGGGACAATTTGACTTCCTCTTTTCCTAATTGAATAACCTTTATTTCTTTCTCCTGCCTGATTGCCGTGGCCAGAACTTCCAACACTATGTTGAATAGGAGTGGTGAGAAAGGGCATCCCTGTGTTGTGGCAGTTTTCAAAGGGAATACTTCCAGTTTTTGCCCATTCCATATGATATTGCCTGTGGGTTTGTCATAAATAGCTCTTGTTATTTTGAGATACGTCCCATCAATACCTAGTTTATTGAGAGTTTTTAGCATGAAGGGCTGTTGAATTTTGTCAAAGGCCTTTTCTGCATCTATTGAGATAATCATGTGGTTTTTGTCTTTGGTTCTGTTTATATGATGGATTACATTTGTTGATTTGCGTATGTTGAACCAGCCTTGCATCCCAGGGATGAAGCCCACTTGATCATGGTGGATAAGCTTTTTGATGTGCTGCTGGATTCCGTTTGCCAGTATTTTATTGAGGATTTTTGCATCGATGTTCATCAGGGATATTGGTCTAAAATTCTCTTTTTTTGTTGTGTCTCTGCCAGGCTTTGGTGTCAGGATGATGCTGGCCTCATAAAATGAGTTAGGGAGGATTCCCTCTTTTTCTATTGATTAGAATAGTTTCAGAAGGAATGGTACCAGCTCCTCTTTGTACCTGTGGTAGAATTCGGCTGTGAATCCGTCTGGTCCTGGACATTTTTTGGTTGGTAGGCTATTAATTATTGCTTCAATTTCAGAGCCTGTTATTGGTCTATTCAGAGATTCAACTTCTTCCTGGTTTAGTCTTGAGAGGGTGTGTGGGTGCAGGAATTTATCCATTTCTTCTAGATTTTCTAGTTTATTTGCATAGAGGTGTTTATAGTATTCTCTGATGGTAGTTTGTATTTCTGTGGGATCGGTGGTGAGATCCCCTTTATCATTTTTTATTGCATCTATTTGATTCTTCTCTCCTTTCTTCTTTATTAGTCTTGCTAGCGGTTTATCAATTTTGTTGATCTTTTCCAAAAACCAGCTCCTGGAGTCATTGATTTTTTTTTGAAGGGTTTTTTGTGTCTCTATCTCCTTCAGTTCTGCTCTGATCTTAGTTATTTCTTGCCTTCTGCTAGCTTTTGAATATGTTTGCTCTTGCTTCTCTAGTTCTTTTAATTGTGATGTTAGGGTACCCATTTTAGATCTTTCCTGCTTTCTCTTGTGGGCATTTAGTGCTATAAATTTCCCTCTACACACTGCTTTAAATGTGTCCCAGAGATTCTGGTATGTTGTGTCTTTGTTCTCATTGGTTTCAAAGAACATCTTTATTTCTGCCTTCATTTCGTTATGTACCCAGTAGTCATTCAGGAGCAGGTTGTCCAGTTTCCATGTAGTTGAGTGGTTTTGAGTGAGTTTCTTAATCCTGAGTTGTAGTTTGATTGCACTGTGGTCTGAGAGACAGTTTGTTATAATTTCTATGCTTTTACATTTGCTGAGGAGTGCTTTACTTCTAACTATGTGGTCAATTTTGGAATAAGTGTGATGTGGTGCTAAGAAGAATGTATATTCTGTTGATTTGGGGTGGAGAGTTCTGTAGATGTCTATTAGGTCCGCTTTGTGCAGAGCTGAGTTCAAGTCCTGGATATCCTTGTTAACTTTCTGTCTCGTGGATCTGTCTAACATTGACAGTGGGGTGTTAAAGTCTCCCATTATTATTGTGTGGGAGTCTAAGTCTCTTTGTAGGTCTCTAGGGACTTGCTTTATGAATCTGGGTGCTCCTGTATTGGGTGCATATATATTTAGGATAGTTAGCTCTTCTTGTTGAATTGATCCCTTTACCATTATGTAATGGCCTTCTTTGTCTCTTTTGATCTTTGTTGGTTTAAAGTCTGTTTTATCAGAGACTAGGATTGCAGCCCCTGCTTTTTTTTGTTTTCCATTTGCTTGGTAGATCTTCCTCCATCCCTTATTTTGAGCCTATATGTGTCTCTGCACATGAGATGGGTTTCCTGAATACAGCACACTGATGGGTCTTGACTCTTTATCCAGTTTGCCTGTCTGTGTCTTTTAATTGGAGCATTTAGCCCATTTACATTTAAGGTTAATATTGTTATGTGTGAATTTGATCCTGTCATTATGATGTTAGCTGGTTATTTTGCTCGTTACTTGATGCAGTTTCTTCCTAGCCTCGATAGTCTTTAAAATTTGGCATGTTTTTGCAGTGTCTGGTACTGGCTGTTCCTTTCCATGTTTAGTGCTTTCTTCAGGAGCTCTTGTAGGGCAGGCCTGGTGGTGACAAAATCTCTCAGCATTTGCTTGTCTGTAAAGTATTTTATTTCTCCTTCACTTATGAAGCTTAGTTTGGCTGGATATGAAATTTTGGGTTGAAAATTCTTTTCTTTAAGAATGTTGAATATTGACCCCCACTCTCTTCTGGCTTGTAGAGTTTCTGCTGAGAGATCTGCTGTTAGTCTGATGGGCTTCCCTTTGTGGGTAACCTGACATTTCTCTCTGGCTGCCCTTAACATTTTTTCCTTCATTTTCAACTTTGGTGAATCTGACAATTATGTGTCTTGGAGCTGCTCTTCTCGAGGAGTATCTCTGTGGTGTTCTCTGTATTTCCTGAATTTGAATGTTGGCCTGCCTTGCTAGGTTGGGGAAGTTCTCCTGGATAATGTCCTGAGGAGTATTTTCCAACTTGGGTTCCATTCTCCCTGTCACTTTCAGGTACACCAATCAGACATAGATTTGGTCTTTTCACATAGTCCCATATTTCTTGGAGGCTTTGTTTGTTTCTTTTTACTCTTTTTTCTCTAAACTTCTCTTCTCACTTCATTTCATTCATTTGATCTTCAGTCACTAATACCCTTTCTTCCAGTTGATTGAATCGGCTACTGAAGCTTGTGCATGCATCACATAGTTCTTGTGCCATGGTTTTCAGCTCCATCAGGTCATTTAAGCTTTTATCTACGCATTTATTCTAGTTAGCCATTCGTCTAATCTTTTTTCAAAGTTTTTAGTTTCTTTGTGATGGGTTTGAACATCCTCCTTTAGCTCAGAGAAGTTTGTTATTACCAATCGTCTGAAGCCTACTTCTGTCAGCTTGTCAAAGTCATTCTCCGTCCAGCTTTGTTCCATTGCTGGCGAGGAGCTGCGTTCCTTTGGTGGAGAAGAGGCGCTCTGATTTTTAGAATTTTCAGCTTTTCTGCTCTGGTTTCTCCCCATCTTTGTGGTTTTATCTACCTTTGGTCTTTGATGATGGTGACGTACAGATGGGGTTTTGGTGTGGATGTCCTTTCTGTTTGTTAGTTTTCTTTCTAACAGTGAGGACCCTCAGCTGCAGGTCTGTTGGAGTTTGCTGGAGGTCCACTCCAACCCTGTTTGCCTGGGTATCACCAGCGGAGGCTGCAGAACAGCAAATATTACAGAACAGCAAATATTCCTTCCTCTGGAAGCTTTGTCTCAGAGGGGCACCTGGCTGTATGAGGTGTCAGTCGGCCCCCTACTGGAAGGTGTCTCCCAGTTAGGCTACTTGGAGGTCAGGGACCCACTTGAGGAGGCAGTCTGTCCGTTCTCACATCTCAAACTCCGTGCTGGGAGAACCACTACTCTCTTCAATGCTGTCAGACAGGGACGTGTAAGTCTGCAGAAGTTTCTGCTGCTTTTTGTTCAGCTATGCCCTGCCCCCAGAGGTGGTGTCTACAGTGGCAGGCAGGCCTCCTTGAGCTGCAGTGGGCTCCACCCAGTTCGAGTTTCTGGGCCGCTTTGTTTACCTACTCAGGCTTAAGCAATGGCAGATGCCCCTCCCCTAGCCTTGCTGCTACCTTGCAGTTCGATCTTAGACTGCTGTGCTGGCAGTGAGCAAGGCTCCGTGGGCTTGGGACCCTCCGAGCCAGGCGTGGGATAAAATCTCCTGGTGTGCTGTTTGCTAAGACCATTGGAAAAGCGCAGTATTAGGGTGGGAGTGTCCCGATTTTCCAGGTGCTATCTGTCACGGCTTCCCTTGGCTAGGAAAGGGAATTCCCCGACCCTTTGTGTTTCCCGGGTGAAGCGATGCCCCGCCCTGCTTCACCTAACACTCCCTGGGCTGCACCCACTGTCTGACAAGCCCCAGTGAAATGAACCCGGTACCTCAGATGGAAGTGCAGAAATCATCTGTCTTCTGGGTCACTTACGCTGAGAGCTGTAGACTGGAGCTGTTCCTATTCGGCCATCTTGGAACCCACTCAGCTGTTTATATATTTTCTTTGGTGAAATGTCCATTCAATTTTTGGCCTATTTTTATTTTTATTTATTTATTTATTTATTTTTAAGGTGAAGTCTTGCTCTGTCACCTAGGTGGGAGTGCAGTGGCACAGTCTTGGCTCACTGCAACCTCTGCCTCCTAGGTTCAAGCGATTCTCCTGCCCCAGACTCCCAAGTAGCTGGGATTACAGGCATGCTCTACCATGCTTGGCTAATTTGTGTATTTTTAGTAGAAACGGAGTTTCACTATGTTGATCAGGCTGGTCTTGAACTCCTGACCTCAGGTGATCTGCCTGCCTTGGCCTCTCAAAGTTCAGGGATTACAGGCGTGAGCCACCACACCCGGCCTGGCCTATTTTTAAATTGAGTTCCTTGTCTTATTATTGAGTTGTGAGAGTTCTTTATATATTCTGGATATAAGTGCCTTATCAGATATCATTTATAAATATTTTCACCCATCTGTGGCTTGCATTTCATTTTCCTTTTCTTTCACTGGTAAATATGTAGAGTAATTAATTAATTTTCTTAATGGTGACTTTTGAAGAGAGCTTTTAATTCTGAAGTCCAGTTAATCAATTTTTTCTTTTATAGTTTGTGTTTGGCCTTTGCCTCTTAGCACCCAAATATTCCTGTCTCTTTGGTTTATTCTTAGTTTAGATGTCCCAATTTTTACTCTTTCATTCTCCCTGGATCTACATTTATTCCTGTTTGAGGACAGAAGGCAAAGCCCAGCCTCCAAGTTCTCTTGCTAATACACTGTGTTGGGCACCTTCCTGGAATTGTGTGTTCAGGCCTTTGGTAACTATGCAGGCCTTTGGTAACTTTGGCTACCAAATCTTGAGATAGAAGGTGAAATTAGACCTTCCTCAGCAATTTACAATTGAAGTCAGATAAGAAAAATGACTGCTTTATATGCAAATTTTTCTTTTTTAAAAAATTAGTTGAGTGCTTCTCTACTTATTGATAAACATCAATAATTATAAAAATATCCCTTACATTGCTTTAAAGGTTTTCAGAGTTAATTTACCTTTATCTTCTCATTTAGGTCCTTTTGCAGATAAGAAATACAAGAGTTTAAGTAGAATAAAAGGGTATTTAACACAAATTAGTTAATATTGGAGACACAAGTATTATTTGATCATTTTTTCCAGAGTCTACCAAGAATTTATTTATTTATTTATTTTGAGATGGAGTCTTGCTCTGTCGCCAGGCTGGAGTGCAGTGGTGCGATCTCAGCTCACTGCAACCTCCGACTCCCTGGTTCAAGCAATTCTCCTGCCTCAGCCTCCCAAGTAGCTGGGATTACAGGCACATGCCACCACACCCAGCTAATTTTTGTATTTTTTTTTAGAGACAAGGTTTCACCATGTTGGCCAGGATGGTTTCGATCTCCTGACCTTGTGATTCGCCTGCCTCGGCCTCCCAAAGTGCTGGGATTACAGGCGTGAGCCACTGCGCCTCGCCCCAAGAATATTTACCATTCACCATGCAAAAATGAGTGGGAGGAGAGGGTAGCACTGGGCTCTGTCTACTAATCTGATGAAGCTCAGCTATAGTCAGAACCATAGAATTGCAGATTCTTGATGCTGAAAGGGGCCTTGAAACTTCAGAGTGCATCCCTTCACCCACCAGAGGAATCCTTAGATTGCTCTTGTTGGTTGATAATCTTCTGGCTCCCAGGCACTTTCAAAAAGAAAGCTTAAAACTTTTCAAGCCCGTGGGATCAATTCTTGGATAATTTTAAGTATTGGAAAATCATTTTATGTATGGAGCCTAACTTAGCCTCCCCTGTAAATTTCACCCGTTGGTGACACAAAACAACTAGTGCCATTCTTTATTGGCAGCTCTTCAAATATCGAAGAGTACCTTAAACCATCACTTCCATGGTTGCCACCTGTTCTATCAACTATTTTGTGTTTAATTTGGATTCCAGACTTACAGCTGTGATAGTCACTTCTTGCTAGATGCAATTCCGATTGTCTATATCTTTTGTGCCTAAATCAAACCTACACATCAGATATGGCCTGGCTGGGAGAGTTTTGTGAGCCTGTTAGCTCCTTTGCTCTGGGTGAGGGCTGCCCAGTGGTGTTAGTTACTTATCAGCTACATTGCAGTGCTGACACGTGTTGGGCTTGTGATTAGCCAAAACGCAAATTTTATTTTCTCCTGTGGATTTTGGCTAAGCCAGTTCTCTAATATCTTTTCTTATGTAATTGCTATCTTCAATATAAATGCAGGGATTTACAGTTAATATTACTATTTAACATTAATGATAATACTAGTAACTAGCATCTTTTGAGGACTTACTATATTTATCTTGTTGGGTTTTCCCCAGGATGTGCCTCTTGGGATCATTTTGAATCTTATTTCTTCCCTTTTCTTGGTTTTTCTCTCTACTGAGAGAAATGTTTGTATATTTAGTTCCTACCCATCTGGGTCTCCTGTCTGCCCAGATATATTTTAATTTTGGCTAGTTTATAGTGATGGTAGGATTGTAAGACCTCATGGAAGGAATTAAAGCCACCCAGATTTCTGCATGTATATCCATGTATTCCTCCATTGATATGGTTCGACTGTGTCCCCACCCAAATCTTATCTTGAATTATAGTTCCCATAATCCCCACCTGTTGGCCATTGGGGCAGTTATGGTTGGGTGGCCTGATGAGGGGGTCAAGATGCTTCCCCAAGTGCCTAATTTTATGTAAGCTTCTGGTGCTAGCAAAAAGGAGCCTTACATTACAGATAGATATTGAGGATTCTGGAAAAAATTTCCAGTCATAGAACTAAGATAATGCTCTAGAGATTGGAGTCTTTGGAGATAGTTTTTCGAGGACCCTGCCACCATCCAGCTTCCTCTCTGCTCAGGACTCCTTTAATCTGGTGTCAGTGGATTTCTCCCATCACTTTGGACATGTTCCAATTAGATTGTAATGCACCAGCATTCTTCTCCTTGACTTAAAAAAAACAGGAGGAGAATTATATTCCTTTTGTTGATAGGATTTCTCTTATAGTGTCATCATCTTCCTTTTTCTTATGCTCCCGATCTTCTGAAATCATGCTTCCCTGTGAGCCATTCCTGAATTTTTTGGTGTGTTCCCTGAGTATGGGACACACCTCAGATGGATCCGGGGATAGTTTCTTTTTGACTTGATCCAAGATATACCTCTTCATGAAAATGTATGTTGATCAGGGACTGTGGGTATGTATAGGGTCAACATTCTCTCCCATCTGCTTTTAAGTAAGTGCTGACTTTGCCAGGCCAGGTGAATGAGCCTACAGTCATTTTAAGGTGGAAATAATTGGTTAGTTTAGACTATTTCAGCATTTCCAACACCTAGATTCTAGTAGATATTCCTTGAAAAAGGTGTTAGCAGTGGTGAGTCCATACAGGTCTGCAGCAACCTCAATTCTTCCCTCTTCAGAAGAAAATATTTGACACAGAGACCAAGGCAAGTTTTAGAGGAATGAAAGTTTATTCAAAAGCTTTACAGCAGGAATGAAAGGAAGTGAACTTGGAAGAGGGCCAAGGGGGTGACTGGAGAGATCAAGTGCATGGATTCCCCATTGACTTGGGATTTTATATGTTGTCATATTTCCAGGAGCTTGTGTCCCTTGTCTCCTGATTCTTCCCTTGGGTGGGCTCTCCGCATCCGCAGTGGCTGCCAGCACTTAGGAGTGATGCATGCACGGTATGTTTACTGGAGTTGTACGCATGCTCACTCGAGGCATTCTTCTCTTACCAGTTGAATGTTCCTAGAAGGTCATATACCAGTTAAACTTTGCCATTTTGCCTCTTTTTTGCTTGAGCCCACTGGCCCAACTCCTGAGATCTTATCAGGAAACTGCTGATTCCCAGCTTCAGGTGTTTCTATCTATTGGGAGACTGCCTTTCTCTGGTGCTGGCTGTGACCAATTATTATTTTATTTTATTTTATTCTTTTATTTAGATTCTCGCTCTGTAGCCTAGGCTGGAGTGCAGTGGTGCGATCTCGGCTCACTGCAACCTCCGCCTCCCAGGTTCAAGCGATTCTCCTGCCTCAGGCTCCCGGGGAAGCTGGGATTACAGGTGCCCGCAACCATGCCCTGCCAATTTTTGTATTTTTATTAGAGATGGGGTTTCACTGTGTTGGCCAAGCTGGTCTCAAACTCCAGACCTCAAGAGATCCGCCTGCCTCAGCCTCCCAAAGTGCTGGGATTACAGGTGTGAGCCACCGTGCCCGGCCCAATTATTATTTTAGAGAGACAGTTAACAACTGCCTGACCTCAGTGGTTGCCTGACACTCCTGGAGTGGGGCAGGGGAGCCCTCTTCTGCCCTGCTCAGGTCTAACTAGCTACCTACTATCACAAAAGGAGTCTGGTTAAAAAGGTATTGTGGCAAAAGGGAGTATAGTATGGGTTCCCCAACCTTACTTGGCCGCAACACCTTTGTGTGGCTGAGCATCTTGGGATCAGCAGCCTGCAGGACACTGGAAATTGCTGGACTGAAGGTCAGTGATCTGAGAGACAGGAAAGTACCCGCAGCGAGACAGTGCGAAGAGAGCAATTTTAGAAATACTTCTGCTTTTGTTTCTCAGTTTTTGTTTCTCGGTGCTTATTTTTAACCTAAGTAGTAGTCATTTGAAGCTCTCAGAAGCTCATGGGCTCTTATCAGATGAAAGTACCCCAGACCTTGCAGGATTAGGAACATCATCTGGCCTGAACAGAAGGTAAAATTGCTGTCTGATTTTCTTTTTAGAGAAACCTGTTAGTGAAGCTGGCGATTCAGTTCTTTCTGGTATACATTTAGGACCTGTTAAATATATATTCTGCCTCAAGGGGAAATCATATTCTAAAAAGTAAACAATTCATAGGCAATTCTTGTACCTTGAGAATCCATTAATGGCTTTCAGAAGGCAAATTTTGTTGTCAAGGGGACAGGTTATATGGGCAACTTGCTTCTATTAATACTTTTCTGGGCAGATTAACTAAATGAACTAATATTTAACTTGGTCTAATAGAATGTTAGCCAGAACAGTGCCTGGTAACAACAACAATAATACTAGCTAACATTTCTTAAGTGGTCACTATGTCCCATAACTATTATACATGTGTTAACTAATTTAATCCTCACAAAAATGCAATGAGGTAGCTGTTATTTTTACTCCCACTTTATAAATGAGAAAATATAGTAATATAGCATATTTTACATATATACAGTAATATTGTAGCAGGACGAGCTGCAGACAAAACCCCTCAGACACCGAGTTAAGGAAGGGCTTTATTCGGCTGGGAGCGTCGGCAAGACTCACGTCTCCAACAACTGAGCTCCCCAAGTGAGCAATTCCTGTCCCTTTTAAGGGCTTACAACTCTAAGGGGGTCCGCGTGAGAGGATCGTGATCGATTGAGCAAGCTGGGAGTACGTGACTGGGGGCTGCATGCACTGGTAATCAGAACGGAACAGGACAGGGATTTTCACAATGCTTTTCCATATAATGTCTGGAATCTATAGATGACATAACCGCTTAGGTTAGGGGTCGATCTTTAACTACCAGGCCCAGGGCTCAGCGCTGGGCTGTCTGCCTGTGGATTTCATTTCTGCCTTTTAGTTTTTACTTCTTTATTTGGAGGCAGAAATTGGGTGTAAGACAATATGAGGGGTGGTCTCCTCCCTTAATATAGCATAATAGTGAGGCTAGAACCAGTGATTGGCTCTGTATTCATAAGAGTGAGTAACAAAGCAAAGCAGATTTTACAGTAAGTTCTTTCTTTTTTTTTTTTTTTTTTTTTTTTTTTTGAGACAGTCTCGCTCTGTGATCCAAGCTGGAGTGCAGTGGTGCGATCTAGGCTCATGGCCCGCCTCCCAGGTTCAAGCAATTCTTGTGCCTCAGCCTCCTAAGTAGGTGGGGTTCCAGGCCCCAGCCACCACACCCGGCTAATCTTTGTATTTTTAGCAGAGATGGGTTTTCACTATGTTGGCCAGGCTGGTCTTGAACTCCTGGCCTCAAGTGATTTGCCTGCCTTGGCCTCCCAAAGTGCTGGGGTTATAGGCGTGAGCCACTGCTCCCAGCCTATAGTACAGTTCTTTAATTTTGAGATTGAGCTCAGTTTCATAAAATCCTAGGTAGCATGTAATATATAATTAATTTTGGATTACTTTGTTCTCCTTTAGATATCTATCATAGGATTTTTAACTTCTAATTTGGAATTTTTAGACATCAGTAGATAGTATAAAAATGGAATTTACTTATGTATTTATTCAACAGCCTTTTTGGGGGCCAGTTTCTGAATTTGATTTTAGGGATGCAAAGATGACAGAGCCCATAGTTCCCTGTACTTACAGAGATGTCATCAAATGGCAAAGAGGTATAATCCTTCAAGCAGTTATCATTTCTTATGCCGTGATAGGAAAAGTGGTTTCATAAATCTTACTTTAAAAAGTCAAAGAGAAAAAGTCTGTAGGCTGCCTGCCGTGGGTCTGGACGCCAGGGAGGTGTCACACCTCTCAGATGACTTTTGAGTTGTTCCCCAGCCCTGGCTCGATTTCACCCAGAGCCCTCAGCTGCAGCTGGTAGCGTAATGTTGCTCCCGAATGTGGGTTTCTTAAGGCTGGGGAGAGGGCTTATCAGGGAGAGAGATCATGTGCTGTGAAAGGAGCACCACAGGCCCCTTTGATGATCTCCTTAAATGCCCTTTTCAACAGGGTCAGGTGTGCTTTTTGTAATGCAAATGAAGAGAGGAAAGCTGAGCGCAGGAGAGTTCTCTCGTGAGGGAAAGAGAAAGGCTGGCAGTGTGCTTGGCTGTGATGGAACTCATTTGACACTGAGGACTGGGTTATTCTTGTTTGTTTGTTTGTTTGTTTTCTTTTTGAGACAGAGTCTCGCTCTGTTGCCCAAGCTGGAGTGCAGTGACGTGATCTCGGCTCACTGCAACTTTCACCTCCTGGGTTCAAGTGATTCTCATGTCTCTGCCTCCCGAGTAGCTGGGATTACAGGTGTGCACCACCTCACCTGGATAATTTTTGTATTTTTAATAGAGACAGGGTTTCACCATGTTGGCCAGGTTGGTCTCAAACTCTTGACCTCAAGTGATCTGCTTGCCTCAGCCTCTCAAAGTGCTGTAATAATAGGCGTGAGTCACCTCACCTGGCCAGGACTAGGTTATTGATCATGGTGAGCAGGGGCCAGGGCCCTGGAGGCCTGTGTTTACTCATATTAGGCCCTGGCCATAAAGCCCATGCTTCCTTGCTTGAATCAACTTTAAAGGAAAGCAGGGGGGAGGGAGGGGATAGGAGCCAATGTCTCTGGGAAATTCTGCACCAAGACTCATTTTAAGTCAGTAGGCAGGGTTCTGAGCTCTTTCTTAGAGAAGCCAACTCTAGCAGCCAACCTCGGCCCTTACTGTAATCTGAAAGTGCCATGCCCCCGAAATCCAAGTTGCTATTTGGTGTGCTGTAATGATTAAATATTCATTTGTCTAACGGATTGTGTGATTTCACAGTTTAGCGATACTCTCTAGATGAAATAATTGGCCAAAAGCAATGTTGGGAGGTTTTGTTTTTGAAAAATGTTTATTGAATGTTTCATATGTGCCAGATGTTATTCTAAGTACTTTTCATCTCCTTAACTCAGTTAAATTTCACCACAGCCCTGTGAAGTCTGCACTACTGTCCCCTGGATTTTTATCTGTTTTGTATATTCCCATATCCCAGTGCTTGGCACATAAAAGACACTCAATATTTGTTGGACAAATGAATACATAAATGAATAAATCTCATATGGCTAGACATTTTGGCTTTCCAGATAACATCATGGGAGTTGGTCCTGTGGTAGATCCTGTGTCAACAGCAAGGACAGAAAGACACAGATGTTCCAATTCTGGTTTAGAAAAAAGCTTTCAGAACTAACTGCATTATTACTCTGATGGAAGACTTCCTTTTTAAAGCACCAAAATATTTCAGATGTTATACTTGGCCTAGATAGATGTTAAGTGGAAATTGTCTACATCTGGTAAGAAATGGGTTAATTGATTAGATTCTGAAATTGAGTAAGTAGTTTTTAAATTTTTTTATTGCTACAGCCATAGACTTTGGTAGGTCCTCATTGGTGCCACTTAGGGTATCTAGATGATTGTATGATTATAGTAAAAGCCAGTATTTATTAGGCTTTACCTATATACCTGGAGCGATTTTCAGTGTTTTACAGGCATTAACATTTTAATAACCCATGAAGTAGGTACTATTATTATTTCCATTTTACAAATAAAATAAGTAAGTGTTGAGAGATGGACCAACATCACATACCTAGTAAGTGATAGAACCAAATTCAAACCTGGTTAGGCTAGCCCAGAGTCTGTTTCTTAACTATTATACTCTAATGCCTTTGATATACAAAGTACTTGGAGAAATCTTACACAAAAAAGAGCCTATCTCTTTGAGGGAAAAGAAAGAAAAATCTTTTCTGCCATTCTTCTTTTCCCATACTGTTCCAGCTGTCTGACATGCTCCCCTCTTTATTCCGGCACTTCTGAAAAAGATCTAGTCACTAAAAAAATTTTCAGCTCAACCAAGATAAAGCTGGTATGACTTAAGGTGATTCCAGTTTTTTGCCTTGTTTTTCTAGTTGTTCCATCATGATACTGTATGTCTTGTACACTTTATTTTAAAATTAGCATTTCAAACTGAAAGAAAACTTAGAGCAACCTAGTTTGATTAATGTTGCCTCAGTTTCAATAGTATACACTCTGCTCCTATAGATCTCCATCCTTCCTCCTTTATATTGTTATTGCCACAGATTATATCCTTATATAGTTTGTGCTCATTAACACAGATTTATTGTTTTATGCATTTTCCTTTTAAATCACTTTGGGGAAAAAAAGCATAGTTACAAAGCAAAAGTACAATAATATTGGCTTTTATATTTACCTATTTAGTTAACTGTGCCAATTTATTTATTCCTTTTTATGGCTTTGAGTTATTGTCTAGTGTTCTTTCATTCTAGCCCAGAGGACTACCTTTATCATTTCATGTATGGCAGGTCTACTGGTAATGATTTCCTTTACCTTCTAATTATATAGAAATGTCATAATTTCTCCTTTATTCTTGAATGATAGTTTTGTGGGATATAGACTTGCTGGATATAGAATTACTGGATATAGAATTGCCAGATATAAAATTCTTGGTTCAAAGTTTTTTTTCTTTGAGGACTTTGAATGTCATCCCACTGTCTTCTGGCCTCCATAGTTTCTCATAATAAATCAGCTGTTAATCTTCATTAAGTTTCCTCTGTACACGAAGAGTCACTTGTCTCTTGCTGCTTTCAAATTTTTCTCATTTGCTTTGGGTTTTCACACTTTAATTATATGCCTTTCTATGTGGATCTCTTTGAGTTTATCCTGCTTGGAGTTCATCGAGCTTTTTGCATCTGTATATTAATTTCTTTCATCAGATTTGGAGATGTTTTTGGCATTTATTTCCTCAAAGTTCTTTCTGCTTCTTTCTCTCCTTCTCCTTCTGGGTCACCACAATGCATATGTTGGTCTACTTGATGATGTCTCACAGGTTCCTTAGACTCTGTTTACTTTTCTTCATATTTTTTTCTTTCTGTTTCTTAAATTGGATAATTTTGGTTGTCTTATATTCAAGTTTGCTGATCCTGTTTTCTGCTTTTTCACATCTGCTCTTGAACCTTTCTAGTAAGTTTCATGGTAGTTTTTGTACTTTTAAGTTATAGAATTTCTAGGGTTTTAAAATTATTTCTATCTCTTTACTGAGATCCTCATTTTGTTCACACATTGTTTTCCTGACTTCCTTTTAGTTCTTTGTCTATAGTTTCCTTTAGCTCATTGACCATATTTAATATAATTGATGTAACACTCTTGATAGTAATTCTATTGTCTGGGTTTGCTTGTTAATATTTCTGACAAATTTCTTTTTTTCTTGTTAATGACTATATTTTCCCATTTCTTTGTATGCTTTGCAAATTTTTATTGAAAATTGGAAATTCTGAGTACTATAATATTATAACTCTAGAAATGCCATTTTCCCACTTCTCAGGACTTGCTGACTTTTTTCCATTAAGGGCTAGTGCTGTTAATTTGTGACTTTTCCAAACTCTTTTTGCAAATACGTGTTTCTTGTTTTGTGTGGTCACTGAAGTTTCTGTTCTGTTATCTCTGTGGTCAGTCAGTGACCTGAAAAATATTTCTTTAAATTACTGGTTCCAAAAAGGGAAAAGTGGGTAGGAGTTGTTACTTAAAATTTTCATATGGATGCTGCCAGGGGAAGTTGCTGCCACCAAGAGGGCCAAAACCAAAGTGGGTGTCTGCGTCAACCCCTCAGACACTGCTAGACCAACAAAAATGTACAACATCAATTTTTGGAAGAGAAAGTCCCCACTACCTACTCTGGTATGAGTCAGCCATTCCTAGAACATGGGCTGCTATCTTCAAAGCTGTGATGGGAATGGTAGCTGGTTCACTTATGTTGCTGTCTTAGGAAAGATCAGCAGTCCCTCCCTTCATCAAGCCCTCCCCTGGTTGTTGTAAGTGTCTAGTTAGGTTCCACCGTTCCTAAATAGTTGATTCTAGTCACTCCTTCCAGGTCAATGGTTGTTTCAGTAGAGAGATAGCTCCTGGAGCTCCTTGCTCTGTTAGTTTGCATGACATCACTCCTGAAAGCCTGATTTTTATTTTTTGTTTATTTTGTCTCTAGCTTTACTGAAGTGTAATTGACAAATATGTATATTAAAGGTATACAACATGATGTTTTGAGATATGCACACACACACACATTGTAAAACAGTTACCATAATCTAGCTAATTAACATATTCATCACCTCACACAGTTCCATTTTTTCATATGTGTGTGGTGAGAATGCTTAAGATCTATCTACTGTCTTAGCAAATTTCAAGTGTAAATTGTTATACACTACCATCACTATGTTGTTATTAGGTCCCCAGGACTTATTCATCTTATAACTGAAAGTTTATATCCTTGACCAGTGACCAGCCCCTGGCAACCACCATTCTATTTTCTGTTTCTGAGTTCAGCTTTCTTAGATTCTACATCTATGTGAGATCATGCAGTATTTGTCTGTTTGTGTCTGGCTTATTTCACTTAGCACAGTGTCCTCCAGGTTCATCCATGTTGTCACATATGGCAGGATTTCATCTTCTTTTTTTAAATCTGAATAATATTCCACAGTGTATATATAGCACATTTTCTCTATCCATAAATCTGTTGCTAGACACTTAGATTGTTTCCATATCTTAACTATTGTCAATGATGCTGCACTGAACGTGAAATCCAGATACTTTTTTGAGAACATGATTTTATTTTCTTTGGAGATATACCCAGAAGGAGGATTTCTGGATGATATGGTAATTCTATTTTTATTTTTTTTCAGGAAACTCCATACTGTTTTCCATAATGGTTGTACCAATTTATATTCTCATTATCAATGCATAAGGATTGTTAATTTCCTCCTTGCCATACACTTGTTAACTTTTGACTTTTTGATCATAGTCATCCTAACAGGTGTGAGATGATATCTTATTGTTTTGATTTGCATTTCCTGATGATTAGCGATGTTGAGCACCTTTTTGTATACTTTTTGGTCATTTGTATGTCATCTTTGGAAAAATATCAGTCTTTTGCCCATTTTTTTTCTTAGAGACAAGGTCTTGCTCTGTCGCCCAGGCTGGAGGGCAGTGACACAATCATAACTCACTGCAGTCTTGACTTCTGAGGCTCAAGCAATCTTCTTGCCACCCGAGCAGCTCGGACTATAGGTGCACAGCATCATTCCCGGCTAATTTTAAAAATGTTTTTTCTAGAGACAAGGTCTTACTGTGTTGCCCAGGCTGGTCACAAACTCCTGATCTCAAGGGATCCTACTGTCTCAGCCTCTCAAAGTGCTAGGATTACAGGCATGAGCCCCTGCGCCTAGCCCCTTTGCCCATTTTTAAGTTGGGATATTATTACTATTATTTTTTGCTGTTGAGGTATATGAGTTCGTTATATATTTTAGATATTAATACCTCATATATATATGGTTTTCAAATATTTTATCCCATTCCTTTGGTTGCCTTTTCGTTTTGCTGTGTTTTTGCTGTGCAGAATCTTTTCAGTTTGGGACAGTCTCCCTTGTTTGTTTTTACTTTTGTTTCCTGTGCTTTTGGTATCGTATCAAAGAAAAAAAGAAAATCATTGCCAAGACGAATGTAATGGAGCTGTCCCCCTATGTTTTCTTCTAGAAGTTTTACAGTTTTAAGTCTTAAGTTTAAGTCTTTCATCGATTTTGAATTGATTTTTGTGTATGGCATAAGATAAAGTTTCAATTTCACTTTTTTGGTACATGGATATACAGTTTTTTCGGCACCACTTATTGAAGAGACTATTCTTTCCCCATTGTGTGTTCTTGGCACCTTTGTCCACATGGTCATTATTTGACCGTACATGTGTGGGTTTATTTCTGGGCTCTCTATTCTGCTCCATTGGCCTATGTGTCTGTTTTT
This sequence comes from Homo sapiens, assembly GCF_000001405.40. Lineage (NCBI taxonomy): Eukaryota > Metazoa > Chordata > Mammalia > Primates > Hominidae > Homo > Homo sapiens. The sequence goes on along the minus strand of NC_000012.12, from coordinate 94,810,302 downwards.
ATGCCACTACTATACTGTCTTGTTACTATAGCTTTGTAGTATAATTTTTAATCAGTGAGCGTGATGCCACCAGCTTCATTCTTCCTGCTTAAGATCGTGTTAGCTATTTGGGGGTCTTTTATGGCTCCAAACAAATTTTGGGATTGTGTTTTCTGTTTCTGTGAAAAATGCCACTGTAATTTTGATAGGGATTGCATTGAATCTACATATCACTTTGGGCATATGGACATTTTGACAATATTGATTCTTCTGATCCATGAACACAGAATACTTTTCTGTTTGTGTCATCTTCAATTTCTTTCATCAATGTTTTATAATTTTCACCACACAGATCTCAAAGTCTTGTTTGTAAAGGGATAAAACTTGTTTGTTTGTTTTTTTGTAGTAGAAAGGGGCACCCACAGGGAGAAGCAACAGCCAGAAGTTCCCTTCCTTCCATATCTATTGGGAACCTCTTGGGGTCCCTGCCCTCAAGGAGTTCCTTGGAGGAGGAAAGAGCCATGTAAAAGGGAAAGCTTGCAGTTCCACAGAAATTCTAGAAGTACAGTGCCAAAACAAGAACAAAATGTTCAGGGGACAGAGAAGGGAGGGCTTCAGGGCTGTTGTAAAAACTTCGGGAATAAGTGAAAACTATTTCCCCAGGCATGGCAAAGTCTTTGCCAGCTGTCAAGGTCTAGGTGCTGGGTAGTAAATGCAGATGCCCCCACTCTCAGCTTCCCTTTATGGCATGTCTCCTTGCTGTCTCCACTTCCTTGCCTCCTGTTCATGCCTCGGTCCTACCCCAGTCAGACCATCAGCCTCACTCTCACTGAAACCGCTCTTGCTGCTTCTGTGTCAGCTCCTCAGAAGCCTACCCCGGCTGCCATACTCAGAACAGCACACCTTTCTCTACCCTCTTACCCTGCTTGACTTTTATTCATAGCTGTGGCACTCCCTGGCATTACATTTATGAATGGCCAAGTGATTTTCATTTAACTTATGTATGTATTTATTCAGCTGACATTGATTGAGCACCACCATGTGTCACAGGCACTGCTCTCAGCTCTGGAGACAAGTGGGCAAGACAAAGTCCTTGCTTTCATGAGGTTTATGTTCTTGTGTAGAGAGGCAGACCAAAGGCAAACAAGTGAGATGATTTCTGGTAGTGGTAAGTGCATGGAGAAAGTCAAGTAGGGCAATGAGGTAGAGTGACTGGTGGCTGGGGAAGAGCTTCTTTCAATTGGGTGGTCAGGGAAGGCCTTTCTGTGGAGGTAATACTTGGACTGAGACTTGAATGGCAAGACAAAGCTAGCTGTTATGGATTGAATTGTGTCCCATAAAAATTAATATGTTAAAGCTCTAGTCCGCAGTACCTCAGAATATGACTTGATTTAGGATTAGGGTCCTTGCATATATAATTAGTTATGATGAGGTCATACTGGAATAGAGTGGGTCTCTAATCCAGTATGACTGGTGTCCTCAGAAAAAGGAGAAATTTGGATACAGATAACACATGGGGAGAATGGCATGCGAAGATGAAGGCAGAGATCTACAGGCCAAGATATCCACGAGAAGCTAGGAGAGAAAGGTGGGACATATTCTCTCTTCCAGCCCTCAGAAGAAGTCAACCTTGCCAACACCTTGATCTTGGATTTCTAGCCTTAATAACTGTGAAACAATAAATTTCTGATGCTTAAGGTGCTTGGTTTGTAGTGCTTTGTTATGACAGCCCTAGCAAACTGATATACCAGCCTTGGACAGTTATGGGTCTGAGAGTATAGTGTTTCCAGCAAGGAAACAGAAAATACAAAGACCCCGAGGCGGGAACTCTATTAACCACCTAGCTCACTGTCTTGTGATTATTTGTTTTCATGTGTGTCCTCTTACATTAGACTGTGAGCTCCTCAAGAACGAGGACAGTGTCTTATTTCTCATGATTCCCCTGTGTCTAGCACGGTCCTGGACAGAGGATGGGTGCTCAGAAGATGCATGTTCAGTCTAGGAACATATGTTCCTTTAGCTATAAACCTACTTCATTGTCTAGCAGGCAGGTTGTTTTCTCCAGCTCATCCTGGAGGTATTAAATGTCTAGTTAAATGTGTTCCTTGGGATTCTTCTGCTATAAGCAACAGAAACTAATATCTTAAATAACAAGGTAGAAAGTAGTTGACTCAGGTAAATGGAATTTAGAAAGGAGGAGGTACAGCAGACCTCAGGGATACCTGGATCCAGAGACTTAAACAGCTTACCCCTTCCCTCTTTCTGTCTGTCCATCTCTCATTTTGGTCCCTGTTCATGGAAAGGCCCATGCTTTAAGCACTTCCTTGTACCTCCATGCAGTGGGGCAAAAGGGTCCTAGCTGCTTTGGGATCATAGCCTTACAGCTCTCAGTCCAAGGGAAGATAAGGACAGTTTCTTTCCAGCTGCAGTAGAAAAAAATTTCAGAGAATGGACCCTGTCTGGTCATATTGGGTTACCTTTGCCCCCATAACTTGTGGCTTACATAGGGTAAGGGGAAGAGTCAAGCCTTCTAGAGCCACATAGGGTCAGGGAAAGGGGCAATTTCCCAAAGAATAACAACACACACCTCTCTCTCTGAAATCAGGGAATATACATGAGGATGTATGTCCCGTGGTGGTTATGAGCTTGGGCTCTGGACCTGCCCTGCCTGGTTCCAATCCTGACTGTGCCACTCAGCAGCTGCTGGACATGTTATCTCTGTGCCCCATAACAGGGATAATAATGTACCCACTGAGAGGACACTGTGAAGACAAAATGGGCTAATAATACACATAATGCCCTTGGAACAATGCTGGGCACTCTTATCTATGCTACCTACGTAGGCGTTATTTATTATTTTTGTCACTGTTTTAAAAGAATGCGTTGGTAAGCACGGAACCTATATCTTCTGATTCGTTTTTCGTTTCACCCCTTTTCTAGATAGCATTTTTCTTTCCTCTTTTCTTCATGGTCTTTACCTCCTTCTATGTCATTTCAGATGCGAACACTTGGTTCATTTACTTATCAGCCAGTTCTTAACCCTCAATAGTTTTGTCTTTAAAACCTACATTCACATGTATTGTTAGGACATTTAAGGTGATTTGATTTGTTCGTGTTTACTGAAAATGGGTGCATTTTCATTAGGTATAAACTGAAGAAGGGAATACAGTCATTCACCACATAGTGACAATTTGGCCAATAATGGATGGTCATCCCATAAGATAATGGAACTGAAAATTCCTATCGCCTACTGACATCATAGCCATCGTAATGTTGCAGGGCAATACATTACCTTTTCTATGTTTAGACATGTTTCGATGCACACGTACTTACCGTTGTGTTACAGCTGGCTACAGCGTTCAGAACAGAAACATGCTGTCCAGGTTTGTAGCCTAGGAGCAATAGGCTATACCATGTAGCCTAGGTATGTAGTAGGCTATACCATCTAGGTTTGTGTAAGTACACTTTAGAATGTTCACACGGTGATGAAATCACCTAATGACAAATTTCTCGGCATGTAGCCCTGCCATTAAGCCCCACTGTTAAGCAACACATGACTGTATTTAATTGCAGCTGGCAGGAGTTGCATTTGAGATCAATAAGACCTTTGAATTTTGAGAGCCAAAGATGTCAGATAAGGTCTGAAGATTAATAATAGTTAATGTATACTGAATACTTTCTGTGTGCCAAGCACTGTGCTAAGGGTTTTATGCGGATTATCTCACTGATCCTCACAGAAATGTTGCTGGATGGTGAATCTGTGAGGAAATCAGGGGTCAAGAATGTTTTCAGAGTTCTCATAGATGGGATCTGTGAATTAGGCCCAGTCTCTTTGATGCTAATGTCTGAGCTTTGACCCACTAACTCAGTGACCATCCTTTGCCATTACAGGGTAGTGGTAGGTGAAATACAAGATTTCAAATATGAAAAAAAAAGAAAAAGAAAAATGAGACACACAACTAGCTATAGATAAACAAATAACATTATTGGCTGTTGATACATAAAGACAGTTTCAAGATTACCACAGAAATCCTGGCATGGCTAGTTCCCCAATTTTATGGAAAAAATATTTATGTCTCTTTCTCTACATATCATATATTATATATGTTAAAAATTAATGTACACATGAAAACAACACACTGATTCTAATTTATTTTTTAAAGTTATTTTTATGATATTATTATATTTTATCTTAGTTCTTTGGGGGCTGTGATTTCTAAATGGGGCACTACAATATATACTTCTTACATCCAAAAATGACCTCAGTTTTTAGACAAGAGGAAAAGAAACTAGTGTCTGAGACAGATATTTCATCATTTTCCTATTCAGAGAGAAATGGCTACTGTGCATGCTCTGGTGTACTCAGGCTATGCATGGATGCTTGTAGATTACATCATTTCCCCCCAAAGAATTCCTGCTATGTTCCAGGCATTGTTCTAAGTGTTAGAGATGTATCAGTGAACAAGACAGACAAACTCTTTCCTCTTCCTAGAGCGTGCATTCTAGTTGGGGATTATAGACAATAAAGAAGTACATGAATCTAATATAAAATATATCAGGCGATGAAATTTTTATGGAGAAAAATAAAGCAAGGGGAAGGGAAAGAAGGTGCTTTGAGGGATGGGTTACAATTTAAAATGGAATGATCAGGGAAAGGCCTCACTGAAAAGGTGATGTTTGAATAATTACCAGAGAAAGGTGAGAGAGGGAGCCTCATGGATACCTGGTGAAGTCACCAAGTCATGGGAATAGTAAGTGCATAAGCTGGAGCTGGCTGGGGTGGCTGCAGACAAGCTGGGACTGCAAAGAGCACCGTGAAGGGCTGAGGGCCCGTTTATTGAAACGACTCTGAGGGTGGAGTTGGGGAGATACAGGAGCTCATTTGGGGGCATGATATGCCCATTAGCCATCTGAGCAGAGGTGTTAAGTTGGTAACTGGATGTAAAAGTCTGGTTCTGGGGTAGAGATTACACATTTGGGAGCCATCAGTGTGTGGATTGCATTTAAATCTGTGAAATTGGATGAGAGCACCAAGAGAGTTACTGTAGACAAGGAAGACTGGGACTCAATTCTGGAGCACTCCAAGAGTTGGGAAGATGAGGACAAAGTTGCGAAGGAGACTTGGAAGGCGCATCCAGGAAGGAAGAGGAAAATATAGTAGAGATTAGTGTCTTGGAAGTCAATTAGAGAGATTTCAAGAGGAGAGAATGTTAATTCTGTGGATTTCTGTTGATCAGCCCATTGAGATGACCACAAATTGACCACTGGATTTAGCAGTGGGCACTGGAGGTCATTGGTGCAATTTCATTGGAAGCTGACTGCTGATTAATGCCATCTGTCAGGGTTTTTCTCTGCAAAGTGGACATTATATGCTCAATTGTACACCATGTGGCTTATATTCCATTTTGTCCTGCTTTACTATCCCAGCAAAATGTTTCTATACACCTATCCTTGTAGATGCGGGTTTTTTTTGTTTTTTGTTTTGTTTTGTTTTGAGATGGAGTCTTGCTCTGTCGCCCAGGCTGGAGTGCAGTGTCGTGATCTCAGCTCACTGCAAGCTCCGCCTCCCGGGTTCACGCCATTCTCCTGCCTCAGCCTCCTGAGTAGCTGGGACTACAGGCGCCTGCCACCACACCCGGCTAGTTTTTTGTATTTTTTTAGTAGAGACCAGGTTTCACCGTGTTAGCCATGGTGGTCTCAATCTCCTGACTTTGTGATCTACCCACCTCGGCCTCCCAGAGTGCTGGGATTACAGGCATGAGCCATGGCGCCTGACCTTTTTTTTTTTTTTTTTTTTTTTTTTAAGATGGAGTTCCACCCTGTCGCCCAGGCTGGAGCGCAATGGGACGATCTCAGCTCACTGCAACCTCTGCCTCCCGGATTCAAGTGATTCTCCTGCCTCAGCCTCCCAAATAGCTGGGATTACAGGCACACACCACCACGTCTGGCTAATTTTTATATTTTTAGTAGAGATGTGGTTTCACCATGCTGGCCAGGCTGGTCTTGAACTCCTGACCTCAAATGATCCACTCTTCTCGGCCTCCCAAAGTGCTGGGAGTATAGGCATGAGCCACTGTGCCTGGCTTTGTAGATGCAGTTTTTAAGCTGAGGGAGATTGTAATCCAGCTGCCTCATCTCGGAGCTGTGGAGAACAAGGCTTGCTTGTTAAGTGAGACAAGCAGGTTTGTTCATGGTAGAGTCAGGACGGCAATTCTGGGATTCCTGATGCCAGACTTACTGTTTTGTCTGCCACAGCTGGCCTGTGTGCCGAAAGTCATAGACTATCAATTCTGGAGCAGAGAGAGAATGGCTCCTTCCTTGTTCCTCTAATTCTTACTGTTTTTTTTTTGTCAGATAAACTCATTGAACATAGATGGAACACAGAGCTCCAGAATGCTTGGAGTTCTTCAAAACCTGGTTTGAATCCCAGCGCTTTCACTCACTAGCTGTATGACTTTGTGCTGGCCAATTCATCTCAATGAGCCTCAGTTTCTTCATCTGCAAAATGGGGATAATGATGGCACCCAATAGAATTGTGAGAATTAAGCTGCCGCTTGCTTATAAAGTGCTCCCCACAGTGCCAGTACACAAGCGTGTTCCATATATGGTGGCTCTTGTGATTATTAGGATATTGGGACCGTAGTTTCCAGGATATTGCTCTTGTTAAAACCGTCTTTAGAAAGATTTTTAATTGATGGCATTGCCTGCGTTTTATTTATGAAACAGATGAGTGGAGTCACACCAACAGATCTGTTAAGACATACTCTAAAGAAGTTACCAGATGTCTTTTTCTTTTTCTCCTGGTTGCTGCTACTAGGGGAAAAACTCTGACAAAATTTAAAACAACACACTGCACACTCAGGGAAAATATGAAATTTGTTCCCCTTTGTCAGCACTGAGAAAACAAAACTGTCAGTTTCCAATTCCCTGGCTTGCTGTCACTCGCGTAGGGAGATAGCAGCGGGAGGGAGCAGCTGCACGTGTCAGGTATACCTGCGAATTTGATATCTGGCAGGTAAGTGTTCATAGACCTCCAAGATGCTTAAGGGTTGCTCTGACTATTTAGAACATGTTTGTGGTTACTATTAGGAATAATGCAGATTGTTTCCAATGAATCTGCACCAACTCTTTTCAAAATATACTTGGAAAATTAATTGGTAGTGCCAGTGAAGTGGTAGTGTGTGGTTATAGACTTTCTCAAATCAGCATGTGGTTAAAAAAATTATTGATCATACCAAACCTCTAGCAATAGCGGTAAAACATTTCTGAATTCCAGTCCTTTTTTTTGGGTCAGTGAACTGTTTACCTGACTCTGCATGCCTGTGTGCGTGTGTGTGTGTTCGCCTGTGTGGAGAGCAGAGCTTGAGAAAGGAGAGAGTGGGGAACATAAAGGGGAAGGATGAATTACAGAGTATCTTTCAAAATTGTTGCAAGTGTATTTCTTTAAGCACATACAGGAACTTGAATTTACTCCAGAGAGTTTTTGCATTTAATGTTAGGGTGGGACCTGATGTATGAATAGAAAAGATAAATGTGCTTAGATGGTAATTAGTGGTATCATTTCTTTACATTCATGCAATTAACACTGGAATTCCAGTTATATGCCAGACATTGCACTAGGCATGGGCCAATAAATAATAATTAATGCTAACCTCTTTTTGTTAGGTTTAATATAAACAGTAACATGAAAATGGTAAAGAACTCCATGTTACACAAGTACAGTGAAAAATGAGTTTCTTTTCCATCCTAGACCATCCATTTTTCTTGACTGCCCTTCCTGAGAATTTCACTGTATATCCATTTATGTATGTATACATCATTATAATCTATTCTCATTGTTTTTTAATACAAATGAGATACTTTAAAGAGGGTTCCACCTCTTGCTTTTTTTCATTCAGCATTTGTTCTTGTTAATATGTTAGCACCAGCTGATGTACTCCATTGGTTTTATTATAGTTGCATAGCATTTCATTGTATGGATGTACCGTAATTTAATTTTCCAGACTTCTAACTTGTTTTAAAATGGGTACATTACCTTCTGCACTAAAGGGTTCTCTTTTAATGAGAATTACACAAAATAACATCTATGACTACCACCCTGGTGCTAGATTTACAATGAATATTGGTAGAAGAGATGAATTGGTCTTGTTTCTTCATTTATTTTGCATATTGTTTTCTTTATGGATAACAAAAAATAAAATTCATTACTAAGAATGATCACATATTCCAAATTAATGAAGTCTGTGCTAATGAGGTTTGTGTCCTATCAGCTGCATCCCGAGCATAGTGACACACTCAGTTTGCATAGTGACATACTCAATCAGTGTTCTTGATCATGACAACATAAATAGATCTATTTTCGAAAGCTGTTGTCCGTCAGCACCTAGGAGGAAATGGTGACTCTCTATAGGCCGGCAAACTCTGACACATTTCATTCTGTCTGGCAGGCATTTTTAATTTGAATGAATGACAGAGGCCTTAAACTCAGTTCAGACTCTGGAAGCATGTAAAACATTGGCCAGAATTGTTCCCAGAGTCCTTTAAGCCTTTAGGGAATCTGATTCTGAGGACCCAAGAGGTGCACTTCGGGTGGAGGGATATTCCACCCCCTGTGAAAGGGATTCTCTGTGTTTCACTTCAGGCATACCTTGGTTCATTGGACAAATGGTCTTCTTCAAGGTCATCTGTGATACAGGTATTTTAGGAAGTGGCTCAGTTATTACTTACCTGCCATTCAGTTCTCTCTGGTGCTTGGAGGCCTGTGGTGGGTAAGATTCCCTGTTAGCCACCAGGGAGGACACCGAGGCATATATGATGCAGATTCTGCCCTGAGGACGCTAGCATGTTGTTTGGGGAGACATGACACTACCCCCAGACAGCAAGCAATATGGTGTACGCTGGAAATATAGGAGCAGGGGCTCTGGGGTCAGACTGTCTGGCTTCCCTCTTTAGCTGTGTGACTTGGCAAGGCAGTTAACATATTGCGTCTCTGTTTCCTCATCTATAGAATGGGGATAATAAGAGTACTTACCTCATTGTTGTGAGAACTAAATGACTTAATACATGGAAAGTGCTTGAACAGTGCCTGACACACGATGAGTGCTCAGTGATTGTTAGCTGTTGTTACCATTACATACAACACTGCAAAATGAAAACAGATGACAGTAACTACTATTTTATGGTAAGGTATTGGGCTTGCAAATAAAAGTCTTTAGGCTAAGTGTTTCGTGTTTGATATCTCATCCAATCCTTAGATAATAATCTGTGAAGTAAGATATTTTAAAGATGAGAAAACTGAAATTCAGAAAGGTTAAGTAGCTTGCTTAAGATCATATAGCCATTAAGTAATTTGAATTCATATGTAACTCAGAAACCTATGCTCTTTCCTCTAAACAATATTTCTGGGGAAATAAAGGAAGTAACCTTCATTTTATGGATGAACAACAAGGCTTAGAGCACTTAAGCGACTTGCCCGAGATCCCATGGAAACTCAGGTTTTCTCAGACCACTTCCCAGTGTTTCTAAATATCCATGGGGCTGGCACGCTAAGGAGGACAGAATGGAACGTCTTGCTCCCGAGGAGAGAGGCAGGACCAATGTACCCAAATAGGCCAACTGGGGCCAAATATAAAGGGAAATCTTTCTACGAAGCCATCCAGTATGAAACTAGATGAGCAGTGTATTTCTCTCTAACATAAAGGAATTTAGAAGTAGATAGTCCAGAATGTGTTGTGGTATTTTCATTAGGTCATTTGGGTCCCAGTTTCTTCCAGCTTTCTTCTTCTTGGCCTTTCTGGTGCTGCTCTTGTTTTTACAGTTTGAAAGGTCTCAGCCATCAGTCACATTTCTGTGCCAGGAAGTGGGAAGATGAATGGCCAGTCTCTTCTTTCAGAACTTTCCAGTAGACCCACCCAACAGGTCTACTTACATCTCATTGGCTTCCTAGTTGTAGAGGTTGGCTGAGAAATGTTATGTTTTAATGGGACATTAGTGTGCCCAGCTAAAAATCGGGTTCCGTTACCGAGAAAGGAGAAGGGAATGAGAATGCGTAGAGAACTAGCAGTTTTCTACCACATGAATTTATGTAGCCTTCTTAGGTAAAGAAACTGAAATTCAGAGAAGACTTGTAACTTGTCCAAAGTCTCCCAGCTGACAAAAGGTAGAGCAGGGAAGGGGACACAGGGCACTGTCTCCTGGCTTCTGTTTGTTGTATTTCTACCCTGAATCCACACCAAGGTCCAGACCAGGGCTCTGGTTTTAGGATTCTGAAGGTCTTTCACATGAAGCAGTTTTATCAAATTAACAACAGCTGCTTATGCTTTTGGGGGAAGCAGACTGTGGGTGATTTATTTTTTGCTTATTAGTCTTATATCCTCCAGTGTTTTCCTAATTTACTTTTCTTTTATCCTGCCATTTTATGAATTCAATATTATTTATCTTTTTAGTCTCTTTAGTACTTATCGATCCTTTTGTGTGCCTACTGAAGATTGCCCCCGGGCATTCGAATGCTGGTAAAGAATAATTACTATGCCAGCTAGTGAAAATAAAAATGACAACACATGAACCTTCCCTTAGGACATGGGAAATTGAGTCGGAAGTCTAGATTTGCTTCATTATTCCAGGAAGAAATACCACTTATTGGAATGCTTCCTGTTGAGATCTATGGTTTTCCTGGGTTCTTTTTGACTTTAATATGCTCATTCATGGGGGGAAAGTCATATTTAAAGAATAAAGTCATTTGCTCAACAGTTCTGAGCAATATAGATGTGATTCCTGCCTTCATATAGTTTACCAAATAGCAGGAAATACAGTTACAGTTGAATAGTAAAAAAAAAAAAATGCTCTGATGGAATAATTAGAGTTGCTGTAAGCACACACCAGAGACACCCACCCAGTATCTGGAGGTAAGGTAAGACCTCCTGAGGAAGTGACATTTCATGCTGAGCCCTGAAGGTGATCAAGAATTAGCCACAAGATTTTTCCAGGCGTAGGAAGCAGGATGCCTAAAGATTGAGGAATGAGGGGGATGTTGGTACATGCCTCTGAGTTCCTCAAATGCACCAACATCTCCCTCATTCCTCAGTGAGGCTGAGGCTCATTCATACTGAGCCTAGTTAAGAGACTAGAGATAGTAGGTGCAGACTGGTCGGCTGTGGCTAGGTCACACAAAGTCTGATAAGCCACACAAAGTCTCCTTCCCAATTTGGGATCCCATTATAGGATTAAAACTAGGGAATGACATCTGAGGTTTGGGGTTCTGAAGGTGATGGAGAGTGTTTCAGCATGTGCAAGTGTCCTGAGGTGGAAAGGTTGAGCATGAATGTGGGCCCTAAAAGGTGGGGACCTTCACCGGAGTACACCAAGCAAGGGGTGTGGCATCCAGTGAAGGCTGGAGATGTAGTCTCCACTTTGAGTCTTATAGTCTGTCAATGATTTTTTTCTTTACCCTAGGAAAACTATTACTTTAGCTTCTAGGTAGTGAATAGATTGGGAGTGGAGGTAGCAAGAATAGAAGAGAGAAACCAATTAGGAAGACATTGTAGTTGTACAGGGAAGAGAGGTGATTACGACTTAGACTAAGATGGTCAAGTGGAAAAAATGGAGAAAAGTAGACCAATTTATGTAAATTTTGAAGAGCTTGCTGAAGGACAAGGGTTAGGGATTAACCTGCATATCCCCAGGCTGGTGTTTGCTTATGAATACAGAGATCCTAACTCATGGGTTTGTCCACAGAGAAGGCTGTGATCTGGGAGGCTGGTAGAGCACAGCCTCAGGATGGAGCCATGTGGTTGCCCAAATGCTAACGAGAAAATTCACTGGACACCTCCAGGGGAGCTGCTTACTATTGGACAGGAAGGAAACCTGGAGTTTATATTGTGATCATGCAGCTTGGATGCTTCTTGAGCTATACTCTTCACCCTCCCCTTGTTTTCTCCTTGTAACTTTGATTTATTGTCAGGGTTCCGACATCTGGAGGCTGGTAGAGCAAGTGTAATCCCTCTTCCACATGACAGGTGTTCCAAGACAGCTGTCCTGTTAACAAGTCTTCCTCAAAGTACACATCCCTGTTCCTTCAGCCATTCCTCATGGGGTTTATCTTTGAAGCACTTTGCCAACCTGTCAGTCACTTTCCTTCAGACACATTTCATTGTATAGCATCCTTCCTAAATGTGATGGATTGCAGCCAGCTGTCACCTTGACCACAGAGACAAAGGCCTTAGGGGAAGAGGATAGAAATTCTTTAACATTTATATCTGTCATTATTAAGGGTAATATATACTCAGAGAAGAATATTGAAAAATACAGAAGAGTATAAGGAAGAAAACTTAAATTCCTATAATCCTACCACCCAGAGATAATTAGCTGAAATTTTGGTTTAGTTTCCTCTAATCTTCTTTATATGTATTTATTATTTTAAAAATTGGTATAGTTAGATCTCTTTCATATTCAACTTTTCATGTCATTAAAAGTGCTCATCACCATTATTTTATTGACTATTTCCTGATATAATAAATGTTTCTAGTTTTTCACTTTTATAAATAACATGCAATGGTACATAAATAACATAAGTAACAGCATTGCAGCACATAAATCTCTTTTACTTGTCTTATCTCCTTAGGGTAGATTCCTAAATGGAATTACTGGGTACAAACATTTTCTGGGCTCTTGGTATATATGGCCAGATTGTCTTCCAGAAGGGATTTACCCATTCCACTTCCTACCCCAAAACACACATAGGCAAACCTGTTCGTTTCAATATGCCTTTGCCCAGTCCAGAAGGATATAAGTGGAGATAAGTCCCAAATACAAGGAGGGGAGGTGTGGATAGAATACCACTAATTCAAATGGCTAACATTTTTGGGTGCTTAATTGTGTGCCAAGTGCTTGCTAAGCATGTTTCATATTTATATCAAGTACTTCTCACATCACCACTATACATCATACGCCATTACAGATAAAGAAAAGGCCAGGCGCGGTGGCTCACGCCTGTAATCCCAACACTTTGGGAGGCCGATGTGGGTGGATTGCTGGAATTCAGGAGTTTGAGACCAGCCTGGGGCCAACATGGCGAAACCTCGTCTCTACTAAAAATACAAAAATTAGCCGAGCGTGGTGGCATGTGCCTGTAATCCCAGCTACTTGGGAGGCTGAGGCAAGAGAATCACTTGAACCCAGGAGGCGGAGGTTGCAGTGAGCTGAGATCATGCCACGGCACTTCAGCCTGGGTGACAGATGGAGACTCCATCCCCCGCCAAAAAAGAAATAGACACAGATCATTAAGTGATTTTCCAAAGGTCACACAGATGGCTTGATAGTGAAGATAATTATTTGGGTATAAATAACATAATAGTTGACTAAAAGAGGCTTTCATTCTGGATTTATTTTAAATTAAACCTTTTTTCTTTAAGTGTAACATACATACAGAAAGGTGTCCACATCTTTAAGCATATTACTTGAGGAATTACCACAGCTGCCACCTCTGTACCTAACATCCAGATTAAAAATTGGAATATTATCAACATCCTAGAAGCAAACTCTCTAGGCTTCTCCTAATCAATATCCTTTACCTCAATCACAAAAGTAATAGTCTTCATTTCTAGCATTATAGGTCATTTTTGCCTGTTTTTGAAACTTATATATATGAAATTATAGCGCACATATTCTTTGTTGTTTTTGCTTCTTGCCCTTAATATATTGACTGTGAGATTACCTTATTGTGTGTAGCAGCAATTTGTGGATTTTTCTTACTGGACAGCATTCCTATTGTATGATACTTTATGTGTGTGATTGTACCACAATGTACCATTTTGCTGTTTGTTGATGGACATTTGTGTTGTTTCTCCTTTGGGGCCACTGTGAATGTTGTGGTTGGGAACAGAACTTTTTTTCTTTCTTTCTTTCTTTTTTTTTGAGACTAGGTCTTACTCTGTCACCCAGGTTGGAGCGTAGTGGCACAATCACAGCTCACTGCAGTCTCAACCTCCTGGGTTGAAGTGATCCTCCCACCTCAGTCTCCCAAAGTGCTGGGATTATAGGTGTGAGCTACCGCACCTGGCCAGAACATTTTTGTATAGCAAAAGATATGTATGTGCTCAGGCCCAGGGGATGCTGTTATATAATTCTCTATTTTTCCATATCTGAAATATTTCTTTTCCTCCCACCTCAGGCCCCCAAGTAGCTGGGATTACAGGCGCATGCCATCATGCCTGGCTAATTAAAAAAAAAACAAACATTTTTTTTTGTAAAGGCAGGGTCTCACTATGTTGCCCAGGCTGGTCTCAAATTCCTGGGCTCAAGCAGTCCTTCTCCTTTGGCCTCCTAAAGTGCTGGAATTACAAACATGAGCCACTGTGGCTGGCTGAAATATTTCTTTTAAAAAACTATTGTGTGTGTTTGTGTGTGTGTGAGAGGCCACACACACATGCAGAAAGGTGCGAGGCTGGGGATTTCAGGGGCCCTGCTGAAGGACAGGGTTACAAATCCCCCACGTTGGAGAATGTGTGCGCAGCCTCGTGAAAGAAGATTGCTCCAGTGAGAGCGACATAACACTGCTGCTGGCAGCCACCAGCAGGAGCTGCTTTGGGAGGAAGAGTGCCTCTCCAGTTTAATTGTGAATTTCAGGGAAGCGAGTCATGATCCTCTCCAGCCTGCTGTGGTGGATGGAAGGATGCCACTGGGAAGTCACCAGGCATTGCAAGTCTGCTGAGGAGGAAGAGGGGAGGGACTTTGCACACCCTGTGACCTCTGCGAGGACAGTGTATCGCCACACAAGACGAGTGTCAACACTAGAGATTTGGGTCCCACATCTCATCAGTCCCCCAAATCATTTATATCTGCTCTTGGAAAATAAGTGCATATGGTAAAGTTAGAACTAGGGTGTCCCATGTCCGGGTGTGCCTGGGGAAGACTAGTTTACAACTGTTTTCCTGGCACTTGTTAAATCACCCCCTTTTACTCCTTTGCATCACAAAGTATACGGCTCCCTACTTAGACAAAGTGACTGAGGCTCTGTCACTTATGTGCACTGTGACCTGGAACACATTGCTGCAGCTCTGAGCTTCATTTCCCACACCTGCCACACAGGGTTGTGGTAAAGATGAAAGGAGGCAGTGGGTGCGAGGCCTTTAGCCCCGTCTTAACTCAGGAGAAGGACTCAGATTTTGAGGCCTTTTACACTTTCTCTTTGCTGCAGTTATCATTGGAGCTAGAATTTTCTTCACACAGTGATGATCAACTGTGAAAGTCAGAGATGGCTGAGGCAGGGAAGTCATGCATTTTTTCCGTCTTATGTCTTAAAGAATTTGTTTTTTTCTTCCTGGGATAGAAGGAGTAATTAATTGTTTGGGCTTTCCTTCAGGGTTCTCATCTGAATGGAGAAGCTAGCAGCATTTAAGATGTGAATTCACCATCAGTTATGAAGAGTTGGGCTTAAATGTCTCAGTCCGCACTTTAGGGGAGTAATTAAGAAGCCCTGAGACATGTTCAGTGTGTACAAGGTGACCATACAGTGTAGTTGTTTATGCCTGTTGTCCTTGTGTCATTATTAACAGCATTCTCTTTCCTTCCCACAAGTGTCTCAATTAGGACAGTAAGTTATATGGTTACCCTAAATAGGATCTGTGTAAGCCCATCCTCGGGTGAGAAGTCTTAGACTAGAAACAAGGCAAATATCCATTAATGGGAGAATGGGTAAATAAATAGTGGTATATTCCTAAATCGAATACTATTACATAACAATGAAAATGAATGAAGTATAATTATGTGTGTAAACATGGATAAAACTAAACAAATGCTGAATGAAAAAGCAAGTTACAGAAGAATACCTGCTCTATATTTTTATGGACATAAAATTTAATATAGCAAAATTAGATGGTTTATTGCTTAGGGATACATATATATGTGACGAGGAGAGTATAAAGAAAAGCAAAGGAGGCCGGGCACAGTGGCTCATACCTATAATCCTAGCACTTTGAGAGGCCGAGGTGGGTGGATCACTTGAGGTCGAGACCAGCCTAGGCAACATGGTGAAACCCTGTCTCTATAAAAAATACCAAAATTAGCCAGGTGTGGTGGCGCATGCCTGTAGTCCCAGCTACTTGGTGGGCTGGGGCGGGAGAATCGCTTGAACCCAGGAGGCGGAGGTTGCAGTGAGCTGAGATGGTGCCACTGCACTCTAGCCTGTGCGGTAGAGCCAGACCCTGACTCAAAAAAAAAAAAAAAAGAAGAAAAGAAAAGGAATGATTAATTGAAGATTCAGATTGTTGGTTACCTGCATATTAAGGTTGGGGCGCCTGGAATCATGGAAGGATGCACAGCGTCATCATTCTATTTCTTAAACTGTGGGATGGGTACATAGGTATTTTGTTATTTTATTTAAAATGTGGATACACGTTATGTACATTCTCTTGATTTCTTGGAATATTTCACACAAGATATACCAAGAATAAAATGAAACTAAAACAAGATACTGCATGGTATCAGATGTTCTACTTTTTATGCTTGTTTGTTGTTTTGGGGTGATTGCTCATTGTTGAGTGAGTTTAGGGAGAAGGTAGCTAGACTTTCAAGCTCTGGACTGAGGTGACAGTGAGACTGATTTGCTAGTACCTTTAAGTCATTAAAATAAATCCTGGCCATTACAGGGAGACCATTTGGTTTTGTTTCTATTGCTGGTATTGTTGCTACCAGTATTGCTAACACACTGATGTTCATTGAGCAAAGATTTTTCTAATCCCTTAACATATATTATGTCTTTTAATTCTCAAAAGATATGCGGTGAGATAGATTCCATTGTTATGTCTGTTTTACAGTGAAGGATGATGAAGCACAGAGGGAATAGGAATTCCACACCGGCAGTGTCAGCCTTGGGATTCCAACCTTCACCGCCTGCTCCCGCTGCCGCAGTGCCTCCAGGGCCCTACCGCAGTGAAATGTGAAATTCAATCTAACCCTGACGGAGGTGCAAGCAGGCGCTTGACATTTTCAGAGTTCTACAAAAGGGTTTCGCCCCTTCCTGTTTTTGAGGATGACATTTTTGTCAGGCTCTACCTGCCCCATGTCTCAGTTGCCAGTGAGTTCCTGGAGCTCGGTTAACAGGATGGCAGCTCCCCTGGTGACCCTGGTGAGAGCAGTTTCCAGCCCTGTTGCAAGTTGGTTAGGGAACGGCTGTTTTCTGCACAAAATGTTTCTGTCTGCACCTCGGGGTGCTCTTGACCTGACTGATTTGGACTTAGTTCTTATAAATGAGTGGGAGGGGGCAGAACTGAACGGTCCTGGGTGAAATTTGAATACTTCTTCAGTTCAGGCGACAGACTTAGTATGGTTAGCTTAAGAAAAAATAAGCACTAACAAAAAAAAAAAAAGGAGGAAGCCTTCTAGATGGAGGGAACTGGATCTCAGCCGAGGGCTGCAGCAGGCAGGGAGGCCCCTCAGTGGAATAAAGCTTTGGCTTGTTGCGTCACCTCACTGTAGATTACAGAGAATACTACTGCGGCAGCTGTCATTTGCCACAAAGCCATGACTCTTTCTTTCCTTGTTAGCAAAACCAGGCAGAGGTCACCCAAACTCGGGAAAGGTGGGCCTTGCCCCTGGTTCTAGGGGCAGACAGGTGAGTGTCTTCTGGTTCAAGAGATGTAAGGGGAAATTGGTGGCGGTGGGGGGCTTCTGGGAGAAAATTTGTTTCCTACATCCGAGGGAAGTAGAGGAGGAGAACCTCTGCCTGTGCTGCTTCCTGCACTCTGCTTTGCACGCAGCCGTGCTAAGATGCGATGCTTGGTACTGCTGCAGCCATTTCATGACTATGAGGGGGAAGACTAAGAGAATCACAGAGGTGCCAACCTTGTGTCCTACCATCATTGAGTCTCCCCAAAGCACCCCTGGTACTGTCTACATTCAGATTTCTTGTTATGCAAGGAAATGGACCCCTATTTATGGAAGCTGCTGTTAGCCATATTTTATGTTATTTACAACAACAACAAAAATGGTTTTAAAAGTATTTATTCCTTATTGACTTCTTGTGAAAATAAGGGAGAATGTGTGTGTGTATATATACACACATGTGTACGTACACACGTTTACGTACACACGTGCACACACATGTGTACATATGTGTGTGTACACGCGTACATATGTGTATATACATGTGTACGTATGTGTATATACATGTGTACGTATGTATATATACACGCGTACATATGTATATATACACGCGTACATATGTATATATACACGCGTACATGTGTACATATACACACGTACATATGTGTATATACACATGTACGTATGTATATATACACATGTACATATGTATATGTGTGTACATGTGTATATGTGTGTACACATGTATATATATGCAATGAGATATATACACATGTATATATATACATATATATAACATTTATTTTTTTAAATTTTACTTTAAGTTCCAGAATACTTGTGCAGAATGTGCAGGTTTGTTACATAGGTATACATGTGCCATGGTGGTTTGCTGCACCTATCAACCCGTCATCTAGGTTTTAAGCCTTGCATATATTAGGTATTTGTCCTAATGCTCTCCCTTCCCTTGTCCCTGACTCCCTGACATGCCCCAGTGTGTGATGTTTCCCTCCCTGTGTCCATGTGTTCTCATTGTTCAACAAGGGAGTATATTTTTAACATGTCTGGAACAAAGTAGATTCGTTATAGTAGTTGCTGTCATGATTACCACCATCATCACTGTCATCCCCAAGGTATCACCATGGGCTGGTCAGAGGTGCGGAAGTGGCAGAAGAGAAGAAATGTTGAAGGCTTTTGTTTCTTTCTCTTCTTCAACACAACTTGCCTCTTACAAGAGGTTATACAAGGTATGGTGGGGGTACCTGAGATAGGGAAGGGGCATTGGAGATGGAAAGGAAATGAGGGGAGTGGAAAAAATATTAGAGGGAAGTCAGGTGAGCAGAATAGACTCATGGCTTGAACTTACTGCTCTCACATCTTATTTGCCTGAAATACATTCAGTTATCCAAGGTCCCTCATATCTATTTTGTATAAGCTTAGCATTCATGGCTTAAAAACACTGTTAATGCTTACACCCTTAAAATCTTTAATGGATATTCCTTTAAACTGGTGCCCAGGGAAAAGTGCTTTTTGACATAACAAACATTTCTGGTAGAGAATTATGATAATGAGGCAAAGTCTCTATTTTCAGCTCCCAATTACCTTTCAATCCAGTTGCCGTCATTAAGCCACACTTGCATTTAGTGTGCTGGAAGTTGGAGAAATGAGTGCATTACCATCAAAGCATGAATGGCCAGTGCTTTGCATAATCATTGCAGGAACTATTGCTCAGATTTGGCACCTGTCACTCTCGCCCTGCAGTTCTCCTGTTTGGAATTCTGCCCATGCAAAGTTCTAGTTACTGGTTTAAATCATTTTCAAACCCTGGTGTGGATTGCCTAGTCACCCACAGTTGCTTTTTCTTCATTGCACATTTTCGTTTTAAACAGAGTCCCTGTGATGATTCTACATTTGCCAAAATAGTAAGAGGAAAGACACCCTTCACTTGCTTGCTACCGCTGACAAAGTGGACACTGTGAACATCACCTTGGGTGGGAGGAAGGCAAAAGCTCCAACTGGTCTTGTTCAATGATAGTAAAATGGAGAAACGGAGACCCTGATCCTCTTGAGACATAAAGAGAGAAAGTCTTTGGTCTCCTGCAGAGCTTGTTGTGTCTAGGCCAGGGGAGGAGTTGGTGTGAGAACATGGGAGGAAATGGGCGAGGTAGGTGAATGGGAGTGCAGTGTTAGGTCCATAGGCCAGTCCTGAAATGAGGAGGATCTGTTAAAGATACCTATCAGCTGGTACCCAGCAGCACTATCCCGTGGAAGGGCTGAAGGCCACAGTGCTGGAGCATGCCCTGGGGTCCCAGCTGGATCAGACATAAATCCAAGCAGAAGGTCTGGCATGCTGGAAAAGAGATCAGTCGGTAGGGGATGCTGAGGGGACTTGAGGTACAAGAATATTTAAACAATTGAGGAACTGGCACAGCCATACTGCAGCATGCTAGCAGGAAAGCAGCTATGAACAAAACCCTTTGTGCTCCCCAAAATGACATTGTATAGGAAAGGGGCGGGCAGGGTCTATGCCTTGCATAGTTCCTGGCACATAGTAGGTGCTTGATAAATATTTACTGAAAGAAATTAATAAATGAATGTGCCACCAAAAGATGTGTCAGAAATCCTCCCTATGCGTTAAAATAATAATTGGTTTTCATGAGAACCATCTAGTGTTTTGCAGGGTTTGGAATGTTTGTATCTTATCTGATTTTCACAGCATGAAAGGCACGGGGAGGACAGGAAAAGCAATGTGTTTTTGTAGAGGGAAGAGAATATATCTTCCCTTAAATAAAACCAGAGAGAATTATTGAATCTCCTGGTACTTTTCCCTTTGTTATCTATCTTGTAAAATAATTTATGCAGGATGAAAATCAATAGTCTTTATGAAAGCAGCTAGTTCAGTGATTTAAAGGGACATAAGATGGTTTGAAGTTGTCTGTGATAGAGAATTATAAGGGAATGTCCTTTTTTTTTTCTGTTGAGAACACATGAATAGAAAATGATAACAATCACTTTCTAGCCACAGGCCCTATATCAGGATGAAACACAGTGTTTGTGCTTTAAGGTAAAATGTCTGCCAGAGGAGATGGTGGTGTTGTGTCAGCTGGCATGGCCACCAAGCAGTGTCTGTTCTGTAATGAATATAATTTTTGCTGTGGCCTTTGAATACCAAATTAAACCTAGGAAAAAAGTACATGTCCTAAGAGCTTTAAGCAGTAGATAGTTCTGATGAGCTTGCTTGGGAGGAGCTAGGCGGTATGCTATGTTGATGGAATATAAAAAAGCTTCCAGGGAGTTGGTTGATTTGACTTAGCCTGCTCCTTCCTAAAACAAATTTGGAGTGACTTCTCAACCAATGAATAATAATATTAATAAAGTGGACCTAGAAATTGAAAATCAGGGCCAGATGCAGTGGCTCATACCTGTAATCTCAGCACTTTGGGAGGCTGAGGTGGGTGAATCACTTGAGGTCAGGAGTTGGAGAACAACCTGGCCAACATGGTGAAACCCCATCTCTACTAAAAATACAAAAATTAGCTGTTATGGTGGCTCATGCCTCTAATCCCAGCTACTCAGGCTGAGGCAGGAGAATTGCTTGAACCTGGGAGACAGAGGTTGCAGCGAGCTGACATCATGCCACTGCACTCCAGCCTGGGCAACAGAGTGAGACTCCTTCTCAAAAAAAAAAAAAAAAAAAAAAAAAAAAGGAGAGAAAAGGACCATGGAAAAGAAGAAAATGCCAAACTACTATCCAAGAGTGTTAAATTAGAGCTTTTGACTGATTTTACCTGGAACTTCCTGGTAGCTGTGGCAAAAAGGAAAACATGATAAGGTACATAACTCATACTTTTGGAAAAGAGAGAGCATGCCAATTTCTCAAAAGAGACAAAGCTTTTCTGAAAGATTGCAGTTTTAAGTCTTTGTTATTCTGGAGCTGGTGATTCAATTTTGATCATTCAGTTTGCTTACTTCTTTCCCTTGTTGTTTCTTTACCTGTTAAAGTTACTCCTTTGCTTCATCATCTCTGCACTGCTTACTGGTGCATCAGGTGATACAGAGAAGGGAAAGCAGGTAAATGCAAAACAGTCAGCTTTGTAGCCAATTATAGTTCTGGTTAAAGTCATACATGATATGTCATTTTAACTAACGTTGTGCTATCTATTGATTGAATAAATATTCTCCAAGACAACAGAAGAGAGAATTATTTATATTTTTAAAAAATCCTTGTGACGTCATATAAAGCTCATCTAGTTTTGCACTGGGCTGAGGATTGGAGCCCCTATGTAGCAGGTCAGTGTTAAAAAGTGAAAGCTCTATGCTTGGTCTGGGAGTGACCATATATTAACCCATACATTGGGAAAAAACTGATTTTATTTCTCTAGTACCCAAGCCTGGGGGAGCTTTAGAATCACCCAGGGAGCTTTTTAAAAATACAGACCACTAAGCCCCATCCTACACTGACTGGATTAGATTCTCAGGTGGTGAGGCCCAGGGATGTGGTTTTTATTTGTTGTTTTGGCTTTAAGCTCCCTTGGTTTTTCTGGTAACCAGCCTGGCTTTGGAATTGCTATCCATCTATCTGCAAAAGGAAAAAATAAATCCCTCCTCTGCACTGTCCTAGCATAGTCAGCCGCCCTAGTGTGGTCACCGCCCTACCGGTGACAAGCTTCCTGAGTAGTGATTGTTGCGGGGACCGGGGGTGGTCACTAGATGGATCCTAAATTGTCCAATCTACCACAGGTAAATAAAATAAGCCAGGCATCACTTTGGAAGATAAATAATTGTCCTCTAAGACACAGAGAGCCACAGCCCAGTGAAATTTCCAAGGAAAGTGAGAAAGGAGAAGTTAAATATAACTTCATTTGGTCAAGGGGAATACTAAACACACAAATGTCAAAGAGAAGATCCCCACCCACTGTCTCTCTATATTTGCCTGTAGCTATTCCCAGGTATAATAATAACAGCACCACTGACATTGAGCAGGTGTCATGTATTAGGTTCTATGCTAAACCCTTCCACTGTATGTACATACCACATTTGTTTCCATGTGTAGGTAACCTGCACACAGTCATGTAAGGTAGATATTGTAATTTTCATTGCCAATGAATAAACAGGCCTAGAGAACTTGTGTGACTTACGCAGAGGCACAATCTAGCAAAGAGTGGGGCTAGGTCTGGAGCCCGGGTCTAAATGACCCTTGAGCAAAATAAATTGTTGCTTTTGAATACATTTTTCCATTAAACACTACATTTTTCCTTAAAAGCATCAACCCACACATCTATTTAGTCAAATTCTGTTCCGTACCTGGGTTGGTAGAAGAGCATCCATCGATTCATCTATTCATGGACATCAGACATTTATGTAAAACTTGTTCTGTGCTAGGCCCTGGAAAGACAAAGATGAACAAGGACCTAGCACTCAGGAGGCTTGTGGCATGGAGCAACCAGAGCATGGAATGGGCTGATTGGTCAGGCTTGGGGTATGGTCCATCATTGGAGCCAAGGTATCAAGGTTATGTTACTGAAAAAGGAGGATGCTGGTCAGGGAAAAAAACACAGGTGCCCATTGCAGGTCCCCGCCCTCGAGGAGCTTAAAGTCCAAAGGGAGAAGTTCAGATAAAAACTGCAGTTACACACGGTCTTGCGTGGCCCCAAGAAAGGTAACGGTGCTATCAGCACTTACAACACCTGAGCTATTCCAAGGCCTTAGAAGGTTGCTCTGAGAGAGTGATGTGTGCATTGAGGTCTGATGAGTGCGTATGACTTAACTTCATGTCCTCATTTGTATACATTTAATGTATATCTAATAATAATCAGTAAAAACTTTCTGTTCACTCCATAGGGCAAAGTTTTTGCTTGTACATGGTTTTCATTTTTAATGACTGTATAATATACTACAGTGTTTTGTATAGTAAGTCTATCCTGTTGTCCAGTTAAATATTTATTTTCTCTTCTCATTGAATGGTCATCAGCAAACATATTTGTGCATAAGTTTGTTTTCCTGTTGAAGAAAATGCAAGAATTGGGTTTGTGGAATCAAAGAATGTGCCTACTTGGTCACTGTATTACTTTCTAAAAGCAGCAATTAACTTTCTTTCACATCCTCTTCCTATAGCCCCTTCTTTGTTACCTTCATGCATTTTATCAACAGCTCTTTTTATCTCCTTTGTGGCTCACCTCTGTGTACCAGGTTTCCTGATATTCGTGTCAATCTTTGTATCTAGAGCTCTTCAGATTTCTCATAGTGGGCACTTAGTAATGCCTTCCTTTAAAAATACCTGCTTTCTGGGCCGGGCACGGTGGCTCACGCCTGTAATCCCAGCACTTTGGGAGGCCGAGGCGGGCGGATCATGAGGTCAGGAGATTGGGACCATCCTGTCTAACATGGTGAAACCCCATCTCTACTAAAAATACAAAAACTTAGCCGGGCGTGGTGGCGGGCGCCTGTAGTCCCAGCTACTCAGGAGGCTGAGGCAGGAGAATGGTGTGAACCCGGGAGGCGGATCTTGCAGTGAGCCGAGATGACGCCACTGCATTCCAGCCTGGGCAACAGAGTGAGACTCCGTCTCAAAACAAAACAAAACAAAAAACCCTACTTTCTGTACTTTGAGTTTCTAGCACATCAATTGTTGTGACAGTGACTCTTATCCCAACATCTATTCTCTTTTTCTTAGAACTCACAAGTTTTAGTTGGGCACATGGCCATTCAGAATAAAGATTATATTTCCTCTTTTGGAGGTGATGGATATGTTCATTATTTTAGTTATGTGATGGTTCCACATGTGCTTAGAAAATCATACACTTTGAAAAAAAGGACTATATTTCCCAGCTTCCTTTGCAACCAGAGGAGGCCAGGTGACTAGTTCTGGCCAATAGAATACATTCTACTATTACAAGTAGAAGAATTGTTTGGTAGCTTTTGGAATCCTGTTTTAAAAAAGTGGTGTGTGCCTTTTGCCCTCTCTTATTTATACCTTCTTCCACCCTGCTGCCTGGAACATGGTTGTGATGACTAGAGCTATAGCCACCATATTGGATCATGACAAGAAGGGCCAAACTCTAAAGATGTTGGAATGGTGAGCTGGAAGGCTTTTGGTTCTGTGAAGATTTCAGGGACCAGAGCTTGCATACCTGTCACTGTGCTGCCTACCTCTGGACTTTCACATATAAGAAAAATGCATTTTTATTTTGTTTAAATCATTAGTTTGAGTCTGTGTTACTCAACTGAATCTAATCCTAACTGATATACATGTGCTCATATAAAAGAGACTATATCAACAGTTGAAGTGGTTAAGACATTATCATTTATTGGACATGAATATTTCACGGTTAGGCTGAAACTTGAGACCAAAGTCAAAGGAAAATGCAAGGATCAAATGCAATTCTTTTTGTAACTCTCTCAATTATTTTCTTGCTATACTCCCCCTATTTTAAAAAATATTATCTTCATGATAATTGCTGTGTGTATGGAACTCTACTTATGTATTTATTTCATTTAATCCACAATGAGGAGGTAAAATTGCCATCTCCATTTTACAGATTAGAACATTGAGCTGGAAAAAAATTAGCTTGTGAAGGTTACTTAACACGTGGTAGAGTGGGACTCTATCCTGGATCTTCCTGACTCCGGAACCCAAAGTCTTACTTTTGTAGGGGAGCCATCTTCTTGCATATACTAGTCTTTCTCCACAGAACACTGACCCTCTCTACCTTTTTTGCCCAGCTACTTTATTTTTTATTTCATTTTACTTTTTTAGAGATAAGGTCTTGCCCTGTAGTCCAGGCTGGAGTGCAGTGGTTCAGTCATAGCACACTGTAACCTCGAACTCCTGGGCACAGACGATACTCCTGCCTCACCGCCCCAAGTAGCTAGGAGTACAGGCAAGTGTCACCACACCCCACTGATTTTATTATTTTTTGGTGGAGATGAAATCTCGCTATGTTGCTCAGGCTGGTCTTGAACTCCTGGCCTCAAGTGCTTCTCTCATCTCGGCCTCCCAAAGTGCTGTGATTATAGGTGTGAGTCACTGTGCCTGGCCCGCCCATCTACTTCCACACACCCTAGGTCTCCTCTCCTTCAGCAAACTTTCCTTGATCCCTCCATGCTATCCTATAATGCTATTGCTTTCATAGCATCTTGTACATTATCTATCACAGCATTTATCACATCTTATTGAATTTGTTGCTTATTTTTCCCCATGGTAGACACTGAGGTTCTGGGAGAGGGTTGGGAAGGACTAAGTCTTCTTTTTTATTTTTAACCTCCTAGATCCTAGCATGGTACCTGGCATATAATAGGTGCTTAATAAATATTGTTTAAGTTATTGAATGAACTTCTGTCTGTCCAAAAGATGTTTCTGCTTCTTAAAGCACTTTTCGGCATGTATTATTCTAACTAATCCCTCTGCTAGAACTTTTTCTTATTGTTGCATATTCTTGTTCCATAGTAAATGTGTCTGTGCTTTTCAAAGGCTTGATTTGGTAGGTAATTTAGTCTTTGGTCATATGTGGCATTTCCTCTTAGTTCTCAGCAGGCTGGTGCTGCTGTTATGATTTCACAGTAGGAATAGATTTGCATACTGTTAAGCTGCAGTGATCTTTTACGTGCATTCAGGAAAAAATGAAATAGTTGTAAATAAGCATATGCATGAACTCATTCAGAAAAATGACTATCTGGATTCCAAATTGCATAATCATCCTCCTTTTATATTTAACAGATGAGTAAGAGCTTTAAATTTTCATAGAGTTGAAAGATATACTGCTATGTCAGAGGAGGGAAGAAGAAGAAACAAGAGCTTCCCTAGATGTAGTCTAACTCTGATTGCAGTGTTCTTCAATCCAGTCTTTACAAGATTCCCATTCAAAAAGCATGCAGGTCGAATTAGGCTGAGTGCCATTCACGGGACTGAAAATATATTCCTGGTCTGAAAATTCCTTTAGGGCACAGAGTCCTTATCTCAAGCGTTTCTGAATCTCCACCTTCAGCATTGTTCTTCACATAGTATGGACCTTCTACAAATATGGGAGTCAGCAGAAGGAATTTATTTTCACATTTTGCTGTTTCATTGAACTTTGTATGCTGCTTGTTTTTGGATTAGTTGAACCGTTTACTTTTTGTGCTTTTGGCTTATTTTACTTATTGGCATAGAAGTTAGCAGGGAAGAGCAAATGATAAGCTAAAACCCGAGGACTGGGAACTAGCTACTGCCCTCATCTGTTTATTTTTATTTATTTACTTTTTTTTTGAGATGGAGTCTTGCTCTGTCACCCAGGCTGGAGTGCAGTGGCACAATCTCGGCTCACTGCACCCTCCACCTCTTGGGTTCAAGCAATTCTCCTGTCTTAGCCTCCTAAGTAACTGGGATTACAGGCACCTGCCACCACAGCCGGCTAATTTTTTGTGTTTTTAGTAGAGATGGGGTTTCACCATGTTGGCCAGGCTGGTCTTGAACCCCTAACCTTAGGTAATCCTCCTGCCTCAGCCTCCCAAAGCGCTGGGATTACAGGCATGAGCCACCGCGCCCGGCCCCTCATCTGTTTATTACTTATTATTTTAACTGTTCCAGTGTACAGTTCAGTGGCATTTATTACAATCACGTTGTGCAACCATCACTGCTGTCAATCTCCTTTCATCTTTTCATCTCTTTTTTCTTCCCAAACAGAAAGTCTGTACCCATTAAACAATAACTTTCCATTTACCCCTTCTAATTTTTGTACAACCATCATTCTACTTTCTGTCTATATGAATTTGACTACCCTAGGGATCTCATATAAGTGGAATTGTATGATATTTGTCTTTTTGTCATTGGCTTATTTCACTTAGCATAGTGTCCTCAAGGTTCATCCACATTGTAGGATGTGTCAGAATCTCCTTTTTTAAGGCTGAATAATATTCTATTATATATACGTATCACATTTGTTCATCCATTCATCTGTTGATGAACACTTGGGTTGCTTCCTCTTTTGGCAATTGTGAATAATGCTGCTATGAACATGGGTGTACAAATATGCCCCTATCTTAATTTCACCTCCCCTGTAAGATATGTACTAAGTACTTTCAAAACCTTTCACATTTTCAAAATAAAAAACTTGTGTTTCAGAAGACATCATCAAGAAAGTGAAAAGACAACTCATACATTGGGAGGAAATATTTGCAAATCATATATCTGATAAGTGACTTGTATCTAGAATATATAAAGAGCTCTTACAATTCAACAATAAAGACAGCTCAATTTAAAAATGGGCAAAGGATCTGAATAGACATTTCTCCAAAGAAGATATACAAAGGCTGGTAAGCTCATGAAAAGATGCTCAATGTCATTCATTAGTCCTTATGGACATTCAAATCAAAATGACACCAGGATACCACTTGATACCCATGAGGATGGCTGTAATAAAAAAATGGACAATAACAAGTGTTGGTGAGGATGTGGAGAAATTGAAACCCTCATACACTGTTAGTGGGAAGGTAAAATCGTGCAGCCACTTTGGAAAACAGTTTAACACTTCCTCAAAATGCTAAACATAGCTGGACACTGTGGTGTGCACCTGTCATCCCAGCTACTTGGAAGCTGAGACGGGAGGAACTCTTGAGCCCAGGAGTTCAATGCCAGCCTGGGCAACATAGCAAGATCCTGTCTCTAAAAAAAATCAACTAAACATAAATTTACTGTATGACTCAGCAGTTCCACTCCTGGGCATATTATACTCAAAACAAATGAAAACATATCGACACAAAACTTGTATACAAATCTTTATAGCAACACTATTCATATTAGCCAAAACAGTGGAAACAATCCCAATTTTTTTCAGCTGATAAATGGTTAAGCAAAATATGGTATATCCCTATAATGAAATATTATTCAGCAACAAATAGAATGAAGTGCTGGTATGTTCTATAACATGGATGACCCTCAAAAACATGCTAAGTGGAAGAAGCCAGTCACAAAGGACCACATATTGTATGGTTCTGTTTATATAAAATGTTGAGCAGAGGCAAATCTATAAAGACAGAAAGTAGATTAGTATTTCCTTAGGGTAGGAGAAGGGGACAGGTGGTAGGAGAAAATGGGAGTGACTGCTAATAAATATAAAGTTTTGTTAGAGGATGATGAAAATGTTCCAAAATTATAGTAATGGTTGCAATATACTAAATGTATATAAACCATTGAATTGTATACTTAAATGGATGCCCTTGATGGTATGTGAATTACATCTTAATAAATCTGTTTAAAAAGGAAAAACTTTAGCGGCATTATTGCACATTCCACCTGCTCACCTTGTGGATGTCATATCATCAAAATAGCCTTTTTTACCCTCCATGAAATAGGATGCCATAGTCTTTTTGGAGAAGAAATTAGGGAGTTTGTCATTGCAAATACAGGGAAAAAACTTAGGGAAAAACGTTTCCCAAGTTTATAAGAAATAAAATAAATTTTGGCAATATTTATTCATTTCCTAAAAATGTGGCATGTCTTCTTTCAAAAATGAGGACAGAATTAGTGCAATTGAACTCTGCATCAGAGGACTTTAACAAACCTTAAAGCTATTTTGGGTCTGTCTTTCCCTTGGCATAGGAATCTTTCTCTCTTTTGCTTTGTAGGCAAGGTAATATGCTTCCATGTCACTGTATGTCTAGAATTTCCATCTAAAGTTATCTCCTTTTTGCACATGGCTCTTCTTCCTCAGTTGGTGTTTGGTCTCTGCTGCTCAGCTGACCTTGGATAAACCAACAGTCCCTTTCCTTCTGCCTAGTAAGTCAATCTTAGTCTTGTTGGAAGGTGTGGTTAAAGGCTAATTGAGAGAGATCTACCTGTTAATATTCTGAAAAGGGTTTACCTTAAATTAATTTAAATCTGTGGTTTCTGTGGATTTTATGTATGCCCCCTATTCCTGGCTTTGGTTACCACATAGCCAAACATTAATTGGATTTTTAAAAAATATATATATTTTTGAGATGGAGTCTCACCCTGTCGCCCAGGCTGGAGTGCAGTGGTGTAATCTCGGCTCACTGCAACCTCCATCTCCCAGATTCAAGAGATTCTCCTGCTTCACCCTTCCAAGTAGCTGGGATTACAGGCACCCACCACTGTGCCCGGTGAATTTTCGTATATATATATTTTTTAATAGAGACAGGGTTTCACCATGTTGGCCAGGCTGGTCTCGAACTCCTGACTGCAAGTGACCTGCCTGTCTCAGCTTCCCAAAATGCTGGGATTACAGGCGTGAGCCACTGTGCCCAGGCTGATTGGATTTATTTTTGACTTTTTGCTTTCACTGCCTTTTGGGCCGCTCACTCAGGGCCTTGTGCCTGCGTACCTGGCACATTTTCTTCACCAGGTTGTGGGGTCCTGGGAGGGAGGACCAGGGACGTCGTTAAACTTCTCGTAGCGCCTGGCGCTATGTAGGTGCTTTGTAGTCATTCATTGAATGTATAATTCCACTTAGGTGGAACTTTAGGATGTGAGCCAGCAGTTTCTTCATGGCAGTTTTTTTTTTTTTTCTTTGAGATGGAGTCTTGCTGTGTCACTCAGGCTTGAGTGCAGTGGTGTGATCTTGGCTCACCACAACCTCTGCCTCCCAGGTTGAAGTGATTCTCCTGCCTCAGCCTCCTGAGTAGCTGGGATTACAGGCGTGTGCTACCATGCCCAGCTAATTTTTGTATTTTTAGTAGAGACAGGGTTTCACCATGTTGGTCAGGCTGGTCTCGAACTCCTGACCTCACGATCCACCAGCCTCGGCCTCCCAAAGTGACAGGATTACAGGCGTGAGCCACCGCACCCAGCCAGTAGCTTTGTTTTATTATCTAATGTCTGCTAAAACAATGTGGCACAGCCAACTGAGAGAAGGACGTCTTGCCTCCTGCTTGATTGATCATGACATAGGTTTACAAGCGTGCTAACATGGCATTAAATCACATAAATTAAACCTCAAGAATGAAGATGTTTGGCTTTTCTTCCTGAGAATCTGTGCATACAATTTGTCAGCCCTGAATCTCCCACAGGCGCCCCTGGAATGTGAGCTCTGGATGTCTTTTTGGTTTTTCTTGGCAGGTTGATCAAAGCCATCAGTCCTGTCAAGTGGTTAGACCAAGAGGAAGATAAATCGAATCCAAGGCCTTGCACAGACTTTTAAAACAAAAGTCTTGTTTCCGGATGTTTTGTTTTGTACTATGAGTTAATTTGAGTTAGCTGTGAAGAGCGTAAGTGATTCTTCTCAAGTCCCTGTGTTTTTTGCATCAGAACTGGCATATGGAATATGTACCGTGAAAGGGTTTAGAAGACAGTGCTTAATTTCCATTTCGGCAAGATGAGTTTCAGAGATTAAAGAGCTGAGGTGGTGAGTGGTTGTGATGTAAATGCCATCATTTTCTCAATACTGGTGGCCAGCGTTAGAGGGAAAGAGGCTGAAGGCCTGACCTTGCTGATGTCCAGCCTTCTCTGTCATGGCTCTGCTGGTCTGTGTCCTCCACCCTGTGGCCACACCCCACCTTTTCAAGAGCCCTTCTTTGAAAGGAGACCTAAGGTTGAGGACTGGTCCTACCTTTGTCTTTGAATAGTTTTTAGCCTGAAGCGTCTTATCCCCTGGTGGGTGCTTGGATATTTGTGGGGGACAATTTTGGTTGTCACAATTATGGTTATTATATTATTTTTGAGTTTTGTTTTATTTGAAGATAATAATGATGGCATTATAAATATTAATTATAAAACGAGGGTGCTGGGTGGGCGTGGCGACTGACGCCTATAATCCCAGTGTGGATCACTTGAAGTTAGGAGTTTAAGACTAGCCTGGCCAACACGGTGAAACCCTGTCTCTACTAAAAATACAAAAATTAGCTGGGTGTGGTGGTGGGTGCCTGTAATCCCAGCTACTCAGGAGGCTGAGACAGGAGAATTGCTTGCCCAGGAGGTGGAGTTTGCAGTGAGCTGAGATCATGCCCCTGCACTCCAGCCTGGGCGACACAGCAAGACAGTATCTCAAAAAAAAAAAAAAAAAAAAAAGGATGCTGCACCTTTAGCATTGAGAAGCACTGAGATGGATCATTGGGTTCTCTGAGCCTTAATTGACCTTTTTTTTGAAATGGAAATAATGCTTGCCTACTCATCTCAGAATTATTTTGAGAATCGGTTGTGGAAATCGTGAATCTGAGTCTCTCTGAGTGTTTCCTCAACTGAAAAATAGGGATAGTATAGGCTTAGCGTGGCCTTTGTAAGGATTAAGTAGGATTACACATGTAGAGCACTTGGTAAGTGGTAAAGCAAAATGCAACAATATGTACACCATCAATTGATTATTTAATCCTGACTTCCTGCCCAGCTAGCTGTCTTACTGTTGACTGGGTACATCTTGTGATCTTCCATCTTTACATTCCAGATCTTAGTGCTTGCGTGTGCTGCTCTCTCTCTTTCTTTCGCTCTCTTCCTTTCTATCCTCTCTCTCTCTTCCTTCTTCCCTCCTTTCTACTCTGCCATTCCTGGATTTTTCCCCCCTCATCTTCTCTGCCTGCCCCAATCTGCTCTTTCCTGAAAATTTCTCTTATCTGACCTCACACAGGGGCCGGCGGAAGGATCTTCTCCTTCTGTTAGTTTCCTGCTCAGTGCTGGTTTCCTGCTTGGTCATTTGCTTGTGGAATTATTTGTTAGCTTCCCCCCGCATGTGCATCTGATTGCTCCCTGGAATGTATGTCCCCTGAATTTAGCATGAGACTACAGAACTGGTAGATGTCAGTAACTGTTGATTTTCTACACCCGAGAGACATGCTTTTGATGGAAACAAGCCAGTAAACCCAAATCTTTTCTTCCTTGGGGATATGTAATCACCCAAGCAGTAAAGGTAGTTACAGACTTTTAGAACAGGAAAGAACCTCAGGGAGTTACTCTTTATTGCATGTAACAGGTCATTTATATACTTTATATCTTTTCTTTCTCATAATAATATTAAAAGGTAAATATGGCCACCTGCATATCATGAGCAAGGAGGCTAAGGCTCAGAGATGTTAATTCTCTTGCCCAAGGTAACTCATCTTGAAGTAGTAGAAGGGCTTCTCTTTGTCTTCAAAATCCATGTTCTACTATTTTATTCTGCTTCTTAAGGGAAATGAAGCTTTGATCATCACTAGAATACCATTTAGGGTAAGAAAGCTGAAAGAGTCAACATTAAGTAAAAAAAAAAAAGAATCATGAAGTGGCAGTTCTTTACAGTGTAGAAACAGCTAAGGCATGGCCACTGAGCAAGTATTAGATGGCTACCATCTAATGCCAAACCAGTGTTTTGCTAAGATGCCAAAGGAGAGAGGGGCTTCATCCTTAAATGGCACGAAAAAACCCTGAAACCCATACAGCAAACAGGTTTGAATAACACAGCAGCAAGTATACAGCCTCTGGGGCCAGACTGTGGGTTTGGATCCCAGCTCTCCTACTTAATTAGCTGTGGGACCTTGGGCAGCTTCCTTATCCATCCCCCTGTATCTCAGTTTCTGCATTTGTAAAACATGGGGGTGTTATAGAACCTGCCCCTCAGGGTAGTGGTGAAAAACAAAAGCGATGATACCCAAAAGGACTTAGAGCAGTGCCTGGCATAGAATAAGGCTCACTGAGTGGTGGCGTTGGTTATTGAGGCTGAGGAAAGTATTGCACAGCGAGAACTTAAAAACAATTCCAGCTGCTTGACAAGGGCCAGAAGTTGATGGCCTTGAATCAGTGACAGAAGCCTGATGGGTGCGTGATGGTGTCTCTCCTGACTCCACGGAGGGTCCATCTGAGGTTCCCCGACATGTATATATCTAGGAATGTGTCCAGTGGAGGCAGGCTTTTAAGGTCAGACCTTACCCTGTAATGATGAATAACAATTCTCTTTGACTAAGAGATGGGCTTGAGACGCCAAGGGGTTTTGTTATTAAAAGTAAATAGCAACATGCTCTATTCTTCCTCCAAGAATCCAGAATAAATTGATTTCCTAGGCAGGGTTTGTGACTAAGTACCGAGTCTCTCACACTGTTCTCTGAAAGGTCCCAGTTAAGCCCCTGAGAGGCATGAATAGTTGATGAAGGTTTTATATTTGGACCCTTAATAAAACTGGGCTTGGCAGCTTTTAGAAAAGTGCTTCAGTTATTAAATGGGTAAGGCTGTGTGGGCCTAAAGGTACCTGTTTGGCTGGCAAGGTATTCAGGAGCATCAGGGAGTATTTCCCTGATGGGATGCTACAGGACCAGATCTGGAAAGGGAATTTTAACCTGTTTCTGACTGCAGGGTTCTGACCAAGCTTGGGCAATAGCTCCCTGCTGGAAAATGGGTATGAGGGACCACAGCAGTCATCTAATCTACTGGCATTTGGCCATGTAATATGGGAATTGACAATTATTCTTTCATCAGTGTGTTTCAGGTACCTTCTTATGTACCTTCTAATGCATATTGGTTTTCCTGTTCTTAAAGGCCCAAGAACTGTGCTGCTGGAAACAACCTCAGCCTTGCTGGTCATGAGCTTGTGTTGCTCTGTGGTTTGAGACGTGAGGCTTGATTAGGAGATAAAAGCCATGTGGGGATGATTTTCCCACCCTTTGCTCCAGAGAGGGTCCTTACCAACCTTTACACCTCTCCTGGGGTCCCTTTCCCTAGAATTCCAAGGAGTCCCCCAGTGGCTCCCCTGTGCCTAATTTCTGGGATTTGGAAAAGCTGCTGTTGAATAGGGCTATTGCTATGCACACACACACACACACACACACACACACACGTGGTTTCAGAAAGACGGAATTCAGGAGCCATGGGAAGCCGCTGCCATGGCTCCTTCCCGGGACTTACCGCCTCTGAAATGCTGCTGGGATTCGGGAAACAGCAGCTCTCTGTGTTTCTCCATGTCTGATCTGAGTGATGAGGTCCCTCCCCTTTCCCTGGAGAGCGAAGGGATGGGAAGTTAGGGAAGTTGAAGGAGGGAGAGAAGGTGCAGTGATTTACCATTTGCTTTCTGAACAGTGTTCAAGATAAAACCATACATTGAGATGCAGAAAATGAACACATGTTCTTTAATTTTACTCCTAATGGCTAACTTCATGTCTTAGTCCCTATCATGCATTAATGATAGTTGACATTCGTTGAGCTCTTACGTTTCTCATTAAACCCTCACAACCTTGTAAGAAATTACTAGTACCCCTATCTTTACAAAAAGGAAACCACACCTGAGAAAGATGAATTTTCCCAAGGTGTCGCAGCTGGTTATAGATGGCGCTTGGGTTTCAGCCCAGGCCCCACCGCAGCGCTTTCCGTTCAGTGGCGATGCTGGGCTGGCTCTGGGCTTTGCTGTCTATCTTTTTCTCCACAGTGCAAATGCTGCCTTCGATATGTTAAGACCATTTCATGGTTTGTATTTTGCATTGGTAAGGTCATGTGAATTGATTTTTTTGACATTCAGCTTTCTATGCTAGGAAGTTCATTTTATCTAATTTATCTAGGCTCTGAAAAGGAAGAGCCTTCCTTTTTTGAACAGAGCACAGAATGTTCAGAAGTCTGGGACATGCCAAGGAGAGCCCTGAAGGAGAATTTCTGGTGGAAACAGCTTACCTAGGAGACCCTGCTCTTCCTTTTCTCCCCTCTGTGCTCCCTCCCTTTGATCCCTGCAACCATCCCCACTTCCTCTGGTCCACCAGAGATTCTAATTCCCACCTGTCTTTGTAGCCCAAACCCCTTTCTTAAGGCATATCTAATAAGTAAATTGACATTTTCAAAGGAATTTTTGCTCAAAGGCAGGGAAAACAATAAAAAGAGTTAATAACCAAAAAGTATTTTTAAACTTCATGTTTCTCTTCCTAAAACTATGAATTTTACCAAGCCGCCAACCTCTTTTCCTAAAAGTATTACACCATGGCTAGGTGTGGTAGCTCACACCTGTAATGCAGAACTTTGAACTTTGGGAGGCTGAGGCAGGAGGAGCACTTGAGGCCAGAAGTTTGACAACAGCCAGGGCAACATAGTGAGACCCCATCTTATAAAAAAAAAAAACTTAGCTGGTGTGGTGGCACACACTTGTAGTCCTAGCTACTTAGAAGGCTGAGGCAGGAAGATCACTGGAGCTCAGGAGCCCGAAGCCACAGTGAGCTGGGAACGTACCACTGCACTCCAGCCTGGGTAACAGAGTGAGACCCTGTCTAAAAAAAAAAAAAAAAATTCCACTTATGCACTTGGTAGATGAGCAACCTCCTTTGCCTGGTTTGTGGATACCATCTTATTTTTTCAACACTCAAGAGCTAGTTTATTTACTACCCACTACTTTTTGAAACACAAACCTTTTTCTCCAGATAGGATCCCCCTACTCAATTCTAGTTTCCAGTCTGAGCTAGAGTGATGGTTTTAGCACATGACCACAAATTCTCCACCATTTGAAAGATGGAGCCTAATTCTCTTCCCCTTAACATGGGCTGTACTTGAAGACTCATTTCTAATTAATAGAAAGTTAAAGGAGTGATATTGCTAGACTTTGGAGACTAGATTGTAAAAGGCATTGTGGCTTCTATTTTGCCCTCTCTTAGATTACTAGCTCTTGGGGAAGCCACCTGCCATACGGCTTCACACTCAACCCTATGGAGAGGCCCACATGGCAAGGAAACTGAGGCTTTCTGCCAACAGCTATGTGAGTGGGGTATCTTGGAAGTAGATTGTGCAGCCCCAGTCAAGCCTTCAGATGAACACAGCCCTGATTGGCATCTGAACTGCAAATCTGAGTGATCCTGAACCAGAACAACCCACCTAAGCTGTCTCTGAATTCTTGACCCACAGAAACTTTGAGATAAAGGATATTTGTTGTTTTAGACTACTAAGTTTTTGGGATAATTTGTTATGTAGCAATAGATACTCAATAGAAGATGTGCACCTATTTTTCAAGTGACATTTGGGACAATGACTGTTATATGCTAGTTTTTAACTCTAATCCAGATTGTTCTTCTCTTGTTTAGGACCTTATGAGCTGGGTAAACTAAACTCTCAAAGCCTCAGTTTCTTCCTCTGTAAAATGGAGATAATAGATTCCCCCTCAATGAGTTTTTTTTTTTTTTTTTTTTGTAGTTGTTGTTGTTGTTGTTTTTGAGACAGGGTCTTGCTCTGTCACCCAGGCTGGAGTGCAGTGACGGAATCTCAGCTCACTGCACGCTCTGCCTCCCGGGTTCAAGTGATCCTCCCGCCTCAGCCTCCTGAGTAGCTGGGACTACTGGCGCGTACCACCGTGCCTGTCTAATTTTTGTGTTTTTAGTAGAGATATGGTTTCCCCATGTTGGCCAGGCTGGTCTCAAACTCCTGACCTCAGGTGATCTGCCTGCCTTGACCTCCCAAAATGCTGTAATCAATGAATTGTTATTAGTACTGCGTTCATAGTAGGCCACTCAATAAATGGATAACTGTTAGTATTATTAATATATTTTCAATTAGCATAAGTCTTGTTTCATCTCAGTTTTTCTGAATTCCTTCTTTTCTCACCTCCTTGAGAAGCCTGGTAAAGCACTTCTGTAACCCAGTGGGCACAGGCCTCTGTTAGCTGTTGTGATAGAGTGCTTGTGGATCTCCCTGGTTGACAGTAAGCTTCATGAGAATGGGGAGGAACATACTGTTTTTGTTTCCGTAGTGTCTAACACCAAATAAATGAATAAATGAATTATATAGCTCCTTCTGCTGTATTTGCACATAAGCTGTTATTGGCATTCAGTGTTACTAAAATGGTTAACTCTTATCTCCAGCCAAAGAAGATGTGCATTAAAAAACAAAAATGCATTGGAGAGTCTATTGTTCATTTTGTTCTCTGTCTTTCCAGCCCAGAAAATCTATGATTTTACTGTCAATTTGTGTAGGCAGACAATAGTTCTCACTTCCATATATATATATTTTTTTTTTACCATATAGGGCCCACTTTAGCATATAAGGGCCATTTCAGGGAAAATGTTGCTGTGAGAACGTCTTCACAATAGCTGGAATATAAGTTGATTATTCAAGACATTTTAATTTTAAAATTGTAATAAACATTTATTGAACACAAATTCTCAGATGGAGGGTATTAGACATTTTTCTCTAGAGTTGGAAGGCAGCATAGAACAGGCAAAGGGAATGAAGTTGTTTCTGACTTAAGACCAAATCCAGATCCCAGAATTTACAAGCTATATAGCTGCCCAGCTGTGGCCCCAGCTGTTTCTTCCCTGAGTGTCCATTTGCTCTACTCCATGTGGATGACAATGAAGAACATCAGAGAATACTCCTCACCCTGCCCTCTCCCTGCCCAGGCTTCCATGAATCTTTTCATCGTCTGTTCCCTCTCTTTGGTGTCTGTGTATTCACCAGATGTTTAATAGGTATTTACCATATGTCAAGCAATGCTGGGCACAGGGCTGTACCAACAAACAAGACCTGGTCCTATTCCCTGAGGGCTCCCTGAGGGCTGACAAGCTGGGATCTGCACATGGGGTGAGTGGGTAGCAGGCAGCTCTTTAACATGGCATTATGGGGTTAAATTTCTCCTAGCACAAATTCTGGGTCAGATTGAGCCCCTGGTGATTGTCTCTTTCCAGTTGGTAGGCTCGGATGCTGTGGAGTGGTCCAGTGTGGGGTTTACTCTCAGTTTTGCTTTGCTAAGGGAAATCTGGGACTTGTTATTCTGCGGTTACATCATTAATTAGTGATACTTGCAGCAGTAAACATCATGTCAGCTAAAATTAGTAATTCTGCCACCTCTTCTGCTGAAGCTAAATGGGAGGGAGAGCTGGATCTGGTGGGATGTGCGCCCAACATTCCCAAACCAAAGGCAAAAGGACGTTCAGCAAGGTTTAGCAGGGAAGAAGGACTGTGCTCAGGTGCGCATGTAAACTGGGCAGGAGAGCTCTTGAAACAGGAAAAAGACAACTTGTTCATGTTGCTCAATGTTTTTCCTGGTAATCCTTGACAAAATTCATGCAGTTCATCTATCCATACACAAGGAGTGCCTGCTATATATCGGGAGTAATACAGAAGTAAAAGAAAGGGCTCGCAAGAAATCTGTGATCTAATTAAAAAGATAGATTATAGTGTTATAGATTTTTAAAAAATATTAGCATCCATTGTTGGTAAAGGGAAAAGGAGATGAACATCTTTAAACACTGATGCTGGGAGTATTAATTGATGCAGTTGTTCTAGAGATCAATTTAGCAATACTTACAAATGCTCTAATTTGTATTTCAATTTGTCAAGCAAGTCCACTTATGGGAATCTATCTGGAGAAACTAATAATGGAAATGTGCATAAGCACGCAAGAATGTTTATTGTTATTTTTTATGGTAGCCAAGAAGAAAAGGAAACAAGTGAAATGTCCCGTAATGTGGTGTTATTGACAACCTTGTCTGGCCGTACAATGGAATGCAATGCAGCCTTGAAACAACGCATTTTAGAAGAGAGTTAAGTGACCTATGAAATATTAATGCCACATTGTTAAATGAAAAGAGTAGATCACAAATCAATAAGAATCCCATGACTCCAATTTTGCATAATATGTGCATAAAAACAATGTCAACAGTGGCTATTTCTAGGCTCTTTGAATCTTCAAATTTGTGTTTGTTGTGGATTCCCAAATTTTCTACAGTGAAC
Source organism: Homo sapiens (assembly GCF_000001405.40). NCBI lineage: Eukaryota > Metazoa > Chordata > Mammalia > Primates > Hominidae > Homo > Homo sapiens. Next base: position 94,771,145 of record NC_000012.12, on the reverse strand, counting down.
ACATACTGCCTTTGTAGTTATAAAAAGCCGTTGACAATAGAAAGTAATAAAAGTGCAGTTTGGCTAAAGGCCTCGGCCAAGTGCCTGAGAGCCCAAGAGTGGAGCTCAGCAGAAACAAGGCTGTTCTTTTTCTCATGTGTGCGTGTGTGCATTATTTCATTCAACAAATACCTGTTGTGTTTGCAGGCATATGTTAATCCACGCATCACACAACCATGGAGCACTTACCATTGCCAGAGGCTGTGCTGAGGGCTGTAGGTACAGAAGCCTCAGCTCCACAGATGAGGAGCCGATTGTCATGGAGCGTCTCTTCTGTTGGAAAGAAACACAAGCAGATAAACAAACAAGAGAATTGTAGATAGTACCAAATGTTTTGAGGAACATAGCCAGGGTATTTTAATAGAGAGTGACTGGGCAGTCAGGGGTGATCTCTGAGGAGTTCACAGCTATGGAAAGACCAGGAAGAAAAATAAACATGAAAATGCCCTGAAGTAGGCACCTGCTTGGCTTTTGAAGGAGAAAGAAAATAAGTCAAGTGTGTCTAGAGCCTGGGGGAGTGAGGCTCCCACCTACATCTCTAACCTGATCATGTGTCTTGCTCCCCCAGGCTACCTACAGCCCCCATATAGTGTTATTGTCAGGATTAACTGAGATAATACACAGTGCCTGACAAATTAAACCAGCCTTAAACATTTTTGTGAGGTAATCAGGAAAAGTGGAGCACAAACGGGTTATTTGGCTGTATCAAGGATTTATTATCAATTTTTTAGGCATTATGACATTTGAATGTTTATGTTAAACAAAGGTCCTTATCTTTTAGAGGTACATGTTAAACTACTCATGAATAAAATGTTATAATGTTCAGGATTGACTTCAAAATTACCCATGGGGAGGGAGGCAGTGGCTGGGGGGATGACCCTAAGTTAATGATTAATAAAGCTGTACTCTGGTTACATGGAATCCATTTTAACATTCTCTCTTTTGTATGTTAGAAATTTTTATGATAAGAAGTTTCAAGTTCACACATCAATAAAAGTTTGGTGGAAGATGAGCCCACAGTAAATATCTCTTAAGTCTTCTTACTTCTGGAGATGCAAACCCACAAGCAAACTCTCCCTTTTCTGTGACATTCACTATTCCGCCTTTCTCGGATGTTAAGCTTCCTTGCAGAGGCTATTTTGAGGTGTGTGTCAATGCATGGGGCCATCTGTCATGAAGGAGTGGCCGAACGTTTTGCTGTCACAGCAGCAGAGGATGTTTTACTTAATGACTTTTAAATTATGCTTTGCATTTTCTAAGATAGTGTCTTCTGTGGGGAATAAGCTCACTGGATAGCACAGTTTGCTTTTAAATTGGGTCCAAGCCTTTTCAAAACATTAGATTAGAGTCTCACCTAAACTGTCTTTCAGGAAAGGCAAAGGATATGTATAGGGGAAGAAAGGCAGTAGGCCGAGAAACATGAATGGCCTCAGTTTTCTTTCAGCCTTCTCCTTAACAAGCTACATGGCTTTGGACATGTCATTTAGCTTCTCTGAGCTTCAGTTTCCACATGTAAGGAATAAGAGAATTGGACTAATTTCTCTGGTCCCTTCCAATTCTAAAAATCTCCTTCTTACTGATAACTTTCTCACTAAATATATTCATGTTCACTGGAGAAAATCAGGAACATGTGGAAAAGGCAAAGACAGAAATAAAAATCACCTTCGCTCTACCACCCAGAAGATAACTATTTTCAGTGCCTGTATATGTTATTCTTCTTAAGAATCAAATTCATGCAACATATTTTGTTGAACAACTAATCGGTACGTTGCATCAACCATTGAAGGAACGTAAAGATAAGCAGATGTGGTCTCTTCCCTCAGGAGTTGGTAATTTTATGGCCAGCACAGTTTCCTGCTGCTTTACATAAGGGGCACTCCCCATGAGAGAGAACCTTGCGTCCGGCACTACACTCTGCTGAGTTTTAATGCTGTTTGCATTGTTATTACACCCGTATTTGAAAACTTTTTTTGAATATTATTTCTTCCGATTATGTGCAGAGGTAGAGCTCTTATGGGCAGGCTAATGCGTAAAGGGTAGAATTTTCCAAGAAAAGCAACAGATGCTCTTAAACCAGACTTTCTTTATTATATTCATTTTCTTTGGCTGCCTGCCTCTAACATATCAGCACTGATGCGGAGAAGCAACTTGTCTGCTTTGAATTTCACCTGCTGCCCTTGGGCCACACACAGCCTCCTCTGATGAAGCCTAATGGGCAATGCTGCAGTCAGGGAGCTGGAAGGCCGGCAGAGGAGGAGAAGGCTTTAGGTGCAACGGGGGGAATCCGGAAGCTAGCCCTCCTTCCCTGGGACAATTCACTTTGCAACAGGAGGCAGCAAGAAAACCTAGAAATCTGGCGAAAGTGGTGAAAGAGCACTGAAGGGAGGGAGGAGAGAGGAAAGGGTGGGGATGTGGAGAGACCAACTTATTTGGTTGAAATGTGCATATATTTGGCTGAAATGTGCATTCAGCGTGTCAGGGCTGCTGTATTATTCATGAAGCTCTCATGTGTCTTTTTCCACACCAGTTTCAAAGAGGAGATGTGTGATCCGAGCCTGGCAGAGTGCCCTGCTTACACAGCACCACCCCAGTACCCTGCCCTCACTTCAGGGGAATCTGGGTCTGTAGCCACAGCAGTCAAGAGTGGGGATTTTGCATTATTCTCACCTTCCCTGAATGTAGCATTCCTGTACCCACAAATGGAACATCAGTTCAAATAGTAAATATTGTATTTAAATTTTCTATCACAAACTTTGGGCATGTCTTTGAGTTTAGCATAGATGAATGTTCGCCATCATTCCATTATTTGAAAAAGTTCCTTAGCGCCCCCTCCCTCCCCTCTACGAATGGAATTTGCCTTCCAAGGTGCAGGAAAGAGACATGAAAGAAGAAATAAATATTTTTGATGGCATGCATTTGAGAATTTCCTAGTTCTCAAGGAATTCAGGCCTGACCATAACTTATTGGGTGTTTTCCAGAAAGGCAGTTAGAAACAAAGAATATGCAGAGAAGGAAATTCAAGTCCCATAACACAAATGGACATTGGAAAATCTGCCTTCCTCTTTTTTTTGTTTTTGTTTGTTTGTTTGAGAGGAGTTTCGCTCTTGTTGCCCGGGCTGGAGTGCAATAGCACAATCTCAGCTGGCTGCAACCTCTCTCCCGGGTTCAAGCAATTCTCCTGCCCCAGCCTCCCAAGTGGCTGGGATTATAGGTGCCCACCACCACGCCCAGCTAATTTTATATTTTTAGTAGAGATGGGGTTTCACCATGTTGGCCAGACTAGTCATGAACTCCTGACCTCAGGTGATCCACCCGCCTCGGCCTCCCAAAGTGCTAGGATTACAGGTGGGAGCCACTGCTCCCAGCCACCCTTCCTTTTAAGAGGGACACAGACAACAGGGAGCATGGGAACTTTGACGGTGTTCATCCTGGAAGGGAAAGTTCTGGAATAACACTTGGCCATCTCCAGATACTTGGAGGCTGTCACATGGAGGAGGAATTAAACTTCCTCTGCACATGATGCAAAAGTGTTGAACTGATTTATTAGTGTGTGAAAACAACAGACAGATTTTTCTTTAGGAAACATTTATAGGGTGATATACAAAGATGGAAGATCTTTCCACAGAGAACTAGAAAGTTTCTGGTCCCTTTAGGCAAAGGTTAGGAGACTGCTTCCCCCCCGCCACCCCTGTCCCACCCCCTGCCCACTGATTCCACCCTCCTCTTGCTTGCTGCCCTCTCAGCACATATCTTTCTTCCAGTTCCCCAAAGGAACCAAACCTTTTCTACATCATTACCTCTGTGTGGAGGTTACCCACCCTTTCAACATGCTAAAGTTTGTTTACCTTTAGGCTTCAGTTTAATTGTTACATCCTCCTATCTATATGTCTTTACTGGCCCCTTACCTAAAGACGGTCTTACTGTGAAACCATGCCATAACGTCTCGTATTTTTCCTTTACAACACTTACCAAATTGGGCTGGGCATGGTGGCTCACACCTATAATCCCAGCATTTTGGGAGGCTGATGCAGGCAGATTGCTTGAGGTCAGGTGTTCGAGACCAGCCTGGCCAACATGGTGAAACCCCATCTCTACTAGAAATACAAAGAATTAGCTGGGCGTGGTGGCACACAACCATAGTACCAGCTACTCAGGAGGCTGAGGCAGGAGAATCACTTGGACCTGGGAAGCGGAGGTTGCAGTGAGCCAAGATTGTGTCACTGCACTCCAGCCTGGGCAACAGAGCAAGATTCCATCTCAAAACAAACAAAACCACTTACCAAATTGATGCATATAGACACACACATATATATAATATGTATATCAGATATATGCACACAGTATGCTTACATGTATGTAAAACAACACAAATATACACAAATATAATTTGTGTAACCATTTGTTTAATGTATGTTTCACCACTGGAAGGTTTGCAAGAAATACCATGCCTGTTTTATTCATTCCTTCTTCTGTTGTGTACAGTGCTCGGAGTGTAGTAGATGCTCAATAAATGTGTCAAATGGCTGGATGAATTAGCAATATTCATGCACCAAAGTATCATGATTCTTGTTACTCTAAGAGTGGGATATGAACCACTGGAGATGACTTTAGATGTGACCTGAGTCTAGCACTGGATAATATTGTATCACCTTGAGTGAAAGTACTTTTATTTTCAATTTACTTTCAATCCCTCTGATGTTATTAAAGAGAAAAGCATGGTTTGATGATGGTCTTTAATCACTGCTGACCACTTGCCAGCCTCCCTGGTCTACACAGTGAGATCAGGCCTCAGCCAGCAACACTGTCTAACTGGACTTCAATAACATGTTTTGTTTCTATTGCATTATTCATAGGTTACCTTTTATTTGTGACACATGATATTGATTTTTCTTTTATGGAAGTGACACAAAGTCTCCTTTTAAAACAAAACTATATAAGTAAAAATGTGAGTATATTTAAGAGAAATATTAAGGAAATAGTAGTACAGTTATGATATATTAGTGGTTCTTGAATTACTGAAATTTTGGTTTTTGAAGTGTTTGAAGTTTTGGAACTACCTAGAAGGTCACTAGAGTCCAAGATGCACTCCTGAGTCCATCCCCAAACTAGTGCAGGACCATGACAAAGTAAATGCAATGAAGTGAGTTTCTCCCAAAGCTAAGTTGGTTCATTGTCATTCTGATAGCATGTTCTTTTTTGAGATTAAAGTATCTTTTCCCCAAATAGATGATGATTTTTAAAAATTGCCCCCAAATCTGGCTGGGCATGGTGGCTCATGCCTGTAAGCCCAGCACTTTGGGAGGTTGAGGTGGGTGGATCACTGGAGGTCGGGAGTTCAAGAGCAGCCTGGCCAACATGGTGAAACCCCGTCTCTACTAAAAATACAAAAATTAGCCAGGCATGGTGATGTGTGCCTGTAATCCCAGCTACTTGGGAGGTTGAGGCACGAGAATCTCTTGAACCTGGGAGGCGGAGATTGCAGTGAGCCAAGATTGTGCCACTGCACTCCAGCCTGGCAATAGAATGAGACTCCGTCTGGAAAAAAAAAAAAAAAAGTTGCCAGTAAAATCTTGTTTGCCTCCTGTGTGAATAATATGAGAGCAGTTGGTCCCACTCTTGTGTGTGTGCGTGTGTGTGTGTGTGTGTGTGTGTGTGTGTGTGTGTTGGTCCCCAGTGCAAATGCAGATGTGTCATGCATACTACCCTAAAGTAAAAAGCATTTGTGTGTTGTTTTCCCTTTATTTCAAATAGGGATTGCAAGTATCATATTTATAAAAAAAAAGATTGTGAAAATAATTTCTAGATATGGTGAGCACTGTATAAGGGATGTCATAGGAGAACGAGATGGTTGGGGGAGTAGAGGGTACTAGGGGGAGGGTGTTTCTGTAGTAGTTTCTTCCATTGGAGACAGAATAGGGATGGGAGGGGTCTGAGGGCAGTGGCTCCTAGATGGCAGGATGAGCATTTGGGGGGCAGCAGCCTCCCCATTTTCTGAGATAGGTGGTGTCAGAGGTTGGGCAAGGAGGAGAACAGGGGTTGGCAGAGGAGAGACAGGCAGGTCATCTGTGGAGGGATCCACACTTCAAGTGCTGCTGGACACAGGGAGGCTCCTGTGCCCCAGGCATCAGCCTGGAAAGAAGTTAGCCTGTTGCAACATTGTCGTAACTGCTGCCTTTCTCGCTGTTTGTGTCTGTGCCGAGTTTGCTTTGCTTATAGAACCCAAACTGCGGTTGGACTCTTAGGTCCCCATTAGAAATTTAGCAGAAATCATAAGACCAGAGAGATTATGGCCTTACTGATTGCATCAGTTTTGGCAACTGCCTAATTAGAAGCATCCAAAGAACGAGACCTTTAAAATGACTTATACTTGTTATAACCCATGATCAGCCTTTGGCTTCTCATTTGAAGCTGCTGCCTGCGGTGGCATCATAGTTAGATACTTACTGTATCTAACTGATACATAGCAGGGACTATGATTTTCTCTCAGACTTAAACCATGGTCAGCAGAACTATATTTTGCTTTTGAAAATCAGAACTCTTTCAAGGTAACATGCTTCAAGAGGAGTGATCTTCTCCCCTCCCTAAAATCCAGATGTTATACTTCGAAGTTAAAAACAACTGGAAACTGAAAAGTCTAACTGCAAGCCGCCTTCTCTGCTGTTAAGCAGTCAGCGTTCACCTACAATGGTCTTTCTCTGTTTTTGCCAGTAGGTGGTGACAGTGCTGTCTGTGCAGTTTACTTAAGTCTCTTGTTATTTATTTATTATTTAAATAATACCTCTCTCTCTCTCTCTCTCTCTCTCTCTCTCTCTCTCTCTCTCTCCGTCTCTCTCTCTCTCTCTCTCTCTCTGTCTCTCTCTCTCTCAACAGAGTCTTGCTCTGTTGCCCAGGCTGGTGTACAGTGGTGGGATCTCATCTCACTGCAACCTCCACCTCCCGGGTTCAAGAGATTCTCCTGCCTTAGGCTCCCAAGTAGCTGGGATTACAGGGACCTGCCACCACACCCCGCTAATTTTTTTTGTATTTTTAGTAGATACAGGGTTCCACCATGTTGGCCAGACTGGTTTTGAACTCCTGACCTCAAGTGACCCACCCACCTTGTACAAATACATACATATTATAGGAAGAATTAGAAAACAGATAAGCACAAAGGGAGTTGGGGGGTGGGGGTTGGAATTGTATAATCCCACCATCTGTAGATAATCACTGCTGAAGTTCAGGCATACACAGCCTTTGTGGTAAACTGACCTAAGCCAGTTTAGTGGTTCACAGCTAATAGGTTATGTATGGTTGATACCAGGAGCCTCCAGTGATGACAGATCTCTACTCCACAACCTCTGTAAGGGTGAAAGGAGAAAGCAAGAGCAGTTCTCAAACCAATCCTGCTACGGGGACAAACATGCATGACCAAGCAGGCACACAGCCTGTGCTGTAAACTGCGCTGGAGAGGCCCAAGCTCCCAGCTTTCAGCCGCTTAGACAAACACCTTGCATGAAAGGCTCTCCTGTGGCCTGTGCAGCAGCAGTGTTGTAGCCATAGCATTGAGCTAACTTTACTTAGAGTCACGCAGGCCACAGAATCCTCCATAACGTAAGACTGGAGGGATGGAGGCTGCTGGCGTTGCTGAATTCTCACACCCTGGTCATAAGAAGGCGGAGTGGCCTGTACAGCATTTCCAGCTGATCCATATACAGCAAGTCCTCAAATGATGTCATTTCAATCGGTGTCATTTCATGATCACCTTGATGAGAAAGTCTGTTCCTGGCTGGGGCCCCTGTCTGTGTGGAGTTTGCACATCCTCCCACATCTGCATGGGTTTTCTCCAGGTCTCCCAATTTCCTCCTACATCGCAGAGATGTACATGTTTGGTTAACTGGCATGTGGTCCCAGCCTGAGTGAGAGAGAGAGAGCGTGTGTGTGTGTGTGTGTGTGGCAGGGGTGTGTGTGGTGGGGGTGTGGGTCTGAGTGCACCCTGCTAGGGGATGTATCCTGTCCAGGATGGGTCCCAATGTTGCAGCCTCAGCTGCCGGGACAGGCTCCAGCTACCCTTGACCCTGAAACAGGAATAACTGGGCAAATAATTATCTTCCTTGTGTTTATTAACCTTACTTAAATGTATGTATAGCTCACATGTATTTCAGTGTTTAATATTATAAATGTTTTGGTTTTTATTTAGAAGTTTTGTGATTTTTTTTGTGATCAGAAATATGCCATAAGAACTTAGCTCTTGTTGATCTCAATTAGCCTGTGGCAAAATCAGTTTCACTATATGTTGTTTCACTGAAAGTTGCAGTTTCCTGTTGATGACATGAAGTGAGCCCTTACTGCACTGTCGTGCATTGCTTAACAACAGGGATATGGTCTGAGAAATGTATCGTTAGTCAATTTTGTCATTGTGTAAACATCATAGTGTACTTATACAAACCTAGATGGCATAGCCTACTACACACCTACACTATATGCTGTAGCCTGTTGCTCCTAGGCTAAAAACCAATACAAAGTGTTACCATACTGAATAGGCAGTTGTAACATGGTGGTATTTGTGTATTTACACATATCTAAACAGAAAAGGTACAGTAAAAACACAGTGGGTTATAAAAGATTAAAAATGGCACACCTGTATAGGGCATTTACCATGAAGGGAGTTTATAGGACTGGAAGTTGCCCTGGGTGAATCAGTGAGTGGTAAGTGAATGTGACCACTCACACAAGTGTAAACTTTAAACGCTGTATACTAAGACTACACTATATTCATTTAAAATTTTTTCTTTAATAATAAACCTTAACTTACTGTAACTTTAAAAATAAATTTTAAGAAACTTTTGACACGTTCATAATAACACTTAGGACACAAATATATTGGATAGCTATACAAAAAATAGTTTCTTTATATCCTTATTCTGTAAGCTTTTTTCTATTATTTATATTTTTACTGTTTCAATTTTTTGTTATAAACTAAGACACGAACACACACATTAGCCTTGGCCTACACGGGGTCAGGATCATCAGTTTCACTGTCTTCCACCTCCACGTCTTGTCCCACTGGGAGGTCTTCAGGGGCAATAACACATTTGAAGCTGTCATTTCCTATGATAACAATGCCTTCTTCTGGAATATCTCCTGAAGGACCTGCCTGAAGCTGTTTTACAGTTAACCTCTTTTTTTCATAAGTAGAAGGAGTACACTCTAAAATAACAATAAAAAGTATAGCATAGTAAATACATACACTGGTAACATAGTTGTTTTATTATCAGGTATTATGTACTGTACATAGCTGTATGTGCTACACTTTACACAAATGGAAGAGTAGTAGGTTGGTTTCCACCAGCAACACCACAAACACATGAGTAATGTATTACGCTGCAGCATTATGACGGCTGTGAGTCACTAGAGGAGGATGGGAATTTGTCAGCTCCATTATAATCTTAAGGAGCCACCATTGTTTCTACACAGTCCATTGACTGAAACGTAGTTAAGCAGTGCATAACTGTATTTTGAACACCTATTTTCATCCAAAATAATTTCTAATATCCACTATGCTTATTAACAAACCGTCTGATGTTTATTAAAGATAAAGGCAGCCGAAGCCTTATAATAGCCAATTTTTTTGGAAATACCAATTTTTTGTTAAAGTCTTTCAAATGCTAAGCAACTGCCCCTAGAGTATAAATTAAGACTCATACACCTATATACCATACTGTTTGTGCTGGAGTATTTTAAAGAGAATTAGAGACACTTTTTCGATTTATATGTGTGTGTAGGTGTGTATAAATTGCTTAACACATTTTAATTTATGGTCATTGTGTATGTATTAACAAAAGTGACATCACATGCTATATAATATATAGTTTCATAACCTACCTTTTTCTTTAATAACATAAATATATTTCTAAATCAAAATAACTGTGTTATCAGTTTTAATGACTGCATACTATTCCATTTTATAACATAATTTACTCACAGCTCATTATGAATGGACATTTGTGGTTTTAGTAGCTTTTATTATTATAGGCATCACTAGAAAGATTGTCTTGTACATATTTCTTTGTGTCCATGTTTATTAGGACGCATTCCTAGAAGCAGAATTGCTGAATCATAGGGTCTGCATGTTAGACAAATGTTTTAAATAAGATTTCAAATTACTTTGAAAGAATGTTGCAATCTATACTCCTACCAGCATCTGCTTTCTTAGATACTCTCCCACACTGGAAAGAATTTCAAACTTTTTTGCCCATTTGATAGGTAAAAAAAACGATAACTCATGTTACTCTCACAAGTGAGGTTAGACTTTAAAAAAAGTTTGCAGTCTATTTATCTTTGTATTGTTATTTCAAATATTTGTAGTGTAGGAAAATTAACCTTCTATACATCTCTCGATCCATTGCCAAGTGCCTTAAAATTATTTATTTTTAGATTGGGAAATGTAAAGTCAACTTAAAGCAGTTGAAATCATAACATTTCCTAACTGAAGCTGCAGCTTAAAGTGGGGCAGTGTTTGAACTGTGCCATTTCTGGTCTCCCGCCTCAGTGACCAGAAGGGCATTGGTTTTAGACCCTCCTTTCAGAAGGGATGAATGGTGAGGTGCTCAGGTCCTCTGCATTCAAACCTGCCACAGTAATATTAACACAACACAATATGAAATAGAGGTTACAGTTCTTGAGTTAATTTGGTGGATGTAGACAGCCGAAGAGATAATTTAACCACCAGAGGGATATTTTTTTCAGCAGAATTATCTAGTTTCTTGTCGAGAATCGATTAATGAGAAAATTGCCATGTTTTCAGTTCATTTGCTCATGTGTTTTAAGGAAGTGGTACAAGAGAATAATATTTTCTCCTCCTCCCACTCCTTCCACATTTTAGAATTCATCCTATGGATCCTGGGTCAAGATAGTTCTGAGAGGGGCTTTCCTACATTGTTTAGGCCAGGGGTCTCCAACCCCCACGCTATGAACCGGTACCGATCTGTGGCCTGTTAGGAACCAGGCCACACAGCAGGAGGTGAACGGTGGGCGAGCAAGTGTTACCGCCTGAGTTGTGCCTCCTGTCACATCAGCAGTGGCATTGGAATCTCATAGAAGCGAGGACCCTATTGTGAACTGTGCATGTGAGGGATCTGGGCTACACACTCCTTATGAGAATCTAATTAATGCCTAATAATCTAATAATGATATGATATCTAATAATGATAGAGAACAATTTCATCCTGAAACCATTCCCCTCCCCTCATCTATGTCCCTGGTGCCAAAAAGGTTGAGGACTGCTGGTTTAGTCATGTGAAAAGAGGACCAGCTTCCAAATGTAGGTGACCTTCTGCTGCGTGGCCTCCAAGAATCTTCTCTCTCCTTCTTTTTCCACCTGTCACCTGATGCTCAAAACTCCTTTTAAAAAGATGGGCTCTCTAAATGAAGGATTTTTTTATTTAGAGATAGGGCCTAGAATTAAAATACATTGAAAGGGAAGGAGCTGGGTGCGGTGGCTCATGCCTGTAATCCCACCACTTTGGGAGGCCAAGGTGGGCAGATCATGAGGTCAGGAGATCAAGACCATCCTGGCCAACATGGTGAAACCCCGTCTCTACTAAAAATACAAAAATTAGTCGGGCATGACGGCACGTGCCTGTAGTCCCAGCTACTTGGGAGGCTGAGGCAGGAGAATTGCTTGAACCCGGGAGGTGGAGGCTGCAGTGAGCCAAGATCGTGCCACTGCACTCCAGCCTGGGCGACAGAGCAAGACTCTGTCTCAAAAAAAAAAAAAAAAAAAAAAAATGAAAAGAAAGGAAGGAAGAAAGGGAAGAATGATTATAAACTCACACAGAAGTGTACATGTTTTACATTAGATCTTTCTGAGAGGAGGATTGAGCTCCAGAAAGGGGATGAAGTGAGATCCACCAAGAGGAAAGAAAACCCAGAAAGGAGGAACTGGGGTGTAGAGGACAACACAGTTTGGTCTAAAACTCGCCTTGGATGAAAGGGACCTTTTCCAAAGTCATTATACGAAAAAGATATGTGCACACACGTTTGTGGCAGCACAATTCGCAATTCCATTGTGAATTCCATTATATATATATATTTATATATATATAATTCATATATATATTTATATATATAATTCATATATATATTTATATATAATTCATATATATATTTATATATAATTCATATATATATTTATATATATAATTCATATATATATTTATATATATAATTCATATATATATTTATATATATAATTCATATATATGTATATATATAATTCATATATATATAATTCATATATATTTATATATATATAATTCATATATATATATATGAAATACTACTCAGCCATAAAAGGGATGAATGAATGGCATTCACAGCAACCTGGATGGGATTGGAGACCATTATTCTAAGTGAAGTAACTCAGGAATGGAAAACCAAACAGCGTATGTTCTCACTCATAAATGGAAACTAAGCTATGAAGATACAGAGGCATAAGAATGACACAGTGGACTTTGGGGACTCAGGGGAAAGGGTAGGAAGGGGGTGAGTGATAAAAGACTACAAATTGGGTTCAGTGTATACTGCTCGGATCATGGGTGCACCAAAATCTCACAAATCACCACTAAAGAACTTACTCATGTAACCAAATACCACCTGTTCCCCCAAAACCCATGGAAATAAAAAAATTTAAAAGAAAAAGAAAAAGAAAGGGCCCTTTTCCACTGTGCCAGTGGTATTTGTAATGGAACAATTTCTGAGTAAATGGATACTTTAATGATTTAATCTAGCTTATTTTTCAATAAAATATTCATTGTATTCCCTGGTGTTCTGCTCAGGAAAAAAAAAAAAGTTCTCTCTTGCTCTGACTTTCTCTCTGGCCAAACTAAGAAATGTAGAGCAGATATTTAGTGAAAACTTGGTTTTTCGCAGATGCTCTCCTTTAAAAGAATGCCCTTCTCCTCAGATGAGTCCTGTGGAATGAGACACCTGCTTCCCACCCTTGAGAATTCCTGAAGCCCCTTTCTCTGCAGTGTCCCGTATCTTTGAACACCATCCTTCAGTTCTTGTACTTTTACTGTTTGCTCACACTGCCCCACAGCTCTTACTCCCTTCACTTCAAGTTGAAACACCTTCTCTCCTAGTTGAAACACCCCACATTTGTTTCTTCTTCAAAGTCTTCCTTCAGTCCTGTCTCCTGAACTCATGTGGCTCTTGTATTCCAGCGGTGCTAAGCTGTTTTGAGCAGATGCCTTCTCTAAAACCTCAGTCGTTTTGTACCCATAACTTTCCAATTAGTATACTTTTTTTTTTAAAAAAAGGTTATTATTATTATTATTTGAGATGGAGTCTTGCCCTGTCGCCCAGGCTGGAGTGCAGTGGCGTGATCTCAGCTCACTGCAACCTCCGCCTCCTGCGTTCAAATGATTCTCCTGCCTCAGTCTCCCAAGTACCTGGGATTACAGGCGCCCGCCACCACGCCCGGCTAATTTTTTTGTATTTTTAGTAGAGACGGGGTTTCACCATGTTGGCCAGGCTGGTCTCGAACTCCTGACCTTGTGATCCACCCACCTCGGTCTCCCAAAGTGCTGGGATTACAGGCATGAGCCACCGCGCCCAGCCAAAAAATATTATTTTTTAAATATAAAAGGAAGATATCCTCATTGTAAAAAATGTGAATACAGAGTAAATAAGAAAATGAAATTGCTTCTCCCCACCCCTACCCCACCAGGTCTGATATGCCTTAAGTGTTAATGGTTTGTTGTTTATCTTCTCAGGCTTTTTCTGTTTATATGCAAACGTTTTTATGTGTAAAAAATATGTAAAATTATTTCTACAAAAACAAGGATACATTATTCTGTAACTTACCTTTTAAAACTTAATATGCTATATATAAATTTTATTTTTTTCATGACTCTATTGTTCTAGCATATGGCTACACCATAGCTTATTTAAACAATGTCCTATTGATGCACATTTAAGTTATTTCCAGTGTTTTATTATTACATTGACGTGATAAACATCTTTTTTACAGAGATCTTTTGATATGTTTTCTGGCATTCCTGTCAGCTGAAATACCAGAAGAGGAACATCTGGTTCAAGGAGTATGCACATTTTAAATACTAATAAATATTGCTGGATTGCCCTCTAGAGAAACTGTACTTACACACTCCTACCGGCAAATCATTCAGTCTCAAGGTCTCAGCTTGAGTGTCACCTTCTTAAGGAAACCTGCCTTGTCATCTTTACCCCCAGGCAGTATGGAATGCCCTTCCTTTCTTCTAAAGGAAGAATACTCCCCCCAAAACACTCTGATGTCCTTGAATTTTGGTACTCATCCCACTATTTGAATATTTGTTATATAATCTGTTTCCACCACTGGACTTTGAGTTCTTTGTTTCTCCTTTTACATTTTTTTGTTCCTAGTTTTAAAAGTAACACGTGTTCACTGTATATAATTCCAGCGTCGTGGAACTATCTTACATTAGGGAAGTGTCTATTTTGGATAGTCACCCTGTATCATCCTGTGCACCCCTCTCTCATTACCACTTCCAGCATGGACCATAAAAAACACATACATACTCGCCCACAGGCCTGGGTTCCTGGAGAGAAGGGCTCATGTCTTTTTGATTTTCTATTTTTATTTTATTTCTTAAGAGACAGGGTCTCACTGTAACCCAGGCTGGAGTGCAATGGTGCAGTCACGGTTCACTGCAGCCTCCAACTTTGGGGCTCCAGTGATCCTCCTGTCTCAGCCTCCTGTGCAGCCAGGACTACAGGTATGCACCACTATGCATTTAAAAATTAAGCTAAATTAAAAATAATTTTTTTGTAGAGATGGGATCTTGCTCTGTTGCCCAGGCTGGTCTCAAATTCCTGGGCGCAAGCCATCCTTCCACCTTGGCCTCCCAAAGTGGGATTACAGGTGTGAGCCACTGTGCTCGGCCTATGTCTTTTTATTTTTGTGTTCTAGCACTTAATATGGTAGCTGGTACATTGGACATGCTCAGTAAATGTCACCTCAATGAATGGGAAATAAGCCTCTCCTTAGAAAACATGGTAAGTTACATAAGCACCTGTAATAGGTACTCACATGATTTATGGATTATTTTTGCTTAGCTTTCTTTAAAAAGAGGTGGCTTTGCACAGTCTCCTACACTGCCCTCAACAGAAACTCTAAAGCTGATGAAATTCACCCTCTTCTAAATGATTTCGTTCCATAGCCATTAGGAACTATTTAGTTCCTCTAACAAAGCAAATGCAGGAGCCTGGAAAGCAGTTATTAGCTGAGGTAGATTGGTTTACCGATGTGATTTGTTGCTATGTGTGTTTATTATCCACTGTTTCTGTGCTCATGAAGTCAATATCCCCTGCATTTGCTGAGCCAGGCAATCTGGTGAAATAAGAAGTGAAGCCAGGCACTGTTCAACTCCCGAATCTAGCAACAGCCATAATAATAGCTACCATATATTGAGTGCCTACCATGTATTAGGTATGTTTTACATGCCATTTAATCCTCGTAAAAACCCTATGAAGAAAATATTGTTTTTCTCTAGGTTGCAGATGATATTCAGCCACAGTGAAGTAAACTTTCCAAGGTTACACAGCTATTAAGTGGTAGTGTCTGGCTTTGAATCCAGGTCTTTTTGGCTAAAAGCCATCTGTACTCCCTTTTATTTTATTTTTAAAATTTTGTATTTCCATAGGTTATTGGGGAACAGGTGGTTTTTTAGTGGTGATTAATGAGATGCTGGTGCACCCATCACCCAAGCAGTATATACTGCACCCCATTTGTAGTCTTTTATCCCTCACCCCCTTCCCACCCTTTCCTCCTGAGTCCACAAAGTCCATTTTGTCTTTATTATGCCTTTGCATCCTCATAGCTTAGCTCCCACTTATGAGTGAGAACATCCAATATTTGGTTTTCCATTCCTGAATTATTTCACTTAGAATCATAGTTTCCAGTCCCATCCAGGTTGCTGGAAATGCCATTAATTCATTCTTTTTTATGGCTGAGTAGTATTCCATTGTGTACTCCCTTTTAAATCTTCCTTTCTTATCCTTTAACCTGCCAAATGGGCCTTCTATTATGGAACAGGAAAAGTGGATCATTTGATGGGAAATCTGGAGTCCTTTCTCTTGTTCATCAAGAAAACACTATTCAGATCTCCAAGAAAACACATCATCTTCATTTAACTTTGTTTTATTCTCCCCCTCTAAAATCATAGATCTCTAGAAATGAAAGAGATCAAGTTTACCAGTTCATATTCTCCTGGAGGGGGAGCAGGAGAGCCAATGACAGTATTACCTATTAAATATTTTCATTTTCATCCCAGTAGAGAGTCTCCCAGATTTCACTGCATGAATGAAAAATCTGGAGTTGCTTTGGATTTATATGGGTGCAAAGCTAGAGTCTAATAGAACTAAACACAATATGTAAATTATAATTTAGAATTAGAAACAGAAGGGTAGTCTGGTTCATGGACCCCATGAGGACACCTATATCATCGATTGCCCCAAAGCCATCCTCCGACCTGGAGGCTAAAGAGATCTGGTAGGTTCCTTTTTTTATTACATTCATTCTGTTCCAGGTGGTCAAACATTTCTTTTGTTTTTACTGACCTGTAGAAAAGGAGATGTGTGTCCACAATTTTGCCTACCCCAAGTTTTGGAGGAAATTCTTTGCTTATTACACCTTATCTAACGCCTCCAGTGGGACTTGGGGTTAGCACTTTGCAATGAGACATGTTAATGTGTCTTCAGTAAGACATATTCATATTAGATGGGGATAAGTAAAGATTATGATAACTTCATGTCATTTCAGGTCAGATTTTGCTTCCAAATGATTTGCACACACTTAGGAAAAAAATTTCTGTTTTCAGAACGTTTTGGATTTCAGAATTGCAGATAAAGGATTGTGGACCCATAATTTTCTCCTGTTTTGCACTGGCGGTAGTTTAACTTGTGGACCATCAAAAAAATATGTTTGAGAGAGGACCCTTATCACCTCTTTTGTTTAAAAAGCAAAATAAACTTTGTTTCCACCAAAATGCCTGCCTCCCCGACATTTAGGGGCTGCTGTGGCACCATTCCTGTGTGTGTCCCCTTGGTAGCTTAGTTCCAAGCTTGACAGTTCTCAGGGGTGGGGAGTTCTCTCTGCTCTCCCTTACCCTCACCCCAACCAGTCTCTTCAGCTGCATCCCGTTTCTCCTCTTCTAAGGGATCTGGAGAGTTGCTGGCTTCCATCATCTTCCGTGTGAGGACCGTCACAGCTTGCACTGCTCAGCAGGCAGCTTTTCTGGACACCACACTCTCCCCAAGCCTTTGTTTCTTGATTTTGGGAGCATTCGCCATGGAAACCATTTTGGCTCATCTTATCCCATTCCCAGGTGGTCTCCAAGGCTTTGCCCACACAGTGCCACAATGAAAAATGCAGCCTGGCTCACCGGTTTGCTTTTCACGTTTTCATTGCTTATTTGGCTCATGGCACAATCCCACGGAATCCTCTGCAGAGGGTGGTGTTGCGCCATTCCCTCTGACCCAAGTGTTGGCTCTCACTCTGCTCAGTGTGAGACACACCTTTCACACCCACAGTGATGCCTCACTGCATCCAAAGCCATTCTGAGATTAGCACAGTCTCAGGCCAGATGGTTTGATCAATTCCAATTCCTGCTCCCACGTTGGCTCCTTTAGGCCTCGTATGTTCCATTTAGCTGTTGTTTCTCCGGTATATGAAGTACATCAAGCAGTGAGTATCTTCAGCAACTGCCTATACCAGTAAGTATCTGGCTGTCGGTGGTGGTGGCTGTAGTTTGGCAGTACTACCAGCTTCTCCCAGCACCTGGCTTATCAGAATACAGGATTCATGCCATGTGGCTCTTACTTGGGCCAAGAGTCTTCAGTCAGCCCAGTGACTTAAGTTGCCAAGGAAACTGTGTCTAGTGAGACCTCAAGATTTACAACTCATTCCTAGGCTACAAGGTTTTCTCCAGAATTTTTGCTGACACAGTTTATTCCCATAACCTCCCAGCCCTGTGGGGTGTATAAATCTTTGAGCTTCTCTGGAGAATTCACTTTACTGCATGCAAGGCCTAGAATAGGGATCAAAAGAAGTTTGGCTTCAGGGGCCTCATGAACTTGGAAATTGTATGCACTATTTTGTGTGGATGTATGTATGGGCATTTTTTTTATGGGAAGAGGCTTGCACTGGGTGCTCAGCAGCATATTCTGAAACAGTGTAGACTTGGGAAATCTATTTAGTCTTCTGAGCCTCTGGAAAGTGAGGATAATACTAGATTCTGTCCCATTCATTTGTAATGAGGATAAAATGAGAAGTGCATATAAACTGTCTAGTACAGTGTCCATAAATATTCATAAATGTTAGCTATCATTTGACTGTGAGCCTCAAAGGGTTAAGATGATGTGACTGCCTTTCGTTCCTTAGGATTAGGTGGCAGATATAGAATTTGAAATCATTTTCTTTATGCTGCACAGAAAATCTTCACAGTACTGCCTGGTGTGATCTCCTTAGCATCCTTTTTGGTGGGTGGGAAAGAGTGCATGACTATCCTCTTTTACAGGTGAGGAAACTGAGGCTCACCATGATCACCTAGCTAATAAGGCTCCAAAAAAATAGGTCCTGCTCACAATCTGGTGGGACAAACAGATCCTAAGACAAGCAATTACAGACCACGATGAGCACCATCACCCTTGAAGTACAGGATGTTAAAGCATCTACGAAGGTCAGGGCAGGCTTCCTGGGGTGACAATCCGATCCCTGAAATGTGGGTAGGAATAGGTTAGGCAAACGAATGGACTTTGAGAGAGTGTTGCATGTAGAAGGAACAGCATGTGCTGATGCCTCGAGGGAGGGAGCGCTCATGGTTCGGGTGCCTCGCAGCAAGAGGGAGTGGGAGATGAGGCCAGGGGAAAGTTTCTTTTAACCCCTAAAAAAAAGGAGATGAATGTGCAAAGAAAAAGGAAAGGAAGGCCGGGTGCGGTGGCTCATGCCTGTAATCCCAGCACTTTGGGAGGCTGAGGTGGATGGATCACATGAGGTCAGGAGTTCGAGACCAGCCTGGTCAACATGGTGAAACTCCGTCTCTACTAAAAATACAAAAATTAGCCAGGCTTGGTGGCAGGTACCTGTAATCCCAGCTACTAGGGAGGCTGAGGCAGGAGAATCGCTTGAACCTGGGAGGTAGAGGTTGTGGTGAGCCAAGATCGTACCACTGCACTCCAGCCTGGGCGACAGAGCAAGACTGTCTTAAAAAAAAAAAAAAAAAAGGAAAGGAAAGGAATAGTGCAGACAAGTAACTTAAGCTAGGCTGTGTTGGCACACCTGCAAACATGCAGCCATTTAAAATAATTCTGAGGAAGACTAACAACACAGGTCGTGTTTGCTGTGTTAAGTGAGGAAGAGTGTTTATAAAACTGCCCGTGTATCAAGATTGCAGCTGCATAAAAACTAATCCTCAAATGACAGAGACTTACACGGAAGAAGGAAAGTAACTCTTCTGTTAAGGTGATAGATTTTAAAATGTATTTTAATGTCTTATTTTGTAAGTTTTGTTTTAGTTGCTCATTGTTTACAGTGCGTTGCCTGGGAGATCAGGATCCAGAGTTCTGCTGATCCCCCAGCCTCTTCAATTCCGATTCACTCATTTGATTCATTAATTCCTTAGTTCATTTCAGGCTTGCCCTGTTCCAGGCACCATGCTTGAGCCAGCAGGGATCAGTTGTGTCTGCGTGTCCATTACTGACTGGGTCATCTTTCAGAGAGCCCAGCCGCTCTGACTCTCCCAAGACCCATCCCTCCATGGCTACATAAAAACACTTGCTCCCTCACTTGTTCTCAGAGACACCTCTAATTAATACTTTCATTTTGTTCACGTGAGAAGAAGGAAAAGGCAGTACCAGTTGGTGAACATGGCACCTTCCGGGATCTAGAAGGCAGTAAGCAGGGAAATTAAGTAACTGGAGAAGAGACAACCAAAACAACTGGGTGTCAGGCAGACATGTCCGTTTGACCTGGTTTATTACTGCTTAGCGTCTAGTGCTTTTGCAGAATTGCCTGGCATCTTCTAAGCTTTCCACAGGGATCAAAGGCTTTGTTTGCTCCGAATGTTTTCTTAAGCAGTTAGTTGGAAATCTACCTTTTTGTGCATGTCAACGAGAAGAAAGCAGCAAGCTGCCATTAGATTGAGCATCAGCAAGAAACCTTGACCCCTTGGTGCTCTTAGCATGTGTACTGTGCAATTCCAGGGCTCTGAAGGCAGTCTCAGCACACAGGAACAGTTAAACATTTTGTTAATGTGTCTGATTTTTGCTTTAAAATGCTCCAGTACACATACACAGTGTAAGAGAAGAGATGAAATAAGAAGGGTGATGGATACATTAGTTCATTGTACCATTCCCTTTACCTTGTTTGTTTGAAAATCTTCATAAGAAAAAATTAAAATATTTGAAATACTGATAAGAGCAAAATACCAGAAATAAGTGTGAAGAGCCCCATGTGACAGTAACCCCTCTCATCCCTTTGGAGATGGCCAGCCCTAGATGCTGGGCCCTCCCTCCCCTGGACCCTCCACTTCAGTGGAGTGGGAGTTGATGAGTCAGGGAAGGAGAAGTGGCAGCTGCCTAGGGACACTGGACTCTCTACTGCTCTCTGAAGTGTGGTTTCAGGAGCTGCAGACTTCCCAAGGCCCCGGAGCAGTTAGTTCATCCTTTGCTTTCCATGATCATCTCTGAGTGTGTGTCTGGTTAGAGGTTAGGAAATTGTCAGTCTGTGCATTCAGTACGGACCGAGCACTGTTCTAGATGCTGAGGATACAGAGTGAGGTTTCTGCTCAGGTTGAGGGTACATTCTGCTGGGGGAACTTGACAATCAACATGGATGCTTGTCATTGAGCAAGACCATTTCAGTGCTATGAAGAAAATCACATAGGATGATACGAAGGTCAGGGAAGACGTGAGAGCCACTTTAGGTCAGGTGATTGGAGGAAACTCCTCTGAAGAGGCACTATTTGGGGTGACTCACAAAGGATGAGAAAGACGTAGCTGCTGTGCCTAAGGGGACAACTTTCCAAACAGAACCGCAGAGCCAGGAAGCAACCTTGGCAAGGCGGAAAACCAGAATGCGAGTGCCTGAAAGTTGAGTGTGTGGACCCTGATTCTGGTGGCTTTCTTCCTTTTCTTTACTCCCTTCTCTCCTTATTCATTTTAAAATTTGTTTCTTCCCAGAAATCTCCCATCTCTCTGGGTTCCATTTTCCAGTCATTTGTAGCTCCCCTCCCAGCCCCCGCAGATGTTCTATATTGACTTTTGGTTGAGGGGCCCTATACGGCTGAAATGAGAGCAGGCTCACAATAATGGGAAGATTTGTACAAATTAGAGTTGTAACACACTGCCAAGCAGTGCTTTCTTTGCTTTGGAAATGAATCTGAAGTCAGCCGAAAGCCCGTTAAAACCCACATCCAAATCTTCTACTATGTTTCACAAGTTGCATCAGAGATGTTTAGTTATAAAAGGAAACTTAGAAATTATGTAGTAATGAGGTATTGGTTTTGGCTCATCTGATTGTTAATTTTTTTAAAATGGCATTCCTTGTACGAGGGAGAGAACGAGAAGAGTACAAGCTGGTATTGGCCTTAAAAAATATACGTGCCCCTTCATCAAGAAATTCCATCTCTAGGAGTTTATTCTAAGAAAACAATCATGAAAATTGCAAAGATTTGTCTACAAAAATCTTCGACCAGTGTACATAATAGTTAAATGGAAAGTGATCTAAAAGTTGAACAATAGAAAACTGGTTAAATGAATTGTGGTACATCGCTTTGATAGAGTACTCTGTAGCCATTTAAAATGATATTGTAAAGTTAATGGCCTGGAAAGCTGTTTACGTTACATTTTATGTCAGGAATACATTTGGCTACAGCTAGTAAAAATTATTTCCATTGGGCTGATACAAATAGGGATTTATTTTTCTCACATAACAGGAAGACCAACGTAGGCAGCTTCTGGGGTTGGCTCAGTTGGTTCAGCAACATCAGCACCAACATCTCTGCTATTCCCATTAACTTTCTAATGCTTGACACCCGGTGGTCACCAGAGGCCTGCTGCAGCTATGGGCGTCCAGTTTGCTGCCAAAGTAGGGAGGGAGTGGGGGTTGGCAACTACGGCTTCTCTACCTTTACTCAGAAAAGCAAAACTGTTTCGAGTGCTCCCTAGCTGACACATCTTCGTATCTTATCAGCTAAAACCATGTCACCTGGCCACAGCTGGTTGCAAAGGATGTTAATAAAGTGAGTATATAGCTTTTCACAACTGTAGAGTATAGGCAGGCAAGGGAGATGAGGGTTGGAAATGAGCGTTGGGTCAGCTGACCCACAGGGTCTGCCCTCCAATGTTAAGTGAAGAATGTAGTTTGTGATCCCATTGAAGTGTATAAAGTAAAATGGGTAATCACGTAAATTTTTAAAAACTAGAAGGAAATGGCCGGGCACGGTGGCTCACGCCTGTAATCCCAGCACTTTGGGAGGCTGAGGCGGGCAGATCACAAAGTCAGGAGACTGAGACCATCCTGGCTAACACAGTGAAACCCCGTCTCTAATAAAAATACAAAGAAAATTAGTGGGGCATGGTGGCAGGCACCTGTAGTCCCAGCTACTCGGGAGGCTGAGGCAGGAGAATGGCATGAACCCAGGAGGCGGAGCTTGCAGTGAGCCAAGATCGCGCCACTGCACTGCAGCCTGGGGGACAGAGCGAGACTCCGTCTCAAAAAAAATA
Source organism: Homo sapiens (assembly GCF_000001405.40). Taxonomy (NCBI): domain Eukaryota; kingdom Metazoa; phylum Chordata; class Mammalia; order Primates; family Hominidae; genus Homo; species Homo sapiens. The sequence continues at coordinate 94,748,342 of NC_000012.12, read as the reverse complement.
AAAAAAATAAAGAAATAAATAAAACTAGAAGGAAATCCTCCAAAATTTTATTCCTGGTTATTCATTTTCTTGTTTTATATTTTCAATGTTTTATATAATGCAGAGTTAAAATGACTCTCTAACTCCCTATCAACCACCTTAAAAGCCCTGAAGCTCTGGGTGATGGGATTCTGAGTGAGATTATAGGATTATTTATCCTTTATTTAAAAAAAATTCTATAGAGTGAGCTGTCTTTGTTTCTCGTTGCTATAACAGAATACCACAGACTGGGTAATTTATAAAGAAATAATGAAGTATATTTAGCTCACCGCTTTGCAGTCTGGGAAGTCCAAGAGCATGGCACTGGCATCTGGTAAGGGCCTTCCTGCTGTGTCATGACATGGCAGAGGGCAAGAGCAAGGGAGCCAGAGAGAGCCCACACTGATAACACATTCACTCACAGTAACAAACCCACTCTCTCGATAGCAACATTAATTCATTCTTGAAGTCAGAGCTGCCATTAATCCATTCACCAGGGCAGAGGGATTAAGTTGCCAATAAATGGCAAAAGGAACTTCTGAGGGACACATTCAACCCATAGCATGAGCACATGTCACTTTTATTTTAAAAAACAATGAAAGATGGTTTTATTAAATGTTACCTCAAGACATACAAAAAGACATTTAAAATTTTTATTTTGCTTACCTCTATATTTCACACATAATTGAGAATCAAGTGACAAGGAACTTGTCCCAAGTCCCATATCCAGTGAGAGGCAGAGCTTGGCCAGGCCCCAGGTGTCTCAGTTCCCAGTAAAGGGATTCCTGCTATACTTTTTTTTTTTTTCAAATACGATTTCTTTACTTTGGGACCCATTCCAAATTGAGCATGGCCTTTTAAGTCCTCCTAACCAGCCATGTCCAAACTTCCTCCTCTTCCTTCTGTGTTGTGCTTGGCGTTCCCTGACAGATGATAAATGTCTTCTCCCATTCAAACTATTGACATTTAAGGTATATTGGCTGTGAAAGCTGTCAGAATCAAAATGGAGTCATTTATGTCAAAATTCTAAAAGATGGAGCCAGAGAAGGCCATGAATGAAGGGTTCTCATGCATGAGAACTGTCACAAAAGACTCTGCAAAAACACAACCTTGCACAAAGGCCCTTGCAACTTGACATATACAAAAAATACTTCTGTGAGAACATCTGCCCAGCAAACCCCTGTCTAACCCTGGACTGATGTCACCTTTGTTAATGATCCTTGTAGCCAAAGATAATTGTCTCAAAAAAATTATGGAATCTTCTTCATTTTTCCTTTAAAAGCCCTTGTCTTCCTTTGACCTCCCTGAATATATCCATGCACATTCCCATTGCAGTGCAACTCCCAAATAAGTATTATTTTCTTTGAAAGAGTCTCCCTCTTTGTCTGTTATTTAGGTTGACAGTTCATTGGCTGCTCAATCAGTCAGTCACTTGTCAATTGGTTATTGAACATTTATTGTCAGACACTGTTTTAGTTACTAGGAATATAATGGTGGACAAGACATTGTCCTTGACTTGAAAAAGTTCACATAGGCTCAGAAGGCTGAGGAGTAAACAAGCAGTTATAACACAGAGGGGTTCCTGCTGTGATCAGCAGGCTTGGGTACATAGAAGGGGTATGAATCTGGCCTTTGGGGTGGGGTCTTGGGAGGGATATGTTTCTAGGAAGGTCTCCATAAAGAAGTCATTCCAAGCAAAGATAGGAAAAAGAAAAAGGTGGTAACTCAGAAGAGGAGTGCAGAAAGACAAGGCAGGGAAGCTTTCCAGGCACAAGAAAACAATTGCAACCTTTCCTAAAGCATATCTGAAGGTGTAGGGTGCTAATATTTTTTCCTGGAAAATAGGTATTATGGTTAAATGAGGTTAGGAAAGCGTAACAGGTTTTTGCATGTCCCAGACTTTCTTCAGCTCTTTTTTCTGCATATTATATTACCAGACTGCCTTTCTCTTGAGCTCTTGGGCCTCATGATGTTCAATTCATCTCCAGAATGTCATTAAATCCTGTGACACAGACAAATCCAATTGTTTAAGTTTTTAATTGAAACATATTATTAGCCCTCCTTTTCCTCACTATTACTTTTTATCACATTTTGGAGCAGATTTTGAGTATGGAGTAAGAGAAGGCGTAATTCTGAGGATGTTTTCTAGAAACTGACTCTGTTACCTTCGTTTGGTTCATTGTAGAAGGAATGCTGTGAAGAAATGCAGTGGGAAGGATAAAAAGGTAAATCGGTTTAAAAATCTTTAGTAAATATGAATTTGATATAGTTTTTAGTAATCCTGGAGGTTCTTTTTAACACATCTGCAAGGTCGTAGAGTATACTTGGTCAGTGGAGAGTTGGCTTAATGCAGTATAAGGGCGGCATACAAACAGGTTTGAAGTTGCTTGCTAAGAGAATCCAGGAAAATAAGTTATCTCTTTAAGTTTGTTCCACCTGAGTGAGCCAACGCCATCATGCTCATGTCCAGTGGAGTCATTAGCAGCGCCTTAAAGAAGAGAAGCAGGAGTGCCAGGAACTGCCTGGCTCCTGCTCACCCTGGATTTGCCAGGATTCCTGCCTTCTGCCCTCCCTGCGGGTCAGCCCCGTTCAGCTCCATTGCCATATGCACTGAGTAACTTTTCATCCTCTGCAGTCTCCTCATTGCCTTTCTCAGGCAGCAATTCATAGCTTATGTTGGCTTTTCTCTCCTTATTTTCAAAGCTTTCTCTGGGTGGAAAAAGCAGGATATTTGGAGTCAGTCTGGGTTTGAATCCTGACTTACCAGCTAGGAAATTTTACTTAAAAGTGGGGATCATGAACAAGTCTATAAATTTTTGTGTGATGAAGTCTTGTTTCCTGTGAAGCTGTTTATTTTCCACCATTAACGAAGGATGTTGTGTAGTCTCGGTGCATCTAGGAGGACAAAACTGGGAGTCTTGGGGATAAAGTTAAAATGAATTTAAAGCTAAAGTTCAATTGGGGCTCTGTTTGTTTTTTTAAATTGTGGCCGGAAATTAGCCTCTTTGAGGTTTTTCCAGATTTATTTTCATGAACAAGTTAAATTTCAAATTGTCAATATTCAAGAAAACATGACAATGTTGTTGTTTAATAATAATAAAAATAAAATGACTCCAAAAAAATGGGGATCACTAATAACCTTGTCCTAAGACTACTGAGTTTGAGATATTATAAGTGCAAAATGGTGCATCTGTAGCTGCTTTAAGCCTTCATTAGCTCCCCTTTGCCCATGGAATAAAATCCAAGCCCTCTTAGATTAAAACTCGGGGTCCTCAGTCCCTCCCCTTGTCTTCCTTCCCACCCCCATTACCTCCCGCCCAATACCCCGGCTCCAGGCCACCTCTCACCTCCCTGCATCTGCTTTACACCGGCCCTTTGCTCAGCTAAAGGGTTGTTCGTTGTTTAAGACTCAACTGAGCAAAAGAAGCCGGGACAAAAGTGTACATCAGAAGATTCTGTTTTTATGAAGTCCAAGAACACACAAAACTAATCTGTAATGAAAGAATTCAGAAATCGGAGAAGGGGGAGGGATTGATAGGAAAGGGATATGCTGGAACTTTCTGGGGGTGATGGAAGTGTTTTAAACCTTGTTTTTGATGGTGGCTACACAAACATATGCAGTTGTTGAAACTTATGAAACTGAATACTTAACATCTGTGCATTTTGTTGTATATTAATAATACCTTTCAAAAAATAAGTCATGTACATAATCTTCTCCAGAAAGCTTTCCCAGGTGAAATTTAGCCTCTCTTTATGTCCCCAACTCCGTGCACTCATTTCTGTCCTTGCATTTAGTACACTGCATTGTAAGTGTCTCCTTTTTATGGGTTCTGTGCTCTTTTAGTCTGTAAGTTCCTGTAAGGATTCAGACACTTGCTACCTGTGGAACCTTGGGAATGCTGCTCAACCTTAACCTGTCTATGCCTAAGTTTCCTAATCTAAAAATGGGAAAATAATAGTGTTTCCTACATGGGGTTATTTTGATGATGAAATGAGGATATGTATGAAAGGACCCAGTATGTAGTAGGCACTCAGTAATTATTAATCCTGTAACAGGGCAGAAAATGTATTCACGTTACACTTAGTGCAAAGAAAGGATAGCTTTATTTCTATAGCTAGCCCAATCCTCATTTGAGCCCCTCTTTTCTCCTAAGCAGGATAGCAGAGGAAAACTAAGTTTTATTCCAGTCTGATAACTCTGTCTCATCTAACAATTTAAACACCTAATAAATTATTTTAGTAAGTATTGATGAGAACAAAATGCATATCACTCGTTTTCTTCAGGTTCACTAAGAGCTTTCTGCAGTACATTGATTTAGAAGGTAATGCACAGTTTGAACCATTTCTGATTCCAGAAAACAAACAAACGTGAAGAAACCCTACTGTCTCTTGGCAGTTTGCAAATAGGTCATTAGTATCAACCATTATTATGCAGGAAAAAAAAAGTGAGCAAACCTTTTGACCTGAGTGTGGAAAACAAGATCTTTCCCCTGATGTTCAGTATGAAGAATGCCCACTCAAGAGCTGGGGGCCTCAGGCAGGAAGAAGATTAATCATGTAGCACCTTCCACTGTGACTTGACTATGCTGCCTATTCCAGTGGACTCCAAACAAGTGTGCAGATTAATAATTCATGCTGGCAATGACTTTGACCTCCCTGAGTCGTCTCCCTGATTAGCCAAACATTTAGTCATGGCCATAGATAAAGAGTAATTAAAAACTAAGGTCTTCTTTCTAGCCATCTCTGCACCCAACTGTAGATAGATACATCCTGGCCTCTGGCTGAATGTCCTTAGGTTGAATCCTTTTCCTTTAGCTTCACCCTACTGCATTGATTATTTCCTGTTCTGATTGCCAATCTGCAGTGACGTGTTCAAACCATGCCTGTGGGTACAGGAAGGTTACCTGGTGTGGGCTGAGAGTTGTGGTCATGGCCCTCCGCCTATCCAGATTCATTCAGATTCTGTACCAGCCTCTGAGGAGTGTGTGGGTGTCAGATAGGCCGGGTATCTTATGTGCCACAGGCTTGGACAGATCTCTGAACCTTCCTGAACCTCAGCTCCCTGGGCCTCCAAACCCAGACCAATAGTTTCTGCCCTGCCTGCCTCACAGGGGAGGAAGTGACAATACTTGGTAAATGTTTACAGTTGAAAACACATTTAAATGTAAATTGTTTTTGAAAGGGCAGATACTGTGTGATATCACTTATATAAGGTACCTGAGAGGAATAAAATTCACAGAGACAAAAAGTAGACTGGTGATTGCAGGGCCTGAGGAGATGGGCTAGAGAGTTGTTGTTTCAAGTTGTTGTTTAATGGGTACAGAATTTCAGTTTGGGATGATGGCTGTGTATCAGTGTAATACCACTGAACTGTACACTTAAAAATGGTGCACATGGGCTGGGCGCGGAGGCTCACGCCTGTAATCCCAACACTTTGAGAGGCCGAGGTGGGTGGATCACGAGGTCACGAGTTCAAGACCAGCCTGGCTAAGATGGTGAAACCCCATCTCTACTAAAAATACAAAAATGAGCTGGGCGCGGTGGCAGGCGCCTGTAATCCTAGCTACTCGGGGCAGGAGAATCGCTTGAACCCGGGCAGCAGAGGTTGAGTGAGCCGAAATCGCACTGTTGCACGCCAGCCTGGGCAATAGAGTGAGACTCCGTCTCAAAAAAAAAAAAAAAGAAAAAGAAAAAGAAAAAGGTTCACATAAGCTGGATGTGGTGGCGTGCACCTATAGTCCCAGCTACTCTGGAGGCTAGGGCAAGAGAATCGCTTATGCCTGGGAGTTCAAGGCAACATAGGGAGACCCATCCCTTTTAAAAAATGGTTTAAATTGTGGTGTATATTTTACTATAATTTTTAAAAAATGTTAGTCGTCGGCTGGGCGCGGTGGCTCACGCCTGTAATCCCAGCACTTTGGGAGGCCGAGGCGGGCGGATCACAAGGTCAGGAGATCGAGACCATCTTGGCTAACACGGTGAAACCCCGTCTCTACTAAAAATACAAAAAATTAGCCGGGCGCGGTGGCGGGCACCTGTAGTCCCAGCTACTCGGGAGGCTGAGGCAGGAGAATGGCGTGAACCTGGGAGGCGGAGCTTGCAGTGAGCCGAGATTGCGCCACTGCAATCCGGCCTGGGCTGAAGAGCGGGACTCCGTCTCAAAAAAAAAAAAAAAAAAAAATGTTAGTCGTCTTAATGTTCCCATACCTGCAAGTCTTCACAAGCTAACCCCGAATAGCATCCTTCCTGCCACTCCTGGTCCTTAGAATAGGATGCCAAACCCTCAGTCTCCTATGGCTTTCCCTCCTCTGAATGCACTGGTTGAATGGAGATGTTTGAGATGATCAAGTCTGTATTGAGCCCTGCCTTGGGTCAGGCACAGGACATACAAAGATCAATAGATGCAGTGCCTCAGGTCTGGTGTGGGATGCAGACCAGTCAACGGGGCATTTTGATACAGTGTGGGAGAGGCTGTGATGGGGTGGCCAGATTCTGTGGGAGGGCAGGAAGGCTTCCTAGGGTCCTGAAAGGCATATTGGAGTTAACCAGACCAGGAAACTGTCAGAGGCACAGCCGCTGCCTCCATTTCCCTAATGCTCCATTTACTCTCATCTCTGCCTTTGCTGGTGCTCTTCCTTTGGCTAGAATCCACCCTTTCCTTTCTTTCCCCATTAAAAACCCCCTCATCCTTAAAGTGCCAGCTGAAGTGCTGCCTCCCTTCTGGAGGCATTCCCTCCGCCCAGCTGGAATGACTCTCCCCTGCTCCTGAGCTCCCACAGCCCCCTCTTAGGTCCCCATTCAGCACATGTTTCATTCTGTCAGGTAATCCAGCTCTTTATATTTCTGTCTCTCTTGTTGGATGAATTTTGGGACTTTTATAGTTCCAAGTAAGAAAAACCAACAGGAACCAGCTGCAGCATAAAAGAGTCATTTATCAGAATACAGGGTGTCTTCCCTGGACCAAGATTGTTCCTGGCTGTCCCTGCTCATCTTTCCCCTTTCTCTGTCTGCTTCCAATCCACGTGGCAGAAGCAGGTGACATTCCACAAATTCCAGGTCTGGCCCACTTTTACCTTTCAAGAGCTCAGCCCAGGGAAGGTTTCGATGCTACTTGGGTCATTGATCACCCCTTGACCAATTAACTGTGGCTAGGGAAGCAGGATCACATGTACACACGGTGGGGGGCAAAGCCCATGTGCCTTGGGGAAGAGAATCCCTTAAGTCAGCGTGAGCTGAGTTCTGTAGCATTGAGCACTGCAGACTACTCAGCCCTTATAGCCCTCTTCCCTGGCCTTCCCACCCTGCTCCCCACTCCACCTCCCCTGTGGTTTTCTTCCTGCCTCTCTGGCCATTTCTTCATTTTCTCTCTCTCTGTCTCTGTTTTTCTCTTTTCTTTTTTTTCTTTCTTTCTCTCTCTTTCTTTTCTTTCTTTCTCTCTCTCTCTCCTTTCTTTTCTCTCTTTCTCTCTCTCCTTTCTTTCTCTCTTTCTCTCTCTTTCTTTCTTTTTTTCTTTCTTTCTTTCTTTTCTTCCTTCCTTCTGTCCTTCCTTCCTTCCTTCCTTTTCTTTTCTTTTCTCTCTCCCCTCTTTTCTTTTCTTTTTAGAAGCAGGGTCTGGCTGTGCTGCCCAGGCTGGAGTGCAGTGGTTATTCACAGGTGTGATCACTGTAGCCTTGAGCTCTTGGACTGAAGAGATCCTCCTGCCTCAGCCTCCCAAGTAGCGGGAACCATGGGCATGTGTCACCATGCCTGGCTCCAGTTTTTTCTCTGTGGATGCTGCGCCTTAATTCATCCCTGGTATTAGTATTTTCTATAGTTTCACTTATGCATCTACCCGTTTTTTCATTTTCTTTAGATGATCTCATGAAGTCCCATGACTTCAATTGCTATTTGCATTCAAATTATAGTTACTGCTTAGATCAGAGTGCCTGACCCATAGATTCTGTTATCTGGTGATCATCTCCATGAGATGTCCCAAGTGCCAAAAACTGAATGTGCCTTGTGTCTCTCACCCCTTCCTGACACTCCCATTCACCTGAGCCTCCTGCATTCCCTGCCTCTGTGGACAGCATCACCAGCCACCCCCTGTCACATCTGGGAGTCACTTTCACTGCTTCTCATTCTTTACCTGAGAAATCCAGTCTGTCACCAGACCCTTTCCCCATTACCTCCTAAACACCTCTGAAATCCATCCACTGCTGTGGCCTTAATTCAGGCCTTACTGTCTTGTACTAGACTCCTGTGCCACCTTGCAATTTGCTTTCCCATAGTGCAGCCCATTTAATCTTCCTATATAAAGAATCTGGTTATGTCAGTCCCTTGTTTAAAATCCTTCAGTGGCTCCTCATTGCTACTGGGATGAAAGTCACACTTTGATGTGCGATATACAAAAATCTCCATTGCCCACCTGCCCGTCTTCATCTCTTGCTTTCTCTACAGCCTTTGTGGCCCATTAGCAGTTTCTGAATGTGCTCTGCTCTCTTAAGATTCCTTTTCATGCTTTCTTTTCTTTTTTAAAAAATTAGGCTTTATTACTTACAAATGAAGCCTTAATATAAGAGTAAAAATGTATAGACCACTTCTCAAATTATAAAGGGAAAATAAGAGATCATTATATTCAGGGGCAATATACTTATCACTATGGTATCTGTTTAAAAAGCTGCTGTAGCAAAGACATGGAATCAGCCTAAATGCCAAGCAATGGTAGACTGGATAAAGAAAATGTGCATATACACCATGGAATACTACACGGCCGTAACAAAGAATGAGATCATGTCCTTTGCAGCAACATGGATGGGGCTGGAGGCCATTATTCTAAGCAAACTAACACAGGAACAGAAAACCAAACACTGCATATTCTCACTCACAAGTAGGAGCTAAACACTGAGTACATGTGGACACAAAGAAGGGAACAGAAGATGCCGGGTCTACTTGAGGGTGGCGGGTGGGAAGAGAGAGAGGGTTGGAAAACTACCTGTCAGGTACTATGCTTATTACCTGGGTGATGAAATAATCTATACACCAAACCCCCGTGACACACTATATACCTATATAACAAACCTGCACATGTACCCCTGAACCTAAAATAAAAGTTAAAAAAAGGGCCGGGCGCGGTGGCTCATGCCTATAATCCCAGCACTTTGGGAGGCTGAGGTGGGTGGATCACGAGGTCAAGAGTTTGAGACCATCCTGTCTAACACGGTGAAACCCCGTCTCTACTAAAAATACAAAAAGTAGTGGGCCACGTTGGTGGGCGCCTGAAATCCCAGCTATTCGGGAGGCTGAGGCGGGGGAATAGCGTGAACCCGGGAGGTGGCGGTTGCAGTGAGCCGAGATAGCGCCACTGCACTCCAGCCTGGGTGACAGAGTGAGACTCCATCTCAAAAAAAAAAAAAAAGAAACACTTCTTTATATTGATAAATTTAGGGAGTTGCTTTTCAACTCAAATTTGAATTTGATGTTAATAATTTTAAATTAAAATGCTATTTAAATACACTTGGACAGAGATAGTTTTCAAGTTGATATGCTTTTGCTAAGATAAAGAATTGTCAAAGTAGATGCAAATGTAAGAGAAAAATGATTTATTGATGGTTGAGCTGCGGAAACTTTTAAATATGTTTCAAACAATTTAGGTATGTGAAACTACTCTTATAAATATAAGTTTTATGAAATCTAATGTATCTCAAGTATGTCTAGTAAAAATTTAGCTCTTGAAATAAGATGTTTTATAAGTATAAAACACACACTGAATTCTGAAGGCTTTGAAAGCCTTCAAAGAAATGGAAACTATCTCATTAGTAATTTTTCTAATACTTACATGTTGAAATGGTAATTTGGATATAATGGATTCCTATTTATTAAATTTACTCAAGATATCATATAAGTAACCACTGCTATTAAATTAAAATATTACTTTGTCCTGTAAACCTTGTACCTAATGCAGCAGGTAATCATTATTACTTCAGTGTAAGTTACCATAATTTTTCATCCATGCTGGCTGCCTGGTGAGATACTCTTCTATGGACCAATCACCAGTGCTTTGCTCTGTTTAGCAGCAAACTTTCATAAGGTATTCAAAGATGAAAGTGAGCAAAAAGTGTAGTTTTGTACCACAGCATGAAAATTTGAGGTTGCCAAAGTCTTAAATAATGATTTTTAAAAATTATCCAGTTAGCAAAAGTACTTAAACAGGCTGGGTGTGGTAGATCATGCCTGTAATCCCACTTTGGGAGGCCAAGGCGGGTGGATTGACTGAGCCCAGGATTTCAAGACCAGCCTGGGCAACATAGCAAGACCTCATCTCTATAAAAACTATAAAAAATTAGCCGGGCACTGTAGCATGCACCTATAGTTCCAGCTACTCGGGAGGCTGAGGAGGGAGGATCTTTTGAGCCTGGGAGGCAGAGGTTGCAGTGAGCTGAGATTGTACCACTGCACTATTATTGTTAATAATAATAATTATTATTATTTAAAATGTACTTAAAATATGAAGGTATCAGATATCTGTAATATTACAATATAATTTCCTAAAAGTTAACTTGAGGATGATTTTGCTTTAGCTTCTGCCATTAAGAAGATTAGTTTGACTCGAGGAACAACACATAACAAATGAAAAAGATTATGCCATACCTCTCTGCTCTTGTTGATTTTAGGTGTCCAATGTATGTGTCTTCAAAGTAGTCTATCGTATATTGTACTTCTTTTGGCAAAGGTTGCTAAGTAAAGTCATAGGAAAGCTAAGAAAAGGAATATTATGCTGCAAAACAAAATGAGAGCACTTAACTCAAAAAATTAAAAAAAAAAAACTGTACTTGAGTTCAAGAATAGTAATAACCCTGTATCAGATATACCAGGTACTTGTACACCTACTTCTACACCAAACCAAAAAAGTCCTGAAGGGGCCGACAATGTCATTAAACATACCCTAGAGTTAGTCACACGTTAGATCTGTATTCCATATCAAAATCTCCTGAACGTAAAGTGGGAGCTGGAGGGAGCATCACGTCTACACAGTTGGCAGAGCACTGCCCTTCCTGTCTTCTACTAGGCTTTGCCTAAATGCCTGAAATGGGACTTGCCCTGGGGCTAGGAAAGGACATGTGAGTGCCCACCATGGGAACAAATACAGGATTCTGTTGATGAGGAAGAATATGGATAGTGTACGTTGAGTAAACAAGCACCAGCTTCTACCACAGTTCTGATTCAGTGTCCCACAATGATCAATATTTTACACTGTTTCACCACGGATGGGCTACTTCCTGGTATCTATGCCGAGTCTCTCATTGCACACAGAATTCTCAGTCTCTATAGCTACGGTTGCCCAAGGTTCAAACATTTTAAGTACAGCCTTCTGTCTTGCACTACCTTATTAGGAATGTTTGGTTGTAAATAACAGAAAAATCAAAGAATAGTGGTTTAGACAAACAGGGCCATTTTTTTCTCATATGACACAAAATCTAGAGGTAGGCGGGGTTCAGGGCTTCATCAGAGCTACATGGTATGTTGGCTTTTGTCCTCATGGTGACAGCATGGTGGCTGCAGCTCATGTCTGCATGGAAGAGAAGAAGGGTAGGGAAAGGATTTCTCTCACCAACTCTGCCTCCTTTTATTAAGAAACTTGGCTGGGTGCAGTGCCTTACGCCTGTAATCCCAGCACTTTGGGTGGCCAAGGCGGGCGGATCACGAGGTCAAGAGATCGAGACCATCCTGGCCAACATGGTGAAACCCCATCTCTACTAAAAATACAAAAACTAGCTGTGTGTGATGGCACATGCCTGTAGCCCCAGATCTTTGGGAGGCTGAGGCAGAAGAACCGCTTGAGCCCGGGAGGCAGAGGTTGCAGTGAGCCGAGATGGCGCCAGTGCACTCCAGCCTGGTGACAGAGTGAGACTCCGTCACAAAAAAAAAAAAAAAAAGAAACTCAAAACAGATTTTTATTTAGGTTTTATTCACCAGAACTATGATACAAGGCATCTGTGATTTCAAGAGAGGCCAGGAAAGAGTATATTTAGCAGGGCATCTTAGTAACCTGAACACAATTGGGGTTATGCTAATGAGGAAGAAAGGAGGGAAGGAAGGTTAATGCACTCACAGTTAATAGCACCTGTCATATATTACATCAAATGTGTTTCTATCACCATAGCTACTCGTCCTGTTTACTATTGCTGAAATCCTTTTAGTGTTGCCCTTTTAGCTTGCGAACTTCAAATATATTCTAATATTTTTGCAAAGTGCTTCCTGCAGAATGTAGTTTTAATTAGGCTAGCCCTGGCGTTAAACTGGCAAAAGGTATTGGTTGGATTGAGTGTTTTCTGAAAACCACTTAGTTTTTCACTGTCAAGTGGTTTAATCAGACATTCATAATGCATATGCAAATCTTACTAATATTCTGTTTAATCATGGTGAGACTGGATGGTCCATACTTGATATATGATTGTTAGAATGACTCAATATGCATATGAAGACTTTATAGTTTTAGTATTATTTATGTAAGACTTTATTTATACATTTAGCATTTATTTTATATCAATAATTCTTCATAATCATTCAATTTTATAAGAATTTGTTGGGATCAAACAACTCATAAACAGTGTAATTTTTGTTCCACTTCAGTTTCAATGACTAATTTGTTTAAACCTACTGCTCTGAATTCTCTCTGTTCCTCTTATTTCCCATGGATAATAACACTCACACTGTAGTGTTACTTTCCACTACAACTGTATGATCTGAGAGGACGTGAACCACATCTGTCTTGTTTACCATCTGCTTCGCAGAGTTCCTGGCTCATAGTAGGTACACAGTAAACATGGGTTGAATAATTTAATTACCAAATGACTCTTAATGATCAGTTCCATTTCAGCAGCAGAAGCAGTCCTAACTGGCCTAGTAGTTCCTGTGTGCTAGCCAATGTTTTATTTAAGTGGAAAAATTAGACAACGTAAGCTACTTGTTAGAATATGTCAGGCTTTATTTGGGTGTTTAGGTTTTAACCTAAATATAGGTACAAACATATAGATGCTATGTGTTTGTTCCCTGTTTTTCTCTGAAACATGTTTATGTTTTAGAGTCCAGGGACCAAGAAAGAAAATGACTTTGTGGTTCCAGTTCCTAAGTCTTAGGGTATCGCTATGATCGCCCAAACATGGGTCAGGAGCCTGCCCCTGCTGCAGTCATCTGCGTCCAGGAGGGTAGGCTGTATGGTCATGTCGTGTTTGTAAACATCAAGCTGGGCTTGAAGCTATGCCTGGAAGACGCAGTTGAGGCAGACAGTTCCATAGGAACTGGCAAGGCCATCTCAGCAGTCTACCTGTGTAACTGCTTCGAGCCTGCCTCACTGTGCCTAACACGTGCACACTCGCAGCGTCCTGTCATTTATTCAGAAGTCATTGAGCACCTGCTGTGGATCATGCGTCCAGTGTTGTGCTCTGCTGCTTACTCTCTGAGTGTTCATTATAGTATCTATGCCTTGGTTTCTTTATCTGAAAAATAAACAAAGGCATAATACTTACTTTGTAGGACTGTTTTGAGGATTAAATGAGATATAATATGTATGTAAACCTCAAGCAGTGCCTAGCATATAAGTGTTAATGAAATGTCAGCTGTTACAAGTCCACAGTCCTTTTCCACAATTCTAGAAAAAAAAAAAATTTTTTTTTTTGAGTCAGGGTCTCTGTTGCCCAGGCTGGAATGCAGTAGCATGATCTTGGCTCATTGCAGCCTCAACCTCCCAGGCTCAAATGATCCGCTTCAGCCTCCTGAGTAGCTGGGACACAGCTATGTGCCACCACACCTGGCTGATTTTTGTATTTTTTTGTAAAGGCAGGGTTTCACCATGTTGGCCAGGCTGGTCTCGAACTCCCGACCTCAAATGACCTGACCACCTTGGCCTCCCAAAGTGCTGGGATTACAGATGTGAGCCACCATGCCCTGCCCATAATTCTAAAATTTAAAAGCTATTGAAAACCAAAGTTTCTTCATACTTGGGCAGAAATTCTCACCTGATCTGAACTAAATGACTTGCAGAGCCTGACCTGAAAGGATGTGAGATAATTTTGAGGCTTTATTTCGCTGTTTAGTGTGAAGATTCACCCATTTTGCTGCAGAAATATCAGTGTGGCAGATTACAGGGTGCTGCCCCAGCCCCATGGGCAATATTACATATTATTATCATTTTCAAGTGAAAAATTCTAAATTCTAAAACACATCTAAGCCCTAGGTTTCGGATGAGGGGTCGTGATGTTGTGTTTCCTTCACCAGTATCTTCATCAGCACGTGCCTCGGTGAGTGAATTACAGTCTCTGCCTTGGAGGAACGCACAGCACTAAGTGGGTTGATGTCAGTCCAGTGTGACAGACTAGGTCAAAGGCAGCCTCAGTCCAAGGGAACACTCAGGGCCGCCCACAATCACAGCAGTGTGGGGAAGGGCAGTGGCGTTCAAGCATTGGAGTGGGGATGCCTGTGGTGGGACTTGAACCCAGCACCTCCTTGGGTCAGCACTGCACTGGGGACCAGGGATTTGGCAGCGAGGAAAGCTGGCTCGGTGGCTTATTCATTGTGGTGGAACACTGAGCATCTGTGGGGGCAGGAGCAAGCATTAAGTCATCACAGATGTGATGGGGGGTGTTCTGGATGCTGTGGGAGCCCATAAGAGGGAGCTAGCCTTGTCCTGGGGGGCAGAGGACACCTCCCTGCCCAAGTGACATCTAGGCTGAGACCTGAAGAAGGGATGAGCAGGAGTGAGCCAGGTGAGGAAGCTGCAAACCCATGGAGCAGGGAAAGGAAAGGGCATGCCAAGGTCCCGGAGGCTGGAGAAAGCTAGCCCCTTTCAAAAAGCGGAGAGAAGCCAGTGTGGCTAGAGAAGAGAGTGAGCAGAGGACGGTGAGATAAGTGGGTTGATCACAAGCCAGAGCCAGAGACCTCAGGGTAGGGTGCCCATTGTTTGGTCTGTCAGTGAAGACAGCTCTTGCGTGTGGCAGTTGTCTAGCACTATTATTATTTTCTGAGACTCTGTTGCTCAGGCTGGAGTATAGTGGCATCCTCACAGCTCACTGCAGCGTCAGCCTCTCAGGCTCAAGTGATCTTCCCATGTCAGCCTCCTGAGTAGCTGGGATTACAGGAGTGTGCCACCACACTTGGCTAATTTTTGTATTTTTAGTAGAGACGGGTTTTGCCATGTTGGCCAGGCTGGTCCCAAAGTCCTGGGCTCAAGCAATCTGCCCGCCTCAGCCTCCCAAAGTTCTGGGATTACAGGTGTGAGCCACCGAGCCCAGCCCCAGCACTATTATTAATAGCACTCTCTTTCACTCTCAAAAATGTCCCGATTTGGACCATCAAAGTATGTGGCCCACCCTTCTCACAGTTAGAGAACTGAGAATTTATCCTTAGGGAAGTGGGAAGCCATTGAAAATTTTAAACAAATGCACATTGTCAAAAGTTATTTGGCTTGATTTGGGCCACTTGACCTTGCGCAATAAAAAGATCTTTTGTTTGACTCGGACCATCAAGCTCTTGGTCTCCAGGATGACTGGAAAAGATATCAGAACTGGGAAAATAAACTCAAGTGCTGGTCAGCAGCGTGACATTTGCTGCCACAGGACAGCAGTATTATCTGTGAACCTCTGTGTACACATATACCTAGAAACAGAGCCAGTGTCTGATGATCCTGTGAAGTGGAAACATTCTCTTTCCTTAGCTGAACTTCGAAGAGTTCCTGTGTTGTCTGGAACAGTTATAGGTCTGTCTCAGAAAATTCAGGAAGGGTGGTGGCTTTTCCTTTCCTTTCTCCCTGCACGTGTGAGCGTCCATACATGTGCGCGTGTGTGTATGTGCGTGTGTGCGTGCTTCCCCATATGCAAGCCCGTGCTCAACTCCCTTTCCTGATTTGACTTTCTTTCCCCAGTTGATTTTCTTTGCTGGTCAGAGCGAGCAGTTGGCAGACACTTATTTATCGGTCTCATGCTTTCAGCCAAAAAAAGACAGGAGAATTTAGGAAAACCCAAGACTCATGTTTTACATTTTGTGTAGGATGCTTTCATTGCCTCAGAGACACAGATTCGCCCCTTTGGGAATTCCTTTACTCTTAGTTATTATTTCTGTCCCATTTTGAGCTCTCCTGTCTGCTGTTGGGTAGGTGGAAAGATAAAAGCGACTTGACAGCTGGTAATCCCCTTTAGGCCGCACAGTGGGATGTAGTTGAGGAAGCTTAGCGATAAGAAGCAGATTAGTCCTTTGCGATAAGAAGGGATTGGAACTTTTCAAAGCTGCTGCAAAGGCTTCAGTGTGGGCAGGTGTCTCCAATATGATAGCGTCCCTGAAGATGGGGTGGTTGTGGATGGGAGGAGGTTAGCTGAGCTCCTAGGGGATAGGCTGCTTGGGGACCCATAGGTTGGCTCCTACCTGAGTGAATCATCTGTCTGGTAAACCAGGAAATGGCAGACCCAGGGAGGATGGATGATTCATCTCTTAAGGGAAGACGCACGTAAACTCGTACATACAACATACACAGCGGTCACAGGCACTCACACATGTACAAACATACACATGCACACAACATTACAATGCCAGTTTATTAATTTGTTCTCAAATACTTGCATTCTTTCTCCAAAGACAAGCTAGTTATAATTTAAAAACCTGTTAATAGCTGGAAGTGGTGGTGGCTCACGCCTGTAATCCCAGCACTTTGGGAGGCTGAGGAGGGAGGCTTGCTTGAGCCCAGGAGTTTGAGATCAGCCTGGGCAACATGGCAAAACCCCATCTATAGAAAAAAACACAAAAATTAGCCAGCATGGTGGCGCGCATCTGTAGTTCCAGCTACTTAGGAGACTGAGGTGGGAGGATGACTTGAGCTTGGGAGGTCAAGGCTGCACTGAGCCAAAACCGTGCCACTGCATTCCAGCTTGAGTGACAGAGTGAGACCTTGTCTCAAAAAACAAAACAAAAACAAAAACAAAATCTGTTTATAAATTTTATACTGAAAAAAACCCAATCATCTGCAGGCCAGTGCATGCTCCATCTAGGGTGGGCTCCACAGGTAGTCAGATGTGCCTGTGGTAGGTCTGAACAATGACAAACCTAGAAGCTGGAAAAATAAGCCTCTTGGGTGTTCATAAGCCATTTTAGAGTGTCTTTAAAATAGTCTCTCTAGGTATACTTACCCACTGTAGTAAGATACTATAAGTGTGCGTGTTTGTCTCCTGCGAATCTCATGTTGAAATTTGATACCCAGTGTTGGAGGAGGGACCTAATGGGAGGCATTTGGGTCATGGGGGTGGATCCTTTGTGAATAGATTAATGCTCTTCCTGGGGATGGGTGGGAGTGCTTACATTATTGGTTCTCCTGAAAGCTGATTGTTAAAAAGAGTCTGGCCCTTCCCTGCTTTCTCTTGCATCCTCTTTCATCGCGTGATCTTTCCACACACTGGCCTCCCTTTACCTTCCACCATGGGTAGAAGCAGCATGAAGCCCTCACCAGAAGCAGGTGCTGGTGCCATGTTTCTCATACAGCCTGCAGAATCATGAGGCAAATAAACTTCTTTTCCTTATAAATTACCCAGCCTGGCGTATTCCTTTATGGCAGCATGATATGGTTTGGCTGTGTCCCCACCCAAATCTCATCTTGAATTTTAGCTCCCATAATCCCCACATGTCATGGGAGGGACGTGGTTGGAGGTAAGTGAATCATGGGGGGAAGTTTTTCTCATGCTGTTCTCATGCTAGTGAGTAAGTCTCCACGAGATCTGATGGTTTTATAAAGGGCATTTCTGGCCGGGCGCAGTGGCTCAAGCTTGTAATCCCAGCACTTTGGGAGGCCGAGGTGGGTAGATCATGAGGTCAGGAGTTCGAAACCAGCCTGGCCAACACAATGAAACCTCGTCTCTACTAAAAATACAAAAATTAGCTGGGCGTGGTGGTGAGTGCCTGTAATCCTAGCTACTTGGGAGGCTGAGGCAGGAGAATTGCTTGAACCCGGGAGGTGGAGGTTGCAGTGAGCCAAGATTGTGCCACTGCACTCCAGCCTGGGCGACAGAGCTAGACTGCATCTCAAAAAATAATAATAATAATAAATAATAAAAAATAAAAATAAAGGGCATTGCCCCTGCACACACCCTCTTGCCTGCTGCCGTGTAAGATGTGACTTTGCTCCTCCTTTACTTTCTGCTGTGATTGTGAGGCCTCCCCAGCCATGTGGAACTGTGAGTCCATTTTTTTTCTTTTGTAAATTACCCCATCTCAGGTATGCCTTTACGAGCAGCGTGAGAACAGACTAATACACAACACAAAATGGAATAAGACATAAGTTTCTTAACTTGGAATTCCTGGCCATGCACTAGAAGTCCAAGAGCACCATTAATTTGTAGGGATGTGTACACACGTGTATTTTTCTGCAGAAAGAGATCCTTTCTTGAGACCCTCACACACACACACACACACACACACACACACACACACAAAACTGAGACACATGAACATCTAGCTCAGCTAGCTCATAACTTGACACCTTTGAAATGATATTTTAAAATAGTTTTTCAGCATATCCTGAAGAGGGATGACATGGGGAGGAGGAGATGGCACTCAGCTTTTCACTATTGTCCTAAGAAATTCAACTCTGACCCACATGTGTTTGCCATTTAGCATCACGAAAGTCCTGAAGATACACAGATCTGTCATATGCATCTCTTCTATAGTTTGAAGTGATTCTTAATCAGAGGAGAAATCATTCTGTGGAAAAACAGAAGTAATTCTATTAAAGAAGGCCGAGGTGGTTGGGCAAAGCTTTAAAAGGGCTTTTAGAGTTGGATTTATTGACCAAAAGCTGTATCCTTCAGATGTCTCCAGATTGCATTATTCGTAAAAGCATATTATGAATGCTATCAGTGGTACCAGCAGAGGAAGAGCATTGTACTTTGTCAGTCAAGAGGGAACCTACTTTGCATTCTAGGATAAAACATAAATCGTTCACAAGGTGGGGCCCTCCACACCTCCACTATGGCGGACCTGACACGGTGCAATATAGTGGTGCTTCCTGTTCCCACCCCTCACCCCGTGGGACCTCTGCTTCCTTTCTTGGATACCTCATTTGCCTTTGGACCTTAGAGTCTATCTTGGCTTGAATTGAGCACTTAATACCATGTTAATCTGGGGATGTGAGTATCTCCGCTTGCCCTTCGCAGGAGAGATGTTGGCATGCTCCCTACCATTTCCGCAGCCTCCAGTTGTGTCCTGTTCCTTTTTACAGCATCACTACTCCTGTTACAATAATGACAGATCTTAGTGATGATGGCCCTCATACAAAAATGACACAGGACTGTAACAATTAAGGATTAGTTGAAACTTAGCTTTAATTTTAAAACATCTTAGTGTGTCCAAGAATCGGTTTTCCTCTTTTTGCTTAGGAATCTCCAGTGCACAGAAGGTCATGTTTTTGGTAGCCACACCATGCTGACAAGTCACACGGAGTTTTGAGTTAACTATAATTAATCCTTCTAAGTCTTCTTTATATAGTAATTGTTATTCATATTTTTCTCAGCACCATCGCCTCACTGCATTTCCACCTCTCCAATATTTTGTAGGCTTTATCGTCTTTTTTTTTTTTTTAAAACGTCTCACTCTGTTGCCCTGGCTGGAGTGCAGTGGCATGATCATAGCTCACTGCAACCTCGAATTCCTGGGCTCAAGCAATCCTCCCACCTCAGCCTCCCATATAGCTAGGACTGCAGACACAAGCCATCACACTTGGCTGTTATTATTATTATTTTTTTGTAGGGATAAGGTCTCACCATGTTGCCCAGGCTGGTCTCAAACTCCTGGTCTCAAGTAATACTTCAAAGTCAGTTTTATTACATTTCATCTTGTTTAGTCTTATCCTGTGAGCTGATCTAGGGTCAAAATGTCGATGTATTTAAAAAGTACTTACATAAATATATGGATTATAAAACCAAAATGGGTTATAATTTTATTTATTTATTTATTTATTTTTTAAGACGGAGTCTCTCTCTGTCGCCCAGGCTGGAGTGCAGTGGCGCCATCTCGGCTCACTACAACCTCTGCCTCCCAGGTTCCAGCAATTCTCCTGCCTCAGCCTCCTGAGTAGCTGGGATTACAGGTGCCGGCCACCATGCCTGGCTAATTTTTGTATTTTTTGTAGAGACAGAGTTTCACCATGTTGGCCAGGCTGGTCTCAAACTCCTGACCTCAGGTGATCTGCCCTTCTCCGCCTCCCAAAGTGCTGAGATTATAGGCATGAGCCACTGCACCCAGCCAGAGATCACTAACATTTTGAAATTAGATAGTTCATTCTTTCAACAACTGTTAAGTTGGTAAGTGTGTCAGTCACTGTGCTGGGTGGAGCATGAGTAAGACAGATGGGGACTTTTCCCTCAGAGTTTGCTTATGGTCTGGGAGAATAGACGAGATGATCTCGAAGGACAGTAAGTGAGGAAAGGACATTTGGGCTCTCGTGAATGAACCACTATGTGGACTTCTGGAGGGAGAACACTTCAGATGGAGAGAACAACAAGGGTAAAGACCCTAAGGTAAGGGCGAGCTGAAACATCAAAGGAACAGACAGAAGAAGGCTGGTGTAGCAGTGAGGAGAGAGCAGTAGAGGACAAGCTGAGAGAGATGTGCAAGGCTGGGCACATAGGTCCGGGTGGTCACAGGAAGGAACTGGTTTTTTTGTGTGTTGTGTTTTAGTTTTGTGGTAGGCTGAATGAGGCCCCGCTAAATGTCTGTGTCTCATTCCAGAGCCAGTGCTGTGTGACTATATTAGCTTACATAGTAAAAGGGACGCTGCAGCTGTGAGTAAGTGGAGGATCTTGATGTGGGGAGATCATCTGGGTGGACCCAATATGATGACAAAGGTTCTTATAAGAGCGGGGCAGGAGGATCAGAGTCAGAGAAAGTGAGGAAGAGGCCATGAGCCAAGGAGTGCAGGCAGCCTGTAGCAGGTGAGAATTTGGATTATCCTCCGAAGCCTCCAGAAGGAAAACAGCCCTGCCAACACTCTGATTTTCGACTTCTGAGCTGCGGAACTGTCAAGAGAATAAATGTACGTTGGTCTAAGCTGCTGAATTGAGATCATTTGTTACAGCAATAGGAAAGTAAACAGGTGTCTAATTCTAAAATGCAGTGGAGACACATTTGGAGGGGAGCAATGGGATGGTATTTAGTTTTTAGCAGAGTAGGTTGTTGAGAGGCAGGAGGGGCAGAGGGAGGCCAGTCAGGAAGCGGAGGCAGTCACCACAGGGGACACATGACAGAGGCCTGGATTAAGGGGTTGGCAGCGGAATGAAGAGGGATGAACAGATTTTGGACACAGAGCCGATAGGAATTGCTGATGGCTTGGTCGTGGGGATACAGAAAATGGGAAATCAGGGGTGATGCTGAATTTGGGCCTATGCAACTGAGTGCCATTTATTGAAATGGAGGAAGAGGGAAAAGGAATAAATTTAGAGGGAAAATTATGCATTCCGTTTGGGCCCTGTTGAAACTTGACATGCCTATTAGATATCGACGTCCATGAATAAGCAGATGCATGTATCAGTGGAGGTCTCGTAAGAGAGATCACCCACATGCCCCTCACTTGGACAGTGTTTGTCCTCACACAGGATTTCTCCAGTGCCACCATCATTGACGAACCACCTGGCTGACTAAACTTGATCCACTGTGGCATCTCATTCTTTTGTTCTTTTGTCTCGGGCTCGTTTTTCATTGCTTACTCAGTGTGGGCTGAATGAGCAATTAACAGAGTCTAAAATGAGGCTTAGGATGTTTGATAACTAAAGACTGATGAAGGAAACAATGTAGATTAATTTGTGTCCCAAATGTGTACCGTTATTTAGTGCTTTTTGAGAAAGCTAAATGGAGTCTGTGAATTTTAATTGATGTTTAACTTTTAATTGTGTTCATGTGGGGTGGCCAGTTGGAACTACGCCTAATAAGACTGATGAGTATACACACATTTGCATATGGCAGGCCTTCCAAGGGCCAACCACGGAGAGAGAGGCTTAAAGTAAGAGGAGGAAAACTGCAGGGAACGGATAAATAAGTTAAAACACATTTATTTTCAGAAAACATGAAAACTTATCACTTTTCTATTCATCTTAAATAATATAGGTTTACTATATTATTCCTCTCATTGGTGTTTTTCTATTTTTTAATCCTTTTTTTTTTTAAGAAAAAAAGAGGATTATAAGAGGAACTAGTTTATTTACAGCGGAAGGAATTCTGATTTGCATAAATTCATGGTTCAGATTGTTAGCCAGACCAGCAAACTGTTGTTTGCTGAACATCTATTCTCTGTGAAGTACTTTGCTGAACGCCAGAGGGGGTGCTACAGTAATTAGGATGCTTTTGGGCCAACGCATTGGCTTAAGCAATAAGGAAGTTTATTGTCTTCCCTAAGAAGTGGGGCTGTCTCCAGGCCCAGTATGCCAAGCTGCTGCTCTCCTCTGTGATTCTCGTGGCCTAACCCCCTTATGTTTGATGGCCTCATCTTTAGATCAGGAACAAGATGGCTCTAGCAATCCTGGCTATCACATTCAGATTTGGTAACATCCAAGGGGGAAAAAAGGGTTGTCTCTTCCTTGTGTGTCTTACATGTGAAATCGTCTCTCCCAGAAGCCCCCATCAGACTTTTCTCACATCCCTTTCACCAGATTGGATCATATGTGCATTTGTAAACCAGTCACTGGCTGAGGAAGTTGCCACTGTTGGCTTAGATCAGGGGTAGGCAAACTACAGTTAGCTGCCTGTTTTTATAAATAAAGTTTTATCGGCATATCCCACGCCCACTCATTTACATATTGTCTTTTGCATTGCAGTGGCAGAGTTGAGTAATGTGACAGAGACTGTTTGGCCCACGAAGCCTAAAATATGTACTGTCTGCCACTTTATAAAGCAAGGGCCAATCTTTGGCTTAAAACTAATCATTTGGGGCATATATGTTGAAAAGGCAAGCACAGCGGCCACTGTAGATACAAAAGAGGTATAAAATATGATCTTATTCCTCAAAGAGATTACTGAGGGAAATTTTATATATAGTAGAGACGGGGCCTCACCCTGTTGCCCAGGCCGGAGTGCAGTGGTGCAATAGTAGCCTCACTGTAACCTTGAACTCCTGGCCTCAGGGGATCCTCCTGCCTTGGACTCCCGAAGTGCTGGGATTACAGGTGTGAGCCACCATGCCTGGCCCAGAAACGATATTTTAGTGCATTAAATAGCTACAAATGCTCATTATAGTTTAATACCCAAATAAAAGGTATTTCATACATATTTATAATTGGAAACTATGTAGGAAACAATGTCAATTAATTTGTGTCCCAAATGGGTGCTGTTATTTATTTCATTCTACTACAAAGTAGAAAAACAGGCAAACCACTCTACCCACTTACCAAGCTACATTTCAAAGAAATTATGAAAATGGACATCAGATAAAGAAAACCTAAGGACATGAAAGCATTTTTAAAATTCTAGGAAAAAATAACAATAATATTTAAAAAGAAATTCTTATGCAGATTAAGAAACCATGCTGAAAAGGAATAGAAAGTGATAATGTTAACAAGTAGCGCAGTGAAGGCACAGCCTCTCAACTCTTATTTTGCATCTCCTTTTTCCTTCATGGAAATTGATCTAAAAACCAAAGAGAGTAAAGCAAGCAGTGTTTAAAAGAGTCATGAATAGGCAACACAGGGAATCTTTGCAGAGTTAGAACCGTTGAATATCTTAACTGGATTCGCAATTATACATGAGTGATAAAATTGTATAGAGGTTCACATACAAAAATCCAGGTGAAACAGGAAATCTGAGTAAGATGGGGGGAATTATATCAAATGTCAATTTTATGGTTGCAATATTATACTATAGTTTTGCAAAAACAGTTGAGGGAAACAGTACAATGTACAAGGGATCACTGTATTATGTTTTACAACTCCATGCAAATCTTTAATTATCTCAGCAAAGTTTTCAATTAAAAAGACAAATGAATTAAAAGGACACTGAAACACTGGATAGGTGGAAAGATGTGAAGAAAACCCAGCTGATTACATCCCACATGTAAAGGAACTGACCTCAAAGCAACTGTTAGTACTCTTTTTTTTTTTTTTTTTAATTTTATTTTATTTTAAAGACGAGGCCTCGCCATGTTGCTCAGGCGGGTCTCAAACTCCTGGCCTCACGCCAGCCTCCCACCTCTGCCTTAAAGAGTGCTGGAGTTACAGGCATGAGCCACCACGCCTGGCCCTATTAGTAAATTTGGAAAGGTTATAGAGAATAGGAGCGATCCTAAAAAATAGGAAAATGCAGGGTGTTGTTCCACTTTTTCACAAATGGTCTTTGACATTTCATGTAAACCCTGACAAGTTTATAATAGATCCTCAAATATTTGTCAGCAATTGGAGAAGAATAAAGAGATCACCAGGAACCCATAAGGGTTCGCTAACAACACTCATTATGGTAACCAGGCTCAGGGAACAATATCTAGATAGTGAATCTCAGTTTCAGCAAAGCAGTCACAAAACTCCTCATTAAAATATTGAAAATAAGATTGTATACTTATTTGGAGACAGTCAAGTGGATGATTTTTGCCAGAAAATGTTGATTCTGTTGGTTTTAGACCAAACTAAAGTAATGCCTGTAATAAAGAGCCATGTTATTAGTAACTTGGATAAAAACAAAGAAGACTTTATCAAAAAATTTGCAGCTGGGCTGGGCGTGATGGCTCACATCTGTAATCCCAGCACTTTGGGAGACTAAGGTGGGTGGATCACTTGAGCCCAGGAATTCGAGACCAGCCTGGGCAACATGGTGAAATGCTGTCTCTACTAAAAATACAAAAATATTAACCTAGCATTGTGGCATGTGCCTGTAGTCCTAGCTACCTAGGAGGCTAAAGTGGGAGGATCACCTGAGCCCAGGAAGTCAAACGAGTTGCTGCAGTGAGCCGTGATTGTGCCACTGCACTCCAGCCTGGGCGACAGAGTGAGACCCTGTCTCAAAAGAAAAAACAGAAAATGCAGCTGATATAAACATCTCAGAAAGATACCTCATTATGATAAATGACAATTTCAGATTCTATGGAAGTGCTGACATAATAGGCACAAACTAATAAAGCTAAATAAAAAAGCAAAAATTGTGAAGTCATACATTTAGGTTTCAAAGAGTGATCATAAATGTACACGATGAAATAGAAGCAGCTTTATGGCACTTCATTTGGAAAGAAGAAATCAGAGGGATTTAATTGGTGCTGTAATTGGCTGGGCCTTGCCACATAGCATGCAAACAACTGGGAGTAAACCAGGACTGACTATGGGCAGAATCTGGAAGAAAAGGATAGATTGAGTGGGGAGGGCATGATCGGGGGAGAAGGGAAAGGAATAAAGAGATCCACTTTGGCCTCACAGAGTGCTGGGTCAGTGGCTAGAAGGAATTGCACCCAAGGGACTGACTGACCTAGTGACTGGATTTTGAAGCATCCAGGCTATGTCGACAGAGTTCCTTCAAAATGATGAACATATCAGGAGCAACAGAGAAGGGCTGGTAGGAACTAGGTAGAGGTTCAAAGTTGAACTCTAATCCCCCCTGGAAACTGAGGAAAGCCCGAGTCCCAGGACTCTGGGAAGAAAGGGTGAGCACTCCAGCAAGGCCAAGGAATGGGCTACATTGGGGAATGTGTATCAGGGTTAAGGACACTACCTTTGGAGCCTGCCAGAGTACTCTGTATTCACCCCTTCCTTCCAGTGTGCCTTGCACTGGTTACTGGACATTTCTGAGGCTGGGTTTTTGCCTTGATTCAATGGGGAATTGTTGGGAAAATTAAATATGGTTTATTAGATGGTTAGGACAGCTCCTTGAATTGTGGAATAGAAGTTCTACCAGGCACTTTGGGCTCTATTTTACAGACACAGATGAATTCTAGAACATATTTACCTGTTAGGAGGCATTTCCGGTTGCAGAAGTGACTCTGAATCCTGTGTATTAAAATCACTTTGGGAGCATTTTTTAAAATTCTGATTTTTTTAAAGGATACTCAGAACAATTGACCCTGAATCTCTGTGGTTGGACTCAGCCATTCATAGTTTTTAAAGCTTTCCAGATGATTTTAACTGTGCAGCTAGCATTGACAGCCATTGTCTTACTCTATTATCAATCCTGGTTGTCATTGGTTCAGGGCCCAACTAAATCTGCAGGGGGGCCACCTCATTGGAGACAGCTAGGAGTAGCTGTGGCCAGTGGAGACTGATGGCCAGCTGTGAGCTTGAGATGAGCGAACAGGGAGGGGCAGCTGCTAAAACCCCCCCAGACACATTCACTAATATGACCCATCTACTTGAAGAGAAGCACTCTATGGAGAGAGGAAAGAACAGTCACACTGAACTCTGAGGTGACCGAGGCACATCTGGGGTGTTGTATTCTGTTTTAGGAAGAATACAGACAAGAGGAGAACTTTTTTCTGGGCCTTTGGATTGAGCTGGGAAAAGTAGCAGCATCAAGAAAGGCATCACATTGTCTGCTGGAGCGCAGGGCATTTGCTATGAATGATGAGTCTGGGGAGCCTACGGTATACGAAGAGGAGAAGATAATCCAAGTTCAGGAAGTACAGCAAGAAGTCAAGAGATGAGTTTTGATGGGCATTCTCTCAGGCTTAGGGCTGAAAATTAGAAACAGGGTTGACTGACAAAGACAGAAAATGTGTGCGTTGATAAAAGCCAGTTGAGAAATAAATTCGACAGACACTGAGCGGTTAGCATACTCCCCTGGGTCAAGGGCATATTTAAAACTCCCAAAACATACCCAGTGAAAGGGGAGCAGGATGATAAGGAGCAGTGACCATGTCTGGTGAGTAACAGTTGAAGAACTGGGGGTGGTGAGCTGCAGACTGCAGAGCTGAGCGGGATGACAGCTGTCTTAAGATACTTGAAATATTCACTTGTAGAAGAGGGTTTTGGTCCACTGAGTAGACATTACAGGAAATCAGACTTTTGGTCAATAGTAGGAAATTGCTTTAGTATCAGGAACTGAAACTAGAATAAGATTATGTCCTGTGAGGTAGTAAACTCCCTGTCACTAGAGATATTCAAGCTGATATTGTAGGAGTTACTAGTATTATGTGGTAAGTAGGACTAGATTAGTGGGAGGGTTTCAAGTCCTCCAGTCTTATTCTAACAGGCCCAACTCAACTCTTATTTGATTTAAATGTGTAATATGTTGTAGGATTTTATTTATTTATTTTTGAGATCGAGTCTTGCTCTGTCGCCCAGGCTGGAGTGCAGTGGCGCCATCTCGGCTCACTGCAAGCTCTGCCTCCTAGGTTCACGACATTCTCCGTCGTCAGCCTCCTGAGTAGCTGGGACTACAGGCGCCCGCCACCACGCCCGGCTGATTTTTTGTATTTTTAGTAGAGACAGGGTTTCACCGTGTTAGCCAGGATGGTCTAGATCTCCTGACCTCCTGATCTGCCCGCCTTGGCCTCCCAAAGTGCTGGGATTACAGGCATGAGCTACCGCGCCCAGCTGGATTTTATTTTTTAAAGGGATATGCCAAAAAAGAGAAAGAAACTAGAATTATTAAAATTATTTTAAAAGCTTTTTAATTGACGATAATTGTATATATGTAAAGGGTATGATGAAATGTTTTGATATATGTTTAAGTTGTGTAACAATTAGATCAAGCTAATTAACATAGCCATCACCTGACATACTTATCTTCTTTTTGTGGTAAGAACATTTAAAATCTACTTTAAAAATAAATAAATAAAAGAGAGACAGTGTCTTGCTCTGTCATCCAGGCTGGAATGTAGTGGCATGATCATAGCTCACTGCAGCCTTGAACTCCTGGGCTCAAGAGATCCTCACACTAAGCCTCCTAAGTAGCTGGGACTACAGGCGCACACCACCATGCCCAGCTTATTTTTGTATTATTTTGTAGAGATGGAGGTCTCACCATCTTGCCCAGGCTGGTTTCCAACTCCAGGCCTGAAGTTACCCTCCCACCTTGGCTGCTCAAGGTCCTGGGATTACGAGTGTGAGCCACTGCACCCGGCCCTAAAATCTATTTTAGCAAGTTTGAAATACGTATTATGTTATTATTAATTATAGTCAAAATTCTGTGCAATAGATCACTAAAGCTTATTTCTGTAGTCTAACTAAAAAAAAAAAAAAAATGTTGGGACAAAGTCTCACTCTGTTGCCTAGGCTGGAATGCAGTGGTACAATCATATCTCACTGCAGCCTTGAACTCCTGGGCTCCAGCCATCTTCCCACTTCCCCTTCCTGAGTAACTAAGACTACAGGTGCATGCCACTATGCCTGGCTAATTTTTTAAAATGTTTTTTTTATAGAGACTGGATCTCGCTATGTTGCCCAGGCTGGTCTCAAACGCCTGGCCTCAAGTAATCCTCCCATCTTAGCCTCCCAAAGTGCTGGGATTTCAGGTGTGAGCCATTGTGCATGGTCTGAAACTTTGTACCTTTTGTTCAGCGTCTTTCCTTTCCCCATCCCTCTCCCCGTCCCCACCCCCAGCCTCTGGTAACCACCATTCTACTTTCTACTTCTATGAATTTGACTTTTTTAATGATATGATTCTTTGATTTCCATTACAAGGAAAGACACGATGACAAATATTTGATCAATGAATGCTGCTTGTTTGCATAACCAACTAAGAGATTCAAGCATGTATGTAAATACGGACTCTTTTTCAATGCAGGTGGGGTGACATGGAGAGTCCGTAAATTTACTTTTCTTGGTCTTGTAGTTTGGGAAGCATCATTGGCTATCTGCCTTAAAAATTTAAGCTATTTTATGTTCCTTTCAACAAATGTGTGTAGTACGTACCAAGTGTAAGGCATCATCCTGTACTTTGACAATTGGAAACCTTCTCTCCCCAACTTCTACCAATTGGAAGTTAATTTCAGCACTGAAACCACCTCCCATATTTAACAAGAGCATCACAGCACAACAAATATAAACAGTGATGACAGTGAACATTTATCCGTTGCTTCCCCAATATGATTTCTCCCTTCTGTCTTCCTAATAACCCCCATTTCCATTCTTAACTAGGGCAGAACCAAGACACACCGACAGTTAAGCTGATTTGTCTGTTCCCTCAGATGGATTTGTGATGACATTTCTGATGACATTTTACACTGCCATTGGTCTCACTGTGCTACTGATAGTTCACTAGCTTCATAAAGTTACCTCTTAAGCAAGTTTTATATATTGATGGACTCTTGTCCAGTTGCCTTTTGGGAGACAGAGGAATATCCTGTAATGACTGCTGTATCTCTTACCATGGGTTGCTTTTTTATTTTTTCATCAATGAAGGAACTCAGTGCTGTACTCTCAGCTATTTAATTTTTCTTTCCTTCCTCATTAAAAAAACAAAAAACAAAAAACAGAGCCAGGTACGGTGGCTCACACCTGTAATCCCAGCATTTTGGGAGGCTGAGGCGGGCCAATCACAAGGTCAAGAGATTGAGACCATCCTGGCCAACATGGTGAAACCCCATCTCTACTAAAAATACAAAAATTAGCTGGGTGTGGTGGTGCATGCCTGTAGTCCCAGCTAATTGGGAGGCTGAGGCAGGAGAATCGCTTGAACCTGGGAGGCAGAGGTTGCAGCGAGCTGAGATCACGCCACGGAGCGAGACTCCATCTCAAAAACAAAACAAAACAGAAAACCTATTAGTGATCAATTTCAAATTAATAGATACATAAAATTCTAAATGTAATTATTTTTTAAAAAACCCAGTAAGATAGAAGGAGAACCTATAGATTGAAAGACTTAAAGGACATATTAACCAATCATTATATATGGTCCTTATTTGAATCTTGATTCAAACAACTGTAAAACAAAACAAATGTTAAACTAAATTTGGCCTGAGACTGCCTCCATACCATGAGTCCCTACTTAACAAGCTAACCTAACTTAGAATGTAAATAAACTTGAAAGCCTAATTTAGGAGTGTATTTTGTAACAAGGAGCTGGGTGTTAGGTGTTAGCCAGTTACAGGCTGTTAACTGATCAGACCATGTCCAAATAAGGCAAATTCTGAGCTGCCACCTATCCAGCTGTTTCTGTGCCTCATGTCTGTTTTCTTTCTATAAATACTCCCTGCCCAGTTATGGAGCAGAGCTTTCTGAACCTCCTCTGGTTCAGAGTGCTACCGGATTCATGAATTGTTCTTTGCTCAATTAAACTTCATTAAATTAATTTGTATCAAGTTTTTCTTTTTACTTAAAAAACATTTTTGGGACAATTGGAAGTTTAAACACTGGATATTTGAAGTATTAAATTGTTATCATTGATATATTTTAGGTATAATGATGGTATTATTTTTATGTTTTTTTTTTTAAATTTCCTTGTTTTTAACAATACATACTGAAATATTTAAGGGTGAATAGTATTTGGGATTTGCTCCAAAACAATACAGAAGAAAGGAAGTGAGTGAAGGGTATAGATGAAACAGAACTAGTCATGAATTAATCATTGCTGAAACCGAGTAATGGGTACATCAGGGTTCATTAAACTAATCTGTTTACTTTTCCTGTGATGAAAGATTATATAAAATTTAAAGACTCCCCCTCACTTTCCAGTGGTAATCAGTTTTAACACTTTGATATCTATTTTCAGGAAGCTTTCAATGTATGCATTACAGAGAGAAAGGGGATAGTGGAGAGGGTTTGGTTTTTGGCTTTGCTTAATTAAATGGACTCACTAATACATATTGTCTACAACTTTATTTTGGGAAAGGGAGCTTGCTATATCATGGACATTTTGCCATTTAATTTTATATCGGAGCAGTTCATGATTTTATTTCTCTAAAGAGGACAAAAAAAAAAAATCCTCGGCTTTTGTAACCGTGTAACCTCTGCACTCCGGGGGATAATTTTGGCTTTTTGTGCTGAATACCTGTACTTGAAGCCTGGCATCTCTGTGGGCTTTGGCCAGGAAGAGCCTTAATTACAAGCCGTGGGCAGCTCACACTGGTCTGATTAAGACCCTTTCCCAGCGCAGGATCCCCTCCCCATACAAAGCATCAAAGCGTCAGCCCCAACCTCTTTCACAGGATCTTGCTGTCAGACAGCAGTGGTAAATCCGTTGGAAATTCAGCACTCTCTGTTGCCGACTGTCTGGGGGCCAAACTTTTGTGAGAGTTAGAAAATGCCTTATTGAATTCCTATTGCTTTTTTGTGATTTCATGTAATGTGAATTCTTAGTGAGTCATGTATATTGGTAAGAGAGAGAATTTGTGTGAGAGAGTGGTTTTTAAAAAAAAAAAAAATAGAGTGGATGAATAGGTGATCAGCCTTGGCTCCAGAATGGACTTTCTGTTTTTATTATGCTGGGGAATTGACACAATTTAATTCCAGCGCACCTTTCAGTATCTGCTGTTGTTCATTTCCCTTCCATCCCCGTGGGAAAAGAAAAGCAATCTAAGCTTAGAATTCCTTCTCTTTCTCCCTTAACCCTTAAGGAACACAGTGAATATCATACTTTTTGTGATGTATTTTTAAGTGCTTTAAAATATTGCTATCATCATTTCACTATCTTACCCAATATTTTTGGAGCAACTATAGTGGGTCCTTGAATAACGTCATTTTGTTCAACATTGTTTTGTTATTGCATTGATGATGAAACAAATCGATTCCTGGCCAGGGCCACTGTCTGTGTGGAGGCTGTACGTTCTCCCCATGTCTGCGTGGGTTTTCTCCGGATAATCTGGTTTCCTCCCACATCCCAAAGATGTGCACATTGGGTGAATTGGCATGTCTACATAGGCCCAGTCTGAGTGAGTGTGAGTGTGGGT
Organism: Homo sapiens; assembly: GCF_000001405.40. Lineage (NCBI taxonomy): Eukaryota > Metazoa > Chordata > Mammalia > Primates > Hominidae > Homo > Homo sapiens. Next base: position 94,716,526 of record NC_000012.12, on the reverse strand, counting down.
GTGGGTGTGAGTGCCCCCTGCTATGGGATGTGTCCTGTCCAGGGTGTGTTCTTGCCTCGCACCCTGAGCTGAGCTGCCGGGACAGGTTCCAGCCACATAAAACCCTGAACTGGAATAACTGGGTAACTAATTATCTTACTTGTTTTCATTAATCTTTCTTAAGTGTATATTTAGCTCACATTGATTTCAGTGTTTAATATAGAAGTGTTTTGGTTCTTTACTTAGAAGTTTGTTGATGTTTTTCTGACCAGAAATATGTAGGAATTTAACTCTTAAAATTGGTCTCATCATACCAATTCAGCTGTTTCACTGAAAGTCAAAGTTTCAAGAACCTATGGCTGGTATTAAGTGAGGACTTACTCAACTCTGGGCCAGGCACAGTATCAGGCACTTGGGAACAGGGATGCAAGACAAATTGGTTTTCCTGTTGGTATTGTGCTGGTGGAAACACTGAGGTTGAGCATTTAGGAAGGATGGGGTTATGATTAGAATGGCGAGCATTTGTTAAATGGACATGTTTTGCGGATAGATGTAATAATGATAAAAACCATTTACTGATTAATTGCCATGTGCTAACTTCCTTCCTAAAAGTTTTTATGTCAATTATCTCATTTGATACTTACCATGACCTTATGAAGTACATGCTTTTATTCTCCCCCTTTTATAGATGGGAAGCACAGAGAAGTTAAATTGATTATTCAAAATCACACAGCTAAAAAGTGATGTAATCTGCTTTTTGTTTTGTTTAGTGTATGTGCTGCCGAAGAGAGCACAGTATAATCTGGATTTAAACTCAGTCCAACTCCACAATGTGTGCTCATTATGGAATTACTAAGGAATCTATTGGCTCATTGATTTGTTTTTGTTTTTGTTTTTGTTTTTTGAGACGGAGTCTCACTCTGTCATCCAGGCTGGAGTGCAATGGCATGATCTTGGCTCACTGCAACCTCCACTTCCCAGCTTCAAGAAATTCTCCTGCCTCAGCCTCCCGAGTAGCTGGGATTACAGTGCGTGCCACCATGCCCTGCTAAATTTTGTATTTTTGGTAGAAACGGGGTTTCACCGTATTGACCAGGCTGGTCTCGAAATCCTGACCTCAAGTAATCTGCCCGCCTCAGCCTCCCAAAGTGCTGGGATTACAGGCGTGAGCCACCGTGCCCAGCCTTATTGATATATTTTATTAGTAGCTTCCAGTTAAAAAAAAAGATGTTTAATTATTGTTAGCCATCAATATCTCTGGAATCGGTTGATGTTTCAAGCTGTGAAACATGTTGAAGGGCTTTCAACAGATACAGTGTGATATTGCAGCATGGGGTCCAAACTAATTTCTTTCTAGACTTAAAACTGATCAAATTTTTGCTGTGTGTTGGTATTTTGGGGGATGAAATTTCACTTGTAGTGAGTCTAGTGAGTCTAGAGTCATTTAGGAATGAATCTTATTCTGTTACTTGCAGTGTTCAGTTGTGATGAAAAGAAATCCCCTGGGCTATTTTTGTTAAATCAATTTTATGTCTTTTAGTTATTTATCATGAAGTTTGCTTTAGTGAGTGAAAGTATAGGTTTCCCAATGTGCATATGTGCATATTTATGTACATATGCTCTACTTAAAGCTATGAAAATCTCAATATATTGCTAGCTTCTTGCTGTGTATGCCTGTTCTTAGTATAAACCTTTCAATTGGGAATGACGTCTAAAACTAAAAACTATGTGGTGCTACAAGCTAGGCTCTGTAACCCTCAATTCAAACTCATAGTCGTAGATCATCTTTTCTCCCAGCCATGTTGTCATAACACTGATGAAAGCTGTCATACTTCATTCATTCAGCTAACCTTGATTGAGTGAGTACCTACTATATCCTAAGCATTGACATTGTTGCTGGAAGTAAAACAATGACTCAGACCTGGTCACAGACTGCTCAGGATGTTTTTTTGTTAGGGCTCTTGTCCATGATGTAGTCTAACCCGACCACATGCTAACTGACTACATATAAAGTGAATGAGGTCAGATTCTGTTCGCAGCTGCCCAGACTGATGTGCTTAAAGCAATCTCTGGACAGATGGGGCATCTGGCACCTGTTGTGACCGCATCATGTTCTGTGGAATAAAGGAGGGAACCGGAAAGCTTGCAGTGAAGCAAAGGCAAAGCTATTTCCCTAGACACCATGGCATGATTCGTAGCCCTCTTTGGCTGGCTTCACAATCTGCCCAAACTTGAGAGGCTCAAGGTTAAACTAGTTCTAGTTTAAACTAGGACTTTCTGTGTAATTTTTAAAATCTCCCCAACTGAAAAAGAACTACACATTCCTCTTAGCTTGCTATAAAGAATAATAGACACTAGTCCATGTTGAATATATTTAAATGGGATGGTCTGCAAATTTTCATACTTGAACTGTCCTTTAATGTTTAAACTGAACACACACAGTCTTATAGGCAGCTGGACTAGAGATAAAGGTTGCTCAGCTCCACAAGTATTTACTAAGCATTTTCCTAAGAAAAGCACTGTGAAAGATCAAAACACATACACTCAAATCCACAGTAATATTCAAAACAACCAAACTTTGGGATTTTTTAGATGCCACCTCACCTTTTTGGGTGCTTTCGTTTCAAGTGCTGATGGTGCAGTACAGGAACCTCTGAGATCATCTATCTCATTCCCCAAGAAAGTTGGCAGATGAGAAGGCTGAGGCCTAGGAAGATAAATATTGCAAACTTTGAGTGTTCATTAGGGATAGCATCAAAATCAATTGTGGTCCTCTGGTAAGAAACATGGGCCACCTTCTCCACACACTTCCCACTGCCCCACCCATCCTGCATGTATCATTTCAGAAGGCTACCAAGTAATAACTCTTCTAACTGGTAAAATATATAATTTGGAGAGGAGGAGGAGCTTTGTTGGGAAAAAAGCGGAGAACGAGTTTCTAATCCCAAAAGTTGGGATCAAACTCTTTCTAAGATAGCCTTGAATTGAATCAATGTAGCAGTGGTTAATTCGTAGGTTAATTACAGCTTGATGGAAACAATAACATCGTCATGCTTGGGTTGCACATTTTAAACCCGTAAAATGATAGCCAACTCGAATGCCAATCATGAGCTTCCCAAACAGCAGCTGTCACTGTGTGGTGGACTTGGCTCTGAGTGTCTCAGGTCACCCTGATGTGTTCCAGTGTTTGCTGTTTCAGTGTCAGTGAGTACACCGTGGCCACTGCAGATCACACAGAGTCATGGCAGAGACTGTCTAACCCTCGTAATCAGGAGAGTTGGAGCTTAAGAATCAACACACGGCCTTACTTACACTTTTCATTTAAACTATGCTTGAAGCTTTAAATGTTTCCAGCTGCGCATGTATTAGAAGGGATAAAAGAATAAGGGAAGAGCTTCAGAAAACAGTGTTGTTCCAAAGGAGGGCTTGGTAATTCTAAATGGCCAGTAGGGCAGGCCAGAGGCCACTGAGGATTCACATCACAGGAGAGAAAGTATTTACCAGTAGGGTTGCTTTGATTGATGGGTCCTGGGAATTTCTGCAACATGCCCTGCAGCACCTAACAGTAGGACAGATGTTTCCATAGCTGAATCTTTCTGCCCTGCTGCTCCTGGGAAAAATAATTTCCACTCCCACTGCAGCTCTACCCTAGCCAATTAATGAAGTTCTTTCAGTGATTTTTCATTTGTGAGTATGATATGCTCAGCTCTTGGCCTAATTAGACAAGAGGGGGCCGCTGATTTCTCAGTCTCCAGACTTCTTGCTTGGGACATGCATTCTCAGTTTCTTTAGACCAGTAGTTGTATTAATAAAAGAAAGAGGAGGGGGCCAGGTGCGGTGGCTCACACCTGTAATCCCAATATTTTGGGAGGCTGGGGGTGGGGGTGGGTGGGGGGGGGGTGGATCACGAGGTCAGGAGTTCGAGACCAGCCTGACCAACATGGTGAAACCCTGTCTCTACTAAAAATACAAAAATTAGCCGGGTGTGGTGGCACACGCCTGTAATCCCAGCTACTCAGAAGGCTAAGGCAGGAGAATCGCTTGAACCCGGGAGGCAGAGGTTGCAGTGAGCCGAGATCGTGCCGCGACACTCCAGCCTGAGCAACAGAGTGAGACTCCGTCTCAAAAAAAGAAAGAAAAAGGAGGGAAACATTCCAAATCTGCCAAGGCATTAAATATATAGTGGATGCATATAGTATTTTCAATATTTAAAAGACATAAAGTAGGTCTCTCTCCCAATCCTGTCCCCTTCCCAGAAACAATCCCTATTAACTTTCTGTCTATTCCTAGAGATATATCCATGTACATGCATTTAATGTATGTGTGTGTATATATATACATATAGACCTATTTATCTTTTGCATTCACACAAATGGTAACATATACATAATTCCATACCTTGCTTGTTTCTTTTTGTTTTGTTTTTGTTTTTGGGATGGAGTTTCACTCTTGTTGCCCAGGCTGGAGTGCAGTGGCGCAATCTCGACTCACTGCAACCTCCGCCTCCTGGGTTCAAGCAATTCTCCTGCCTCAGCCTCCCGAGTAGCTGGGATTACAGGCACCCACCACCATGCCCGGCTAATTTTTTGTATTTTCAGTAGAGACAGGGTTTCATCATGTTGGCCAGGCTGGTCTCGAACTCCTGGCTTCAGGTAATCCACCCTCCTTGGCCTCCCAAAGTGCAGGGATTATAGGCATGAACCACGGCACCCGGCCACCTTACTTGTTTTTACTTATCTTAGGGATTGTTCCGGGTTAGCACATGTAGACCTCCCATATTTGCTTTTTAATAACTACAGGAATGTTTTTTAAACATTGTTTAGATGGTCCATCATTTACTAGCCTTTTATTGCTGGGCATTTTGGTTGTACAATCTTCTGCTGTCCCAACAAATTAAATGTTACCCTTGAACATAAATATTTTGGCGCATATGCTAGTTAATCTATATTATCAGTTTGCAGAAATAGAACCACTAGGCCAAATGGCATATACCTTTAAATATTTAAAATATTTAAATATAGAGATAATCATATTGCTCTCCTGTAGAGGATTTCTTCATTGACTTCTTCCTGGCAGTGCATAAGAATGCATCCTCCAACCCGTTTCCCTTCTCCCCATCTCCACCTTGGCCATATCAGAGTCTGTCTTTTGCAGGAGAAAAAGTTTTGGTCTGGGATGAGCATGAATATTTTTAAAACTCACCGCATGGGTGTCAGCAGTGTTTCAGTTGCAAGTCACAGAAAATCTGCCTCAAACCGACTTAAATCAAAATTAAAAAAAAAAAAAAAGATGGAGAAGTTGATGGGCACAGATAACAAAAGTCCAGAGAGAAAATGTGCTTCAGGTGTAGCTGGATCTAGGGAGGGCTGGCATGTCATGGCACAGCTTCAGGGGCACAGTCACATTGCATTAGCAAACAGTGTGAAGGCTGCCCCCTGGAGTTAGTGGCCATACATTCAGGGACACAACTAAGCTTACAGGGACCTGGTCTCTCTCCATTTCCCAGCCCTGTTTCCTTGGGGTTTGCCTTGTTCACAGGCAGGCTTTCTCCACGTGGCAGCTCTAGGTTTACGTTCTATGAACTTTATAACCTCAATCTAAGAGCCTCCCCTTCTCTGTAGATACAGCCAAAGTCATGCAATTGTTCTTCGTTGATCTGACTTTGGTCAGATACTCATCCCAAGTAATTGATCACTTCTGGGAAGGTCTTTTGGTTTGCTTGCCTGTCATCCATTCCCTGTTCTTCTGATAGTAGCGCCTTGATTTTCTTCCTCAATCTAAGTCCCCATGGTTCTAGGGACCTTCCTTCATCCAGGGCTGAGCATGCGACCCTAGGCATGGCCAGTCAGCACCCATCCTACCAACGGCCAAAGTGATTCTGATTCTTGGACACTACCTCCTTGACCACTAACCCATCTGTAGGCTAGATGAGTTTGTCTGAGACCAGGAAAGTTACAGCTGAAGAAGATGGGAGATGGAAGTGCATACAAATCACCTGGCAATCTTGTAGTAAAGCAGATTCTAATTTATTAGGTCTGAGATGGGGTCCACTGCATTTCTAACAGGGTCTCGGAAGATGTTGATGCTGCTAGTCCAAGGCCCACACTTGGAAGCAGAGAGACGTAAGGTGGATCCAATGGCCCCTCCAGGCTCCTCCTGGTCTAATGATTTTAAGATTTCATAGCATATACAAAAGGATACGAAACAAACAAAATCTCCACATGCAATCAATTCTAATTTGTCTCCACTTCACATGCAAATAGAAGTCACATTTTAATGATCATATATATCCAAAAACATAAATATTATGAAAACATTCATTCATTTAAGAAATACAATTCCATTTCCTGCCTTGATGGGGTTGGGAGAGGAAACCTTCATTGAATTTTTCTAAAAGAATCATACTTTTGACCAATGTTGGCAAGAAAGTAACTTTTTCTTTTGGGGACTGTGAGCTCTTTGTTGTCTTACTGAAAAAACAAAACAAAACAAAAAATAGAAGACAAAAAACAAAAAACCAAAACAACCTGCTGCTGATTCTACTGTCAAGCTAGTGACTTATTTGTGCTTTACCTGAGGAACCAATTTGCCCTTGGCAGACACTGGGCTTTATATATCTAGTTATCCCATCATAGCTGGGTGGCCTGGTGGCAAAAACTGGGGACAGTCTACTGTTTTCTTGAGAATAACACAGTCACTCTCTCTCTCATGACCAACTGCTCTTCACATTTTCTTTTTAAATAAATTCTTTTCTCATCATCTCTCAGTACCAATATCTCAATCCAGGAATAACTTGAACAGCATCTAAAGAGTTTCTTTGCTCTCCCTTATTCAAATCGGCTATTGAATGGACTCCCCCAATATCCAGCACCATTTATTGAAACAGAAAAATGATTTCTTTTGGAAAGCAATTTCATGCCTTGTTATCCCCAACAATGTCTCTAAAATACAAGGTTAGATGGCATTTCCAGGAAGTCCCTATTCATTCCTGGGACTGAAAAGGAAAAATAAAATTTTAAAGGGGACTCCAGAAGCCCATGGCATTGTCTGCTAGATATCTTCATGCCTTGAGGATCATTGTGTGGCATTGTGAAGATACTTGCTTTAAAATCATGCCTCTGTACAGAAAATTGTAGCCTCAAACCCTGGTGTTATTATGTAAATAGGTGTTAATGAATCGATTGTACTAAGTAGACTGTGATTGAGAGTTGCTGTTCTTATGAGATGATCACAGAAAGACAGCTGGATTTTCTTCTGCTTTTTTTAGAATCCTTATACTCGTTCTGCTTCACAGATATGGCTTCTACCAGAAGGCGAGTTGTGCAGAATTCTCATCTTGTGCTTTATTTTCTTATTGCTAAACTGTTAAGTAAGCCAGTCCCATCCGTAAGTTTGAAAAGCCACCTTAGGACTTAATTATTAAAAGGTAACGTCTCCTCCATAAATACTGATCCTCTAGAAATACTGTGGTGTCCACATTTGTGTTTTAAGATTAATATAACCCATCCTCTCCTGTAAGAAATGGGATTTTGAGGCCCTCTCCTTGCTCTCTGTGTCTGCGATTGACTCACTGAGTGTCAGAGCTGCACTTAGAGGATGCCTAAGCTGGGAAGTCATTGATCAACAAATTGCACCTTGATGGTAGAATAGAAAGGAGAGGGGTATTTATTGTAGCAGGGGGTCGTCTTTATCCATTAGTGATGTAAATACTAGGAGATAGAAGATTTGGGGATTTGTCAATCGGCCTAATGACATTTTCCCAGCAAGTCTTTATTGAGCACCTGCTGTGTTCCAAGGCATAATGGTTGGCTCTGGGTATACAGTGATGATCCAGCTGAGCCCTGATCTCATGGAGGTAACTTAAATGAGCCATTTAATGCCTGGACTTGACTTGAAAAGTGAAGCTAATTCCTAACCTCACTGGATTGCTGTGATGGTGAAACACATTTTTGAAAGTATAAAGTATTAAATGCAGAGTTCCTGAGGTCAGAATGATGACACAGCTTCAGCAATGTCCTTAACCTTGAACTTTCTAACATCAGTTCTTTTTTCTATTATCTGCTTTCATGAAGTTATCCTCACACGGCCTTCACTTCGCCCTTTGTCTTTTTGTGACAGTTGCATTTTCCTCTCCAAGGATTATCCCACTTTCCTGATTCTTGAATGGTGCCAGCTTTTTATCTGCCTTGCAAAATATTTTTCTAAAGGAGGGGCCTCCTAAGAAATTTCATAGGTATTCGATATGAACTTAGAAAAGTGACTATTCACAAAAGATACTGAGACAAAAACGAAAAGTAGCTTTCTGTATTATACATACAATAAAAATCGGAACGTAACACCCCAGAATACAGTTCTCTTGAGACATCTCTGTCGTTTCCTAGAGTTAGAAATAAACAGAGAACAGTTTTGGAGTTGGGCGAGTAGCCAGCCTTGTCGTCTGCAGATAGGAATGATGGGGGTCATGTTTGAGTGAGGGAGAGAGTGGAGAGGCAGTCTCTTGAGCATGCTGTTGGAGCAGCTGAGACTTGGAAACATGTAGGCAACGTTTCTAAGAATGTCTTTGCTGTACATGTTGGAGGAAGATCTCAGATTTTTGCATTTAAAAGATCCTGGCCTGTCACAGCCTCCCCGGTACGTTTTGTTTTTTGGTTTTTGGGGTGTTTTAGACTCATTGCACAAATTTTATCTATGATCTGTTAATTGGGGGAGTCACTCTTCTTCTCTCCAATTCTAATGTCCAGAGTAATGTATGTGTCTCTGCCTCTCCCTGCTCTGTGTCCCTGTCTCTGCATCTCTTCTTCTCTCCCACACTCAAGCTCTCCACTGCGCTTATGTGATATCATCACTAAGAGTGGGAAAGCTGAGCAAACCTCAAGTCTGAGCCCCTAAAGAAATGTTTTAGAGGATTTTGTTTTACACTTCGTATATTGCACAATGAACCCATCTTAAGAGATTAAGAGCTGCTGGTTTTCTCTATCCCTGACAAAAGTATATAAATAAATAAATAAATAAATAGATAGATAAAAAATAAAGAGGCAGCTTAGCATCATGGTATAGTGCAGTGTTGGCAAACACTTTCTGTAAAGGGCCAGATATTTTACATTTTTAAGCTGAAATATTTTAACCTTTGTGGACCATAAGTCTCTGCCGTAACTACTCAAGTTGGCCAATGTATCATGAAAGCAGCTATAGGCAATATGTAAACAGGCAAGCATAGCCGTGTTCCAATAAACTTATGGACACTGAAATTTGAATTTAATGTAAGTTTTACATGTCATGAAATATTGTCCATTTGATTTTTTTTCCCAACAGCTTAAAACTACAGCCCTTATGAAAAACAGGTGCTGGGATAGATTTGGCCCCTGGACCATTGTCGTTTGCCAACTCCTGGTAGAGTGGAAGAAACTCAGAACAAGGAGTGAGAAGCCTTGCCTTCCAATTTTGGTTTTATTACTTTTTAGTTTTGACATAATCATTTAACTTCTAACCTCAGTTTCCCCATCTGAAAAATGAGTATGAAAAGAGGGTAAACAGGAACTTTACAGTGGAGAAACCCGGCAGACACTACCTGAGTCAGGTGGTCATGGTCAACATCATCAGTGCTAAGTCACGATAGAGTAAGAAATATTTGGTCTTTGTCCCTGGTTCCTGACACAGAACTTCTATAACCCTTGGAATTTCCTGAGTGGCATGCATGATAGGAGCATTTTCTATTATTCATAACAAGCCCCTTCAGCCTTACCTGAGTTTCTGCTAATGCAGTGACTTTTGGTGGGCCCCTAGATAGCTCCAGGATGGAGCTGGTTGCCAAAGGAACCAGCCATGTAATTAAAGAGTGGAACTTTCAGGGCCACTGATATGGTTTGGCTGTGTCCCCATCCAAATCTCATCTTGAATTACAGCTCCCACAATTCCCGTGTGTTGTAGGAGGGACCCAGTGGGAGGTAATTGAATCATGGGGGCAGGTCTTTCCCGTGCTGTTCTCATGACAGTGAATGACTCTCATGAGATCTGATGGTTTTATAAAGGGGAATTCCCCTGCACAAGCTCTCTCTTGCCTGCTCCCATGTAAGATGTCCCTTGTTCTTCTGCTGTGATTGTGAGGCCTCCCCAGCCATATGAAACTGTGAGTCAATTACAACTCTTTCTTGTATAGATTACCCAGTGTCAGGTATGTCTTTATTAGCAGCACGAGAACAGACTAATGCAGTCACCCTTCCTTCAGGGAGGGGTGAAGGGGTCGAGATTGAGTTAATCACCAGTGGTCAATGATGTAATCAATCATACCTCTGTTATGGAAGCTCCATTAAAAAACCTAAAGGACAGGGTTCTGAGGGTTCCAGATTGATGAATGCATCCATGTACCAGGAATGGGGCACATCCCAACCCCACAGGGATGGAAGCTTCTGTACTCTGCCCCTTCTGGACCTCACCCCGTGTGCCTCTTCCTTGAGCTGTTTATGTGTATCCTTTATAACAAACAAGTAAGAGTAGGAAAGTATTCTCCTTAGTTCTGTGAGCCCTGAGGAGGGAGTTTTAGGACTCCCCTGACCCCAGATTTATAGCCAGTCAGAAGTGTGGAGGGCTCAGGACTTGCAATTGGTGTCTGAAATGGGGCAGTCTTGTGGGGCTCTGTGTTAACTCTGGGTAGTTAGTGTCAGAACTGAATTGAATTGAATTACAGGATACCTGGCTGCTGTCCAGAAAACTGGAGAATTAGTGTGAGGAAAAACCCCCACAGTTGGTGTTAGAAGTGTTGCGAGTGAAGCAGCCGAGAGCCACGTTGATAGCATGCATCCTTGATAGGATTTGATGAAAATGGCACCCCAGCCCTGCGGTCATCCTCCAGAAAAGCCATTGACAGCAGTTGAAGCATGAGAAAATGACCAGGTAGACCTAGGGACAGTCTACAATATACCTGATCACTATTCCTCAAAACTGCCAAGGCCATAAAAACAAGGCAAGACTGAACCACGGTCACAGATCAAAGGAGACTAAGGAGACGTGATTAAACATCGTGTGGTATCCTGGACATGGGACCTTGGGAGAGAAAAAGGACATTAGGGAAAAACTGGTGACATCTGAACAAAGTGTGGAGCTCAGTTAATAGTCATGTATCAGTGTCGGTTCCTTGGTTGTGACAAATTTACTGTGGCCATGTAAGATGTTCACATTACAGGGACCTAGGTTAGGAGAATAGGTGAATTTTGCAACTTTGCTATAAATCTAAAACTGTTCTACAGTAAAAGCTTTATATTAAGAAAATATTAAAAATCTCTAGGATTTGGCAATTGATTAGGTAAGGAGGGCAAGGGAGAAGGAGGAATAAAGATTTTTGTGAAAGTCTTTGGCCTGATTACCTCGGAAGTTAGCTATGCGAGTGGACAGAAATGACAGAATATAGGAGGCAGTCTGGCTTGCAATAGGAAATAATGAACTCGTGGTACTAGGGATATATCCATGAATGCGATGTACCGTTTAACAGTTAAAGTAATAAAAATGGCCAGAAAGGGCTTTTGGATTTCAGATGTTTGGTTTAAAATGACCTCTAGCCTCACAGCATTTGGCATTTAAATTCTAATTTAAAAAGAAAGAGGAACTGGATTAAAAATAAAGTAGTGATTGAACTTGTATAAATAGCTGGACTCCTGCTCTTGTTTCTATGTTTCTGTGTGGGTAAATTTATCTTTTTGTCATTAATGCATTGCTTGGAGCTTGGAGTAGCTATCAGCCCCTCTTTATTTGCAGAAGGACTTAGAGTCATGTTGCCAAGTGAAACATGATTTAAGTGACTCAGCAGCCAGAGCCAGCCCTTTTTCTTTAGCTAGAAATGCTGGTTGTGTTGACCCAAATATACTGGAGCGCATGTTTTGTTTACTTCAGACAAGAAGTAAGAGCTTTGAGTCATTCCTTTTTCTACCCTATTTATATTTTACAGCCAGAACTGCCTCAAAAATACACACAGCCATTCATCAGAGGCCTGCGATGTCTGCTGTGCATTAACAATATATGAAATATGTGAAATTTATCAGTGTAGGATCAAACCACAGGCAAGACCTCACGCCTGCATAGGTCATGAACAGGCACTTCACCGAAAAAGAAATTCAGGTGGCAATACATGTGTGAACAAAATTAAACTTTGCAAATAACAAAAGATGTATAATTAAACTTGTGAAGATAGCAAAGAAATGCAGGAACCAATGCTGGCAAGAGTATGAAGAAGAGTACTCTGGCAGGATTATAGATCAACATAATATAGGGGGAGGGCAGCTTGAAATATATATTCCAGACTTTAAAATGTATTTATCCTTCGTTTCAGTCAGTCCACTTCTAGAGATTATCCTAAGGAAACAATGGGATAGGCATATAAAGATATATGTAAAGAATGACCATCTAAGCATTGTTTAAAATAGTAAAGCACTGAGGATAACATCCAACAAGACAGACACTGGTTGGCTTCAGTGTTGTAGATGTAGCAATCATAATAGAAAGGCTTGCATTAAATTTTTGAAAAAACATATTTCAAAATGCATTCATATAGTCCAGTTTATACAAAATGTATGTGTGCATGTACACTTCTAAAAGAACATATGCTAAATTTTAAATGCTTTTAAACTGTAAATGAAAATAAAAATGTTTTAATTCTAAACCAAAATGTGGACTCTCAGTGCTAAATTCTGAGTGATGTAAACGGTCCTCTCATAAATTACTATCATTTTTGTAGAGCCTAAAACATGTTCCCATCACCACCCATATGCTTCCTCTCCAAAATAATCCTGAATTTCTTAAATAAAAATTGTAGTTCATCCTAAATTATTGAGTAAGAATTTTCATTCACAGTGTGAAGAATCTAGAGCTGTGTTATAGAGAAGCCAGCAAATAGTTATTGTTCCTTAGTTTTATTTTATGCTACAGTAGTTAAAATACCCAAAACAGTGCTTCATAAAAAAAAAAACAACACTATACTTACAAATACAGGGTGAAAAATGGGATTTCAGTGGCAAATGGGATTTTCTTCACTTTGATTTCATTAATTTACATCTTGCCTCTTTCCAAATATATGTAAAGTACCTGTATCTTTCAATAGAACATGCACTGAACATAAAAAAGTGTTCACACACATGAACTAACCAGCTGCACCATCACACTGCCTCCAAGGTAGTATGATAAAAGGCAGGGATGATAAAAGGCAGAACATATTTCCAAAGACACTCAAGATCTGTGAACTAGAGACTTCACCTTTAACACATGAATGAAATGATTCAAAAATCTTTCTTCCAAAGTCAATTGAAAACTAGTGTGGCCATGTAGTTCAGATCAGGCCAGGGGCACAGCTTGAGAAGAAGAGCTGACTGTAGCCAGCAGGGTCCCTAAGTAAATAAGGCTTCATGTAACCATATACAGCCTGATAGAGTAGGAGAAGAAAGGAAAAGGGGTGAGTAAGGGGAAAACGTTTAGAGGCACCTGCTCTTTGCCAAGCACTAAACTGAAATGCTTATTGTGTGCTGTCTCATCTAGTAAGGTGCAGGCATATTCTAATGTTCAGATGGGAGTTTGATTTAAATATTTCTAAATAAATTAGTCTTCTTCTTGATGTTACCCTTGCCAGCTGCATGCCATGGGCCGTCATCTCCAGATCTGCCAGTCACCCAGTTAGTTGCTAATGATTCCGGATTTCCCCTCCTCCCACCACTCTTGAGTATCTCATTAGCCACTTCTTTTTTTTTTTTTTTTAATTTTTTTTTTTTTATTATACTCTAAGTTTTAGGGTACATGTGCACATTGTGCAGGTTAGTTACATACTTCTTAAACTGCCTGCCGTAGCCAAGGTGAGGAGGGCTCGGGATTATTTCAAGAGGTCTACCAGATACCTTGGATTTCAGAGCCAGAGTTGTGAACAGGACTTCACTTTTCGTGTTCCTCATTTTGTATCTGCCTCTTTCCAAAAAGGATTTGAAGTGCCCAAATCTTCCAACAGTATGTGCGCTGTGAGATGTTTCATAAGAGAGAGAAATTTTAGGAACTCTACGCAGAGGGGCAGTATACACAAAAGCAAGACAAAGTGAGCAAGGGAGAGAAAACAAACGTCTTACTATGTGTGGGAATGAGCAAAAGGAGAGGGGGAGAAAGACTGAGCACAGTTGCATATGGGAGTGGAGCTCCTTGTGATGTTTTAGTGATTAAATAGGTGACAGCTAGGAAGGGTGATCACTTGGCTTTGTGGCAAGAGGTTTGTCTCTGAGCGTTTCTCAGCACCTGGTAGGCTTCTTCCTGTATTAGGACAACTTCACACCAAGATTCCTTCTAGAACCTTGAGCCTAGTTAACCCCACGCCCATTATCCCTGCCATACTGAGCTATACCTATGATGTCAGCCTCTCTTATGCTGACATTCCCTTCTTGTTCTTCACGCACCTCCATCTTCCCATCCCTTAACACTATTCCAAACCCTCCCCACTTCTTCAAGCTGCTAACACCTCCTATTTTCAAGGTTCCAAACAGGGGTATGTGGACTAAGTCTGGCCTCTGCCATGTTTTGCTTAATCTACACATCCCACCTTTATTACTGGCAAGAGCCAAGAATCTGTGGTCTCCTGTTTCCTGAAGTCTCCAGCACCCTCTGTTGTTTCCTACTCCCCTTCCCCACTCCCTATTGTTCCCGCTCCCTGTTGTTTCCCAGTCCTTCCTGTGTTCCACGTCTTGGTCTGGGTGGTGGTCAGCTAAGTCTGTTCAGTTAGTAAAAATTCACAGAGCACTTATTTTGCAGTTTTCTGTGAGCATGTTATATACCAGGTTAAAAAAATTTTAAAGTTAATTAAAAAGCAGAATCTTGATTTCTCTGGATAAACCCTGCAGTGGACATCATTATTTTCCCCATTTTGTAGATGAAGATATGGGGACATGGAAAGGACAGTTTGTCTATGGTCATTCAGCTGGTACATGACAGAACATAGGAGTCACACTTGGGTGGCCTGTGCTCTTTTTTTTTTTTTGGCGGGGAGAGAGAGTCTCGCTCTGTCACCCAGGCTGGAGTGCAATGGCGTGATCTCAGCTCACTGCAACCTCCGCCTCCCAGGTCCGAGTGATTCTGCTGCCTCAGCCTCCTGAGTGGCTGGGATTACAGGTGTGCACCACCATGCCTGGCCAATTTTTGTATTTTTAGTAGAGATGGGGCTTCACATGTTGGCCAGTCTGGTCTCAAACTCCTGACCTCAGGTGATCCACCTGTCTCAGCCTCGCAGAGTGCCAGGATTACAGGTGTGAGTGAGCCATAGCTCCTGGCCTTGGCCTGTGCTCTTGACCACTGTGTCTTCCTTCTTGTCAAGAGAGTTGGTCCAACCATGAGAGACTCTAATTCTACTCTTGGCTTCTCTTTGCCACTTCGATATCCAAACCATGAGTTTCAGAGATTCATTTATATTGTTTCTTTTATGTGCTGTGGTAGATTCAAGGTGGCCATGAATTATTTGCAACTCCTTTCACTGAGATGTGGGATCTTATTATCCCCTGCTTGACTTTGGGCTGGTCTTAACAATTTGCTTAACTGGTAGAATGCGGTGGAGATGACATTGCTTGACTTATGAGGTAGACTGTAAGAAGATTTGTAGCATCTGCCTTGGTTTCTTTGAACACTGACTCTTAGAATCCAGTTGCCAAGCTGCAAGAAGCCCATAGAGAGGCCCACATGGAAAGGAAATGTGGACACTGGCTGACAGCCCAGCTTAGCTGCCATCCTACAGCCAGCAGCAACTTGCCAACCATATGAGAGAGCCATCTTGGAAGTGGATCCCCTGCCTCAATTGAATGACCCCAGTTAATGCCCCATAGAGCAGAGATGAGCTGTTCCCGCTGAGCACTGCCCTAATTGCAGATTTCATGAGAAAAATAAATGACTAGTATTGTCTTAGGCCACCAATTTTTGGGATGGCATATTATATAGCAGTAACTGGAACACCAGCCAATTTGGTTAACTAATATACGTTAGAATCATATGTGAGATCAAAAAATGTTTTGCTTTCTTTAATATTAGTGCTATCATAGAAAGTTTCTTCTAGCAAAAACTTAACTCTTAATTAAGCCATTCCTGAAAATTATTCCAGGAATAATTTTCGCATGCTAAAGATGTTTTTTTCTCTATCCTCACTAAACCAAATACCAAAGACCACCTACAGTAGTACATATTTACTGACTAAATTGAAACTTTCTAGGAAAAAACACATTTGTTAGTAGAATATCAACAAAGTGCCATCAAAATAATTGTAGGAAGTAAGCCAATGTAAAATCAGTTTATCTATGAATCTGTGAGTTGCTAGGAATTAGGTATGAAAACTATACAGTCTAAAGCTAGTTCTTCACATTAGCTAAATGAGCAGAAGACTAACATCTCACATTTTTGGTTGGGACTCCCCACTTACCCAAGACATTTGCTTGGCAAATATTTTCCCAACCAAACTGCACAGTCACCCAGGGTGTGTTCTACCACACCGGACCAGCCAAGTTGGAGAGTGACTGATTACCAGGGTCATGTGTTTACTGCAAAGGGAAGTCACAGGGTTATAGCTCCCATTTCTTATGAGCCCTTTGCAGTCTGTACTCTCTGTGCTGTTTCCCCAGCAAGATAAGTGAGGTAGGGAAGAGATGCTTTTGAATGCATGGCTGGTCATGAAATGCCTGTAAGAAACTTGATAGGGATATGGGTGATATTGACATACATATTAGAAAGTTGATTGTTCTGTGAAAACCTGAAGAATGATGGCCACTGCTCTAGTCTGAATGTTTGTGTGCCTCCACTCCCAGTCATTATGTTGAAACTTAATCCCCAGTGCAATGGTATTAGGAGGTGGGACCTTTGGGAGGTGATTAGGTCAAGAGGGTAGAGTCCTCATGAGTGGGATTAGGCTGAGGGAGCTTGTTTGCCCCTTCCACCACATGAGGAAGCAACAAGAAGGCTCCATCTATGAGGAAGCAGGTCCTACCAGACACT
Organism: Homo sapiens; assembly: GCF_000001405.40. Taxonomy (NCBI): domain Eukaryota; kingdom Metazoa; phylum Chordata; class Mammalia; order Primates; family Hominidae; genus Homo; species Homo sapiens. The sequence goes on along the minus strand of NC_000012.12, from coordinate 94,699,564 downwards.
GAGTCTGCCAATGCCTTGATCTTGAACTTCCCAGCCTCTAGAACTGTGAGAAATAAATTTCAGTCGTGTAGAATCCATGGCATTTTTTTATAGCAGCCTGATTGGAGTATGATAGCCACAGTAAATAGTTAAATGAAAAAAAAACCGGTTGACAAACGGGAGGTGTTATATTACACAACTTGTTTGATGTATAGATGGATGAATAAGAGATGGTGAGTTAGGGCTGGGCACAGTGGCTCACACCTGTAATCCCAGCACTTTGCAAGGCCAAGACGTGCGGATCACCTGAGGTCAGAAGTTCGAGACCAGACTGGACAACATGATGAAACCCCGTCTCCACTAAAAATGTAAAAAAGTTAGCCGAGTGTGGTGGTGCAGGCCTGTAATCCCAGGTACTTGGGAGGCTGAGGCAGGAGAATTGCTTGAACCTGGGAGGCAGAGGTTGCAGTGAGCTGAGATCATGCCACTGCACTCCAGTCTAGGCAACAGAGCGAGACTCTGTCTCAAAAAGAAAAAAAAGAGATGGTGAGTTGGAAAGAGAAGTGTTTTTTAGCAAGGCCAAAGAATCTATTCTTTTAGATCGGGGGTGCTACTCAACTCTGCAGCTCTGGCTTGAAAGTAGCCACAGATTTTATATATAAAGGGATGGACGTGGCCATGTGCCACCAAAATTTCATGGACATTGAACATTGAATTTCATATAATTTTCACATGTCACAAAATATTATTCCTGTCTTCAGTCATTTAAAAGTATAAAAACAATCCTAAGCTCACAGGCGGTATAAAAATAGGTGCAGACTGGCTTTGGCCACAGGCCATAGTCTGCTGACGCCTGTTGTCATTTGGGTTGGGGAGAAGTTGTTTGCTTGCTTTCACTCTCTACTGTTTAAATTTTTGTATTTTTGGAACTTTTTAGAACAATTATTACTTTTTTCCAGGCTGGAGTGCAGTGGCATGATTGTAGCTCACTTCAGCCTCAAACTCCTGGTTTCAAGTGATCCTCCCACCTTAGCCTCCCAAGTAGCTGGGACTTACAGGCATGCACCACCAGATCTGGCTAATTTTTAAAATTTTTTTCTTTAATAGATATGATGTTTGCCTGTGTTGCCCAAGCTGGTCTTGAACTCCTGGGCTCAAGTTATCCTCCTGCCTCTGCCTCACAAAGTCTTGGGATTATAGATATGAGTCATAGCGCCTGGCCTATGGCTCTTAAAATTAAAAAAAAAAAAAATATTTCCATGTTAGAGCAAAGGAAGAGGAGAAAGTCTCTGTGTGGGCCCCTGTTAGGTTTCAGTGAGAAAAGGACAAGTGATAGCACCTTAGGGCTCTTGTTCGAATAATTCAAGATCTCATTTATTCACACTGACCCACCCAGAATTGGGTTGAAAGTCCCATTTGTTCTCTCCAAAGAGATTTATGAACTTAAGTTGTAAACAGTTTAAGGTAAATAGTGTTACTAATTATAAATTATTTTCATCTGCTTGTTAAAGCAGGCCTATTAGAGTATCTGCCTGAGAAGAGGGTGAGCTTAGATTAAGATAACTTGAAAGCAACACCATATTCTTTTTTAAATGCTGTTACCCAGACTAATTCAGACTTCCCTCTCTTCTTATTTTACCCACAACTGACTATGCTTTTATGGTGCCTATCTTAGGCTAGTTTGCATTAGGTCTGTTTATGGTCTTCCTTTTGTCTGTCTTCATTCTCTGTAAATTCTCTGAAGGCATGGGTCTTTATATAATACCTTTTATTCATTCACTTATTCAGCAAGTATTTACTGAGTGCTTTCTACATATCAAGCATTGTTCTGGGCCCTAGGGATACTGGTGTGAACAAAACAAAATTTTGATCTATGGAGCACACAGTCTTTGTTGAATCTGACTTTGTCCTGTTCATCTGCATTAATGTTTTTCTTCAAGGATAAATTAGCTTTACCTCACAGGTCAACTGGGAGTGATTATTAGTGGGTGCTTAGGTAGTGCTGTGGTTTGAATGTGTCCCCCAAAAGTTTATCTGTTGGGAACTTAATTGCCACTGTAACAGTATTAAGAGGTGAGGCCTTTAAGAGCTTATTAGGCCGTGAGGCATCTACCCTCATGAGTGGGTTAATGCTGCTATTGTAGGAATGTGTTCCTGTTAAAAGGATACGTTTGGCCTCCTTTTTCTGTTTCCTGTGTGCCTGCTTCCTTGCCACATGATACCTTCTTCTAGGTGACGACCCTGGCCAGTTAGTGTTGCCATAGTCTTGGACTTTCCAGCCTCTAGAACCATGAGCCAAATAAACTTCTGACCTTTATAAATTACCCAGTCTGTGATATTCTGTTATTGCAGCAGAAAAAGGACTAAGACAGGGAGTATGTTAGGAGGCATTCTGAGAGTCAGCTCAAAAGAGGACCCTTGTCCATCACTCATCTGGGAGAAGAGCATGACAGCACATGGGTCACATATATGCCATCCCTTATATAGATTGTGAATTGTGGCACATGGGAGGCAACTGAGGGGCAGGGTGATGTGATGATGGTGAAATTTCTAAGATTTTATGTCAGGATCCAGATTAATTTCCCTTCTGCCTCTTCTTTGTGACATCACTGGTGGAGCCTTAATTTCCTTTTTAAAATGGGCAAAATAATATCTACTTTAGAAGATGATTATGAGGCTTTTAAAATCATTACTATTATCCTCATCATCATTATTAATAGATAATATTTATTGAACATGTATGATGTGTTAGCCACTTTACAGGTATTATCTCATTTAATTGTCTCAACACCACAAAATAGATCCTACTATTATTCTCATTTTACAGATGAAAAACTGGGACAAAGAGAGGTTACGGTCGAAACAAGATTACACAGCACGTGATCACATGATGTGTGTGAAAATCCTGTACTGCACCTGGCACATAATAAGTGCTCACTATGTGGCCCTTTCCCTCCTTCTTCCTCTTCCCACCCTCCCCTTGCTATGTAGCAACAGTGTTGAGGAGACCACCAACTCTTCTTGGGTGGTTTATGAGTCAGTAAGGAAAAGCTCATTGATTCCTTTTTCCTCCTCCAGGCCTCCTAAGACTAGATGTATCACTTATGATATTTCCAATGGAGCCCTTCTTTTCATTTATTATGAAGGCTTCAGTTCTGGGCTTTGACAAGACTACAGTATCACCTAGAGTCCAAACAGGAAACAGATGATACACCCAAATCAGATAACCTGAAGAGCATTAATGAAGTAACTTCTTACAAAGGTAGAGAGAAAATGCAGATCATTGCAGAGCTCCTTCAGGTTAGTCACAGAAGGGCTAACACCAGCCCTAGACCTGAGGAGGGAAGGGAGTACTTACCCAAACCTGGGGGTGAAGAGGCTCTGTGGAGGGGGCTTCCTGACCCAAGCTGTGCCCTTCAGTTAGAGGATGGAGCCAGCCCACAGTGAGCCATAGAGAAGGCAACAGGGGAAATGAACACCCCAGCCTCCCTCTTCTCCCTCCTTCCCCCTGCTGCTGCTCCTCAGGGGCGAGCCCAGCAGGAAGCCTTGTCCATGGATGCAGCCATGTACACTGGACTCCCAGAGAAGATGGGGTGGATCTTGAGGGGCAGGTGGAAGGTACCAGCACCGCTGCCACCCTGGGCATGCCCAGGAAATGGTGGGGCAGATCGCAAGTTCAGTTTTGCACACTTCTTGGCATTCGTGCAGATTCAGACATTCTTGGCTCCAGGTGTCTAACAGATGGCTAGATCTTCCAGGTAGACGGTTACAAATTACTTTTTGTAAGTGTGCATTTGGAAAAAGTCCGGCAATGGATTAGTTGGAGGACAACGAATTGAAATTGGTTCTTCTACATAGCCTTTGAGACTGATTCATTATCTCAGTAGCTATATCTCTTAAAAAACCTCAGTTCACTTATTTATAAAATGAACACGGTAATACATCCTTCTCAGGGACATGTAAGGCCTCAACTAGGTAAAGTCTAAAGGTTTTATAGGCCTTATTATGATTTTTAATAGACTTTTTAACAATTTTTGAGACTTCTCATGGAGATGAGAAGTCTTAATGTGCAGAGTAACATAGGCCCTCTTAGATTTGAGATACAGGTGCCTGTATCTTTCTTTAGATTGTTGACTCTGTGGCATATTATAGACTGTCACATCTTAGAGGTTCATCTTGGAGGTGAATAACTTGACTTGAAAGGTCATATGGATTTTTCTTTGACATTTTTGCACTTTAGATCAGCAGTCCCCCACCTTTTTGGCACCAGGGACTGGTTTTATGGAAGATAATTTTTCAGACAGTGGGCGGGTTGAGGGGAAGGGATAGTTTGGGGATGATTAAAGTGCATTACATTTATTGTGCATTTTATTTCTATTATTATTATTACATTGTAATATATAATGAAATAATTATACAACTCAACATAATGTAGATTCAGTGGGAGCCCTGAGTTTGTTTCCCTGCAACTAGACAGTCCCATCTCGGGGGGCACGGGAGACAGTGACAGATCCTCAGGCATTACATTCTTGTAAGGAGCGCCCAACCTAGATCCCTCGCATGCACAGTTCATATAGGTTTCATGCTCCTATGAGAATCTAATGCTGCCTCTGGTCTGATGGGAGGCGGAGCTCAGGTGGTAATGTGAGTGATGGGGAGCAGCTGTAAATACAGATGAAGCTCCACTTGCTCGCTCGCTTGTTCGGTCACCTGCCACTCACCTCCTGCTATGCAGCCCAGTTCCTAACAGGCCATGCACGGGTGCCAGTCCATGGCCCCGGAGTGGGGCACCCTTGTTTTGGACGGTCTCAGACATGCTGACCAGGATAATTGGGACCCTCTCTACCTAGGATCATCCACTTAAATCAACTGACTAAACTTCCTCCCTCATTATTGTAATCTGTATACTACAGGTAAACTCTAGAATAAATTACTGATGTAAAAATTGAACACGTAAGGACTGTCATGTCATATATCTACCAAGTACCTTAAGGTTTAAGCAGTATGTTGGTAACTATGTGAAATACCTGAAACTCTCACACATTATTTGTGGTGGGAATTTAAGTTGGTTCAGCCGTTTTGAAAAACCAGCAATTTCCACTAAAGCTAAATGTATACCCACCCCAAGAATAGCAGTTCCACTACTAGGTATACAACCAAGAGAAATATGTACATGTGTCTTCTAAAAGACATGCACAATAGTGTCCATATCGGCCTTATTCCTAACAGCCCCAAACTAATTAATAATCCAAGTGGATATCAAGAGGGGAATGGATACAATAAAATGTGGTGCTTCCTATACAGGGAAATACTTCATAGCAATATAAATAATGAACTAATTAAAATATAAACTAATGAAACATGCAGGAACATGGATGAATTTCAAAGATATCATGTTGGGTGAAATAAGCCAGACACTAAAAGAGTACTTTTACGAAGTTCAGGAAGAGGTAAAACTTGTTAGTGGTTATGGAAGGAAGTTAAAAAAAAAAAAAAAGATTATCCCTTATGCCAGGGTGGGGCTGGGAAGTATTGATTTGAAAGAGTCATAATGAAACATTCTGGGTGTTGGAAATATTCTGTATTTTGATACAAGTGATGTTACAGAGGCATACCTATGTAAAAATTCATCAGACTGTATACTTTAGCTTGTGTACTTTACCTACTTTGCTTCTTATACACTATAATAAAAATGGTTTTGAAAAAAATTTATTGAGTGTTACAGCCAAATCTTGGCAAATGTGGCAATGATAATACCAGGAAACGTAGTGAAAAGTTTGCCTTAACTATAACGTGATCTTTCTGGAGAGTTTGGCAATGTGTATTGAAAACCTTAGGCACATGCACACTTTTGACATAACTATTCTTTGGAAATCATTAAGATCGTGTGTAGAAGTTTCTTCATAGGATGTTCATTTCAATGTCCTTTGTAATATTGAGCATTTGGAAATAACCCAATGTTCAATTTAGAGAATTGGTAATAAATTCTGAAATAATATGCGGCTACTTAACAAATGTAGTGGAGGAAGGGGCTGTGTTTGCTTTCATGTGTGTTTCTATGGAGGAAACAAAGTAGACAGGACAAAGACTTCAGAAAATGGTTAGTTGGCTTAAAAGTGGCTGGCTCTAATCATGATAAAGACATTTGAAATATGTTTATTGAATGAAATTGATGGATAGTAGATGTCCGATTATCACATGATTTCATCCCTGGAAGAAAAATGCTATAGGTCTCACATTCCTTCCTGAAAATCTGTTTCTTCTCGTATTCTTTCACTTAGCCTTAGATTTGTCTGGGGTCTGTGTATCTGATTCAGACCCAGCAAATAAAATCTTGCCTGTGGTCTTGAAAGTGTATTTTTCCTTTTTAGCATTGCTGGTTGTATTCGTCCGTTTTCATGCTGCTGATAAAGACATACCCGAGACTGGGTAATTTATAAAGAAAAAGAGGTTTAATGGACTCACAGTTCCATGTGGCTGGGGAGGCCCCACAATCACGGTGGGAGGTGAAATGCACATCTTACATCGCAGCAGATGAGAGAGAATGAGAACAAAGCCAAAGGGGTTTCCTCTTATCAAACCATCAGATCTCGTGAGACTTACTCACTACCATGAGAACAGTATGGGGGAAACCACCCCTATGATTCAGTGATCTCCCACCAGGTCCCTCTAACAACATGTGGGAATTACGGGAACTATAATTAAAAATGAGATTTGGGTGGGGACACAGCCAAACCATATCATAGAGAAACTCCAGGCCTCTAAGAGAGGCTGTTGATGTAAATATAGGGACTGCAGTGGCTCACGCCTGTAATCTCAGCACTTTGGGAGGCCGAGGTGGGTGGATGACCCAAGCTCAGGAGTTCAAGACTAGCCTGGGCAACATGGCGAAACCCTGTCTCTACCAAAAATACAAAAATTAGCTGGGCGTGGTGGCATGCGTCTGTAGTCCCAGCTACTTGGGAGACTGAGGCAGGAGGATCACTTGAGCTCAGGAGGAGGAGGCTGCAGTGAGCCAAGATCGCACCACTGCACTCCAGCCTGGGCAACAGAGCAAGACTCAGTATCAAAAATATATATATATATATATAAATATATATAATATATATAATATATATTATATATACACACACACAGAGAGAGAGAGAGCGAGCGCATGACACTGAGTGATAAACAGTAAAGCCATTCAGAGGAAAGCTGCTGGATAAAATGGAAGCCTGAAAACATTCCCACAGTAAAATCCTACCCTGTGTTTCGTTACCATTAAATATCCTTTCAGAGTTATCTCTAAGAAGCCCACTTGGAGACATCTAGACTTTCTAAAATTTAATAATGTCTCCAATGGAAATAACATTACATGCTAATTAATTGTCATGGGGTAACATTATTCAAATTGGTAACTGTAACTCCCAAAGATTACATTAAGTTTGATCAGTGGGCACAGCTGTTCTCTGAGAAATAAATTCAGAAACTTATTTCTGTCTCTTCTTCTTTTGACCAAAGGAAAAATTAAGTCAGTGACCTTGGTAGGTTTCTTATTTTGAACAATGTGTATGAGATTTTGTGCTGTCATTTCTAAAAGCTTTTTAATTCAGGTTAGCCAAAAATCTCTGGAAGAGGGTAATTTTTTCACTGGAAAATTCGAGTGTCATATTATTTTCAAGGTTACCTTGTATTGAGCTGGGTTTTTTGTTTTTTTTTTTAATGTCTCAGAGCTTCAGTTTCTAAATCTGTAACATGGAAATAATAATGGTACAACATCTTAGTGGTAGTAGAAGAATTACATAGTGTCTGGCATGCAGCAAGTGCTCAATTATTGTAACTCTGTATGTTTGCATAATAACTCCAGGTGTATAGCATTATATACACAAGTTATCTTGGTTTCTCACCTCCTATTTACACCATATTTGGCACATACTAGGCATCAATTATTTTTTTGCCTAAAGTCCCCTATTTTGTGGGATCGAAAAATCAAATCAATTGAACTCATAGACATAGAGAGTAACAGGATGGTTACCAGAGGCTGGGAAGGGTAGTGAGGGTTGGCGGGGAGGTTGGGATTGTTAATGGATACAAAAAAAAATAGAAGGAATGAGACCTACTATTTGATAGCACAATAGGGTGACTATAGTCGATAATAATTTAATTGTATATTTTTAAAATAACTTAAAGAATGTGATTGGATTGTTTGTAACTTAAAGGATAAATGCTTGAGGGGATGGATGCTCCATTCTCCATGATGTGTTTATTTCACATTGCATGCCTGTATCAAAGCATCTCATGTACCCCATAAATATATACACCTACTATGTACCCAGAAAAAAAACATTTAAAATAAAAAAAAATAATAAATTTTAAAAAATGAAGTTCCTTGCTTTGGTTTGTCTTATATGGAAAAAAAATGGTGTCTAGTATTTTTTTTCTCTAGACCACACCAACCTGGTGTTTCAGTAGAATTACAAATATTTTCCAGTAAAATTAAACATGACAATAGCAATTTAATCCCTTTCAAAACTCTCCATTTTATTCAAGAGGATTCTCGTGGTACCCTGTCTTTCTACCTCATTTGTTCATTTATTCATTCCACAAATATTTACAGAATACCAGTCCTGAGCTGTGCACACAGGTAGGTGCTGGGGACATTGTGAACAAGACAAGAAGAGTCCCCTGCCCTCACTCACGCTGGGGTTGCCCCGATGGCATCACTTTTTTTGCTGCTCCACCAAACAGTTCCCAACCCTAGTTTCCCCATTGCTTATGAGCTAGTCCTGGAGGCCAGCCACTTACTTCCATGAGCACACCTGTTCCCTGAGCAGTGGGCCTCCTGGCCTTCCAAGCATTGAGGCCCTCCGCCTCCAGACCCTTGGTGGACTTACAGAAAGGTTGGTGGTTGCACAGCCAGTGCAGAACTGGAACCCTCTCTCCATGAACTGCATTAAAACAAACTGATTATTGCACAAAATCTTGGCAGAAGGATTTGAAAAATGTCCCATGAACAAATACCAAGTCATCTGAGGCTTGTCCACATGATTTACCAGCATTTTTTCACACGACAAAGATGTGAAGGAAAACTGGGGAAATGTGTCAGCCACTATTGGCATGAACCAGAGATATTTACAGGGGAGGGTGAGGGACTATAGTCCAGAGTCTCCTCAGATTCTTAAAACAGCAAGGATTATGCAAAGATAAAAAGCAAAAGTAAACACTAAAACTGTGAATGAAGCAAGAACACAAAGAGGGGAAATCCTTCTATGGAAACAAGCTTTCCTTCAGAGGAGAAAAACAAGACTCTGCTAAAAAAAATCTGTCAGCCTGGAGTAATAGATGGAGGCTGGTGTCTGCACCGTGCCTCCCTAGTCCACGTTTCTCTGCTAAAACACGATGTTTTTAAATGGAAATGAACGTTTGGCAGCTCGAGGATTGACGTAGCTGACGCCGGCTCCATTGTGGAGTGGGAACACAAACAACAAACGTGAAGATGGTTTTGGGAGTGGGTGAGGCAGAGGGCAAGGGGATGCAGGAAAGTGATAAAAAAGCAAGTGAATTCTATGAAGTCTGGTGTGAGGGCAGAAGCAGCTTGATTTGGGAACTGATTCCTCTTGTGTTACCCATCCGTTCATCAAACTAGTATTTCTTGAGCATCTGCTATGTGTCTTACGTGGTGCGGGGCTGTGGGGATGCAGTGGAGGCTGTAGCGGGGGAAGGAACTAACATCCCTTGAGGCCCCACCGTTTGCCAGACAGTGCTCCAGGCTTGCATTGAAATCCTCTGCAACCCTGAGAACTGCGTCCCAGCGCTCCGAGGTGGTGGAAGCTGGACTTAGAGCGAGGTCTTTCTGACTCTAGAGCTCACTGCCTCCTTATTGTTTTGAAATCTTAATCCTGTGGTGATTTGCTTTTATGTTTACTTTTAACCAAGGCTAAAACATTTATTCCTGGTGTGGAATGCCGCTTCTCCTTTCATCTTTGGAATCTGCTTTGGGCCACAGTGTCTTTCTGATCCAGAGAACCATATTCTCAGGCGATAGGACTGATTCTCCCTTCTCTTTCTAGCTCCTATTTTTTTTCCCCTAAGCCTCTGTATGAGTTTCACGTTCAAGCTCTGAATCATCCTTTCTGTTGCCAAATACTCATGCTGAAACCCCCTGCAAGATCTTCTCTGCTCTCTCTCCAAGATAGACACAAATGCTTCCTCTCTCCATACCAAACTTAGTAGAAACCAAAATGAAAGCGAGGAAAGAGACTCAGTGCATTGCTGAAGGCACTCCAGGTCCTTCGCTTTTCTCGTTCTACAGTCAGATTTTATTTGAAAGACAAAAAGACATGTACACAGTAGACCATGGTAAGACGAGGTCCATGGGTTTGATTCAGAGAACTCTAAGCAGAGGCTGCAGAAGAATCATAAATGAGCATGACTGTGCAAACTTTAAGATGACCTACATTATGTCTGTGTCTTTTATTGAGCACCTCCTATGTACCAGGCACTGCAGTGCTAGCTAGAGAATATGTTTGGCAGCAAACACAACAGACAAAAATTTTTTTTTGCTGTCATGGGGCTTATATTCAAATGGGGGGAACAGTCAATAAACCTAACAAGTAAGGTTGGTATGGTAGGTTAGAAAGCGTGAAGTGCTAAGAAGAAAAATAAAGCAGGGAAGAGAGATGGGTAATATGAGGGAGTGTGGTGGTTATTTTGTGTAGGGAGGCCAAAGAAAGCCTCTCTGAAAAGATGGCATTTGAGTGAAGATGTGAAGTGAGGGAATGAACATTCAGATACTCAGAGAGCCTTTCAGGAAACAGCAGATACGAAGGCCTTGAGCAAGGAGGAGGCCCGGTGTGTGTTCTAGGAACAGGGAACACAGGTGGTGGAGTAGTAAGTAGATGGGCTCTGACTATATAGGGTCTTGTAGGATTTTGACTTTTCTCTAAGTGAGACGAGAGCCATTAGGGGGTTTCAAACAGGAATGACCAGATTTGACTTAGTTTTGACAGAGGTTAACGGGGTCAAGAGAGGGATATTTAAGGGTAGGGGAATACCAGCGTGTTTGTATGCTATTGGAAGTGATGCATGGAGAGAGAAATATGACAATGCAGGAAAGAGGGCAGAATTGCTGGTGCAGGGCTCCTAAGTAGGGAAGGGGGCTCGGACTGCGAAAGATGAGGAAAGGGGTTGGCCTCAGGGTCACAGACAGTTCATCCATGGCAGCAGGAGGGAGGCAGAGTATATATGGGCACAGGAGCAGGTGGGAATAGATGTGGTAGAGGGAATGTGTGGAAATTCTCTCCTGATTGCTTCAATTACTTTTCAGAGAAGTAGAAAACAAGATCATGAGCCAAGAGTGAAGATGGAGGAGGAGGAGAGGTGTCGGAAGTTTGAGGAAAGAGGAGTATGAATTAACCATCTAGCAGCGCGGCAGAGTAAATCGACCAGGGAATGTGGTAGGATTGCCAATTGGCAGTCCTAGTTTCTGGTCGTGAATTTAAAATGCCTGTAATCCCAGCAACTGGGAGGCTAGAGGAGGAGGATCGTTTGAGCCCAGGAGTTTGAAACCAGCCTGGGCAACATACCAAGACTCTGACTCTAAAAAAAGTTTTAAAAACAAATCATGATGGGATTGATCTTGTTGGTTTTGAAGGCTGAGAATGTATGTGTGTTGGAAGGGAGTGGGGAAGGGAAGGATAGTGTTGTGGTGATGAGTTGGGGGTGGCAGTTCTTGCCAGGATCTCTTAGAACTTTGTCACTTCCCAGTTACAAGTATATACAAGGAATACTTAGAAGAAAAGTAACACAAAAAAGGCACCAAAGTTCTCAGAGTAGTTCTATCAAGACGGTGGGATTAGGGACAGTGTTTCATCTCCTTTTCACTGTTTTCCCTTGAACTCCATCCAAGATCCTCACCAATGAACTCAGTTTAAAAATTCTACCGCCTCTTGCTTGTAATTTATTTATTTATTTTGTATTTAGAGACGTAATCTTGCTATGTTGCCCAGGTTGGCCTGCAGTACTCTTTTACAAGGTTCAAATTACTTTGTCTAGGATTTACTAAGGAAAAAACACACGTTAAAAACAACGATGACCACAAATAATATCCCTGCTGACGATGTTTCCCTGGGTGTTCTTAATGTGTTTTCACAGGATATCCCAGATAAAGCAAATGCCTTTCTGTCCTTGAATATGGTTAAGTACAATGCATCCTGCCACAGACTGTATTATATTTTTTTGGCCAGATCCAACCTCTCAGGTTCTTCCAGGAAATGTGTTTCTAAAAATTTCCAAAGCCGGTATAGAGAGTCCTTATGTGCCCAGATACACAGATTTGTAATTAGCAATAGCTAAAGGGTTGTTTTTCATGTTTTTGAGAAGTTATCTGAAGCTTCAAGGGCTATTAGAAGTCAAATTATTCTATATTTCCAGTTTGGTTATCAAATCTCTTTATTTTTATTAGACAAAGAGTGCAGTTACTCTCCTAACCATCATCCTTCCTTATCCCCAGCAGCACTACATGGTAATTAAACCTCCTGGTCCTACAAACTAAGACTATTTCGTAAATGTTTGTGGAAACTTGCCAATTTATTATTTACCTAACCCAGTAAATACCATAGAATATTTTTGAAATTTCCTATTACATCCTGCTTTAGGGCAAGTATATTGATTTTTCTCTAGGTTGTAAGTAGAACACTATTTTATCTAAAGAGACAGATGCAATGAATTTAACATAAATATAGGGAATATCATAATCACAGTGTATTTCTTGAATGAGTCAAAACAGAATTGAATGAATGTTTGATTAGTACTACAAAGACCCTCTTAATCTCCAGGCATTTCAAGAGACTGACCTGAGTCTTGAGTATGAAATCCTGCAGAAAAAGTAAGAACTACTTGAAACTAACAACATAGAAAACTGAACTGAATTCTTGAATGTGTCTAAAAGTGAGTACCTCTGTGAGCTCTGGCAATTTACTTAACCTCACTGGCCTTCAGTTTTATTGGCGGTTTAGTTACCCTCACTGGCCCTCAGTTTTGTCATCTGAAATATTAGATAAGTTGATGAAAACTATAGAGGTTTTTTGTTCTGTTTTGTTTGTTTGTTTGAGGCAGAGTTTTGCTCTTGTTGCCCAGGCTGGAGTGCAATGGCGCGATCTCAGCTCACCGCAACCTCTGCCTCCCAGGTTCAAGCGATTCTCCTGCTTCAGCCTCCCGAGTAGCTGGGATTACAGGCATGCGACACCACCCCCGGCTAATTTGTATTTTTAGTAGACACGGGGTTTCACCATGTTGGTCAGGCTGGTCTAGAACGCCCTACCTTGTGATCCACCTGCCTTGGCCTCCCAAAGTGCTGGGATTAATGCTGTGAGCCACTGTGCCTGGTCGAGTTATTGAGAGTATAAAGGGACTGTAGGGATTTTCTAATGTCTCTTTAAAGAAAGCAGGAGTGCTAACTCTTATTTTATTTCCTTTTCCATTATACTCTGCTGAACTTTCATTACTTCCAAATCAAAAAGTTGATAATTCTAACTTTAAAATTAGTTGTGGTGGCTCATGGCTGTAATCCCAGCACTTTGGAAGGCCAAGGCAGGTGGATCACGAGGTCAGGAGTTCAAGGCCAGCCTGGCCAATATGGTGAAACCCTGTTTCTACTAAAAATACAAAAATTAGCCAGGCATGGTGGTGTGCGCCTGTAATCCCAACTACTCGGGAGGCTGAGGCAGGAAAACCACTTGAACCTGGGAGGCAGAGGTTGCAGTGAGCCAAGATCGCGCCATTGCACTCCAGCCTGGGCGACAGAGCGATACTCAGTTTCAAAGAAAAAAAAGGTAGTTTCAAAATTGTGAAACCAGGCACAGTGGCTCATGCCTGTAATCGCAGCAGTTTGGGCGGCCAAGATGGGAGGATCCCCTGAGCTCAGGAGTTTGAGACCAACCTGGGCAACATGGCAAAATCCCATCTCTACCAAAAAAAAAAAAAAAAAAAAAAAAATGGCGTGGTGGTGTGTGCTTGTAGTCCCAGTTTTTCAGGAGGCTGAGGTAGGAGGATCACCTGAGCCCAGGAGGTCGAGGCTGCAGTGAGCCACTGCACTCTAGCTTGGAAAACAGAATGAGACCCTGTCTCAAAAACGAAACAAAACAAAATCGTGGTGACTTTGGAAGCAGAATCACACATGCCTGTCCACATTCCACATCCCAGGCCTACTGAGCCATCTCTGAGGATCTTTAGATCAACAATCCAACAATTGTGGTGATGGTTGCACAGCTCTGTGAATGTGGTAAAAACCACTGCATTGTACATTTTAAATAGGTGAACTGGATGGTATGCGAATTATATCTCAATAAAGCTAGGTCAGAATTCTTTTGTTGGAAGGTGATAATGTTACTGGAAAGGGGTCCCAATCCAGACCCCCAAGAGAGGATTCTTGGACCTTGTGCAAGAAAGAATTTGGGGTAAGTCCATGGAGTGAAACCAAGTTTATCAGAAAGAAAAGGAATAAAAGAATGGCTACTCCATAGGCAGAGCAGTGGCATGGGCTGTTCCACTGAGTATATGTATAGTTATTTTTTGATTATATGCTAAACAAGGGGTGGATTATTCATGAATTTTCCAGGAAAGGGGTGAGCAGTTTCAGGAACTGAGGGTTCCTCCCCATTTAGGCCATATAGAGTAACTTGCTAACATTCCATGGCATCTGTAAACTCATGGCACTGGTAGGAGTGTCTTTAGCATGCTGATGCATTATAATTAGTGTATAATGAACAGTGAGGACAACCAGAGGTCACTTTCATGGCCTTCTTGGTTTTGGTGAATTTTGGCCGGCTTCTTTACCACAACCTCTTATCAGCCGGGTCTGTGTGACCTGTAAATTGTGCCGACCTCCTATCTCATCCTGTGACTTAGAATTCCTAACCTCCTGGGAATGCAGCCCAGCAGGTCTCAGCCTCATTTTACCCAGCCCCTATTCAAGATGGAGTCGCTCTGGTTCAAATGCCTCTGACAATAGAAACCAACCCAAGCCAACTCAAGTGAGAAAAGAAAGTTCACAGCCCGTGTCACTGAAAAGTCCACACTAGATATCCAGGCATGACTGGACCCAGGTCTTAAGCATTCGCATTAAATCCTACACTGTCTCCACCTCTCAGCCCTCGTTCCTCTGCAGTAGCTTCACTCTCAGGAAGGCTTTCTCCACAGGTGGCCCCTGGCAGTTCTCAGCTTAAATATTTACCGATTTATCAACTCCAGCAGAAGCATCTCATTCAGCAAAAGTACCGGAATGAAGTGTCATGGATAGCTTGGGCCATATGACCATCCTATACTAATAAATGCTCACATAGCACTATGTGCCAATTCTATTCTTGTAACATCCCATTGATGGGGTTCAGAACACACTACCCCAATATATGGCAGTTTGGCATACTGCATATTTTAATCTGAAGGAATATGAGAAAATGCAGACACAGGAAGGTCTCTCTGACCTTTCCTCTACCCTTCCCTTCTGAAGCACATCATAAAATCTAGGACAGATTTTCTGAGCTTCCCTTGAAGAGGGTCATGAAACACTCATGTGAGAGTTGCTTTCCCTATATTCAAAGGGAAGGAGCATCCTTATCTCTGAAGACGATGGGACACAGAGAAGAATCCAAACAGGCCTTGCTAAGTTCCTCCAGGTCACTGCACTCACCTTGCACCCTTTGCCCTATCATATTTCTCCACCACCATCCTCTTCATCAACCTACTATGAAAAACACTCAGGTTTAATTGCTTCTCTATGGTTTCCTCTCTTTATGAAGGCTGCTGTGTCATGTAAAACATATTAAATAAATTTGTGTGCTTCTCTCTTATTAATTTGGCTTTTATTACAGGAGCACTAGCCAAGACACCTAAGATGGATAGAAGAAAATATATTTTTCCCCCTACAGCACTTTATAGATGAAAAACTTAAAACTTGAGGCACACAGAAGTTAAGTAACTTGCTCAGGTTCACACAGTAGTAAGTATTGGAGCTGGGGATTTGAAACTCAGGAAGTCTCTGCCTTTAGAGTCTGTGGTTTTATTGGTCTTTAATGCTATGCTGGAGCCAAGGGAAAGAAATGTTCAGACTGGCCAGTGCTGGAGCAGATTCTATATTTACAACCTCATTCTCTCCTGACATCCTGTATTCTAGACCCTTGAGGGATGGATGTGTGTCATATCAGATATTAGTGAATTTTAGAAAGCAGGTTTGTGAGCACCTTCTGCTTCAGAGACTGCAGCTGTTTCTGCATCATATTCATCATTGCCAATGTCAGCCTGACTGTAGCCATTTGAAAAGAAGCCTCAGAGCTTGTAATAAAGCAAAACTGAGGCTTCCTGGCCCCAGAATCAGGACCATGTCAAGATTCTGGCCTCTCTTAAAGAAAATTATTACCAGTACACAGCCTTGGGAAGAAACAATAAAGTAACTGGTGCTTCATCAGCAATGAGAAGTAAAATGAGACTAGCCGGGTGCAGTGGCTCACGCCTGTAATCCCAGCACTTTGGGAGGCCAAGGTGGGCAGATCAGGAGGTCAGGAGATCGAGACCATCCTGGCTAACACGGTGAAACCCCGTCTCTACTAAAAATACAAAAATTTAGCCGGGCGTGGTGGTGGGCGCCTGTAGTCCCAGCCACTCAAGGCTGAGGCAGGAGAATGGTGTGAACCCAGAAGGTGGAGTGTGCAGTGAGCCGAGATCACACCACTGCACTCCAGCCTGGGCGACAAAGCAAGACTCTGCCTCAAAAAAAAAAAAAAAAGGAAGTAAAACGAGACTTTAGAAATTACTCACCAGAATAAGTGATAACTAATAGACAAACTCATTATTATCGAATCCAAGGATTAGGCTTCAGGGAACATTATTTTCAAAAAATGCAGACCCAGATTTGGAGAATTAAAAGTTTTTCCATCTTTTTCTGTTACAGGAAATAAATTTACACGGATAAATATTTCTTTTTTCTCTTTCTTTCTTTCTTTCTTTTTTCTGTGAGATGGAGTCTCACTTTGTCACCCAGGCTGGAGTGCAGTGGCACGACCTCGGCTCACTGTGACCTCTGCCTCCCGGGTTCAAGCGATTCTTAAGCCTTAGCCTCCTGAGTAGCTAGGACTGCAGGCACATGCTACCACAGCCAGCTAATTTTTGTATTTTTAGTAGAGACGAGATTTCACCATGTTGGCCAGGCTGGTCTTGAACTCCTGGCCTCAAGCGTTCTTCCTGCCTTGACCTCCCAAAGTGCTTGGGATTACAGGTGTGAGCCACGGCGCCCAGCCTACACGGAAAAATATTTCTAAGTTGTCAGTTACTGACCCTGTTTTTGAGAATTGGTTCACAGGACCACTGGTATCAGAAACCACCTGGGATGTTCTTTATTAAATCATAATCCCAGTTGGGCTTACACCGGTGGTCCCAGCTACTTAAGAGGGAAGGCTGGAGGGTCGTTTGAGCCCAGGAGTTCAAGTTGCAGTCAGCTATGATCAGGCCTTGGCACACCAGTCTGAGCAGCAGAGTAAGACCCTGTCTCTAAAAAGTAAATAAAATTAAATCATAATCCCAAATAGACACAAGAATCTGTATTTGTTAAACACACTAAGTGACTCTTACGTCCACCAAAGTTTGAGAATCATCACCATAAGTGGCTGGGGCAAAATAGGATATTAGAAGAAGTAAGACCATTGGGTTCTGTATTAATTCATTCTTGCACTGCTATAAAGAAATACCTGAAACTGGGTAATTTATCAAGACAAGAGGTTTAGTTGGCTCACAGTTCTGCAGGCTGTACAGGAAGCATAGCGACATCTGCTTTTGGGGAGGTCTCAGGGAGCATTCATTCCTGGCGAAAGGCAAAGCAGGAGCAGGCATCGTACATGGTAGGAGCAGGATTGAGAGAGGGGGCAGTGCTCCACACTTGTAAACAACCAGCTCTAGTAATAACTCACTCTCTCTCATGAGAACAGCACCAGGAAGATGGTGCTAAACCATTCACAAGAAACTGCCCCCATGATCCTATCACCTCCCACCAGGCCCCTCTTCCAACACTGGGGATGACATGAGATTTGGGCAGGGACACAAATCCCCACCATATCAGGGTCTTAAATTGAACCAAATGTAATGGCCATAGGAGGCAGTTTCTGCTGGGTAGGGAAAGGGGGCAGCTCATTTTTCTCAGAGGCCACCATATTTTGAACAGCTTTAATTGTTAGGTGGTACCTCTAATGTTTATATCTTTTTTTTTTTTTTTTTGAGACATGGTCTTACTCTGTCACCCAGGTTGGAGTGCAGTGGTGCAGACATGGCTCACTGCAGCCTTGACATCCAGGGTTCAAGCGATCCTCCCACTTCAGCCTCTCAAGTAGCTGGGACCACAGACATGCACCACCACACCTGGCTATTTATATTTTGTAGAGACAGAGTCTCACCATGTTGCCCAGGCTATATATATTAGTCTGTTTTCATGCTGCTGATAAAGACATACCCGAGACTGGGCAATTTACAAAACAAAGAGGTTTAATTGGACTTATAGTTCCACATGGCTGGGGAGGCCTCACAATCATGGCGGAAGACAGGGAGGAGCAAGTCACATCTTACAGAGAGGGCAGCAGGAAGAAAGAGCTTGTGCAGGAAAACTCCCCCTTGTAATAATCATCAAATCTCGTGAGATTTACTATCACAAGCACAGCATGGGAAAGACCTGCCCCCATGATTCAGTTATCTCCCACAGGTCCCTCCCACAGCACATAGGAATTTAAGAGGAGATTTGGGTGGGGACACAGCCAAACCATATCACTATATATCTTCTCATTCTTTCTTTCTTTTTTTTTTTTTTGAGATGGATTTTCGCTCTTGTTGCCCAGGCTGGAGTACAGTGGCACAATCTCGGCATCTCGGCTCACTGCAACCTCTGCCTCCTGGGTTCAAGTGATTCTCCTGTCTCAGCCTCCCAAGTAGCTGGGATTACAGGTGCCTGCCACCATGCGCAGCTGATTTTTGTATTTTTAGTAGAGACTAAGGGTTTAGTAGAGACTTAGGGTTTCACCATGTTGGTCAGGCTGGTCTTGAACTCCTGACCTCAGGCAATCCGCCCACCTCAGCCTCCCAAAGTGCTGGGATTATAGGTGTGAGCCACCATGCCTGGCATATCTTCTCATTCTTTATGTTCAGAATTGTTGATCTCTATATTCACTGCTAGCTCTGTAGAGCAGAAAAGAGTAACACTAACCAGTGAATTTTAGTAAAGAATTTTTCAGATGGAAAATGTACTCTCATTAGCTATAAATTGACTAACCAACAACAATAATTAGCATTAGTGAAAAGAGCAATTGTTAAATAATAAGAGCTAACCGTTTTTGAGTGGAGTATAGTGAGCACTTTACATGCATTATCTCACTCTGTCCTCCTAGTCACCTTATGAATGAATGGGTGGTGATATTATCTCTATTATCAGACGAGGACACTGAAGTACAGACATTAAGTATCGTGTCCTAGATCACAAATACTGGGGCAAAGTTGGACTCATTCAGACTGATTCTGTTTAACATTGAGCCCATTTGCTTTTAACCTTTGAGCCATGCTGTCTTATCCTCTCAACAAGAATTTATTATTCTCTGGGAGACTGAAAACCGAGTCTGAAGAAACATTGACTGCAACAAGTGTGCATTTATTATATACTGGAAAAGAAAGCTACCCTGCCCCTGGCTCCGGGACTCACCATTCTAAGAGATCTAGCTGATATGCACAGAGACAGGCTTGTATGTCTCAGGTACCTGTTATCCAAATTAGGACACAATGGTGCCCATATCCTGTGGGGCCCCTCAGTGCTTCCAGAGCATTCCAGGGGTCAGATTTCTCCTGCTTCCTGGGTCTTGGATCCTTGACTTTGTGAGGCCATTTTAGTTGCTGCTCTTGACCCATCCTAAAGGTCAGAGCTGGGTTAAAGATAAAATAGCATACCTGGAAGAATCAGCCATAGCAACCTGTCTCTAAGTGCACTTTTGCTCCAATTCCAGTGACCACTTAGGCCAAGCCATGAGTTCATATAATGGGATATCTGAAGATATATGACCTCAGAAATTCACAGAGCAGATGGGACCCTTGCACAAATCATTACAGTATAAGGCAACGTGTAGTAGAGTGTGGGAGCTCTGGTGTCCAACTGCCTGACCAAGTCCAGTGTCGCCACTGCCCTTTTAGAGATAGTACTTAACCTTTCTCAATCATGGCTTTCTCACCTATAACTAGGAATAGTAGTAGGATTAAATGAAATAAAATGTATCAAGTGCTTCATAGGATTCCCATCCCATAGTATGTGTTCAATAAGTAGCTCTTATTATTGCTGTAAACAAAATATTATTTGTGGCAAGAAGAAGGAGATACTGCTCCTAGCAATCAGAGAAGTCTTCTTTGAGGAGGAGCATTTGATCTGGGCCCAGATGGGAGGAATTTCTGTGAGAGAGGAGGGATTATTCTATGCAGCAGCGGAACCATAACCTGCAAAAGCACAAAGGGAGAGGCAAGGCACGTGCAGGGCGCGGTGAGTGAGGCAGAATGACTGCAGGGCAGAGGGTGCGGGAGTGCAGGAGGGTAGGTGGGAAAGACTGGTCAGAGGGCGTTTGTGGAAGGTCTCAGAGGCTGGTGAGCATCATGTTAATCTCCTAGTCCATCCCTCAGGTTTGAGAGCTGAATACCCACTAAATAAGAATTGCACTGTCTTTTTTTTATTCTTTTTGCATTTATAATACTTACGATCCTAGCCAGGGCTGACTTGGAGGCAAGAATAATTCCCTGGCAGTTTTAGGAAGCTGCATGAATTACACATTCCTGGTTATGTGGACTCTCAACTTTTTGTAAACGGTAAGTGTATTACCAAAGGTGTATGATTCCTTGTGCAGCCACCCCCACGGCCCCCATCCCACCCCACCCAACCCCCGCCCTGCTGGCCATTCCTAGCTACAACCACAGAAGCCAACGCAGCCCAGAAGACAGTGCTGATTTGGGTGTTCCTGTCATTGGGCAGCCCTAGACTCCAGGCCTAGGGCGCGGCGGGGGTGGGGTGGGGGCAGGAGGGAGGGCAAGAGGAGGAAGGAAAGCCAGTCTCTTTTTGCAGATAGAGAAGAGGGTGCCCAGAAGAATTGTGCTGAGCTGGTGATTTGAGCTGTTATCTGCTTGGATGTACGATTGATTCACTCCTACTCCGAGGTTCTCAGAGCCCAGAATGTTCCATAAGTGAAACAATTGATGCATTCGGTCTCTGTGGCACTTAATCCACCACTCCTACCCCCATTTTAATATTTGTAATAGTGATCAGTGAAGGGCAGGACTTGAATGTTTTAGAACTAAAACGGGATAAAAAGTAAAGTCCTAATAATGGTTCTCTTCTGTCTTTGTCCCTCTAATTAGAGAAGGCCATATCCATGTCTCCATAGGAAATGGACAGTTAGGGAATTGGTACCGGGCTGGAGTCATGTGTAATCTTGCCCTGCCTGAGGGAGGCCTGATGTTGGAAGTATTTAAGAGAGTCTGAAAGCTTGGCTGCTCTAATAATTAGACTGGCTGTACTGGTTTTTCTTTGCTTATTAAATCACAGGCCAGAAACACCTCTGTGGCAGGACCTGTGTACTGAATTGGTATGCTGTGAGATCCAGAGCAAACTGAAAGTATGTCACACTTTGAGCATTTTCACAGACCAGTCATGGCCACAAGTTTAGGCCTGGCTTAACCTGATTCACTGGAAATCAGCTTCAACAGCACCAGCTGTAATGAAAAGTAAATATGCAGGTGTTTGTTGTTATATATCTGGCATTGTTAAGCTATCACTGAATTTTTTAAAAATCTTGAATCAGTTGGTGAATGTACATGTATCCAAACAGCTTGCTTCCAGACTGTGTACAATATCTTCTTTCTTTTTTTGAGACAGAGTCTCCCCTGTTGCCCAGGCTGGAGTGTAGGGGTGCCATCACGGCTCACTGCAGCCTCAACCTCCCAGGCTCAGGTGATCCCCCCACCCCAGTCTCCCGAGCAGCTGGGACTACAGGTGCACACCACCATGCCTGGCTAGTTTTTGTATATTTTGTAGAGATGGGGTTTCACCATGTTGCCCAGGCTGGTATCGAACTCCTGGGCTCAGGCGATCTGCCTCGGCCTCCCAAAGTGCTGGGATTACAGGTGTGAGCCATTGTACCTAGCCCATAAGTATCTTTTAATGCTTACCTTCAATTATGATAGATATTGGGAATACCTTGCATTTGTATAAAGCGTTTTTACTGGCTGATTTCAGTTGTTTGAAATCATGCATCCTCTGTCAATCTTCTGGCTGATTCAGTTGTTTGATTCTGCCCAGAACCAAGTGTGGCATAATAAATATTAGCTCCTTGATCCACAGAGGATGCTGACCCTGAATTGAGTGACTTATACAAGATGACAAAGCTAGACAGTGGCTGGCCGGAAAGAGCAGCCCACTAGGTCATCTGCTTTTGGGTTCAGTGTTGGGGTTTCTCCACCACATTGTGACAGAATAGTCTGGCTTGACTGGTTTTTTCTAAAGCACTGATTTTTCAGCTTCCCAAGAAAACCAGAGTAGATCCTCTTTTTGTTTATTTTGTTGACCCAGTTATACACCTTCTGTTCTATAGCTTTTCCCATCTTCTAGGATATGGGACGCAAATTTTATGCATAGCCAATGATTTTTTAAACCAAACTCATAAGCAAAATCTGAATTTCCTTGGAGCAGGAAGCAGAGAAAACAAATACCTTCTCTGTGCTGATTGCTCACATAGACATGCTAACCCACACTCTGCAAAGGGGTTGAGTTTTAGAAATTTAAATTACTTTGTTGTCACCTAAAATAAAACCTTCCCTAGACACTCCCCCAGCACTCTCTTTTTTAGTTTTTATTTTTGAGACAAGCTTTCGCCATGTGGGCCAGGCTGGTCTGGAACTCCTGGCCTCAAGTTATCCACCCACCTCAGCCTCCCAAAGTGTTGGGATTACAGGCGTGAGCCACCGTGCCCAGCCCCTCTGCCCTCCCTTCAACTATAGCCTTATCTTCCTCCTTGTCTGCTTTGCAGGCCAACCCTGGAGAGAGTTGGCTAACTTCCTGTCCTTATTTTCTCATCTCCCTCTTGTTTCTCACTCTTCTTCCGGCTGGACACTGGCCAGGTTTTTGTTAAGGTCACCGGTGGTCTCCACATGACTCAGTTCAGTGGACTTGAGTTTTTCAGACTCAATTTATTTCTCTTAGGGGATTTAGTACACACTGTGACCTTGGGAAATTTACTTCTCTAAATTATTTGCAAAATGGGCGTAGCACCTTCCTCCTCAGATTGTAGCGAGGTCTAAATGACATAGTTTGTGGGAAGTGGTGAGCATAGTGTCTGCTACAGTGAGAAGTACATGCTAACCACTGCTTTTATCAACACACTTCCCCTGGTTCCGGTGACACTGTATTTTCTTGTTTTCCTCCTATGCCTTTGGCCCCTTCTACTCCTCTGTGTTATCATGAAAGGAAATGAAATGCGTCTGCGGCAACAGGACTCTGGATGTGAGTCCCTGGATGTGAGGTGTTAAAGGAGGGACACTCCCAAGAGAAGTCTTAAGCAACTAAGTGGTGGTGCCATTTGCTGAAAGGTGGGATCCTAGAGGAGCCAGAGGGGCATGGAGGAAGGCGGGCACACTTGAACATACTGAGCCATCCATGTGTAGATGAACTGGATGGATGGGTGAGTAAGGCTGGAGGTCAGAAGAGACATAGGAGCAAGAGGCTCCATGGCCGGGCAGGTGGCTCACGCCTGTAATCCCAGCACTTTGGGAGGCTGAGGTGGGCGGATCGTCCGAGGTCAGGAGTTCAAGACCAGTCTGGCCAACATAGTGAAACCTTGTCTCTATTGAAAATACAAAAATTACACTTTGGGAGGCTGAGGCGGGTGGATCGCCTGAGGTCAGGAGTTCGAGGCTAGCCTGGCCAACATGGTGAAACCCCGTCCCTACTAAAAATACAAAAATTAGCTGGGCATGGTGGCGCAAGCCTGTAATCCCAGTTACTCGGGAGGCTGAGGCAGGAGAATCGCTTGAACCCGGGAGGCGGAGGTTGCAGTGAGCCGAGATCGTGCCATTGCAATCCAGCCTGGGCTACAAGAGCGAAACTCCATCTCAAAAAAAACAAAAAACAAAAAAACAAAAATTAGGTGTCGTGGCATGCGCCTGTAGTCCCAGCTACTTGGGAGGCTGAGGCAGGAGAATCAGTCGCTTGAACCTGGGAGGCAGAAGTTGCAGTGAGGCGAGATTGCTCCACTGCACTCCAACCTGGGCAACAGAGTGGGACTCCATCTAAAAAAAAAAAAAAAAAAAAAAAAGCCAGCAGTGGTCTGGGAGAGAAAGCAAGATGGGAAGGGAACGGTCTGGGACAGATGCAGAGAAACGTTGAACTGTTTCAATAGCCTCCTGATCAGCCTCCCGGCTTCCACCCTGGCCCCCCCATAAAAAGTCCTTACTCTGCCAGAAAATGCCACAGGATCTGCGCTGCTGTTCTTCTAACCCCAGGCTGCTTCTCTGACCTCATCTCCACCCTCCCCGCTCTCCTGCTCGGCTCACTCTGCTCCACCCATGCTGGTTTTCTTGCTGTTGTTCCTCAAATGGATCAAGTGCTCCCCTTCCTTGGAGCTTTTGCACTTGCTGGTCCTTTTGCCTAGAATGGTCTTTTTCTAGATATTCTACATGTATCACCCCCTCACTTCCTTCAGTTCTCTAGTTAGGTGTCCCAGCCTATCCATGAGAACTTCCCAAAACATATTATTCAGAAATGCAACACTCATCTATCCCCTTTTCTCTGCTTTCTAAAATTTACTAGCATCTGATATGATCTATATCTACCTGACATATTTTGTTATATTGCATAATATGGTATTATATACTATGTTTCTATATGTGACACATGTAATAATGATAAATATATATACTAATATACCATAATATATATTATACCATCCCTATATATTCTAATCTGCTATATTATACAGTAATTTTTAAAATTTCCCACCTCCAAATATAACTCCATGAAGCCAGCAACCTAATTGTGTTCACTGCTATATCCTTGGAGCCAAGAACATTTCCTGGCATGAAATATACACTTGCTAATATCTGTGGAATTAAGAAATTCCAACATTTCATGATAGCAAAAAAAAAAAATCAACTTTTATCTCCCCCAGGGTTGCCATTTGAAGCTGCAAGTACATTATGCAGAGTTGGTTGCTGTGGTACCAATATGTTTTACATTTTGTATAGTAATGTTCATGAAATGAAGGATGGGTTTCCAATTTCCATTAGTGCAGGATGCACTCGAGTCCTGCCAAAAGTTTCTTCCCT
The DNA here is from genome assembly GCF_000001405.40 of Homo sapiens. Lineage (NCBI taxonomy): Eukaryota > Metazoa > Chordata > Mammalia > Primates > Hominidae > Homo > Homo sapiens. The sequence goes on along the minus strand of NC_000012.12, from coordinate 94,674,229 downwards.
TTTGAAATGCCTTATCTCCAGCTTAAAAACTTCAACTTCCTTTTTTAAGACCCAGCTCCCTTTCTCAGGAAATGTGTGTTTCTACTAGGATACAAATGGGATTTATGATGCTGAGGGAAGTCGATTTGATTTGCTGAATATACCCTTGACAATTGAGAGAAGGTTATCTGAAATTAAAAAAAAATAATAACCCAGTTTGCCAGTATGCCACTCTGGATTACAGAACGGCATCAAGGTTATTGTGCTTGGAACGTTTTTGTTTTTCTCTTTTAAAAATATTGCCTAATTATGGACAGGAGGATATAAAAACAAAAGAAGCTCACATTCTCTTCCCCATTTCCAGTCTACTGAGGATGACCCCACGGTAGACTTAGATTTTCTCAGTGATTCAGAAGAAAATTGAGTATTGTTAAGGAAAAACAGCCTTAACCTGAGACTCTAAAATTGTGCTGTAAGTGTGAGCAGAGGGACACAGAAAGTCTGCTGATGAATGTCACCTGCTGTCTTTTGAAAACCAATGTATGCCACGGGACTCCTATGAATAGTAAATAGTACATGGCCTTTGAGCTGTTTTTATGTCAGTGGTAATAGGTCACACTCTTACTTAATTGCTCGTGCAGTTCAGAATTACCATATGGGGGTTAAGGATGCCCTTTGTGTCCACTGCATTTTGGGTTAATAGGTGTGAAGCATTAGGCCTCATAGCCCTGTGGTCCACCTGTGTTTGGCAGCGAGTTTAGCTGTGGGTGAGTAATTAATTACCTAACTATATAAAATAACTATAATTTTTTTCTCTCTGCTAAGTAAAACTATTTCTAACGAATAGCTTCACAGAAATTGAATACCAGTGCACAAGGTTCTAAGAAGCTTTTACATCTGAATATGCTTGATAATGTCTTAAAGGTGCATTCTATACATCCTTGTATGTATTTCTTCCTTTACCTGGGAAACGTTAGATAATAAAAAGGCTTGGTTTCGGGTGTCAGGTGGTCTTGAGTTTGAATCACTTACTAGCTGACTGATTCTTGTACCTTTTCATGTCTCTCACCGTGAACACTGGGGATGGACGTATGAGATACACTCCGTGAATTTCCTATTCGGGTAAGACATGGTAAAGAGGACTGCCCTACATTTTCATTTAAATAATTGCATTCAAAATAGAAAGGCTCAAAGGATGAGGGAATTTTTTCCATTAATGATTAATTAAGGTCAAACAGCTAGGCTTTCACTTGATTTACACCTAAATATGTATTAATTCATATTTTCTTAAGTAAATGTCAGTTATGCTGCCAAAACAGAAACCAATAACAATTCAGAGATTGAATACTAGAAAATAAACCTAGGGTTTGGAGAAGCTATTGAATCTAACTTTATCTAATGCCATTATAAATATCAGTTTTAAACTCAATAATATAACTTGGTTCTGTTTAGGGAACAGTGTAGGGAAATGGAAAAGGGTTGGTCTGGGGTATCAGACAGACTTGGGTTTAAATCACTTACTGTGAATGACAGCGGGCCACTGTCCTAACCTGTCTCCGTCTCAGCCTTGCTAGCCTGAGTTTGTGACAAGGATGCTGGCTGCAAGGTGTGTGTTTGTGAAGCCACAAAGATGAGAACCTGGCCACCCAGCAGGTGCCCACACGAACTGCAGAGTCTCTTCTCCCTCTTCTACTGCCTATTCCTTCAGCTCTGCTACCAAGTAGCAAGCCATTTTACATATCTGTGCCTCAAGTTTCCTCATCTGAAAAAGAAGGCTGAACCACACACCTTGTTCTGAAAAGTTCTACAGTCTAGGCTTTAAAAGTATAAATGCTTAAAAAAAAAAAGTTTCCTACTTAAAAATTGATACCATACTTGGATGTGTAGATGAAAATATCTACAGACCATGAACCATTCTGTTATTTATACTAAAGATAAATTCTTCTGAGAGCAAGTTAATTGGAAAATCCAGAAACCATTAACAATTTCTTGCACTCACCTTAAAAGAGCAATGAAATTCCATATCCTACAGTCTTGAAATGAGTAAATGGAAGGATGTAAATATTTATTGGAATGAGAGTGGAGCAGAGAGAAGCTCGGCTTTGTCTACTGGTGGGTGGTAACACATCTATGGATCATTGTTTGCACTAAGCATTTAATAATCCCATCTGTTGAAAATGTATAATTGGAGGTACTTTGAAATTGCTATAAGCTACCTAGAAATTGGCAAGAAAGTAATGCTGGAAAGATTCCAAACTCTGCAGCCAACCAAGAAATCCAATATAAATCAATATGTAATTATAAAACCACATCTTTGGCCACAGCTCTTTAAATATATTTATTTAGGCATGATACAGACTTTTAACACCAGAATCTGGAACTGGAGAGTCCTTTGCAAGCCTCAGGTTTGAATCTTTGGGGATACTGTTTATTTGACCTGCAAAACCCACAGACAAAGGCAGAACTTTCTGCCCCCAGCTGCTATGGTACTGTCTCCACTGATAACTCCACGTTCTCACTTGTCTCCCAAGTCCTTTAAGTTAGATTATATCTCATTTCAAAACTGAATCACTTGGTCTTATTAAAAACTTTATACTTCTTTTTCCTTCCTGGTACCTCTTTTCATACCAGAAATTCACTTGGTTGGGCCTGCCCTGGCTTCTCATTCAGAGAAGCATCTTTGCAGTACATTCCTACCTCTCAGGAGTTTGTGTGTATTTTTCACACTGAACTTCTTTCTTTAAAAATCTCCATTCACTGCCTTCCTTTGTTCCCTCATCTCCTCTGTTCCTCTCCCCACACTCTCCCTTTCTATTCATATATCACAGGCTGTGCACATATACTTTATGCAGAGAAATGGCATATTGAGAATTGTAGCTGTTCTTAAGAAAAGAAGACTGCATACTAGGAAGAGCTGTTAAAGACATTCTATGGGTCATTACCTCTTTAGTTATCTCTTTGGATGGAAATTTTTATGTAGCTCTATCTCTATGCAAAATTAAAGTAGGGGTTTAAGAAAGTACCTAATCAAAATGAGCAGATTTCAACAAAGGAAATCAGGGCTTTATTTTCCCAGGAATGTGGAGTTTCTTTGTAGGTTTCAAGATCCCTACTCTCTCATTCCCCAGCTGCTATTCCCCCTTATCTCCAGGCACAGCTGCTTCCATACATTTGCCAAGTTCATCATCGCATGAGTGGTGTCAGGGACTGAACTGTGCCCCTGTAACATTGGTATGTTGAAGCCCTAGACCCTAGTACTTCAGAATGTGACTGCATTTGGAGATAGGACCCTTAAAGAGGTAATGAAGTTAGAGCAACGCCATTAGGCTGGGTTCTGATCTATCTGATGTCCCTGTAAGAGGAGGAAACCAGCCAGGCATGGTGGCTCACGCCTCTGTAATCCACCTGGGCGGATCACCTGAGGTTAAGAGTTCCAGACCAGCCTGGGCAACATGGTGAAAACCCATCTCTACTAAAAATACAAAAATTAGCCGGGCGTGGTGGCATGAGCCTGTAATCCGAGCTACTCAGGAGGCTGAGGCACGAGAATCGCTTGAACCCGGGAGGCGGAGGTTGCAGTGAGCCAAGGTTGTGCCACTGCACTCCAGCCTGGGTCACAGAGTGAGACTCCTTCTCAAAAAACAAAACAAAACAAAACAAAACAAAAAAAACCGAAGAAGTGGAAACCTGGACACACTGAGAGACACCAGGGATGACCATGTGAGGACACAGCAAGAAGGCAGCTGTCTGCAAACCAAAGGGAGAGGCCTCAGAGAAACCAACCCTGCTGGCACCTTGGTCTTAGACTTCTAGCCTCTGGAACTGTGAGAAAATAAACTTCTGTTGTTTAAGCCCCCGAGTCTGTGGTATTTTGCTATGGCAGCCTGAGCAAAGTAATACAAATAGTTATAGCAATATCACATTTCTGTTATGAGATCGCCGCAGCATCAAACAGGAGAATCCAAGAAGGAGACCTAGAAAAACAGGTGAAACCACTTTCAAGCAGGAAATAAACTCTCTGGAGAGATGATCTAGCACGTGTGTGAAACATGTTCTAGGTGTATGACGTCTTTGGAACATTTTTTCCCCATCAAAGCCCAGTTTTGGGATTTTGACCTCCTTTGAAGTCAGGGAAAAATTTGGACCACAGGTTCAGGCATACGGAAGTGTAAGGAAACTATGTGGCATTCAGAGAGCTGTGTTCATGCTGATGTTGAATGCTAGGAATGTCTGATGCATGGGGTTACGCTGAGAATTAACCCGCTTCGATCCGGGTGAATTAAGATAAAGCCAAGCTGCGCTCGGTTAACAGCCCAGATGGAGATGAGTGGAGAGGTGCTGTTAACAGCACCAGAGCAGTCATTGTTTGGCTGGATTTTGGTTTCAGCTTTATAGAGTTAGCTTCAAAGAAGTCTTTAGAAGTACTTTGCACAGTCATGGAGTCCCTCTGTATATTTGATGGCCTCCAGCTCCATTCTAAAAGTGTGACCTTTATAAAGCCATAAGGGACTTTTGCTTGATTCAGTACTTTAAAGAAGGAAAAAAATGTGTTTTTGTACCCTGTGGTGTAGGCCTCTTCAAGATAGTTTCTTAAAAATCATTTGTTCCTTTTATTGTTCTTAATTTATTCCTATTTATTGATCAAGTAGGAACAATGGATATCAATGTATAATTTATGTATTATACAGTCCATCTAGAATTCCCAATGAATTATCAATAATAGAAAATGTGGGCTGGGCACAGTGACTCACGCCTGTAATCCCAGCACTTTGGGAGGCTGAGGCGGGCAGATCAGTTGAGATCGGGAGTTTTAGACCAGCTTGGGCAACATGGTGAAACCCCCGTCTCTACAAAAAATACAAAAATTAGCTGGGGGTGGCAGTGTGCACCTGTAATACAAAAATTAGCCGGGCATGGTGGTGGGCACCTGTAATCCCAGCTACTCAGGAGGCTGAGGCAGGAGAATCGCTTGAACCCCGGAGGTGGAGGTTGCAATGAGCAGAGATTGCTCTACTGCCCTCCAGCCTGGGCAACAGAGTGAGGCTCCGTCTCAAAAAAAGCAAAACAAGCAAAAACAGCAACAGCAAAAAAACCAAGAATGTTCTGAGATGAAACAATTGCACCTGCATTTTAAATTTTGGTTTGGTATTCAGGGATCTACTGCAGTTTCACTCTTTTCAATATGAACTACCAATTATTTCCTTTCCACATTGATTTCTGATGCCACCTCCATCCTAGATTGTGCTTTCATATGTGCATGAGCCTGTTTCTGAGCTCTCTCTTCCTGGGTCTCTGTGCCAATTCCTAATCACCTGAACTATTGCCAATAAAATGTCTGGCTACCTGGTAGGGAGAGCTCACTCTGTCTGCCCCTACTCCCCATATTTTTCCCCCAAGTTGTATTTTTTCATCCATTGAATTTTATTTTTCATTTTGTTTGCTTATTATTTTTGAGACAAGGTCTCGGTCTGTCACCCAGGCTGGAGTGCAGTGGCCCGATCTTGGCTCACTGCAACCTCCACCTCCTGGGCTCAAGCGATCCTCCCACCTCAGCCTCCCCAAGTAGCTGGGACTACAGGCGTGCAGTGCCACCATGCCCACATGCCCAGCTTTTTTTTTTTTTTTTCGTAGAGATGGATTTAGCCATGTTGCCGAGGATGGTCTGTAACTCTTGGTCTCAAGCAATCCAATAATCTTGGCCTCCCAACGGGCTGAGATTACAGGCATGAGCCACCACGCCTGGCCCCTCTTACGCTGATTTTTTTTTTTTTTTTTTTTTTTTTAATGAGGCAGGGTCTTGCTCTGTCGCCCAGGCTAGAGTGCAGTGGCATGATCTCGGCTCACTGAAAAGTAGCTGGGACTACAGGCGCGTGCCACCACACCCAGTTAACTTTTTTGTATTTTTGGTAGAGACAGGGTTTCACCATGTTGGCCAGGCTGGTCTCCAACTCCTGGCCTCAAGCGATCCACCTGCCTTGGCCTCCCAAAGTGCTGGGATTATAGGCGTGAGCCACTGTGCCTGGCCTCTTCCATCAAATTTTAAAATAAGCTTGTCAAGTTTTTGGAAAAATCCTTTTTTACTGGATTGTGTTTCATTTATTGATTGACTTTTAGGGAAAACTGACATTTGTTTGATACTGCATCTTTTCCTCCATGAGTATGACCTTAATATTAGTTTTAGGCTTGCTTTTATAGAAAAACGAATGTTTAAAAAATATTAGTACACACTGTATTTAAATCCTCAAACATTTATGGAAGGATTTCCAATATAACAACCATGCTGGGGACTGATGGATTTTTAGAATGAGCAAGTAAGTCCTCTATTTTAAAAAGATTACAGTCTACTAAAGGGAGGCGTGGTAGACGTACGTACAATTTACTTCACATAAATTAGACTGTGGTAAGTATGATGCTAAAGCTATACATAAGATGCTACCAGGGAAGGAGGATTAATTTAAACCTGAGAGATCCCTTGGGATCCCTCCCAGAGCCATGTATAGTACTAGTATTTGTATGTTTAGCTCATGTTTGGCTCATTTTATATAATGAGATGTGAAGAATACTTGTCAGTCTCTGTGTTTTGACATTTTGATAATTAAACATGGGCTCTGTGATTCATATTGACATGTAGTCAGTATAGAATATTTATGAGATATTTTACCTTCTTTTGTTTGTACTGTCTTTAAGGTGTAAATTAATTAAAATTAAGTAAGATTTAAAACTCAGTTCCTCAGTCACAATAGGTACATTTCGAGTCCTCGGTGCGCTCATGTGACCAGCATCTACTGTATTCAGTATGCAGATTCAGACAATCATTTATTGTACACTTCATCTTGATATCTAAATGAGGGAAAATATTTAAAGCATAGTAGTTTAAATAGGTCCTGGGCTGGGGTTTTATGAATAATCCATATTCTAATCATCTGTCTTCTAATTGGTTATATGTAAAACATTCTGACATTTTTGGATTGTGGAAAGTACGATTCCCTTTGTAAAAGGATTAGAGGTAAACAATGGACAATGGGAAAAGCCCCATCTCAGTAGAGCTTTATCCAGAGAATGGTTTTGCAATCGTGAGTGTCAAGAAGCAGCAATGAAATTTATGGATTTTCTGTCTCTTTCATTGAAGCAGAAATTCAAAATAGAGCTCTATAAATTGGTCAGCATCTTCTTGGATCTTGTATTTGTTTTTTCCGTTACCTCAGTTCCTTTTAGCAATTGAAAAGGAAGCTTGTTGTTGTTGTAAACTCCAAATGACCAAATCCTGCTAATGTTCTGAAAAACCTACATGTTATATTCTTGATTTCCTGATAACTTTTTTTTTTTTTTTTTTTTTTTTTGAGACAGGGTCTTGTTCTGTCACCTAGGCTGGAGTGTAGTGGCGCCATCTCAGCTCACTGCAGCTTTGACCTCCAGGGCCCAAGCCATCCTCCCACCCCAGCCTCCCGAGTAGCTGGGACTACAGGCGCGAGCCACCATGTCCGGCTAACTTTTTGTATTTTTCTGGAGAGATGGGGTTTTGCCATGTTGCCCAGGCTGGTCTTGAACTCCTGGGCTGAAGTGATCCGCCTGCGTTGGCCGAAGTGATCCGCCTGCCTTGGCCTCCCAGAGAGCTAGGATTACAGGTGTGAGCCACTGTACCTGGCCCCTGATAACTTCTACTAATTCCTTTGTATGTGTGTGTACATGCATGTTAGTGGGTGTACTTGCCTGCTGGGTATCCTACACTCCATGGTATTATATTACATACTTTAAATCTTGTGCCTTGTATAGCATTCTTCTCCTTTTGTGAAAGATATTCCTTCTAATGGAAGAAAATCAATAGAATGTCAGAAATATTAACTGGGAGTGCATCAGCCACAGCTGATGTAGGAAGAAGCAGTGAGAAATAACAGAACTATAGAATACCTTTCAAAACTGTCAGCTAGGACAGTGAGGACTTCTAAATACTCGCAGGAAATTGAACCTTCACTTCCAACGTGATAGGAGAATTGACTTCTAATTTTGTGAAACTTGACATGCAAAACTGAAAATCTAGAAGTGCTTAGAAATGATGGAAAAGATTTACAAGGAGCCTTCAGATAAAGGGTAAAGTCATGATGATATAATTTTGAATTTCAAAAGCTTCGTTTTCTTTCTTCATGGGAAGAACAGGAAACAAGAGGCTTAGAATGTAGAAATCATCTTCATGGGAATATTAGTAATAGTGGATGTGTGTTAAACTGTTATGGAGAAGCAGGGAAAGGCTGGACAGGGAATGAGGACAAGTCAGGCTCATTTAAGTTAAATGTTTTGAGAGGGAACCTGCAACAGTGTACTCTGCAGATGCACTGAGATTCTTCCCTGTTCATATTCTCAGCAGTGCCAGCCTTGACTTTTAGTCAAGAGATAGTTATCGTTTAATGGGTATAATTTTTAGAATTCCATCTGCAATTCCATTCTACAATTGCAATTCTACAATTGCAAATTCCATTCTACAATTGAGGAAACTGAGGCTTATAAAGATTAAAGAGCTCATCCAAGGATATGCACCTAGTAAATAAGCTTAGACCTGGAATTTGGACAATAATTTTGCCATTTATTAGCTGAGTACCTTTGGTCAAATCACTTGATCTATTCAGATGTCCTGGTTGCTACTCCGGATATTGGGAAAATCATAGCACCTTCCATCATAGAGATGGGGGGGCAAGAGTTTGGCAGTAACTCAGTTGATGTATTGACAGTGTCTGGTGCAGAAGACGTAGGCAAAATAAATAACTATTGCAATTTACTGGCTCTGTGCAAAGTCCTATAGAGATGCTATAGGAAGACACAGAAGAAATGGAGAAAGATGTTTCTCTTACTCTTCAGTAGCAAAATATTTTGGACTTCTGTTGACCATTTTGCCCTGAATATTTTCCGGGGGTGGGGTGGGACAGAAGATATCGACATTTGTGATACTTTGCATGGGGCATTTTGTTAGGCTCTGTAGCAGTCAGTATTAGGTTTGATACACATAACAGAAAAACCCTACTTTGCAAAATGAGTTAAGATAACAGGCTCCCTGTTAGCATTTTCACATGGAACATTTGATTTTTGGCAACAAATGACTGACCTTAATTGTGAAATAACTGTACAACAATTTCTTTATCCATTCTGTTGTGGAATGACAATTGGGTTGTTTCTAGATAGGGACTGTTACCACTGTGAATGTTCTTGTACGTGTGTCCTGGTTGATGTGTGGCCTCCGGGATAGATATATACTGAGGAATGGAGTGGCTGGGCATGAGGGTTCCTGCTACTCCAGATCATTACCAGCACTAAGTATCATAATACTTTTCTATTTTTGTCAGTCTTGTAGAGTTATACTGATTTTTTATTATAATTTTTTTTTTTTTTTTTGAGACAGAGTCTCGCTCTGTCACCCAGGCTAGAGTGCAGTGGTGCAATCTCCTCTCACTGCAAGCTCCGCCTCCCAGGTTCACGCCATTCTCCTGCCTCAGCCTCCCAAGTAGCTGGGACTACAGGTGCCTGCCACCATGCCCGACTAATTTTTTTGTATTTTTAGTAGAGATGGGGTTTCACCATGTTAGCTGGGATGGTCTCGATCTCCTGAGCTTGTGATCCGCCCACCGCAGTCTCCCAAAGTGCTGGGATTACAGGCGTGAGCCACCATGCCCGGCCTGTTATAATTTTTATAATATCATTACAGAAACATTTCTTCATATGATTACATATTCTTCCTAAGTATAATTGTCAATAGCTGCACTGCATTTTTTATGAATATATCATAATTTATATAATCAGTCCATGATTTTTCATAATAAATAATCCTTTGAATTGTTTTAATTTTTTCAGAATGACAAAATGTGTGATGTTTGTGTGTAAAAGTTTTTCTGTATTTTCCTGTATTATTTCTTTTCTTTTTTTTGAGACAGAGTCTTGCCCTGTTTGCCAGGCTGGACAGCAGTGGCACAATCTCGGCTCACTGCAACCTCCGCCCCTCCAGGTATTAAGCAATTCTCTGCCTCAGCCTCCAGAGTAGCTGGGTTATAGGTGCGTGCCACCAGGCCTGGCTAATTTTCTGTATTTTTAGTAGAGACGGGGTTATACCATCTTGGCCAGGCTGGTCTTGAACTCCTGACCTCGTGATCCACCTGCCTCGGCCTCCCAAAGTGCTGGGATTACAGGCGTGAGCCACCACACCCAGCCTATTATTTCTTTAGCATAGCTTCCTAGAAGTAGAATATTTTGGTCAAAGTGTACCAGCAAAAAGACTCTGTGTATTCTACATGGGAGCTACGGCCTTGGGAATGAAAGGAGCTGGAGGTTAGTGTAAAAGGAGGAAGTGTGCCCTTGTCACTTGTGCAAGTTTGCAGACTCTGCAGTGGTAGGAACAGCACAAGCAGAGGCAGAGAGGGAGGGATGGCCGGGGTCCAGAGCTTGTCCACAGGCTCCTACTTTCATCCTAATCCTATTCACAAAATTTGTGATGATGACATACGGCATCAAAATGCATCCTCCACCTTACTAGGACACTTTCCAGGATAACAGCATACATCCTTACTGAAGTCTTACTGGTAAGGAGAAAGAGATACCACGTGAAGACAGACTTTAGGTTTTGTTTTGTTTGTGCAGACATTTATCGAGCTCTTATTTATAAGTGCTTTACATATATTACATCATTTAATCCTCAACAACAGTATGAGGTGGGTACTATTGTTATCCTTAGCTTATGAATGTGAGAACCAAGGCTTTAGAGCTCGTAAGGAGCAGCGCCAAGATGTGAATCCAAGCAGTCTGCCTCCAGTACACCATACCGCCTCCCTGTAACAGCACAAGATCATTTACAATTGAATGTTTATGTGAGTGATTTAAGCAACAGATACTGTCAGAATTCAGAGAAGGGAGAGAGATAACAGTGTGGACTGGAGTGGACAAGGAAGGCTTCAGCAAGCAGCATCCTCTTTTGAAAGGACTGTGACTTGGACTGTTTAAAAACAACATCACATCAGATTTTTCTGGCAGTTTCATTTCCCACTTTCCTTATCCTGCAAAGTGAGTTGATAAAATGCAAAGTGAATTCACGGACGATATGTTCCTGGAGTGTAGCTAGCTCATCCTTCAGATTCAGTATGTGCTTAATGAAAGACAATTCTCCTGGGCTAGCCGTGCATAGAATGGAGTCAGCTAGAGATCCCCAGAGAACTGCTTTCTCTGTGGTTGTGTGAAGTAGGAACCCAAGCATCACAAGTCCAGTTACAGGTTTAACTGAATGGAACATTTCGTGCCTAGTAAAAAGTAAGGCATTTTTATCTATGTTTGTTTTCTAACCCTGTTGTAGACTTCTGGAAAACTGCAGTAGCAAATAGCCAGTAGTCATACACGATAATCAGAGAGTGAAACTCTTTCCAAGTGGTAGAGTCAAGAGGTTAGAAATAGCAAACCACTTATATTATAATCTGTGTGTGCATGATATAAAGTAAAGACTCAAACCAATATAGGAATCATAAAACATGGAGCAAAGCAAAGCACATGAATTTGCAAAATTTCCTTTTCTTTTTTTTTTTTTTGAGATAGAGTCTCGCTCTGTCGCCCAGGCTGGAGTGCAGTGGCATGATCTCGGCCCACTGCAACCTCTGCCTCCAGGGTTCAAGCAATTCTCATGCCTGAGCTACCCAAATAGCTGGGATTACAGGTGTGCATCACTACACTCAGCTAATTTTTATATTTTTTGTAGATACAGGGTTTTGCCATGTTGGCCAGGCTGGTCTCAAACTCCTGGCCCCATGTAATCCACATGCCACAGCCCTCCAAAGTGCTGGGACTACAGGTGTGTGCCACCATGCCTGGCTAATTTTTGTGTTTTTGTAGAGACAGGGTTTCACCATGTTGGCTGGGCTGATCTCAAACTCCTGACCTCAAGTGATCCGCCCGCCTCCACCTCTCAAAGGAATTTGCAAAATTCTCTACTCAAACTTGCTATGTAACCTTTTACTAAACAACTCATATAATGAATTGTTTTGAACCTGAACCAAATCTATGAACGTTAATATGTTCTTCCAACCAAATCAGGACTTAATTATCCATTATTTATTCCATAAAAACCTTGTAGAATCACTGCTTTGTGCCAGGTGCTTTGCTCCACACTGATGGGCCAAGGATAATGGACATTGCCGTTGGCCCTGAACTTGTGTGGTTGAGACACAGCATGCACTGTGGCCAGGTACTGACATGTGTGGTCATATTAATGAGCACCACCTACAGTCTTTGTTTGCCCTCAGTTTCCACAGCTGGTCAACTCCTCTGGTGCAGCAAAGGGCCATAACCTGGTAGAATATTCTGTGAACAACTTCTTCAGAGAAAAAGTTCACTCCTGCTTGTGTTGTTCCCCTCCTCCCAAAACCCAGTTTTTTCTGTGAAAATGACTACAGTTGCATCTAAATTTAATTTAATTTTTTTTTTTGATGCAGAGTCTCTGTCACCTAGACTGGTGTGCAGTGGCACGATCTCAGCTCACTGCTACCTCCACCTCGTGGGTTCAAGCAGGTCTCCTTCCTCAGACTCCTGAGTAGCTGGGATTACAGGCACCCACCACCACGCCTGGCTAGTTTTTGTCTTTTTAGTAGAGACAAAGTTTTGCCATGTTGGCCAGGCTGTTCTCGAACTCCTGGCCTCAACTGATCTGCCCATCTTGGCTTCCCAAAGTGGTGGGATTACAGGCGTGCGCCACCATGCCTGGCCTTAAAACACATTTTTAAGTAAACTTTTAATTTTGAGATTGTTGTAGATTCACATGCACTTGTAAGGAATACTTCTGAGGAACTCTGTACACTTTACCTGTCCCCCAGTGGTAGTATCTGTGTCTCCCATGGTAGTATCTTGTCAAACTTCAGTACAAATATCACATTAACATTGGTGCAATCCATCAATCTCATTCAGATTTCCCCAGTACTTGTTTGCGTGTGTGCATGTGTGTATTTAGTCCTGTGCAATTCTATCCACCACCACTCTCAAGATACAGAACAGTTCCATCCCCACAGGATCCTTGGTGCTGCCTTTTTATAAACACACCCACCTCCCTCCTGCAACTACCCCCTCCCGTTCCTAGAGCCTGGTACCCACTCATCTCTTCTCCTTTTCTATAGTTTTATCATTTCAAGAATGCTATGTAAGTGGGGCCGGGTGCGGTGGCTCATGCCTGTAATCCCAGCACTTTGGGAGGCCGAGGTGGGCAGATCACTTGAGGTCAGGAGTTTGAGACTAGCCTGGCCAACATGGTGAAACCCTGTCTCTACTAAAAATACAACAATTAGCTGGGTGTGATGGCAGGCACCTGCAATCCCAGCTATTTGGGAAGCTGAGGCAGGAGAATTGGGAGGCGGAGGTTGCAGTGAGCTGAGATTGTGCCACTGCACCCCAGCCTGGGAGAAAGAGCGAGACTTCATCTCAAAAAAAAAAAGGATGCATATCAAATAGTTTGTTCCTTTTTATTGTTGAGTCATATTCCATGGTATGGATGTACCACAGTTGTTTAACCATTCACATGTTGAAGGACATGGTGCTGCTACCAGGTTTTGGCAATTACGAATAAAGCTGCTATGAATATTTGTGTATAGGTTTCTGTTTGAACATGTTTTCTTTCTGGGATAAATGCCTGAGAGTGCAGTTGCTGGGTCAGATGGGAGATTTGCATGTTTTAGTTTTATAAAAAACTGTCAAACTGCTTTCCAGAGAGGCTGAACCATTTTACATTCCTACCAGCAATGTATGATTTATGTAGTTTCTCCACATCCTTGCCAGCAATATGTGTTATAACTCGTTTTTATTGTAGCCATTCTGATAAGTGAGCAGTAACATCTCATTGTGGTTTTAATTTGCATTTCCCTAATAGCTAATGACATTTAACATCTTTTCATGTGTTTATTTGCCATTAGTATATTCTCTTCAGTGAAATGTCTGTTCCTATGTTTTGCTCATTTTTAAATTGGATTTATTTTTATTTTTATTGTTATTTGAGATGGAGTCTTGCTCTGTCTCCCAGGCTGGAGTACAGTGCCGCCATCTCGGCTCACTGCAATCTCCGCCTCCCGGGTTCAAGTGATTCTCCTGCCTAGGCCTCGCAAGCAGCTGAGATTACAGGCACCCGCCACCACGCCCCACTAATTTTTTTTGTATTTTTAGTAGAGACGGGGCTTCACCATATGGGCCAGGCTGATTTTGAACTCCTGATCTCAAGTGATCTGCCACCTTGGCCTCCCAAAGTGCTAGGATTGCACATATGAGCCACTGCGCCGGGCCAAGGATTGTTTATTTTTTACTATAGAGTTTTGAGAATTCTTTATACATTCTAGGTACTCATCACTTGTTATATGTTTGGTTTTGTAAATATTTTCTTCCCATCTGTATCTTGTCTTTTTATCCTCTTATCAGAGTTTTTTGAGAAGCAAAAGCGTTTACTTTTGATGAAGTAAAATACATTTTTGTACTTCTTTATGTAGCCTCAAGTCTGCAGGCAAGGCACATGTTGAAGACCATCTCCCAGGACACTTGAAGGCAGCCTGGAGAATTTTCTCATTGCTCTTGAGAAATCAATAGCATGGAATTGTTGCATTTGCTAAAAAAAGGAATATTCAAAGGCAAGTTCCCTAGCCTGCAGAGTTTCAATTGAGTCTGTCTACTTTCCTGTTTTTAATCAAAATCTTGCCAAGTGGAAGTTTCGGGCTTCTGTGCCAGATAATTGCTAATACTAAATAAGTAGCAGTGATTGTTTATTTGCAGTCACATAGAACATGGTATGTTAGAAATTAAATGTAGATGTTAAGAGTGTGGTCATTTTTAGTTGGCTATAAACCAGGTAGTTAGAATTAGAGATCCATGTTTGCATCAGGCCAGAAAGCTGCTGATCCGCAACATAAGCATTTCTATCTATCTATCTGTAATATAGATATGTAGAGCTGATCAGCATGTGTTCACCTCAAGCTAGAAGAATACATTTTAAAAACCTGATTTATTCTTCCTTTTGCTCTGTTCTTATATCCTTGCAGAGGGAAGCTTGTTGTACTTTTTGTCTTATGACTCTTTCCCCCAAAGGGAACACTTCCCTGCACTATTAAATCAAACTGGAATATGAAAAGAAATACATTTTCCTTTCCTTTACAAGAGGCTTGTACTTTTGTTTTCAACATCTGGCTTTCCTTGTCTCTCCTTCTCCCTGCTGTGATGACCATAGGACTGAAACATCTAAGGAAGTGAGCTGCATGAGGAGACCACCTCCTTCCTTTGTCCTACTACCATGCCAAGCACATAACTATCCTGGCATCTACAGCAACGTTTTTGGAGGTGTCTGCCTCACTGTCTAGATGGGCTGTCCCTTCTGGATGTCTTACTCATTTCTATATTCTCAGCACCAAGAGCAGAGGCTGTCACACCAAAGGTGCTCAATAAATGACGGGAGAATTCACAAATGTCATTAACTACTTAGTAGCTGAAAATTGGTAACATCCATCATTCAGTGAATTTTCATCCTTTCCTATTACCCATTCCAACCCCTTAGGAACAGACACTAGTTTTTGCTTATGTCGGAGTCATTTTTTAAAACCCCAATGCCTAGGAAATAAGTAGACATTTAATAATGTTGATCTCATTCACTCAGCAAACATTTATTGAATACTATGTTAAGAACTGTCCAGAATACCTACATGTACCTGGAAAGTACAGTCCTTTCCTTCAGGTAACCTATACTCTAGTGTGTGTAGGGGGGAAGCATAGAAATTATCACATGAAATATTTAAAGAATATAATGTATTATAACCTTTGTATTGAAATAATTAGTCCAGACTGTAAATAGTTGAGCAGTTCACAGGTAATCTGGTGTGGACTGACCACAGAAGACTCAAGCTAGTGGCCTGAGAAAACTCTAGAGTCCTTGGTGCCCCCACTAGAATCCTCTGTTGATTCTCCCTTTATTTGTGCTGTTCAAAGTTCTTGCCTTCTCTTGAAATGCTGCCCTTTTCCTTGTCTTCTTTCTGCCCATACCCTGCATTGAATGTTGCATCAGACAGGATTCTTTGGGTTGCAGGAGTCAGAAACCCCATCTCTAACGGGCTTGAGCAAAAAGAGGAATCCATTGCTTCATATCACTGAAAAGGTGGTCTAGGCAAGGCTGGTGTGGTGGATTGGCTGCCAAAATGGCAGTCAGCAATTTCTCCCATCTATGTGCACATCACTCCTTCCCTCAACAGGTAGACCCCGTTTCTCCTCCCCTGGAGTCTGAGCTGGACTTTTGACTTGCCTTGACCAGTAGAATGTGATGGAAGTGATAATCTGCCAGTTCTAGGCTAGGCCTTAGGAGATTTGGCAGCTTTTGTTTTTGCTGTGTTAGAAGGCAGCCACCATGTAAAAAAATCCAACTACCCTGATGGAGAGATGAGAGACTATAAAAAAAAGTATTTAAAAAAGTATAAACAGGCCGGCTACAGTGGCTCATGCCTATAATCCCAGCTTTGGGAGGCTGAGGTGGGAGAGGCCAGGAGTTAAGATCAGCCTAGGCACACAGCAAGACCCTGTCGCTACAAAAAATAGACAGGCGTGCTGATGCACCTGTAGTCCCAGCTACTCAGGAGAATGAGGTGGCAGGATAGCTTGAATCTGGGTGTTTGAGGCTGCCGTGAGCTATGGTCATGCCATCACACTCCAGCCCAGGTGACAGAGTAAGATAAAAAGTTTTTTAAAAAACTATAAACATATAAAAATAAAGACAGAGGCCCGGCCAGCCCCCACCATTCCAGCCACCCTAAGTCTTATAGGTGCTGACACGTTGTTTGTAGAAAAATCAACTCAAACTATGTTTTTCCTCTGTTCTCACACTACAAAAACAATAAACACAGAAGACTTCTGTGACCAAATATGGGAGAGGGGTTTCCCCACACACCAAGCAAGCAATCAGTTCTGGACACCAGCTGGGTGTCCTCCACCTCTACCTGGAGATAGCGTCAGACCCCACAGTTTGAAGGCAGAGTCCCCAAGACTGCCCTTCAAATGCCAGTCACAAGCCCAGGCCTTCAGAACTTCGGGCCAACCGGCTTCATGTTGGGGTTCCCATGACCCCCTCTTTGGGTTTGATTAATTTGCTAGAGCAGCACACAGAACTCAGGGAACCTTATATTTTACATTTACCGGTTTAGTATAAAGGATATCAGAAAGGATACAGATGAAGAGATGCATGGGACGAGGTAGGGGAAGGAGCGCAGGGCTTCTGTGTCTTCCCTGAGTACACCACCCTCCATAGATGTCCAGCTATCCAGAAGCCCCCTGAACCCTGTACTCTTCGGCCTTTTATGGAGACGTCACTGGGTGGGCATGATTGACAACCATGTAGAAATGTGACTGGACAAAAGGGTATATGATCTAGTACTAAGAGACTGAGTGGCGAGACCCAGCAAGGCCTGTCTGTTCAGATTCTTCTTGGCTTCTCTGTGCAGCATTCTTTCCTCCAGGGTATGGAGCAGGACCCCTTCTAAAATGAACCTTATGTCCTACAGTCAGACAAGGTAGGTCAGAGAATTTCTTCATGGCCAGCTGCATGACAGAAAGGCGGGGGAAGATTCCTTCCTTCAGGAGAGAAAAGAGCAGCTGGAACAAGGGTAGGATAAGGCTTCTGAGGCTGGCTTCTGGGATCTAAAGTGCCCCAAAATCATGACAAGAGACTATTACAGGGGCATTGGTAATTATAAGCCAGGAACCATGGGTGAAAACCAATGTATATATATATATAATAATGTCACTCATATGAATGAAGCCATCTTGGACACCCTACCCCCCCCCCCCCAGTGCCACATGGAACAGAGAAAAGCCACCTCACCTCCCTTGGAGGCCTGCCCAGATTGCAGAATCATGAGCTAATGAGAGGTAGTTATTGTTGTAAGCCAACACCTTTTTTTTTTTTTTTTTTGAGATGGAGTCTCGCTCTGTCATCCAGGCTAGAGTACAGTGGCGTGATCTTGGCTCACTGCAACCTCCGCCTCCCGGGTTCAAGCAATTCTCCTGCCTCAGCCTCCTGAGTAGCTGGGATTACAGGTGCCCATTACCACTCCCAGCTAATTTTTGTATTTTTAGTAGAGATGGGGTTTCACCATGTTGGTCAGGCTGGTCTCGAACTCCTGACCTCAGGTGATCCACTCACCTCTGCCTCACAAAGTGCTGGGATTACAGGCGTGAGCCACTGCACCTGGCCAAGCCAAAGCATTTTAAGGTGGTTTGTCATGCAGCGATAGCAGATGGAAAATGCTGGATCTAGTGCTCTAAGGATTTAGTAAGAAGTCTTTCTCCGTTTCATGGCTCTGCTTTCCCAGGGAGGCTGTCTTTATATGGTGGAAGGATGTCCACTACAGCATCAGGCTTGCATTGTACCAGCTTAGCAATGCCCACTGGAAGGGCATAGGCTTTCCCAGCAGTTCTGACAAAAGTCTGGGGATGACTCTCATCTGCTCTGATTAGCTCATGTGCCCATCCCTGCACAAGCCACAGTGACTCTGACTGGCCAAGGCTGGATGACATGCCACTCTCTAGATCCAAGGATGGGAATGGTCCACCTTATCTAAGCCATTTGGATTAAAAGTAGGAGTAGGGTAGGTCCCAATAGAAAACCTAGGTACTGTCTTCAGAATAAGGGGTGGGATCCTGGGCAGGCTGAAACAACAAACACGCACTACAAAAGTCAAGTGTAGTCCTACCTCTTTCCATAGGCCTTTCACTCCAAACTTTAAACTATTACAGCTCAAATGACCTGGTCTCTTCTTTGGTGCTTTTAGCATCTGCTGTCTTGTTGTGCTCCTTCCTTATAGTTTGCAAGTAAATTCTTATTTCACACCTTAGGTATGAACCTTTGTATTTCTTATTGTTCTGACTGCATTTGTTATTTTAACAGTGCGATATTTTCCATACTTTCTGCAGAGAGAGGCTCTTGGAGGTATCAAAAGCACAGAATTCTTACATTGACAGGAGGAATTTGCACCTGCGCTCTCCCTCTCTCTCTCTCTCCAGGGCTGACAAAACCCTAGGCATTGGCATTGCGTCCAAAGGAGGGGATGTGGTCTATTTTCCCCTTGGGTTCTGCCTCCCAAAAGGAGACCCAGATGGTGATCAGCACTGCTTGTTTTCTTTCTGTTCTGGGGAGCTTGCTCTTCTGCTATTTAATTTGTATATTTTTAAAAAATAATTTTGTATGAGTGCCCAGCAGAGCAGCTTTTGGGCAACTAGCTTATGAAATAAATTTAAATGATCTAAAAAAGAACATCCTTTGTTAATTGACATTTAAATGAGCCTAATAAAGTTTTAATTTATCCTTCTCATTGAGGGTCAGCATTCCAGGATGGAATTCTAAGAAACATCAAGACAGTAATAGAAATGGAAAGTAGATGCCTGTTGGTACCCCCAAGCAAAGCCCAACCCTGGTTTGTCAGGGCCTCTCTGAGTTTATTCACACGTAAAGTGCTATTATGTTTATTTATTTGAGAAGGTACCCCTAACTGGTGATTTGAATTCCAGAATTAAGGATATCACCATATCTGTTCCTTTGAGACTCTGTTACCTTTAAAATTTTAAATTATTCTTCACTATTGTGTGTATGTATGAATGAATGTACATCCAGTGTACCAACAGTCATTTGTTAAAGAGCATTATATATTTATAATTGTGTACCCCTTTTCTATTGAAGCCTTCTTCATCTCCCCACCAGAGATACTGTCCTGAAATTTGTGTTTATTATCCTCTTGCTTTTCTTAAACTTTACAGGAAGGCTGGGCGTGGTGGCTCACGCCTGCAATCCAGCACTTTGGGAGGGTGAGGCGGGTGGATCACTTGAACTTGAGGCAAGGAGTTCAAGACCAGCCTGGCCAACATGGTGAAACCCCATGTCTACTAAAAACACAAAAATTAGCCGGGCATGGTGGTGCACACCTGCAATCCAGATACTCAGGAGGCCGAGGCATGAGAATCACTTTAACTTGGGAGCCAGAGGTTGTAGTGAGCTGTGATCGTGCCACTGCACTCCAGCCTGGGCGACAGAGTGAGACTCTGTCTCAAAACCAAAAACAAACAAACAAAAAAACCAACCAAACAAAAACTTTACATGAATCTTTTTTTTTTTTTTTTTGTGGAGACAAGGTCTCACTATATTGCCCAGGCTGGTCTCGAACTCCTGGGCTCAAGTGATCCTCCCACCTCAGCCTCCTAAAGTGCTGGGATTATAGACATGAGCTACCACACAGCCTACATGAATCTTACTGCAAGTAATTTTTTGTGGCTTGCTTTTTTTGTTTCTCAGTATTGTTTGTGAAATTTGTCCATATTGATTTTTTTTTTTAGCTGGAGTTTGGTCTGTGGCTTATTTTTTTACTTTATTGTTTATTTTCATAAGCAGAAGTTTAATTTTTTTAATGTCAAACCTTTGTGGTTTATGCTTTTTGTGTCTTGTTTTTTTTTTTACTTGAGATGATAATAATGATATTCTTTCATTTTCTTCTGACAATTTTAAGTTGTGTTTTTTCCACTTTAAGTCTTTAATCTGTTTTTTTTTTTTAATTTTTAATTTTTTTAGAGACAGGTCTTGCTCTGTTGCCCAGGCTGAATTCCTGGCCTCAAGTGAACCTCTTGCTTCAGCCTCCTGAACAGCTGGGATTACAGGTGCAAGCCACCATGTCCAGCTAATTTTTTTTCTTTATTTTTCCTTTATCTGGTATTGGTTTTTGTTTATGCTGTGAGGTAGAGATCAATTTTATTTTCATCCAAGTGAAAAGGTAGATCATGCCACTCCTTTGCTCAAAAATTTCCAAATCTTCCCATATTCCCCAAAATTAAAGTTCTTTCTTTTCTTTTTTTTTTTTCTTTGAGTCAGAGTTTTGCTTTTGTTGCCCAGGCTGGAGTGCAATGGCATGATCTTGGCTCACTACAACCTCTGCCTCCTGAGTTCAAGCGATTCTCCTGTCTCAGACTCCTGAGTAGCTGGGATTACAGGCATGCGCCACCATGTCCGGCTAATTTTGTATTTTTGGTAGAAACAGATTTTCTCCATGTTGGTCAGGCTGATCTTGAACTGCTGACCTCAGGTGATCGGCCCACCTCAGCCTCCTGAAGTGCTGGGATTACAGGCGTGAGCCACCACGCCCTGCCTAAAATTAAAGTTCTTAAAATAGAATGAAAGTCCATATATGATCTGGCCCTCTGAAATGTCTCTGACCTCATCTCTTTCCAGTGAACACTGGCCTCCTTGCTCTTCCTTGAACACTCCCGAAATGTTCAGGGCCCTTGACTTTCTGTTTGTCTGCTGGAAATTTTCAATGTCTATACTTCTGGCTTCCTCATTTCCCAAGTCTCTGCTCAAGGTCACCTTATCATGGAGGACTTCTCTAGCCACCCTAGCTAAAATCTCCCTCCAACACACACACACACACACACACACACACACACACACCCCAGCGTTTGGTATTTCTCTTCTTTCAAAGAACTTACCTGAAAAACTCTCTGGGTCTAGTATAGTTGTGTGTTGGGGTAGTGGTAGATGGGTATTTTTAAAAGTGTTGATTTAATTTTTTGAATGGCTTAAGGACTACATGGGACTTTCAATTTCTTCTTAAGTTAGTTTTAACCCTTTCTCTACAAAAAAATATATTTTTAAAATTAGCCAGAAATGGTGGCACACACCTGTAGTTCTAGCTACTTGGGAAACTGAAGTGGGAGGATCCCTTGAGACCAAGAATTTGAGGCTGCAGTGAGCTATGATTGTGCCACTGCACCCCAGCCTGGGCAACAGATACCCTATCTCTAAAAAACATTTTTTAAAAAATTTTACTTTCTGAATAGTTAATATATGCCCACAGTATAAACATTCAAGTTTCAAAAGTATACACAGTGAAAATTAGATCTCTCTCCATCTCTGCCTTCTAGCTACCTGGTTCCCCTCTCTTGGCATCAATTTCTTGTCTGTTTCCCTAGTTTCTTATTTATCCTCCCAGATATATGTCGTGCATGTAGAAGCACATAACATATATTGTTTTTACATAAATGGTGGAATGCCATATATATTATCCTGCACATTGCTTTTTTTCCACTGAACCATGTATGTTAGATTTGCTTCCAAAGCTATTCATAGAGGGCTGCCTCATTTCTATTCCAGTTACCTAATATTCTATTGGATGATGTACCATCATTTATTTACTTAGTCTCCTTCTGAAGGATAATTAGGCTATTCTGTCTTTACAGTGGCCTTCTAAGAAGCCAGTGTGTTTTGCCCATCTTCAATCGCTGCTTCACCCTGATGTCAGATATACCTTCTCCTTAAACTTCCATTCCCATGCTATCATTTCCCTGTTCAAGAATTTCCAACAGCTACCCAGTTCCCACAGAATAAGGCTGAACTTCTTACCCTTGAACGAAGATTCTGCATGGTCTCTGCCTTCTTTTCCATCATGTCTTCCTGTTCCTGAGGACACTCCCCAAAACTGATGACTTGAGGTTTTCCCAAATGTACCTCTGATTTTAGGGGCTCCAAAGTTTTCTTCAGCCTGCTCTACCGTCCCCTTTGAACCCTATGAGGGAAATCCTTCCCTCCCCCTGGACTGGTCACACTGGGCTCCAGGTCCTCTCTGGAACAGCTGCACTTTAAATATTTCAGCCCAGTCTCCCACTGTACACCCTACAGAGCCAGAACAGGTGTTTTGAATTTTGTTTGGGGTTACTGATATTTAAATTGTTCACCAATGGTCCTTCCTCTTCTAAACTCCAAATTCCTTGTGGGCAGGGACTGATGACTGGGAATGGGGAATACTAAAATGAAAAGATATCCTGACTTCCAAGTAGCTTAAAACATAAAGGTAAGCTGGGCACAGTGGCTCACGCCTGTAATCCCAGCACTTTGGGAGGCTAGGGCAGGTGGATCACGAGGTCGGGAGATCGAGACCATCCTGGCTAACATGGTGAAATCCCGTCTCTACTAAAAATACAAAAAAATTTAGCTGGGTGTGGTGGCAGGCGCCTGTAGTCCCAGCTACTTGGGAGGCTGAGGCAGGAGAATGGCGTGAACCCGGGAGGCGGAGCTTGCAGTGAGCCGAGATTGCGCCACTGCACTCCAGCCTGGGTGACAGAGCGAGACTCAGTCTCAAAAAAAAAAAAAAAAGAAAGAAACATAAAGGTGAGCCAGATATGCAAAATTAAAATACACAACACAGTAGGATCTTAGTTTAAGTGGAAGTATGCTCTATGCTCAGGGCAATCATGGTCGGGGGGAGTTTTTATTTTATTTCATTTTTTTACTTTAAATCTCTGGTCTCTAGTCCAGCGTCTGGTACATGGCAGCTGCCCAGTAAGTGCCTGTTGAATGGAGAATAACATAAAAAGAGGCATTTAAGGCAAGTGTCAACTTCTTGCAGTAACAGTCACCTTTTATATATAAAATAAGTCAACAGATAGTGTAGTGTGGATGTCGCTTATCTTTTGGGGAGAAAGAGGGCTGTGTGGGAGGGGATGGAATCAACTTTCAGCCAGGGAGGGAGGCGAAGACATTGCCTCCCGGGTCGGGGGTGGGTGGGGGGTCCAGGCGGCTGCGGGGCGCGGGAGAGGCGGGGAGAAGGGAAGGGGGAGGAGACTCTCGCCTCCTGCCCCGCCTCCCCCACCCCGCGGCGGCGGCGGCGCAGGGCGGCCGCGCGGGTGTTGGCACCAGAGGCAACAGCTGCAGCAGCCGCGCCGCCCCCTCGCCCGCGGCTCCCAGGGTGATCCCGAGCACAGCCGGTGGCTCGCGGCGCGGCAGCCCCAGAAGACGGGAAAGTTCGCGGCCGGAGCGCGGAGATGCCGGGCAGCGACACGGCGCTCACCGTGGACCGGACCTACTCGTACCCCGGCCGGCACCACCGCTGCAAGAGCCGGGTGAGCGCAGCGGGCTGGGGGGCGGCGGGTGCGCGCGGGCCCGGGGGCGAGGCGGGCTGGGGCGGCGGCTCAGTGCTAACCCACGCGCCCCCGGCGTTTCGCCGCCGCCCTCCGCTGCCGCCGGAGGTCCGTGCCTCCCCGATCCTCCGAGCTAAAAGGGTGGGCGTCGGGGGCGTCGGAGCCCAGGCTGCGGTTCTGGGATCCCAGGTCCGCCTGCCCCTCACGGCGCCCAGGTCCCCGCGCGCTATGCGGGACGCCCGGTTCCCCGACGGCCCGCGCTCTGCTGTCCTCCCCGCCAGGGAGCGCCCGCCGCTCCGCGAGGGAATCCCGCCACCCGGCCACCCGCGGCCCCGCGTCTCCAGGTCTCCGGGGTCTCGCCCTGGGTGTGACGGTGCCCTCCCCGCCGAACGTCCCGGCGGCCGCCCTGTCTCCCTGTCCTCGGGGCGTGTGGCCGGAACCCGAGCGCGGTGCGCAGCCGGAGCGCGGGGAGGCGGCGGACGGGCTCTGCCCAAGTGAAAAGTCAGAATCTTTGCGCTGCCTCTCCGGAGTTTCGAGCCGAGCCGAGCAGGCGCCCTCGCCATTGTTTGCAGTGTAATTTGCTGTTGCTGATTTTGGCTGTGGGCGAAAATAGCTCATTCTGAGCCTGCTGCAGAGACGAGCCCTGTAGGGCTTCAAAATAAAGACGGAGGCCGCAGCCCAAGCGCGGGTCTGTCCTGGGAGAGGAAGCCTTCGCCCTCCCCGGTGAATACCTTTGCCCTCCCGGGCTGTTGAATCGTCGAGGCTGGATGTGAGGCTCTGTAACCCGTTCTCCCCAGGGCTGATTGAAGTGCCATTTAACAAAGCACCTCCTCCACGCTGGCATCTGTTCTGGCAGGAGGCACCTGGAGTTGTTCTTTGCTCCGCCAACTACTTACTCGCTTGTCCGAGAACTGGGGATTTGGGTGTCAGCCTCTGTGTAAAGTTCACGGAGGGAGAGCCGGGCTCAGATTCTGGCCTGCCACTTCCAAGATCGAGAGACCAACTGGATGGAAATAGTAGCAATAGTGACGGGGTTGTGTCGCGGCCCTTTGTGCAGGATTTTGGTCTTCACTCATAATTTGAAGTAGTAATCGATTGCCCCAGAAGTGAAGCAATGAGTCTCTGGTTTATTTGCCCGCTTTCCCTTTTTCCTTTAGCATCTGTTAATCATTTTGGAAGGATGATTTGAGTTTTTACAGATTGAATATATTTGGTGGAATAATACCTCATGCACTCATCTCAATCTTACAATTCTCTTGTTTTTGCACTTTGTGTATAAGTTTCGTAACAGTTTGCTGTGAAAATAACCAGAAACTCCATTTGGAATAAACATTGAAGAAATGTGCTTACCCACAGGTAGACATTTCTTCTTGGATAGCTGTAATGCTAGTTAACAGAACTATGAAGAAAAGGAGATCATCTTCGAATGCATTTGTAATTGAGAGGATTCTGTAAAGTTAATATTGCAGACTTGAAATGTGAAAGCTTGTTTTTTCTTGTCACAACTGTGATCTTCTTTGTGTAAACAAGATTAGTAATCTTAGCGGGATGGATGGCTCATTGTCAACTCATTTAAGTGGTTTGGCAAAACTCATGCAACTTTACAAAACTCACTCTTCATAACCTGTAAAATGGTGGTGATAAAGTTTGTGCCTCAACTGCTTAGGTGGAATGTGGTAAAGCAATTGTGTAAGGTAACTGCAGAGTGTTTCTGCCGCATCTGCCACTGTTGCCTGTCTACGCCAGTCTTTTCTATTAAAAGGTCAAAACCTTATGTGATTTCTTGATTTTCTTTAAAATTCTGCTGACGGGCCGGGGGCGGTGGCTCATGCCTGTAATCCCACCACTTTGAGAGGCCGAGATAGGTGGATCACCAGGTCAGGAGTTCAAGACCAGCCTGGCCGAGATGGTGAAACCCTGTCTCTACTAAAAATACAAAAATTAGCCGGGCGTGGTGGTGGGCGCCTGTAATCCCAGCTACTCGGGAGGGTGAGGCGGAGAATCACTTGAACCCGGGAGGCGGAGGTTGCAGTGAACCGAGATCGCGTCAGCCTGGGCACAGAGCGAGACTCTGTCTTTAAATAAATAAATAAATAAATAAATAAATAAATAAAACAATTCTACTGACAATGTTATTGTACCTGCTGCCTTGTATTGTTAGCATGGAGATACCCGATTTTTAAATAAGCTGTGTATTAAAACTGAGTTAGACATTATATGTGCGGATTATCGTAAATTAGCACATTGGGCCAGTCAGATCTAGTGAAGAGAGGAAATCAGAGAAGGGCTAGAACTTCAGCAGACCGTAATCACAAATTCTACTACAGTGATGCTGGACTTCTTGAGGTCCCAGTTGAAACTTCTCAGCTATCTGCTTTTAGGTTTTTTATTGTTGAGACAGCGAGGAATAGGTAGAACTAGTGAAATTTTTGTAAACTCATAATAATAACTTTTCTCAAGCAGGGTTGATGTAATTTCAAGTCTGTCCTGAGGCTACAATAAGTCTGTTGTAATGAAGGGAAAGCAACAATTTTACTGTGCAGAAAGTATTCATCCATTTAAATGATCGTAGCTCCTGTATTGTGGAACTCACTTGGATGCAGCTGTAAAGATATGTTTTCCTGACACCCAGAACGTATGTGATGCGAGAGGAAGACATCGAGTGCTAATTTCTTGATGTCACCATCTCCTTGGGAGGAAACTAGTATAGGATTTAAAAAGAACCCTTTTATGAACTCATTTGGTGAATTAGCTCCCCTAAAAATGCCAATGAGAACTAGGGGGTCATGGGAAGAGTCGACTAATCTTTCAGGGATATGGAGTTTCTGCCTAGAAGTGGGCAAAGACTCCATGAGATGAAGTTCTTAGTTACTGAATGGTCATTTTTTAAATTCAAAATCAATACCTGTTGAGATAACAGGGAAACTACATGGTCTGTCTTGCTGGGCTTATTTCAGCCTTTGAGACTGGAATAATAATGAGGCAGTGTACTCTTTCAACATTGCAGAAATCTATTTTTACATCTAGGTGGACTGACCTAGATAACCCCTCCCCCCTTAGTGAAAATGTAAGTAATGAATTCTGTGATTGTTGCTAAGCTGACAAGTCAGGATCATTCACATTTTAAAACTTCATCTTTGTAAAACTCAGAAATGGTGCTTGTTAACTTGATGCACATATCTCTCTACTTTAGAAGAAAGAGCATCCATAATTAGACTCCTACTTTTTTTTCATGCCCTAGATAGTTAAAGCCTATCATCTTTTTAAGAATACAGGCCGTCTGCTTTCTATACAGTAACTGGCTTTTATTAATGATGTGTGAATTAGGTTTTCTTTTAGTTGGTTTTCATTTTAAGTGTTCTAAAATGCCCTCTCCAGCCACTTGAGTATAGTGGTGGACAGCTGGGGCTCTGGACCTACGTGGGTTGTATTCTGGCTCTTCGAGCTTCTTAACTGGGTGACCACTGGGGCAAGGTCCTAAATAGCCTTTCTGAGCCTCCAGTTTCCCATCTGTAAAAGAGGTAATACTCCACTCTTCTGGGAGTGATTGTGTGTCTTAAATAAGAAAGTATTTGTTTTTTAAAAAAAAAAAAAAAAGCCAGGCACGGTGGCTCACGCCTGTAATCCCAGGACTTTGGGAGGCCGAGGCAGGTGGATCACCTGAGGTCAGGAGTTCAAGACCAACCTGGCCAACATGTTGAAACCCTGTCTCTACTAAAAATACAAAAATTAACCAGGCATGGTGGCAGGTGCCTGTAATCCCAGCTACTCGGAAGGCTGAGGCAGGAGAATCTCTTGAACCCGGGAGGCGGAGATTGCAGAGAGCTGAGATCGTGCCATTGCACTCCAGCCTGGGGGACAAGAGTGAGACTTCCTCTCAAAAAAAAAAAAAAAAAAAAAAAAGGTGTGTGCTTTCAAATATTAGCTATTTAAAAAAATTTTTTTAAATTTATGTTCTCTCACTGGGTGAAAAAGCTGTATTTGTCTATATGTCAGGTTAATAATTTTTTTCTATTTTGTTGGTGCCACTACTAATCAGAACTGCTAGTCATCTTGAGTGCCTGCCCTCCCCCATCTCTCTAACCTATTAGCAATACCACCGCACCTTTCTCTGACATTTCTCTGGAATTGGTTTCTTCCATATCTCCCAATCATCCCCCACCTTAGTCACTTATGACCTTCACCAACTTCTGTTCCATCCTGCATGCAAGGACCATATTATTTTCCCTACAGAACCATTTGCATTAGGATAGTCCCCAGAATACAGATCTTGTACCAGTGCTGTTTGCTACCAGTGTAATCTTGGATCCTGTAATCACTCTAAGCCTTAGTTCCTACTTCTACATAATAGGGGTGTTTTGAGGAATAAATTCAGTAATGTCTATAAAATGTTTAACTCCATGCCGGGTGCACAATAAGAAATCAATAGATGTTAACCACTTTTACTATAGGCCGAGCATCTCAATCCAAAAGCCAAAATCCAAAACTTTTTGAGCGTCAACATGACGCTCAAAGGAAATGCTTACAGGAGCATTTCTGATTTCAGATATTTCTATTTGGAATGCTCAACCAGTAAGTATAATACAAAGATTCCTAGGCCGGGCATGGTGGCTCATGCCTGTAATTCTAACACTTTGGGAAGCCAGGTGGGTAGATCACTTGAGTTCAGGAGTTTGAGACCAGCTTGGCCAACATGGTAAAATCCGGTCTCTACTAAAAATACAAAAAAATTAGCTCGGCATGGTGGCAGGTGCCTGTAATCCCAGCTACTAGGGAGGCTGAGGCAGGAGAATCGCTTGAACCTGGGAGGCAGAGGTTGCAGTGAGCCAGGATTGTGCCATTGCACTCCAGCCTGGGCAACAGAGGGAGACTCCATCTCCGAAACAAAACTAAACAAAACAAATTCCAAAATCTGAAATCTGAAACACTTCTAGTTCCAAGCATTTTGAATAGGGGACCTGTACTATATGAAAGAGGGATTTGTGAGCTTAGAAACGGAAAGGCTGCTAATTTTGTGAAAAGTATAGACTTTTCTAGCATTGCTAGCATTTTGTGCCTCCTTGCGTCATGTTTCTCATGACATTGACTGTTTATATGTTTAATGCTTACATGTATTTATAAACTATAGACATTGGCACTTTGAGAGCAAGATGCTTCGTTTATTCAAAAAATACTTACTGAGCACCTTCTGTGTGCTGGCTGCTGATCTAGGCATCAGGAATACAATGGTAAATGAAACAGTCTGGTCTCTGTGGAAACTTAATATCTGGTGGGTGTATCTCATTTATTCTTGTGGTTCCGGACAATACCCCTGTCTTGTACAGGAGAACATGATGATAATACATGCAGAAATCTCTAACATCTGAAGTAAAACTTGTGTCAAGCGTGAGTGCCACCTGTAGTATATCTTCAAGTGTTCTGTGGTTTGGAAATCCATCTACAATTACATGATGAGTAATGACCAAAGGCAGTGAAGAAGAGGATGCTGTAGCCCTTCTCACAGTGGAACTGGTTGGGCAGTGATGTAGTAAGTTGATGATCACATGCTTACTCCCTGGGCAGGAAATAGGGGGAGTGGAAACTGACCTCTGTCCTGGAGGACACTGACCCGGTGAAGTGGTAAGTTGAGTAGTACACAGATATCGTTTTCACCGGTGATTTGTTTTGTTCTAAAGAGCCTCTTAAAGAGAATGAATAATGGTGAGTGTCTCAAGCCAGGTTTTTCTTACATTTAGGATGAGCAAAGTGATGCGGTGTGTGTTTTTCGAGCTGTACTTTGTTGCAGGCTTTTCCTTTAGAGGAGAAGGAACTGCCGGCCACCACCAGCTCACCCGCCTGTCACATCCGCTGTAGAGATCACCAAGACAGCTGCTACCAAGTTGGATCTCAGGGTGTATTTTGCTTCAGACCCTCTGCCGGCATCTCCAGGACTGCTGCTAAGGTCAGAAATCAACCTAGTCCTACTTGGAAAATGCCCGCAGCTTGACTTAGAAGAGTCTGCAGCTTTCAGCCCTGTGGTTTCTTAATTGTGTTTTCATGTTTTCAGTGGAGGGGAGGAGGGTGACAAGAGAAGAGGAAGAGAACCATGAATCACTGTACTGTGAATCAGAATGAGGACTTTTCATTCCTTCGAAAGAGAACATCAGGATATATGATTTGTGCATAGGCCAACTGCTTCCGTCGACTTGGGAGGGGTGCTGCCTGAAAGGAACCATAGTATATTTGTGGATTATTCCTCTGTAAGGAGGTAAAAAGAACATAGGTGAAAGGAAGAATGCAGTCACAATAATAGTTAATGTGTACTGAGTGCTTACTGTACACCAGGCAACATGAAGCACTTCAAATACATGATCTCCTTGGTCTTCCACAATATCCCACTTTTCCATTTTACAGATGGGGAGGCTGAGGCCCAGACAGATTATTAGTTTCTCTAAGATCTTGTGGCTATTAGGAAACTATGGTAGAGCTAGGGTTTGAACCTGTGTATGTCTCAACTCCAGAGCTTGATTCTTTACCACTTCCCTGTCTGCCTCCGTGGCGAACACTGGAGAGCAGCCCAGTCTTTCTAAACTAGTTGGGTGCCTGGGGAAGGATGTGTACAGCATCTGCTGGGCACTTACCCTAATTGTGTGCTCTAATTCTTATGACATGCACATTGCCAGTCTTTTGCACGTAGTCATATATTCCCAGTAAACATGTGAATGAATGATACAGAATGATAGTTCATGAACTTTAATGCCTAGGATATGAGAATTTTGCTAGTAGTTTGAAGTCTTAAAGGCTGTCAAATAAGCTCATGATTTAAGATCATTAAAGAACCGTGTTTTTGCCTGATGTTTGGTCTCCTGAGGATGGACTGTTGAATAGCAAGGTGAAGGTGGTGCTTCCTTGTGAACATGGAGTTCAAGACATGCCTGCAAACGTGTCTCCTCAGTAGATCCTCATGACTGGCCTGTGGGTTCACACCTTCTTTTGAGCCATGTCATCAGTCACCTACCTGGTGATCTTTCTGTGAAGGCTCTTGTAATATTAAACCATGCCTTCTTGTGTCCCCTGCAGAACATCACACTTTGGGGGAGTGCACTGGAGTGGTTAAGAGTGCCAGTCTTGGAGTTATGTGCCTCGGTTGACTTTCTTTTTTTTTTAGACAGAGTCTTGCTCTTTCACCAGGCTGGAGTGCAGTGGTGCAATCTCGGCTCACTGCAACCTCCGCTGCTCAGGTTCAAGTGATTCCCCTGTCTCAGCCTCCCGAGTAGCTGGGACTACAGGTGCACGCCACCACTCCCAGCTGATTTTTTTGTATTTTAGTAGAGACGGGGTTTCACTATGTTGGCCAGGATGGTCTCGATCTCCTGACCTCGTGATCCGCCTGCCTCGGCCTCCCAAAGTGCTGGGATTACAGGCATGAGGCACTGCGCCCGGCCCGGTTGACTTTCTATAGTGTACCCTGCCGCATGGTACCAAAGTTAGGTTTTTACAAGGGTTGTCACAGTACTTCCCTTGGAGGACTGTTGTGAGAATTAAACGGTGTAGTACGTGTAAAGCACTGTTGAGTGCCAGCACCTGCTAAATGCTCGGTTAATGTTCAGATGGGAGAGGAAGAATAATAACAGTATGTAACAGTGGTGTAGCTGTCTGGCCATTGCAGGAGCTGCAATTGAGCAGAGACCGTGGGTGTGATTTCCAACACTTTGAGTTCTCTCCAGAGACCAGATCTTTTCAAGGATTGCTTCCTGAAATGCATCCCATTTAGTGCCGGTCCCCTGAGGAAGCCACATTTTAAATGGCTGATTGTAAACCTGTATCTTCCTCAGGTCTTAAAGGCATTCGAGGAGACTGTGCCAACTAAAAACATTACAAAGGGCAGTTTAAAGCAACTAGAAAACATAGCCCGGTGTCCACACCAGAACTCCCTGTGGAACCCTGGCTTGACTGAATTAAAGGTACGAAGGCAGAGGGTTGGAAAGTTAGACTCAAGGTTTTACCATGGTAGAACTGGAAGGGAATTTAGACATTATTAACTCCAGACCATTCCATTTGCAGAAGCAGAAAATGACACCAGCCAGACTGTAACCAGTAAAATTATGTAATTAATACAGACTGATTGGGACTAACCATTATACCATCTTCTGTCTTTAAAAAGGATTGCTTTACATAATTTTTAAATACCAAATTAATTGCTAAGTTATAGGGGTGGAATGAGAATTTAAAATTATTTTCAGTAGGTATGAACAAATTTAAGTTTTTGTGACTTTTCTAGGTTAAAAAAGTGAATTTGAATGACACGATGTTAGGCCATTCTTCTTCTGAATTTATTTACAGGTTTTTGGGGGGCACTGGGGAAAAGAGGGGTGACAATTCATGTATCAAACTACTTTGCACTGTATTGTTGCTAATATATATATAAATATATATATATTTTTTGTGGTTCCTCTTAGTGTCTTCATTTTTTCAGTATAAAGTTTTGCAAAATGAAGAGTTCATCCATGTCCTGACCTTCCACTTGTTGGGGTGGGATATTGGGGAAAAAAGTATGCCAGATGCATAAGCCATGGAGCTCATCATCTGTGCGTTTGACTTAGAATTCAACCCAAGTCTGCCCTGGTCTCCAAAGCTCTCCGTTCTGTGAGTCTCGCCTTAAGGGTCTCTTCTAGCACCGAGTGTTTTCAATATATAAAATTTGCATACAATATAACACAACCCTTAAACCCAAGCCTAAAACTTCACCTAGTCCTTGACCAAAGAAACAATTATCTGCTCCAACACTAGGGGAAAGACAGGACTTGAGTCCGATGGCCCATGGAGAGACAGCATGTCTGGTGCAATACCCAGTGAAGCGTCCCCCTAGAAAAAGCCCGTGTGACTTCTGCCTTACACGCCAATTTGAGAGCCCAGCCGGGGAGTAAAATGTGGCTTTTACTGTATCCTATGAGACACTTCCACCTACCTCTTGTTCCACAGGCACCTCAAAGTCTGTATATCAGATTCATTCTTTGAACCGCCCTTCTATTCCTGGTTAATATTATACTTTTCCCATACAGCCAGTCAGCAAACCAGATGCCTGAGCTGCTCCCTCAATCCCCCACCCTACCCAGGCATCCAGTGGTTTATTTCTTTTCTTTTCTTTTTTTTTTTGAGACAGGGTCTGGGTCTGTCACCCAGGCTGGAGTGCAGTGGTGCCATCTTGGCTGACTGCAACCTCTGCCTCCCAGGTTCAAGCAATTCTCCTGCCTCAGCCTCCTGAGTAGCTGGGATTACAGGCACATACCATCATGTCCAGATAATTTTTGTATTTTTAGTAGAGACAGGGTTTCACCATGTTGACCAGGCTGGTCTCAAACTCCTGACCTCAGGTGATCTGCCTGCCTTGGCCTCCCAAAGTGCTGGGATTACAGGCATGAGCCACTGCACCTGGCCCCAATGGTTTACTTCTTAAATGTCGATCATCTGTCTTTTCCTCGTTGCCCCCAACATCCCTCTCTTAAGCTTACCTCTGGATTTGAGCAACAGAGTGAAGCATCAGGAAATGGACTCTGGAGTGAAACTTGAACGTCAGCTCTTTCACTTAGCGGCTTTGTGAGCAGCCATTAGAAGCGGTGTTGGGAAACCCATTACAACATTTGTTGTTCTGAGTTTGAGTCATTCGTGGTCTACCGCAGTTTCCCAAAGTTCAGTCATTCCCACATCTACGACACACAGCCTCATACCACCTGCACTGTTATTTGCTTGATATTTCTAAATCAGTTATCTCCTTAAAACTTACATTTATTTTCAAAGTATCAGTGTCATTATTCTAGCTATATATCTTCTGAGTTTGAGGCCTCCCAGCAGCAGATTAAGAAGTAGATTAGCACTGGGTGTGGTGGCTCACGCCTGTATTCCCAGCACTGTGGGAGGCCAAGGTGGGTGGATTGCTTAAGCCCAGGAGTTTGAGACCAGCCTGAGCAACATGGCCAAACCCCATCTCTACAAAAGATACAAAAATTAGCTGGACTTGGTGATGCATACATATGCTCTCAGCTACTCAGGAGGCTGAGGTGGGAGGATCACCTGAGCCCTGGGAGGGGTGAGGTGGGAGGGGTGAGGCTGCAGTGAGCCTTGATTGCATCAGTGCACTCCAACCTGGGTGATGGCGAGACCCTGTCTCAACAAAACTAGTTAGCAAGTGTTGGAGCAATGTTAGAAAGTTTTTAGCACCAAAGACTTTTCCTGGACTGAATCAACTGAATTGGATTGAGGATTGAAAAGGAAATAACTCGCTCACTGTGATTCTATGTTATTTAATGCTTTTGTCTTATGTCACCTAAAATAATTCAGAATCATCTAGGAAAACCCTGGTCTTAATGTATCATCTCCTTTCGTTCCTTCATGAAATATTTATCTTTAGACCCATGGTCTAGAAGATGCTTAGAAACATTTTTCCCACTCATGGGTTGTGAAAATTTGAGTTAGTGAGTGTTTTCCTTTTTTATTTTGGCCAACAGGAACCCAGATCCAAATTTCAGCAGAACCGAGTGAGATTTTTATAGCCTGCTTCTTTTTCTTTTCTTCTTCTTTTTTTTTTTTTTTTCTTACCTCTTGATTTTGGCTTCCTTTTCTAATTTATATTTTTTTCTGGCCTGGTTTCAATGTGTGTGTGTGTGTGTGTGTGTGTGTGTGTGTGTGTTTACATATATGTGTTTCCTGTAATCTATCTTAAATCCTTGTATACCAAATGAGGTACTCATCAATTTATTTATTTACTTATTTATTTATGAGATAGAGTCTCGTTCTGTTGCCCAGGCTGGAGTGTAGTGGTGCAGTCTTGGCTCACTGCAGCCTCCGCCTCCCAGGTTCAAGCAATTCTGCCTCAGCCTCCCCAGTAGCTGGAACTACAGGTGCCCACCACCATGCCAGCTAATTTTTTTGTATTTTTGGTAGAGATGGGGTTTCGCCATTTTGGCTGAGATGGTCTCAAACTCCTGGCCTCAAGTGATCCACCTGCCTCACCCTCCCAAAGTGCTGGGATTATAGGAGTGAGCCACCATACTCGGCCTCATCAATTGATTTAATTCAATATAAATGATTGTTACTGGGATGAACAGAAGCCCAATCTGATAAGTCAAAGGCAGTCTCATCTAGGTGGAAATACTTGAAGGAGCTTGGAAATGAGCTGAGCTTGCTTCTCTCTGTATTATTTCCTCTTTAGTCTTCTGACGACCATGACCTGGGAGAAACTGAGGTAATGGATGACGATAGGCCGAAGAGTGGAACATCCAGAAAATATGAATTCTTTGGGAATTTCAGGCAAGGACAGATAGTGGGTGGAGAAGAAATTTGAGTTACATGTTTTTCTAAAGTAAAGTTGAACCTAATTAAGATGTGTATGTAGGCTTGTTGTAATGGAAGGAAATTAAATGGTGTCTTGAGCTGCAGCCTTCCACAGAAATTTCAGTATAAGCACTTGTCCAAAAATAAAGAATGCCTTTAGTGAAAGCTGTGCTTCAGCACCTAAATATATTTACTCCAGTGTGTTCAATTCTGTGTTGGGGCCAAAAGTCCCTTTTCTCTGTCTTTGTCAAGATGTTGTGATCATCCAGAAAGCCTGAACTTGGCTTCAGATAGTCAGCAGGGTACTATTTTAATCTCACTAATTGGAACAGGTGGCCTCTATTTGCAGCTGAATCACTGGTTGGCATAGATTTAATTTATCTGACAATATGAAGCCCATTCAGTAAGAGCTGTTCAGACTCTATGTATTGGCATCAGGCAAAGTGCCTGAAAGCCCCACTAGAAAGCACGGGAGACAGGAAGGAAGATGGAAGAAATACAAGGAAGAGTGTGCTGCTTCCATTCCATCCTACATGTTGAATGCAGAATGGGTGAAAGGATATGGTCGAGGGATGCATGTGAAGATGCTTGAGAGGGGTGCTTATAGATATTTCTCCAGAGGAGGAAGAGGTGGCAAATGTCTCCTTTGAATCCACCCCATAAGATGGCATGGTGCAAGAGGACCTCATGCTGTCCTCATGTTTTTAATATGAGCACATATTCAGGCATGGGGGAAAGAGCATGTCCCACGTGACTCAGCTTAAGTGCTCAAGTTGAGATACCTTAAGACACCTCTAGTGACATCAGAGATGGTCCCCAGATTATGACCTTCTCCAGCTAGATCACTCTTTTATTTTTACATTGAGTGTATATTTTGCGTAGTGTCTTGTCAATGTTTTGCTTCAAATTCTTCAATAGGACAGAAGCCCAGCTTCTTAGACACCCAGAGTCTCTCATCTGACCTTTGCTTTTCACCCACTCTTGGTCCTTGAACTCCGGTCTCCTTTCTTTGTGGACTCCCATGCCTCCCTCTGTGCCTGTGGGTACCTGCCCCATCCTCTCTCATGGAGATAGTTGTGTTCTTTTTTCTAGGCATGGAGCATTGGACATAGTTGGAGCTTTGTAAATATTGACTGAATGAGTGAATGTGTGTATGTTGTGAAATTGTACTGTGGGACTTGAGAAGCTGGAAAGCTTATTCTACTCTTGATCCATATCAATTCAGATTAATTTGCCTTGTTTTAATTGCTGCACAGGATCCCCATGTATGGCTATACCATCATTTATTTAACCATTTTCTTATTAAAGGACAGGTATATTGCTTCCAGTCTTTGGTCATTACTTATTTTTGCACATGTGAGGAATATGTTAGCAGGCTAAATTCACAAGCATCTAATTACTCAGCCAAAGGGCATGTGCATTTTAAATTATGATATTACCACGCTGAACACTGCACCTACTCTGTGTTGAACACTGGGAGCTAAGGATGCAGCACTGAACAACACTGGTAAACTTTGTGTAACTATCATTAATGTGTGAACATGCCTTTACCCACATCGCTTCGGACACAGCATGTTTTCAACTGTTTTGATCCTTGCCAATCTGATAGGTGAAAACTCCTAGCCCATTTCAATGTATATCTTTCCTGGTATGGATGAGGTTGGTCATATTTTTAAAATTTTTATTTTGAAATAATTACAGCTCTACAGAAATTTGCACAAAATAGTACAGAGATGTCCCATGTACCCCTCACCCAGCTTCTCCCAATGATTGCATTTTATGTAACTATAGTACAATAGATCATATTTTCATAGACTAAAAAGACATTTGTCTGTGTTTATGAGCTGTTTATATGTATGTTCTTGCCATTTATCTATTGGCTGTTGGTCTTTTACATAGATTTGTATTGGTTTTCTACTAATTAAATTAATTGCTTTGCAAGTACATTTTTCCCAGCTTGTCATTCCTGACTCTATTTTTTTTTTAACTGTTGTGTAACAAAGTACCATAAACTGAGCAACTTCAAAAAACAACACCCATTTAATTATCTCAGAGTTTCCATAGGCCTGGAGTCCAGCTGCAGCTTAACTGCATCATCTGCCAAGTGTGTCATCAGCCTGAAATCAAGGTGTCAACCAGGACTGCAATCTCTTCTTAAGCTTGGGATCCTTTCCCAAGCTCACTGGATATTTACAAGATTAGGTTTCTTGCAACTGTAGACCTGAGGCCCTCAGCCGCCAGAGGCTGTTCACTGTTTTCTGCCACAGGGCATGTTCCATAGCACGACAGTTTGTTTCTTCAGGGCCAATGAACAGCATCTTTGTTGCATTTTGTCTTTTACTTCTAGATCCTCTTTTAAGGAGTTCACCTGATTAGTTTAGGCCCACCTAGGCACTCTCCCTTTTGATTAATTAAAATCAACTGATTAGGGGCCTTAATTATGTCTGCAAAATTCCTTTATTTTTCCATATAACATAATGTAGCCATAGGAGTGAAATTCCATCATGTTCAAAAGTCTTGCTTGTGGGAGGGTACCATCGTGGGAATCATCTTAGAATTCTGCCTGTTGCCCTGAATTATATGTTTGGTGTGTGCTGAGCATAGAGCTAGTGGATAGCAAGCGCTGAATAAATACTAACCATATTTTGCCATGAAGAAATCTACACATTTTCTGGTTTATAGGTTTGTATCATTCTTAGAATGGCCTTTGTACTTTGAGATTTTTTAAAAGCCCACATGCCCATGTTCTCCTAATATATTTTATGATTTTTATTTTTGTATATTTGAATCTTTGAATGAGTTAGAATTATTCAATTCCTTTTCAGATGTCTATACAGTTATCCCAGGGCAATTTTTTGCATTGTTACCTGTCTTTAAAAATATACCGCTGTTCATATGTATCAAGTTTTGTTTTTATAAATGTCTACTTTTTCCATGAGTTTTAAATCTGTCGAACACAGAAGGTTGTAATTCTGCCACACTTATTCTGGATTGATAGTCCTCTTCCTCTTCCCTTCCCAACCTCTCCCCTCAGGGATTTGAAATGAACATTTTGAGGCCAGGCTCAGTGGCTTATGCATGTAATCCCAGCACTTTGGGAGGCCGAGGCAGGTGGATCACTTGAGGTCAGGAGTTCCAGACCAGCCTGACCAACATGGTGAAACCCTGTCTCTACTAAAAATACAAAAAAATTAGCTGGGCATGGTGGCGGGCACCTGTAATCCCAGCTACTCGGAAGGCTGAGACAGAATTGCTCGAACCTGGGAGGCGGAGGTTGCAGTGAGCCAAGATCGTGCCACTGCACTCCATCCAGCCTGGGCAACAGAGCCAGACTCCGTCTCAAAAAAAAAAAAAAAAAAAAAAACCCACATACACACACAAAAACAGGCATAACTCCAGTATTATTTACAGTAAGGAAAGACCAAAAGGCTGAGAGGAAAAGATAGCAAAGTTTTGTGCGTGTGTGTTTTAAAATTTTGCTTTTAATTCTCTTTTGAACTAAGTGTTACCTCTCATCAAATTCGACTTAATGTTATAAAATCCTGCCCTTCTACAGTTTGCAAACACTGTTATGGTACATAGAATGTGTATTGTTGCTTCCCAAACCACTGTTGCCACCTTAAGTAATTTGTGACACACCATCGCAGCTCGCAGCTCGGGAGATGGAAGAGCAGGAACCCAGCCTAACTTTGTGTTCTGCAGGTCACAGGACTACTGCTTCTGCTTTGTTAGCCCCAGACTGCTTTCAAGCCTGCACATTCCTCCTATTTAATAAACATATTTAATATCCTTGTGCTGGGATCTGTACTGGGAAATTTAAGTTGGTTTGTCACTTATGTTAGGATGGCGAATATAACAAGATTTCTGATTTGTAGGTAACGATCTGTTTCCTTATTTGGCTTAATTCTTACTTGTATGTTACTCCTGTGCCTTCCTAAATATCACTAGATGCGCTTGTGTTAATTATTGAACGGTCCACCTGCCTTGTATCTCTGCATCTGACACAGAAGGAGGTTAAAACTGGGCTGTGCCCAGAAACTAACACTTAACATTTTATAACCTGATTCAAGAGCATATTAAGAGTGGAATGAATATGCTATTTACATGTGCTTTCATTTGGGAAAGGCACCATGCTTGTAGAAGCCTCCTGACTTAAGCAAATTATCAAGTACTATGTGTTGCATAAAGCCAGCCAAAGCTTACCTCATGTGCTGGGCAATTTAGAGGCATTCACAGAATTGGTGTCTGTTAGGCATGTGGGCACCAAAATTAAAGTGAGTCTCTTTCATTCAGGTGGCTCATTTATGCCCTACCTGGGGAGCAGTAGGGACACTTACTTATGCAAAATCAGCATCTGTTTCTACCACCTAGAAATGCTTTTATTGTTTGGGTAGGTGGGAGCACATTAAATTCAACTATTGAGAAGTTTGACTCGCACTCTGGCTGTTTAAAATGATCTAATACCAAGAAAGTTTTTGAAGTACTCAGGGCTCAAATGAAGCTCTTATTTTTAAAGAAAGACTTAAAATGAGAGGTCTTGAGACTTGTTGCTGTTTAAGGACAGTTTTGCAAAGTGAGCCTACCATTCCAACAGACTTTTTTTTTTTAAACTTTTGTTTTTTTGGCCAAATAGGAAATGGATGAAATAGTCTTGCATTCTTGTGGCTTTCTTTAAATTAAATGTTGATCCTTCCCAACCCTCATTTCTTAAATAATTTTTTGCATGTTTGGGGTAATTAGAATGGTAACAGATAGATAAATAAGAATAATACATATACTGGGCCAGGCACGGTGGTTCATGCCTGTAATCCCAGCACTTTGGGAGGCCCAGCCGGGCGGATTGCCTGAGGTCAGGAGTTCGAGACCAGCCTGGCCAACACGGTGAAACCTCATCTCTACTAAAAATACAAAACATTAGCTGGTGATGGCGGGCACCTGTAATCTCAGCTACTTGAGATGCTGAGTTAGGGAAAATCGTTTGAACCCGGGAGGCGGAGGTTGCAGTGAGCTGAGGTCACACCATTGTACTCCAGCCTGGGCAACAGAGCGAGACTCTGTCTCAAAAAAAAAAAAAATAAAAAACAAAAAGAATAATATATATGTACTATTGAAAAACAAAGAATACCAAATCTGAATACAAAGATTATGTTAATGTTTCCTGATACTTTGGATATTTCAGAAATCACAGTTACTTGTTAGTAACTCATTCAGCGAACTGTTAGTGAATAATTCTTTAAAATAATTGCTTCTTAGTTTATTTACACAACAGCCTAAAATGAGCCTAGATATTTTTCTAGGGCAGCAAGCTTATTAACTTCTCAGTGGATTTTAATTTTCCTAAGTTTATGATTGCTGTGGTTGTTAATTTAAGGTTGAAGTTAATGTAGAAGTAAATGCAGTGACATCAGATTCCAAAATTATAAGGTAATGAAATGGCCCATCAGAAACAGCAACTGTTTCACAAAGAGGGGCAAATGTTTGGTGCCTGGAGAAAACCGTAATCATTAACCAAGTGGCTCTGTGATTAAATAGTAAGCAGACAAATTGAATTATTAAGTGCTTCAAACATGGAAAAAAATTTTAAAACTATGATACCCATATATCTGCCTCCTAGATTTAATGAATGTTGACATTTTGCCATGTTTACATCAAATTTCTGTCACTTGTTTTTAAGAAATAAATGGTCCCATAAACAGCTATCTAGATGCCTTTCTCTCTTCCTGCTTCCTCAGAGGCCTCCATAACCTGAAGCTGTGTATCATTCCTTTGCGTGTTTTCACACACTGGATGAATCCATAAACAATTTATTGTATTACATGTATTTAATTAAATATATGTATTCTTGGGTTACAATTCTGCATACATGGCATCTCTTGTAAATACAATTTTTCTTTTCTTTTCTTTTCTTTCTTTTCTTTTTTGAGACAGTCTCACTCTGTCACCCAGGCTGCAGTGCAATGGTGCAATCTCGGCCCACTGCGTCTTCCACCTTTCAGGTTCAAGTGATTCTCCTGCCTCAGCCTCCCAAGTAACGAGGACTGCAGGTGCGCACCACCATGCCCAGCGAATTTTGCATTTTTAGTAGAGATGGCGTTTCACCCTGTTGGCCAGGCTGGTCTTCAACTCCTGACCTCAAGTGATCTGCCTGCCTCGGCTTCCCAAAGTGTTGGAACACCATGCCCAGCCTTGTAATTACAGTTTTCTAATGTGGTATTTTTATAATTTATCCTACTTCATTTTCATATTTTACTGCTGTATGTTATTTTGCTACATGAATAAAACCAGAGTGTATTTACAGCCATTCTTCTAATGGCAAACAGGTAGGTTGATTCTGGGACAGTCTCTGTACTCGTGGGAGAGTTTCTTAAGGGGAGATACCAGGAAGTGACATTGCTAGGGCAAAGAAAAAAGAACTTCTTCAACTTTGACATCCATTCTTAAAGAGCTTTCTCAAGTACTGTAATCACTGCTGTACTTACAGTAGTGATTTTTTAAGGCCACATTTTAATATCTGTAAGAGAAAATTTTTATGATGCTGATAGATTGTCTATGTAGGTGTTGAATGGTATTTGTATGTAGTTTGTGTACTTTAATTTTACCTGAAAGCAAATATAAAGTTATTCTGAATTTGCTATTAGGCAGTTTTTGTACCTAGTCAATAATTTTACATCTCTATTCTTGTTAATGCCTAATAAAGCAAATGTGTCAATATTTATTGAGATAAATTTACATACAGTAAAATTTCCTGCTTTAAGTGCACAGTCCTATGAATTCTGAAGAACACATACAGTCTTATAACCCACATTCAATTAAGATGTAGAATATTTCTATCACCCCGGAAAGTTCTCTTTCGCCTCTTTATAGTCAGCCTTCTCTCTGCTTAGCACCTGACAGTTACTGATCTCATTTCTGTCCTTACAGTTTTGCTTTTTCATAATGCAGTATAAATGGAATCATGTGATACGCAGCCTTTTTGAGTGTGGCTTCTTTCATTTAGCATAATGCTTTTGCAATTGCATGTTGTTGCATGTAACAGGAGTTCATTCCTTTTTATTCGTGAGTAGTGTCAATATACTTTTAAGAGTAATGCATCTATGAACAGAGATGAAGAAGGCTGAAATCCCACACCTCATCTGTTTTTCTGAACTTACCTGTTTTTTCATGTTACTACTGCAGCATTATGAAAAGTTTGGAGCGTCAGTTTCCACAGTTAGAAAGTAGGTTAGTTTGTAATCCTGTTACTTTTTAAATGTTGTTTTGTTACTTCAGAATAGAAAAGGTTATACATTAAACACTGCTATATATATTACATGAGATTAGGGCCAGTGTTGTCTTAACCTAATGTGATAATTTGCTAGGGCTGCTTTGACAAAGTATCCCAGACTGGGTAGCTTAAACAATACATTTATTTTCATGCAGTTCTGGAGGCTGGAAGTCTGAGATCAAGGTGTTGGCAGAGCTAGTTTCTTCTGAGAACCAGGAGGGAAAGAGCTGTTCCAGGCCTCCCTCCTGGGCTTGTAGGTGGCCGTCTTTCTCCTGTCTTCACATCATTTTCCCTCTACGTGTCTGTGTCCAGATTTTCTCTTCTTATAAGGTCATCAGTCAAATGGCATTAGGGCCCACCCTAATGATCTCATTTGAGCCTAATTACCTCTTTAAAGTCCCTATCTTGAAATACGGTTACATTGTGAGGTAGTGGGGGTTAGGATTTCAGTATGAATTTTTAAGAGTACACAAATCAGCCCATATCCCCTAGGCTTTGTGGATTTGATGTGTGTGTGTGCATACGTGCATATTTCTAGGGAGAGGTTCCATAGCTTTCTTTGGAATGATTCTCAGTTGTGGCAGAAAACCGTTTAAAAAGATGAGGAAGAACTGGTCTAAAGTGAGCTCTTGTTTCAGAAGTAAAACCATCAATGTTATAAAAATATATTTTTTGACATGTCAAGTGGTTATGCTTTTATGTTGATTGAAAACATTTATGCCGGGCACCGTGGCTCACGCATGTAATCCCAGCACTTTGGAAGGGATCCCAGCACTCTGGGAGGTGGGCAGATCACTTGAGGTCAGGAGTTTGAGACCAGCCTGGCCAGTATGGTGAAACCCTGTCTCTACTAAAAATACAAAAATTAGCTGGGTGTGATGGCGGGTGCCTGTAATCCCAGCAACTTGGGAAGCCAAGGCACGAGAATCGCTTGAACCCGGGAGGTGGAGATTGCAGCGGGCCAGTTTGGTGCCACTGCACTCCAGCCTGGGCGACAGAGCGAGACTTTGCCTCAAAAACAAAACAAAACAAAACAAAAACACAAAACGTTTACAAGATATACGCAGAAAGTACCATTTTTGTTTAAAAAGTGCCACATACAAGTAGAATATTAATGAAGCTAGCATAAATGGGTAGGAGTGCCATTGCCAGCACTATGACAAGGCTCCACCTGGGTTAAAACAGCTCTCATGCAGTGCCAAGAAAGAGACACAACTATCCTCCTGTTAGGAAAGAAGAACTGAGGCTCAAACAGGGGTTAAGCGACTTGTCCAGGATCATCCCACTAAGTGAAAAGGCTAGAACCTGAACCCAGGTAGCTCTGCGTTCCAGAGCCTGTGCCCCTAAACCAGTAGACAGAACCACCCAGACATCTGCAAGGATGGCCTCATAAAAACCTAAATGTAGGCCCGAGCTACCTCCAGGTCAGGTCATGGGATGATGGGGGTTTTATTTTCCTCCTCTGCCTTTTCTGTATCTTTGTATCTTCTTTTTTTTTTTTTTTGGGACAGAGTCTTGCTCTCTATCACCCAGGCTGGAGTGCAGCGACACGTTCTTGGCTCACTGCAACCTCCACCTCCTGGGTTCATGTCTCAGCCTCCCAAGTAGCTGGGACTACAGGAGCCTGCCACCATGCCTGGCTAATTTTTGTATTTTTTG
This sequence comes from Homo sapiens, assembly GCF_000001405.40. Taxonomy (NCBI): domain Eukaryota; kingdom Metazoa; phylum Chordata; class Mammalia; order Primates; family Hominidae; genus Homo; species Homo sapiens. The sequence goes on along the minus strand of NC_000012.12, from coordinate 94,630,101 downwards.
TACAGACGGGGTTTTGCCATGTTGGCCAGGCTGGTCTCGGACTCCTGACCTCAAGTGATTTGCCTGCCATAGCCTCCCAAAGTGTTGGGATTACAGGCATGAGCCACCACGCCTGGCCTGTATCTTCATATCTTTTGTAAAACAAGCATATTTTGCAATTAAATGTTAAATGGGCATATATAACTTCTATTTAAAATAAATTTAAACAGAGTGATAATGATAGTCAAATAGCAGGGTCTCCATTTGAACCTTATTCGAAATTTGAATGATCAGCCTTTGTCCTGAAAAGAAGATAAATCACATTTATGCTATTATTTTCTAAGTTATTCTTAATTTTGCTCCAGGTCTGGGGAAGGGTTGGTGGTCAAGACTTTTGACCCAGGGATGGGAGCTCATGGCAACACTGTGCTGTAGGTGTCCCGAGCTCATACCTCAGAGCTTTGATCTAGAATTCTCCCCTGGCTTTCTTCTCCGACAGGGCCAATTAGAAGCAGGGTAGGCCCGATCGTGAGGTCTCAGTAGAAAATGTAAGGGGAGGCTGCTTTACCCCAGAGTGCCCTCCATCACCCTTGGTGCTTCACGGTGTGCCCAGCACTGTGCGAGGCCCTGAGATCAGTCAGATGTGGGCACTGCCCTCAAGGAGCTCAGGCTGGGGAGGACAGACCCACAGACAGATAATAATGATGCAGAGTGGCAGGGACAGTTCTCCATGGGGTCCTGGCTTCTCATGGATCCTCCCAAGGAAGAACTCCCCCAGAGTCCACCCTGAGAGACTCTAGACTGGAGGACTGGGTGTTGGCTGTTAAGCCTTCCTGGCCCACCCTCCCTTCCTGCTTGGACCCTCCTGCAGGGATGTCTCTTGTTGTTTGTAGGACATTGTTGGTAGAGGACAGATGGTATCAATTTTCAAGGCTTCGGTTCACCTGTGATTAGCCTTTGATAAGTATTTTGTATATGTGTGTATATATTTATATCCTTGTGCCGAGGAAATACTAAATCATGAGCGTCATAGCTAGGTTCTTTGATTTGACTCAGATGGAAGAAGGATGCTGCAGAAGAGGGAGGAACAGGAATGTTAATTGTCATGGCAACCAGCAGGTTTTTATAGTGGAACACTGCCTTTGTAACCCAAATCCATCACCTTTTTTCTAACTACAGAAAACAGAATGACGCAAACTCAAGAAATTATAGTGCCATCTCTCAGTGAGGTTTTATTTGCTGTTTGGAAGCAATCTTGCAGTGATTTTAGTCCCTTCGTAGAATTTCAGAGCAGAACGGCACCCTTTAAGTGCCCTAGAATTTTACAAAAGTCACGCGCTTATGGCTTTCCCATTATTTGTCATCCCCATTTCTCCACCACCAGTCTAACCCACAAGGGACTTAGCATGAGGATGAGTTTAGAGCTGGCAGACATTGTACCTTCTGCAGCACAGGCTCCCCTTTGGAAAGGGTCCATCTCGCTGTTGCACTGTTTTTGCTGTTTGACCTTGTGCAGCCTTGTTGCGCTTGTTTCCTCACCATCCAGCAGACACTGCGATGCTTAGAATAGCTCACTCCTGCCAGTCATTCTGTAGGCAGGTTCAGAGTTCACCCTTTGCTGCCTGAGACCTCTTGGAGAATTGAACCCGTGTGCCTGTCATTGGTAGCTCTGGTGAGGTTTCATAGATGGGGAGTATGAGAAGGTCAGTGTAAGAAAAGAGCCCTTTTGTGGATAGGTGGAGCTTCACCAGGGAAAACAGAGATGCCCCCAAGCCTCCAGGCGGGTTTTTTATTGATGAGCACTTTGGGCAGAGAAGACAAAAAGGTAGGCTGCTCTTTGCCTCCCCTAATGTCCTGGCCCAAGGAGTCCCCTTCACCCAGGACCACACCTTGAGGTTGAGTAGCATTGAGGTTAGTGGTACCTATGTCTCCACAACATGTGGTATGGAAAAGGAGTCACTCGGGCACCTTTCATGGCACTGAATTTAAGAACGGGCTCCTTTTAGCTCTTTGGGTTGGATAATTGTCTCTTCATTGCCCAACCTTCCACCAAGTCAGGAGCGGGCTATGTGGTACGTCAGGCCAGAGTCCATTCATGAGCAATACAGATGTGGATTGTACTTAAAATGATTGGGCTTTCAGCCCAATTCAGTACATTCATTCAGTAAATGTGTATTGAGCACCTACTATGTGCTAGGCATCTCAGGGAACAAAACAAAAATCCCTACCCTTGTGGAATATGTATTCTGGTAGGGCAAGGCAGACAAGCCAGACCTATACATAAAATATATAGTATGTTAAATGTGGATAAGTGCAATGCTGAGAAATAGACAAGAGGGCTGGGGAGGCCCAAGGTGGAGGTAGAGGGAAGAAGTTTTAAACAGGACACTCAAAGAAAGCTCTTGTCAGGGGAAACATTGAGAAAAGACCTGGGAAGTAAGCTGTGCAGCCATCTAAGGGAGGAACATTCCAGGGCAGGAAAACAGCATGCATGGACTCCTTGATAAAGCAGTGTGCCTGTTGTGTTTGAGGCACAGCAAGGAGGCTGTGTGGCTGGGGCAGTGTGAGCAGGGAGTTGAGTCCTGGGACATGGGGTCTGAGAGGTGGTGGGGAGGCCAGTTCCTGAGCCAGTAGAGGCCTTGCAAGGATCTCCCGGGCTGTTGGATTGAAAAGAAATTGTAGGTGGGCATGGGCTGGCCCAGGTAGACCTGTAGGAGTGATGAGAGTGGCTTGGACTAGAATGTTGATAGTGGAGGTGATGAGAAGCGGTCAGGTCTTCTAAATGCAGGCTGTGGTAAAGCCCTCCCCTAGTGTGCTGACAGCTGTGCATGGTGAAGTGAGGAAGCAGCATGGTGCCAGGGCTTTGGGGGCAACAGGCCTGGTTTTAAAATCCTGGCTCTTACAAGCTGTATGAAATCATCTTAGCCAGTTTGCTTAACCCATTTGAGCTTCAGTTTCCATAAGTGTGGCTGGGTGTGGTGGCTCACACCTGTAATCCCAGCATCTTGGGAGGTGGGCAGATCACTTGAGGTCAGGAGTTCGAGACCAGCCTGGCCAACATGGTGAAACCCCCATCTCTACTAAAAATACAAAAATTAGCCTGGTGTGGTAGTGCACACCTTTAGTCCCAGCTACTCAGGAGGCTGAGCCAGGAGAATTGTTTGAATCCAGGAGGTGGAGGTTGCAGTCAGCCAAGATCACACCACTGCACTCCAGCTTAGGCGACAGAACAAGAAGACCCTGTCAAAACAAACAAACAAACAAACAATAACAACAACAACAAAAACAAATTAAGTGTAATTGTTTCCCTATAAGGATGTGGAAGGCTTATGTAAGATAACGTAAATACAAGGTCGTCCCTGAGTCCCTTTCTCAGTTCATACCTGGCTTGGGTGCTCTTCTACCCAACCTGTGCCCAAGTCTGCATGAGCCGTGGCATCCTTGTAACTTGTGACTCACTTGTCCCTCTCTACCCAGAGGTGGGCAGAGATTGCAGAATAAATGGGTAGAGAAATGGAAGGAAGCATGAAAGGAAAGAAATAATGCATTAAGAATTTCATGCATTGATATTGGTATAATATTTGAGTTCACTATTTCAACAGAAAGCAGGACTTTTTTTCCCCAGGGTTCAGTGTTTAATACATCAAAGGATTTGTAAGGCCTTGGCTACATTAATTTAAATAAGTCTAATCAGGGAAGACATGTACTCTTGTTTCTGTGTTTCAAAATTTATCTTCTCTCTACTTTTGGCTTGTGAAAAATGTTTGTTTGAAGATGCTAATTGGTGTTTTTACTTAGGTGTTCTTTAAGAATAAAGATTTTGTTAGCAGATGATACGGTTTGTCTGTGTCCCCAACCAAATCTCATCTCAAATTGTAATCCCCACATGTCGAGGGAGGGAAGTGATTGGATTATGGGGGCGATTTCCCCCATGCTGTTCTCGTGATAGTGAATGAATTCTCACAAGATCTGATGGTTTTATAAATGGTAGTTTTTTCTGCGTTCACACATGCGTTCTCTCTTGCCTGCCTCCATGTAAGACGTGCCTGCTTCCCCTTCCGCCATGTTTGTAAGTTTCCTGAGGCCTCCCCAGCCATGCGGAACTGTGAGTCAATTAAACCTCTTTCCTTTATAAATTACCCAATCTCGGGTAGTATCTTTATAGCAGTGTGAGAACAGACTAATACAGCAGATTTTATCAACATTCTGAGGAAATTTTTACCTCAACATTTTATTATGAAAATCTCAAACAAATGCGTACAAAATACAAAGGTAATAATTTAAATGAATGTTAACTGAAGTTACTGGTGCTCTAGATCGCTCCCCATGTGTCAGTACAGTAGTGACTGCTGCAGGGCAGGTTTTCTGTGGAATTTGGAATGCTTCTGTTGCCTCCTGGATGATGGAAAGCCTCAACCCTTGCGTAACTTTTCTGTTAGAAAAATTGTGTGTGGTGACACCTTCGTTCACGGTGAGACTATTTGCCCTTCTGGAACTGCCATATCATTTACTTTTTTTTTTTTTTTTTTGAGATGGAGTCTTGCTCTGTTGCCCAGACTGGAGTGCAGTGGCACGATTTCTGCTCACTGCAACCTCCATCTCCCAGATTCAAGCCGTTCTCCTGCCTCAGCCTCCTGAGTATTTGGGACTACAAGCGTGCACCACCACGCCTGGCTAATTTTTGTATTTTTAGTAGAGATAGGGTTTCACCGTGTTGGCCAGACTGGTCTAGAACTCCTGACCTCAGGTTCAGGTGATCTGCCTACCTCAGCCTCCCAAAGTGCTGGAATTACAGGAATGAGCCACTACGCCCAGCCCATTTACTATTAAAGTCAGTGTTATCGTTTGACCTGTGTCCCCCACCAAAAGATATGTTGAAGTCCTAACCACCACTACCTCACAACATTACCTTATTTGGAAATACAGTCTTTACAGAGGTAATCAAACCTCTGTAAAAAAAAAATTTTTTTTTTTTTTTTTGAGATGGAGTTTCGCTCTTGTTGCCCAGGCTGGAATGCAATGGTGCAATCTCGGCTCACTGCAACCTTGGCCTCCCGGATTCAAGCGATTCTCCTGCCTCAGCCTCCCCAGTAGGCAAGGAGGGAGGGGTGTGTCACCACACCCAGCTAATTTTTTGTATTTTTAGTAGAGACAAGGTTTCACCATGTTGACCAGGCTGGTCTCGAACTCCTGACCTCAAGTGATCCACCCGCCTCGGCCTCCCAAAGTGCTGGGATTACAGGCATGAGCCACCGCACCTGGCCCATTTTCGAACATTTTCATCAGCTCAGAAAGATACCCTTAGCAGTTATTCTTCATTTCCCCCTCTCTTAAAAGGTTCACGCATGTTGTAGCATGAATCAGTACTTTATTTCTTTTTATGGCTGAACAATATATTTTTTTTTAATTTTGAGACAGAATCTCACTGTAGCCCAAGCTGGAGTGCAGTGGTGTGATCTCGGCTCACTGCAACCTCTGCCTCCCAGACTCAAGTGATTCTCGTGCCTCAGCCTCCTGAGTAGCTGGGACTACAGGCGTACGCCACCACGCCTGGCTAATTTTTTCGTTTTTTAGTGGAGACGGGTTTTCACCATGTTTCCCAGGGTGGTCTCAAACTCCTGAGCTCAGACGATCCACCTGCCTCAGCCTCCCAAAGTGCTGGGATTACAGGCATGAGCCACCATGCCTGGCCATGGCTGAATAATATTTCATTGTATGGATATGTGACATTTGGTGGACATTTGGGTTGTTTTCACTTTTTGGCTATGAAGAATAATGTTGCTATGAACACTTCTGTGTAAGTTTTTGTGGGGGTATATGTTTTTATTTCTCTTGGGTACATACCTAGAAGGAGTGTTGCTGGGTCATATGGTAATTCTGTTTAACCTTTGGAGGAACTGCCAGAGTGTTTTCCAAAGTGGTTGCACCAGTTTATATTCCCACTACCAGTGTATGAGGGTTCTGATTTCTCCACATCCTCACCAGTGCTTATTATTATCTGTCTTTTAATTACAGCCATCCTAGTAAGTATGAAGTGGTATCGTATTGCAGTTTTGGGTGATTTTAAAAATTTCTTTTAATGAAAGCAGTTGTTATAATCTTTGTACATGAAATAGGTAAATTTTCTTTAGCTGAGAGGCTGGTATAATTAATAATATAAATTATAACTTTTGTGGCTTGCCACATTCCTTCTTACTAGTCATTTCTTGAAGCTGGTTGTCCAAAACCAGGTTGGAGAAACTGTTGTGGTTTGCATGGCTTGACTTTTACTTTGCCGATGGTACTGCACATGAAAAGGCCACCCAGAGCTTCCTGGTCCTCCCCACCATGAGGTCCAGGGTTGGAAGGCTCTGGGCCGTGGCCCAACCTCTGGAAGGGTGTAATGGGTGCCTAGCCCACACGTGTTTCCTTAGGCAAGTAGCCAGGGCATTTATTCGGGATTCCCCCAAGGGGTAGCTGGTGTTGTATAGACGTGGTGGTAGTTGTACGTGGGTGTAGCCAGACTGGCCCCTGTGCCGGTAAAGATGGACACCGTGCTCTCTTTACAGCCAAGCTTTACAGGCTGTGAATTCGCTCCTGAAGAATAAGAAGCATAACAAAATGTACAACACCTGTGAGAGCAGAAATAAGTGCTGGTTGAATGAAGGAATAGCTCTGGCTTTGGGAGCCAGGCAGCATTCTAGCCTGGTAGCTTGAACAAGCTGCTTAAGTACTTAAGCTTTCTGAGCCTTGGTCCCTCATCTGCCAAACAGAGGTGGCATTGCCTCAGTTACAGGGTCCTGACGTGATGACGTAAAAGTGCCCAGCTCATGGTAGGCACTCAACAAATGTTAATTCTCTTCCCTTAAGTAGCTCTGCTCAGTCCACTCTGCTTAGTCTCAGATTTTTTTTTTTTTTCCTGCAGATTTAGTCCAGGTCCAGAACACAGGATTGATTGTATTGTTTAGAATATCTTTTCTTTTCAGAGAAATAATGAGCTCTTGGCAACATTAAGTATTGATGGAAATGAATATTGCAATTTGGCAGCTGCTGATTGACACATGTTTGCTAAACAGCTACTCAAATTTCAGAAAGCTTGCCTAGAAGAAGAAGAAAAGTAAGATATCCCAAGAATATTTTTTACCTTCTTTGCCTAGGTATTTATTTGTAAAATCATTTTCTTTGGAAAGTTCCAGCTGAAACATGAGCTAGCTTTGGCTGAAGAGTTCAGGTGAGCCTACATAAAAGATTAAACTTCAGTAAATACAGAAGTGTTGAGGTTTTTTTGGAGCCTCTTTGCCTTGTAATTTTTTTTTTTTTTTTAAGAAAGAGCTGGTCTTTTGGTCACTGGGTCTTTTTTTATATCTGCAGGGAAGTCATAGTAACAGGCTCCGTGTCTGATTGGGTTCCATGGCAACAAAGGGTTGTGACTTTATTAAAGGAGAGTTGAGCATGCCAAGAAAGATAAAAATCAGAGTATGGAAAATGTCCGACCAGATGAATGTGTTTTTTGGATCACATGTGCCCTGGACTAGAAAGGTTTCCTGAGTCGACATCAGTCTCCATTACAGATTTGAATCGCACTGGGTTATCATTAAGGTCATAGGGATCAGTGCTTATTTTAAAAAAGAAATCCATCTACTTCTTTGCTTTTACCCATTCATTCTTCCTTTTTTAATGTCTCGGTATATTTACAAAAATCAAAACAGTGATGGTAAGTACCTAACAAGAGAGGATTCTGGCTTTTCAAGGGAGAAAAGAAATATAACATATTCTTTGTGGAACTGATTATAGCTGTATGTTGTGAGATCGTGTGGGAGGGCCAATTAGAGGCAATTATATCTCGATTGAACTCTCCCTGAATTAAAGCTTGCTGGATGCTTTCCAAGCTTGGGGGGTTTGGTTTCCCATCCATGTTTCTCTTTGATGGGTTTGGAGATCCTGGTTTCAGGCCATGGGTGTGGAGTACTCCTCTCTCCCAAAAGTAAGGAGCAGGCTGTTGCCATAACCAAAAGTGTGTGGTAATTAGAGGTCTTTTGCTGAAGGTACTAATATTTGACCAAGAAATGGTGTGATCCGAAAACTTTGAATTGTCCTGTGTTCCCGCTTCACCTGGTTGTTAACTGTGTGGGGCTGGGTTTACTTTTCTATGAAATGTACAATTGTATATTTCTCCTACTGATACTGAAAGTGAAAGAATTCCGAGGGCAGGTTGACGTTGGACACTTTACCATGTCAGTCATCCTTTAAACCAGTGGTGCGTTCTGACATGCCCCTGGGTTCAGGCTTTATTAATCACTTGGGGCCTCTTCCTGGTGAATCAGAAACTGCACAGATACTGGGGCTCTCATGATTACACATAATATAACAAGCAGTATTGGTCTAAGAGGGAAGAATTAGCTCACCAGGTTTCACAGCTCCCAGCTATCATTAATCAGCTATAAGTCCTTGGTGAAATCACTTAAACTTCTTGGGCCTTGATTTCCTTATCTTAAAATGAGTTTGACCTAAATTGGTGTTTCCTAACTTTCCTGTTTAGATAAAGAACCTGGGGTACTGCAGAACCTCCAGTAGAGATTTCCTGATTCACTGGTCTGGGGAGTGGGAAAGATCACTGGGGCTCCATCCACTCTTAACAATTTGGTGTTCGGGATATACTGATCTAGCTCAATAGTTTCAAACTACTTGGACATAAGAATGGGGTGGAGGTGGGAGGTAGAAAGGCGGCTGTCAGATGCACAGTCCAGGTTCTGTCCCTGAGATTGCCTGAAGCTGTAGCTTGAGAAACACCAGCCCCAAAGGCTCTTCCACATACTGGTCCTCACTTCCTCGAAGGAGCCAGAAGAGCTGTGTCAACTGAGAGAGCCTGGTGGGTTTGCTTACCCGCAGTGTTAACTCTAAACCCCATATCAGTGTTTGAGAAAGTTACTTATTTTAAAATCTTAGAGTACTGCAATAGTTTGTTCATAGAATTCTCTGTGCTGTGTTTCTTTTGGATAACACAGCGTTTTCTAAGCATGGTTACTTTAGGTGTGCACGAGGCAATGCCAGCCACATCCAAATTACCTGTGGAGCTTGTTAAAAAATATACAGAAGATTCAATGTGTCCTTCATAGGGCCTGGGCATCAATCTTGCTTAAGACCTGAAGGATTTTGTGTTCTTTTTAAGGTTTAGGGCAAAACCTTACAAACTGACCCTACCCTAATTTCCTCAGTGAAATCGACTTTAAGTATAAACACGCATGTTTAGCACAAGGGGAATGGTTTACATTGAGCCACTTAGATTGTAGAAGAGTCAGCAACACATAAAGTGCCTTAGAGAAAAATACCCTGACCTGGTTAATGATTAAACCATTAACTGCTAAAGCAGACCCATTCTAATGTATATCTGGTCTATACAGTTTCTATTTGTGCCTAGTTTTTCTAGTTCGTGTTTAGCAAAGATTAAGTGATATTGTTTAATGAAGTGTTTAGTAGCTCTAAATGATAAAGGTTCACATTTTTTTCTATTAAGTAGCTTAAGTGTGAATTCATTTGAAAAAAAAAAAATTCCACAGGCCCTGCACAGTAGCTCATGCCTGTAATCCCAGCACTTTGGGAGGCCGAGGCAGATGGATCACCTGAGGTCAGGAGTTCAAGACTAGCCTGGCCAACATGGTGAAACCCTGTCTCTACTAAAAATACAAAAATTAGCTGGGCATGGTGGTGGGCTCCTGTGATCCCAGCTACTCGGGAGGCTGAGGCAGGAGAACCGCTTAAACTTGGGAGGCGAAGGTTGCAGTGAGCCGAGATCGCGCCATTACACTCCAGCCTGGGCGACAGAGCAAGACTCTGTCTCAAAAAAAAAATAATAATTATTAAAAAAAAAAAATTTCCACAGTACTAAAGGGCTTAAAGCAAAATTAAAGTGTCTTTTTCCAGCTTCTTGTCCTTTTCCCCAGAGATAGCAATGATAATAATGTTATGTTTCTTTTTTTTTCTTGAGACAGTCTCGCTTTTGTTGCCCAGGCTGGAGTGCAATGGCACTATCTTGGCTCGCCGCAACCTCCGCCTTCCGGGTTCAAGCGATTCTTCTGCCTCAGCCTCCCCAGTAGCTGTGATTACATGCACCCGCCACCACGCCCAGCTAATTTTGCATTTTTAGTAGAGACAGGGTTTCTCCATGTTGGTCAAGCTGGTCTCGAACTCCCGACCTCAGGTTATCCACCTGCCTCGGCCTCCTGAAGTGTTGGGACTATAGGCGTGAGCTACTGCGCCTGGCTGCAATGTTATGTTTCTTATGTGTCTTTACAGAAATAGTCTTGACACAAAATATACATATCTATTATTTATTTAACCAGTCGCCTATTGATATGCGATTTAAGTTCCTCCCAGGATGATGTTTTTTCATGTTTCTTTTGCTTTGTAATACTGTATTGAAAACTTGTGTACATTTTTCTCTATAACCATATTTAGATAAATTTCCAAAAGCAAAACTGTTAGGTCAAAGGGCATGTGCCTTTTAAATGAGAATAGAGGCAAACACATTGTCCTCCCAAAGGTTGCACCAATTTGTAGGATAAATCTTTTATTTTCAGAAGGATTCCTGGGCTCAGCTGAGTCTGATGCAGCAGGCAGCTATCCATGTCTACTAACCACAGGAAACTCAGGGGCCTCTGCCTGGAGGAATGACATGAGCTATGAGAAAGAGGAGAATGTAAAAGGTGTTTAAAGAGTTCAGAGAGAGAAAAAGCTAGGGACTGGCTTAGTAGGGAATCCTGAATTTACAAGGAGAGTGCTTTGGGTCATAGGTTGCAGGTCCTGATCTGGGTTTTGAAGAAAGTAAGGCAGCCCTGGGGCATAAGGTAATAGTGAGAAAATCCTGCTCTAGATCAGGCAAACCATTTCCTGGATGTGACCTGCTCCTGTAGTAGAAGCCGTAAAGCAATTTTGAGTGAAGCATCATAATAGCACGGAGATGCTGTTCATTTTAAACACCACCTCCAGTGTGAGTCATGGTGGAGTCAGACGTGTGTAAGTGTGTGTAATGCATATGTCAAAGTCATGTTTAAAGGGAAAGGATTACGTCTCAGTAGTCTCTCCCTGAGACTCTGCACCTCTCGTCAGTGTCTGAGGAATAACTCAAGTAGACCACGGGCTGGGTGCCATGGGGAAGTTGCCACCTCAATGGCAGATTCCATCTAATGTGGCCATCTGTCTGCTTTCATTTTTCCCCCTATTGGCAGTGGGGTAGGAGAGCATCTTGTAGACACGACAAAAAGTTGAGTCTATTCACAGCTGGGAAGTTCAAGTCTATTCAAGGCAGAGAAGAACTGGAAGGTATCTTGGTTCTATATGTCAGTGGGGTGTCAAAATCTTAGAGGTTGGCTAAGAAGGATGGAGATGTGTATTGTGTGTTTAATGGGAACCACCCAGAGTTCAGAAACATCCTAGAGAATCAAGAACCTCAGGTTCAGACTACATATGTGAGCGAGGAGGAACTTGTTCTTCCTCGGCCCTTGGGGACCAAAGTGTCCTCTCAAACTGGTCATGCTTGAGGCATGTCACATGTGCCCAGGTTGAAGACAGCCAGGAATAAGAGTAGTCCTAAAGACCATTAGCTCTGAATTGGATCATTGTCTACGTTTAATCCAAATGATTAAATGAGCCAAACAGTGAGCTTTGAGGCAGTTGCCACATCATTCTGTATTAGAAACTTGGGCAGGTTTTTAAAAAAGATATTTGTGACTGAGACACAGAATGTGAGGTAGGTATACTGAACTGGGCTATGGGTGAATGGATGGGAATATATGAAGCTACCAGGGAAGAAGGGGGAAGGAAGAAGTGATCCTGAATGTATTTTAGGAGCTAAGCTGGAGATGAAACAAAATATCTAGTGACCAAGATATTTTCAGACTAGGAAGGCAGCCGTAAAAATAGGTAAAGACAAGTTAGATCCCAAATTTAAAGGCAAACGCTGAAGAAAAATGAACAAGCTTAGCTCTGTGGAACTGAATTATGTATGCCTTACTGGTCAGTCTGGTTTTAAAAATCTTATTGTAGTTTTAAAATATTCATTTTAAGAGTTAGAATTAGCAAAATGACCTAGCAAAGAAAGTATATACGTCTCATATACGGAGTGTACTATTGACTTAACATTTGGTTTAAGGCAAGATCCATTTGCTGGAATTCATTATTTAACATGACTTAAGACCTTTACTTGAACTGAGCCAGAGGATAGAGGCTATGCAATATTAACTTTGATAGACACTCTTCCTCTTAAATATTACAGTAGAGTTTTCACAGAGTAGGCTTTGACTAGCCTTTATTAGGCTGACAAAATTCTCCCTCTTTTCCAAACCCCACTGCCCTTTTCTCTCCATCCCACCCCCAACACAGAGTTAAATCAACACCACTTAAGCCACATAGCAATTTTGAGATCTTTGCATTTGTTATTTAATGTCAAAAGCAGGAAACCCCTGGTCCCCCAGAACAGTCTGGCCTTAGTTTTTCATATGACTTGTGGCAATTCAAATATTTGAGAATCTGTGCCTACAAATATGGTCAAAAGGGATTTAAAGATGAGTGACAGCAAGAAAACTTATAATCTGCTGCAAAGGTTAAGTACTCAATTATAATACAAAGCAGTATATGATCACAAAAGGGCAAGAGGAAAATATTAAATCTCTTCTGTTTGCCATGACATCATGTCCTTTTCTGATTTCATTAAATCCCAAAAGGAATTTCCTTAGGTGAGACCAGAGTCCCAAAAAGGTTAATTTACTTGCCCCAGGTCGTATAGCTGCTAAGAGGCAGAAGCTGGGATTTGATTAGGTCTGGTTGTCTATGCTTGTCTCCTCAGAGAGTTGCCTAAGGCGCTGTCACCAATGGGCTCCAGTGCTGTTTCCTCTGTCCCTTTCTCTCTCTGTTCATCAGGACGTCTGTGTTTGAAGGTCCCATAGGAACCTTAAGTTTATCATGTCTGAGGCTGAAAATTCCTCTTGCCTATCTTGTGAATAAGCTTAGCTACCAGAAGGAATGAAACAGAAGTGGGGTTTTCCTTGACTCGTCCCTTCACCCCCACATCCAGGTGGTGGCAAGTCCTCTCATTCCACCTCCTTCATAGACCTCTCACGACCACCCTACATCCAGCCTTCACCAGCTCTTGCCATAGATTGCTGCAGCAGGCTCCAGGCTCCAGTTGGCTCCATGGAAATGCATTTTCCATCTTGCTTTCTCAGAAGGACTTGTTTAAAACAGGATGTGATCATCCTAATCCTCTATGCGGCTGCCAAGGGACCTACAGGATGAACCCCAAACACCTCTGTATGAGTTAAGTGGGACCCTCCGGGTGTGACCCATCTGCTGTCCCAGTCTTCAACTGCACCAAGTCCTCCAAATCTTTACTTCTCTGTCTAACTGATTCACCTTCTGACAAGCCTTTCTGCTTTCCATTGACTTTTTCCCCTCCCCCTTTCCTCTTATCTCCCCCTTAGCAGCTCCTTCCAAGTGCTCGCTTAGCACCAAGTACTCTCCTGACACTTATCAGTGGCTGTCATTGTGTCTCTCCCCCGGCCACTACGCCAGGAGGCGGCTATGCCCCTTTGCCTCCCCAGCACGCCTCGCTGCGCCTGACACTAGGAGGCACCCAGCAAGTGTCTGTCTCATGAATGAATCAACAGAGAGTCTCCTGACTGCTCACTGTCTTTAAGCCACTTCCCTTCCCTTGGTGCTGGCTGGCCCCTTTGCTCTGCCTTCATCACATTGGTGTTTACTGTGCCCAGTCCACTGCTGGCATTTGCTCTGCCTAACAAGGTTTGTTGAGCCGAGCCCATTTCCTTATTGGTAAAGAGAGAGTACCAGACTGAATGTCCTCTTGCAATCCCAGAGTCGGGGTGATTGATAGCAGGCGCCCTTCTAGTCGACCTCCCTGCAAAGATATAGAATGTGGATCTCTTCTGCTGACTGCACAAAGAGCCCATTTGTACAGCAATGTGTTGAATACGGTGCATTATTACTGACATTTGTATTGGGTACAGTGCAGGGCGTGGAGTTTCTCTGAGACAAACACAGGAATACCCCGAGATAATGTGAGCAGTATCTCCAAAGTCCAGGCTGAGTCATATGGTAGGTGCTGTTTGGAATATCTAGCCTGCCTGCCTTGCAGATTCAAATGCCTCGGGCAGGAGGGTGAGCTAGCTGCCGATCCTGCTCTGCTCCTGGGTTTGCTGTGTGGCCCTTGGTAAGTCTCTTCACAACTCTTCCGTTTCAGCCAGAGTGTGTAAATATGTATTGTGGAGCTTTGTGGTCTTTAATATCCTGGGAGATGCCAGAAAGAAATGCAATTTGTCTTTGTGCTCTTAATAGTTATCTTTGTGCTTGCCCAAATCCCTCCCTAATTTCTCAGTTGGTTTCTAGATACTTAAACTGCCTAAACGCCTAATGAACCACCAGTCTCCTTATTGTTATGTCCTTTTAAAAATGTCAGTCCAGTGTGAGTGATTTAACAGATGGACAAATATCTGGGTTGGATTGTGCCAGCTACTGGCTGGAGAAGAGCCAGGTCTCCTCCCACCTCCCTGGGAGTTCGAAAGTAACCCCGGGTCTAACCAGGCTCTGAGTTGGAATCTAACTTTGTACTTTAATATCTAGTCTTTCGACAAGTGGGCATCTTTGAGTCATCCTGCCTTTGCCTGGAAACTTGAAACTCTGTAAAACTGACTTTGTGTGATGCTGCCCAGCCCACGTTGGGGAAGAAGGGTGTGGTGGCTGCCTCGAGCTGTGGGAGAGGAAGCAGCCATGGGGGAAATGGAGAGTGCGTCTGAACTGGGCCTCCTCGGACCATGCTTGGACACCCCATAGTGTGGGATTCATTCCCCATAGGGTGGTGAAGGCTCAGGTTCATGTGATTTCTGCCTGGGGGAGCCTTTGATCTCACAGGAAATCTGTGTTCACTTGTGGCTCTTTGTCATAGAAGACTTCTCTATATTGACACAAAATGCAATCTTTCTTTCCTTCCCTGAACATTAAAATATTTGCACACATTTATTAATTCAGGTGGTTTTGTCCTAATCAGTTCTGTAGCAAAGGTTTGCCCATTGTTGATAGTGATCCCCAGTCTTCAGAAACCAAAACACCTGGGGGTGGGAGAGGAGGGAAAGTTGGAAAAGTTTGCTGCTTGTCATTTGATCATTTGGGTCTTGGAGGTTACATTTCTGTTGTTTAAAATACAAAAATTAGCTGGGAGTGGTAGCAGCGTCTGTAATCCCAGCTACTCGGGAGGCTGAGGTAGAATTACTTGAACCCAGAAGGTGGAGGTTGCAGTGAGCTGAGATCGCGCCACTGCACACGAGCCTGGGTGACAGAGTGAGACTCTGTCTCAAACCAAAAAAAAAAAAAAAAATCTGTCTGTTGTTTAAAAAAAGAAAAAAGTCAGAGAGGCCAGTTGTTCCGACAGCATATCATGCAATAGCCTCGTAACACTGTGAGTGCAACAGTTGACAGAGCTTGATGCACACAGTTTCAATTGGAATAAAAGGGAAAATGGCTCCCCAAACTGCAAGAGTGCTGCTTGTAAAACAGTCAGAGCTGCTTTCTGTGCCAGGCTGTTCAAAAAGATGTGGGAACAGGGCTTGTCCTGGTTGACAGGCCATTCTGGAGAAACCCTGACAATGCTGGCCACCCCTCTGCTGTCCTTCCCACCTGTTCCTTTCTAGTCAGTTTATGGAGAGGAGGTTGTTTTTGCTTCCAGGGGGATTACTTGTGGCCTGGGGGCAATTACAGGGCTTTCTCCTGACTGCATGCTTCACATTCCTGTGTGTAACCAGTGAGGATAATGATCCAAGAAGATCATTGCAGTGGTGACCCGAGGACCTTTGAGACCAGGTCACAATTTAAGTAGGGTCTCAAATTTAGATTTTAACATTATTACCCAACGAGTTAAGTATAGAGCCAGAGATAAAGCAATAGGATTGACAGAAGACATTCATTCTACAGCTTAAGCAAACACACACACACATTTTATTTTACTGTGTAATTTACTCCATAGTTTTTTTTTTTTTTTTTTTCTGGAGATGGAGTCTCACTCTGTCGCCCAGGCTGGAGTGCAGTGGTGCAACCTCGGCTCACTACAAGCTCCGCCTCCCAGGTTCACGCCATTCTCCTGCCTCAGCCTCCCGAGTAGCTGGGACCACAGGCACCCACCACCATGCCCGGCTAATTTTTTTGTATTTTTAGTAGAGATGGGGTTTCACCGTGTCAGCCAGGATGGTCTCGATCTCCTGACCTTGTGATCCGCCCATCTCGGCCTCTTGAAGTGCTAGGATTACAGGTATGAGCCACTGCGTCCGGCCTACTCCATAGTTTTTATTTTAAAATGTTTGTAAACTAATATCATACAAAGAAGATATTCCATTAAAAAATACATGAAACACCCCTGTACGTTATACCCAGGGTGAGGAGATGAACTTGACCCTGTGACCTTCCCTGATTGAGCATCCCTACATCACAAGCCTTCCCACCCCCAAGAGGTCATCGCTGCCATAAGGTTTAACTATTCTCAAGATTTTTCTCTTTTTATCACATGTGTGTTCATACCTAAAAAAGAGTTTGCCTGCGTTTGACCTTTATAAAGTAGAATTCATAAAGTATGTGTTCTTTGATTTGCTTCTTTTAAGATTTAATCATTTTATTCTTTTTGAGACGGGGTCTCGCTCTGTCACCCAGGCTGGAGTGCAGTGGCGTGATCTTGGCTCACTGCAGCTTCAACCTCCCAGGCTCATCCTCTTGCCTCAGCTTTCCAAATAGCTGCAACTACAGACGTGTGTGCCACCATGCCTGGCTAATTATTATTATTATTATTATTGGTAGAGACAGCATTTCATCATGTTACCCATGTTGATCTCGAACTCTGGGCTTATGTGATCCACCAGCCTCGGCCTCCCAAAGTGCTGGGATTACAGGTGGGAGCCATTGTGCCTGGCCCATTTTAATTCTTGTAGTTCTGGTTTATTTCATTCCACTGTACAAATAAACACAATGTGTGTGTGTGTGTGTGTGTGTATCCATTTTATTGTGTGTATATATATATATATCTCCAATGTGCGTGTATATATATCTCTCCATTTTATTGCCCATAGGCTTTGGATTATTTGTGGGTTGTCTTTTGTTATTGCTTTTATTGTTTTTCTTTTGCAAGTGATGCTGCTGTGTATATTTTCAATGTGCTCCTAACAGGGGCACTTGCTCCTCTAACCTACAAATGGAATTTCTGGGTCTCTAGGGGATGCACATGCTCAAATGCCAAACAGTTTTTAATGTTTTAAGAATCAGTTAAAATCAAACACTGCAAATATACCTTGCAGTCTGCTTTTAGCATTGCTTCATTTTAAAATGAATCCTAGAACCACTGAAAAAATTTTAAAAGTGCAAGTAATTCTGTCTTGCTTTGTCTTCTGAGAAACTGACTTTAACCTTAAGGAGATAACATTATTCCTTTTTTGTAGTTGTAGCTGTAGAAACAATTTTTGAAGGACAAAACCAAACTTTAAAACTTGAGGCCAGGTGCGGTGGCTCACGCCTGTAATCCCAGCACTTTGGGGGCCGAGGCGGGTGGATCACAAGGTCAAGAGATCGTGACCAGCCTGGCCAACATGGTGAAACCTCGTCTCTACCAAAAATACAAAAAATTAGCCGAGTGTAGTGGCGGGCACCTGTAGTCTCAGCTACTCGGGAGGCTGAGGCAGGAGAATCACTTGGACTCGGGAGGCGGAGATTGCAGTGAGCCGAGATCGCACCACTGCACTCCAGCCTGGTGACAGAGCGAGACTCCATCTCAAAAAAAATAAATAAAATAAACTTGAGAACCATTTGGGCACGCTGGCTCATGCCTGTAATCCCAGCTTTAGGAGGCCAAGGCAGGCGGATTGCTTGAAACCCAGGAGTTCGAGACCAGCCTGGTCAACATGGTGAAACCTCGTCTCTACAAAAAAATACAAAAATTAGCCGAGCATGATGGTGTGCACCTGTAGTCCCAGATACTCAGGAGGCTGAAGTAGGGGGATCAGTTGAGCCCAGGAGATCAAGGCTGCAGTGAGCTGTGATTGCACCACTGCACTCCAGTCTGGTTGATAGAGCAAGACACTGTCTCAAAAAACAAACAAAAACACCAAACCTGAGAATCACAGGTAAAACAGTCTAGCCTCAGGAATCACATGAACTATATGTAAACAGTCTCTAGATGAACTCTGTGACCCTTCAGTTGCCATGAATGGATATACAGTTGGCCCTCCACATCCACGGATTTCACATTCATGGATTCAACCAACCAGGGGTCAAAAATATTTAGGAAGAAAAATTGCATCTGTACTGAACAGGTACCGAGTGTTTTTTTTTTTGTCATTATTCCCTAAAAAATACAACTATTTACAAGCATTTACATTGTATTAGGTATTATAAGTAATCTGGAGATGATTTAAAGTATACAGGAGGATGTATGTAGATTATATGCAAATACTACACCATTTTATATCAGGGACTTGAACACTCGCAGATTTTGGTATCTGCAGGAGGTCCTAGAACCAATCCCCCATGGATTCCAAGGGACAACTGTATATATACGCCTATCATACACTGCCATGGTCTGCTTGTATGAGTATTCTCAGTGAAGAGTCTTTATGGAAAACATCATTGCCCATGAAATACAGATTCAAAGCTGTGAGCCTTGGGCAACCCAGTTCTCAGTAGAAATATTTCAGTGGCATTGGTCCCTTAAAAAGACAGCATTTTATGAAGTTATTTAAGAAAGATGTAACATTAGTATTCAATATTTTAATGGGACTTTTACTTGAAAACTTATATTTATGACTTGGCAATTCCAGCTTAGTCCCATAAAATTTGTTTTAGAACTACCTTTTAAGCCATGGTTTTATTTCCTTGGGAAATGGGATTTAAAATTTCTCTTTTCAGTAGGGAGTTACTTTTCTAAAAGTAATTACATAAACAAAATTCAGTTAGGATGAGTTACAAAAATGCCTACTATCCTATAGATTATTTATTTTGCTACTGTTAGTAAAATCATAGGTCACTGGAGGAGACAAGGAAGTATCTTAAGTGTGCTAATGAAATTTTGCAGGTATTTGCATATTAGTCTCACTTTGAAATTCAGGCACTGGGGATTTTTTTTTAATATGAAAATAAGATGAATTACTCTCTCAAAAAGATAATATAAAACAAAAAGTATCTGTGTCTGCAGATTCCCAGTCCTATTCCCCAGAGGTAACTACCATCCACAGTTCTTAAGACAGCTTCTAGAAATGTTCATACACATAGAGTATACAATTGTACATATCTATCATAAATCCCTCCACCCCTCGTTTAAGCACAGATGAGCGTGCACAGTAGGCATAGCCCTGCGTCTTGCTTTTCTCTCTTAACAGTTTAGATTGAATAGCTTCCCATGGTAGCCCATTCAGATCCGTTTCCATTTTAGTGGCTGCATCATTTCCCATTGTACTAGAATTTTAAAAAGAGGTTCTCTATTGATGGATGTCTATGCTGTTTGCAGAATTGGCAGCAGATGGGGTGGTTGGTGGTGGTGGTGGTGGTAGGGGTGGCAGACTATCATTTTTTTAGAAGCAGCATAGAAGAATCAGAGAAAGAGGCAGAAGACTTGTAAATATTTTCATCTCCATTTCTGTTCTTTATATCTCTTGAAAAAAAAATTTTTTTTTTTTTTGCCTGCCTTAAGGTGTTTTCAGAACTATATGGAAGCCCAAAAGGGCTAGATGGTTTTTTCTTCCTAGCCCTTCTTTCCTTGTGGTGATCATGATGGTGAAGGAGATTATGATATGTAACCAAAACACTGGGGAAAAGGAATGTATTTACACTTGGTGGCTAAAGAAGGTTCCGATTCCCTTTCTTCTACCTCCAGTGCAAATACACTCTATGGTAACTGGATTATTTGTTTGTAACCTGATTAGCAAGGCTTTCTAATGATAATCTATTTGGATGGGGGAGTTTTCCTTATACAGAGTAGGTCGTTGCATAATATCCATTCGAGGTGGTGTTTGCAAACCCTGTGGAGTGCCTTTCCAAACACTCTTTTCCTTCCCTTTCTCCCTGGCTGGCAGAGCCTGTTCCTGGAGTGGAGGCCGAAAATGTTATCTGCTGCCTCCCCAGCCTCCCTTGCAACTAGGGCATGGACATGGGACTCAGCCCCGGCCAAAGGGACCCCTGAGGAGCTTCTGGAAAATGTTTTCCTTCCTAATAAAATATGAAAGAAGATAAGTATCCTCATCTATAGCCAGAAACTGTCTACACGTGATTTCTGGAACTACAGTAGCTCTCTTGCCTCCATGTGAGCAGAAGCAAATGGCCCGAGGATAGTGTAGTGAAAAAATGGAGAGCGATTGGGTCTTTGATATCTGTAAGCCGTTGAATTAGCCCTGCCCTCTGTTCTTAGTTTAGGAGACCATAGATGTGCCCTTATTATTGAAACTGATTTTATTCAGTTACTGAAGTTATCTTACCTGATACATAATTTTACCCATAGAAAATAATATGAAAATAGCAAAATCACTCAGGTAAGATAGTTGAGTGCCTGCTGTGTTCAAGAGACTGTTAATATGAGGCTCTGGGGCTGCAAAAAATCAAGTTGCTAAGAATATGAGGTCAGAGCAGCAGAAGTTCTGAGTAACCACTGATTACTGGACTTGGGGTGATCAGAAGTGACTGTGTGGGAGAGGTGAAATTGAGCAGACTCTGAAGGAACCTCTGGGTTTTGGTAAATAGGGAGCTGGGGATGAGGATGCCCCAGGTTTTAGAAAGAACACAGGCTGTTGAATCACACCTGGGTTCAAACCCTGGCTTGCTACTCCCTAGTTTGTGACCTTGTCAAATTCCTTGATTTCTTTTTTCTTTTTCTTTTTTTAATTTTGGAGACAACAGTCTCACTCTGTCACCCAGGCTGGTGTGTAGTGGTGTGATCATAGCTCACTGCAACCTCGAACTCCTGGGCTCAAGGGATCTTCCTGCCTGAGCCTTCTGTGTAGCTGAGACTACAGGTGCATGCCACCACACCCAGCTAATTTTTAAATTTTTTGTAGAGACTGGAGGGCATCAGGGGTCGTCTTGCTTAGTTGTCCAGGCTGGTCTCGAACTCCTGGGCTCAAGCCAGAGTGCTGGGATTACAGGTATGGGCCACAGCGCCTGGCCCAAATTCCTTGATATGTTTGATACACTAAACATAACTAGTATAATGAGGTGAGAACTAGAAATAAAATGTGTCAAACATCTGTCATGCTGATGTGCACATACAGGCGCAGAGTAGATGGTGGAGGTGGAAGGCACAGTAACGTCTACATACATGTGGCACTCCTGAATAAAGGGTGAAGTGAGTTAGGTAAAATGACCTTGGCATGCTCTGCTTGAGCTGGACAGAGTTCACCTGGATCCAACTATGTGGTCCAGCTAAGAGGCTGAGAGTACAGGATCTGGACAGAGACAGGTTTGAGTCAAGATAATGAGGACTTTGGCTTCCGGCTTCAGGAGTTTAAACCTCATCCTGTAGCCAGTCTACGGTGGTGACCACTGAGAGGATCAACCTGGAGAGAGAGGAGTTAGATTGCTGCATGGTCCAGGTGTGCAGTGTAACAGACCTAGACCAGGCAGGTGTCAGGTGTTGGAGGGAGCAAAAAGGTCTGATGTTAGAGTATGTGGGAGGCAAGGGAGAGGGGAGATTGAGTGATGAGTCCCAAAGACTGAATAGCTGTCAGTTATGGAGTGTGAAATTCAGAACAGATGTGTAAGACTTTCAGATCATCATATCCTAGGTGGGAACAAGAACAGTTGGAAAGATTTATTGACATTTTTAATGAAAGATGCTATATAAGTGGAAAATAAATGATGTTACCCAAATCTGTTTGTCTTTTAATTCTTGTCTAATTACGCTTGTCACTTTACCTCTGTTTATATATAAAGTTTGATTCCTTTGAAGGATGTGTCCCTTAATAAACATACCCTTGCCTCTGATTAGATATTATTGAACTCTTTGAGTCAATCCTATAATATGAAGTATATATTCACTGATTGTTCACTACATGTTTATCCAGGAAGAAAAGCAATCAAGCAAAGTGTTTCTCTGACACAGAGATTGTGGTACTTATGGTATATTTACAATGGCCTTATTAAAACATCAGTCATAACATTGAAAGCAATGAATGACATCAGAGTCATTAAAGTATAGAAATCAAATAAATTTTAGTTCATCAAGTTCAGGGTGATATCCTGAGTTGAATGAGAGACTTCATAATGTTCTCAGTTCATGAACAGATGGTCCCCTAACATTTCGAAATGCTGATTAAGGTAGGTGGACTGAGTCAGATTAATCAAGGGTACCACATTGTAAATACTGTTATGTAGTTAGCAATCCTTGGCATCTAATTAAGTTCACCTTCTTTCAGGCTGGGCACGGTGGCTCATGCCTGTAATCCCAGCACTTTGGGAGGCTGAGGTGGGAAGATCACTTGAGGTCAGCAGTTCAAGACCAGCCTGGCCAACATGGTGAAACCCCATCTGTTGCGGGAAGTCAGGGACCCCGAATGGAGAGACCGCCTGGAACCATGGGCAGAACATAAATTGTGAAGATTTCATGGACATTTATAAGTTCCCAAAATTAATACTTTTATAATTTCTTATGCCTGTCTTTACTGCAATCTCTGAACATAAATTGTGAGGGTTTCATGGACATTTATCACTTCTGTAATAATACTCTTGTAATTTCTTATGCCTGTCTTTAATCTCTTAATCCCGTTATCTTCATAAGCTGAGAATGTATGTCACCTCAGGACCACTATTGTACAATAGATTGTAAAACGTGTGTTTGAACAATATGAAATCAGTGCACCTTGACAAAGAACAGAATAACAGTGATTTTCAGGGAATAAGGGAAGATAACCATAAGTTCTGACTGCCTGCGGGGTCAGGCAGAATAGAGCCATAGTTTTCTTCTTGCAGAGAGCCTATAAATGGATGTGCAAGTAAGAGGGTATCGCTGAATTATTTTCCCAGCAAGGAATACCGTGCGGAAGGAATGCATTCCTGGGGGGAGGTCTGTAAACGGCCACTCTGGGAGTGTCTGTCTTATGCAATTTAGATAAGGACTGAAATACACCTTGGTCTCCTGCAGTACCCTCAGGCTTACTAGGATTGGGAAATTCCAGCCTGGTAAATTTTGGTCAGACCAATTCTCTGCTCTCACCTGTTTCCTGTTAAGATGTTTATCAAGACAGTACGTGCACAGCAGGACATAGACCCTCATCAGTAATTCTAATTTTGCCTTTGTCTTGTGATCTTTATTGCCCTTTGAAGCATGTGATCTTTGTGACCTACGCCCTGTTCGTACACCCCCTCCCCTTTTAAAATCCCTAATAAAAACTTGCTGGTTTTGCAGCTCGGGGTCATCACGGTCCTACCAATATGTGATGTCACCCCCAGAGGCCCAGCTGTAAAATTCCTCTCTTTGTACTCTTTCTCTTTATTTCTCAGACCGGCTGACACTTAGGGAAAATAGAACCTACTTTGAAATATTGGGGCTGGTTCCCCCGATACCCATCTCTACTAAAAATACAAAAATTAGCCAGGCATGGTGGTGTACACCTGTAGTCCCACATACTCAGGAGGCTGAGACAGGAGAATCACTTGAACCTGGGAGGCAGAGGTTACAGTGAGCTGAGATCACCCCACTGCACTCCAGCCTGGGTGACAGAGCGAGATTGTCTCAAAAAAAAAAAAAAAAGAATAAGAAAAAAGTTCACCTCCTTTCCCAAGGCAAAAAGAAGCCCCATGGTTCTTAGGGAACTTGGCATGAGTAAAGCCTCTTGGGCATTTTACCCTTTGAGCATAAAATTCATGTTTCCAAATGATACTTCTGCACACAGGCAGTAGTTCCATAATAGGCTAAGAGCAGGTGTCCCTGAGTGAGAGTTCTCACAGTCTTGTTGCATTGTTAAAGGCTCTAGGTCAGGTACAGACCCATGGTTTGGTTGATTGCAATTCCCAGTAAAGAGAAAAAAAGCGTCTAGCATTGACGCTTTCAAGACTGCCTTCTATCCACCCCCCTACACACATACTTGTTTTTTTGTTTGTTTGTTTGTTTTCTGTTACTAATCTCATTTGGATTTTTTTTTTCCACATATAATTTTAGTCATAGTTAGTACCTGGTTTGACGGAGTAGATTGGTGTAACCGTGGTACTTTCCTGCATTCAGGAGAATCTGGGATGTCTTCCGTAAGTATGGCTTAGAGTGAGGGGAATGTGATTTGCCGTGTACATTGAGGGATTTCTCTTTTCAGTCCATAAATAAAAGACAGAAGGCATTGCACTCTTCAGGAAAGTCATCTTTAAGTCCTGCCATTTTGTTCATCGTAGGTGAAAACTTTGCTCTTCTTTATCTAGCCCCCGATGGAAAGTACCAAGGCTGTGATAATAATTGGAGTTTGAATAGTATTGAGCCTGTAGAAGAGAGATGAGTGGAGATGGAATAAATTATGAATTGTGTATTTATGAGGCAAAATGCCTGATTTTCCATATGTGATGGACAGTGTTCTTTTAGGTAAGAACTCAGCTATCCTTAGCTTCAAATGATGCTTAAAAAAAGGAAAAGTCCAAATTACATGATCCCAGCATCCCAGATAGACGCTTACTTAATGTTGGTATGCAACAAGTGTATACGCATGTCATGACCAATTACACAGATTCATGAATGAACCATTCTTATGTGACCTGAACTAAATCCAAAATCCCTCTGTGTAGTATAGTCACAGTGCTGTATTTTTAAAAAATTAATAAGAACCTAAACAGTATCTGTATTTAAGATAAGCCTCCTTTTCTTTTTGATATTCCAAATTCTCTATGTCTCCGTATTTTATTTTCATGATTATAAAAACACCACCTGCTTTAAAATTCCTGGCTTCCCCTTGTCTGCATGGTCAGGTGTCTAGCCTAGCATGGTTTGCAGAGCCTGTTGCAGGTTGTCGGTGTTCTTCTGAGCCTTGTGCCGCCTCCCTTTAGGAATGCTTGCCATGCACCTCTTTTTCACCCCAGCCCTCAATCATGCCTTGATTTAGAATGACCCATTTAGCCATTCTCAATTTTAGACACTCCAACTTTTAGTTTCCTAAATACATATTCTAGTTTTTCCTTCTGCAGATACAATGTGCTCCTTGCTAGGCTCTCAGCAGATTTTTGAGCTGCCTCTAAGTCAATTATCACCTTCTCAGAAGCTTCTCATTGAAGCCCCCTGCTTATTTCCTCCCCTTGGTTCCTATAGTACTTATTACTTCTTTTTTTTTTTTTTTTTTTTTGAGATGAAGTCTCACTCTGTCACTTAGGCTGAAGTGCAATGGCACAATCATGGCCCACTGCAGACTTGACCTCTTAGGCTCAAGAAATCCTCCCACCTCAGCCTCTCAAGTAGCTGGGACCACAGACACTACCACACGCAGCATTTTTTTTTTTTTTTTTTGGTAGAGATGGGGTCTCACTATTGTGCCCTAGCTGGTCTCAAACTGCTGGGTTCAAGTAATCCTCCTGCCTCGGTCCCCAGAGTGCTGGGATTACAGGAGTGAGCCACTGTGCCTGGCCTTGTTACATTTTTTAATTCTGTACGCCTCCCTGCCCCAAGAGTGACCTCTTAGGGCAGAGCTTATCATATTTCTCTGACTCCAGTTCTTTCAGCACAGGACTTAGTTCACAAAAGATGCCCAGAAAAACATTTTCAAGTAGCAATTCTGTATTTTAGGGGGCTTGGTTTGCAACCTAAATTAATCAGTTCCATTAGCTATCATAAAAACAATTTGGTCTAAGTAAGCAAGCCCTAATTGTACTTTGTGTGCTTTTAGTTAAATTCAGCCTCATTGAGAAACATTGGCTTTCTAAATGACTATTATGTAATAAAACAAGGCATTAGCAATCTGGATCAACATGGTATTAGGATTTTGCTGCATTTTGCAGAATTCTAAATTGCATATTTTTATGTCTAAATCTGATGTATTCAGTTAAACCACAGATATTAATGCCTTGCTAGTAGTACACGTGTGGATTTCTGCTCTTTTTCATTGGCTCTTTAGTATTCTAAAAACAAATATTTATGAGACAGTGTCATGAAAGTTTGGGAAACTTTAAAAATGTTAAAGAGCTGACAAAATGCATTACAGGTTGACATGCTAATGAAATTTAAGTGGTTTTTTTTCTTGCTAGAATTGAGCAATACTGTATGTTAACATTTATTCATTGTGCATTTGTAATGTTACAGGTACTATAAAGATAATAGTTTTGACAGCTCCTGCATTTTTGTTATCTAAGTTTTTTTGCATCTTATTACTTTTTTGAGGTTTCACTTACAGTAAAGTGTATACATCTTAAATGTACAGTTGGATAATTTTTACCTATGTGTATGTCCTGAGTGACTGCCACCTGGATCAATGTTGTTAGCACCCCAGTGCTCCCTGGTGCCACCTACTGGTGAATCATTCTCCGTACCCCTACTTCCCCGCAAAGGGTAACCACTCTTCTCACCTCCGCAGCACGCTAATCATACACCATCACATTTTTGTGTGTGGCTTCTTTCATTAAGTATTACACACGTGAGATTTGTCTGGGTTGTGTGTTGAACAATTTTTCATTCCTTTTGTTGCATATGGTTTTTAACGACTTGTTGCTTATTAAATTTTATTTTGGTAAATAAGATTCATTATAAAGGGATGGCTCATGCCCATAATACCAGCATTTTGGGAGACCAAGGCAGGCAGATCACATGAGGCCAGGAGTTCAAGACCACCCTGGCCAAGATGGCAAAACCCCGTCTGTACTAAAATACAAGATGGCAAAACCCCATCTCTACTAAAAATAAAAAAATTAGCCAGGCGTGGTGGTGCACGTCTGTAATCCCAGGTACTCGGGAAGCTGAGGCATGAGAATTGTTTGAGCCTGGGAGGCAGAGGTTGCGGTGAACCGAGATTGCGCCACTGCACTCCAGCCTGGGTGACAGAGCAAGACTCTGTCTCAAAAAAATAAAAAATAAGATTCATTATAAAGAGTAATACTCAGTTTGTGTCAGTTGGTCTGTGCTAATAATTTTATGAACAAGGCTATTGGCATTTTGCGTGCAGGATGCCAGCCTTACAGACCTAATAGTAACAGAACTGCTGCATATGAGAGCTGCAAGGCCCTTAGAGTTTGCAGAGTTCAGCCACCTTGCTTCTTTACGAGGACCTAAGGTTAATTGGATCCCAGGTCCCCCGAGTGATCTAGTTCAGTTGTCTTCTTGAGGTCACTGTTGCTGTGTCACAATTCAAACTTGATTATGTGGATGTCCATAGTCAACAGGAAAACAATCTTGGAAATTTAGAAATCCACCTGGGCATGATGGTGCACTCCTGTAGCCTCGGTTACTTGGGATGCTGAGGAAGATCACTGGAGCCCCGGAGTTGGAAGCCAGCCTGGGCAACAGAGCAAGACCTTGTCTCTAAAAGAAATTAAAAGAAAGAAGAAAATCTAGAAATCTCTAATTAGCAAGACTTGGAGTTTCAGTTATCTACAAGTTTCATTCACTCATCTAGAATACTTCCCTTAGTGTCAATTAAATGAGATGTTACTGACCGTTCATGGAACTTCGTCTTTTATTAAAACCTATTCTTAAAGGAAAAGGAAGGGGAAAATGTAACCAGTGCACATGTTTGCTATGGTACTTTCAGCTTTAGCGCACTGTCTTAAACTTTTGATGTTCCTAGATTTAGTTATTTTAAAGCCCTGTGAAAACCACAAGGATTGTTCTCAGTATGCGAGGTCTTAGGGTAAGTTCTGAGTCTGTGATCTCTGCAACTAAAAAACCAATCCCTAATCTTATACCTTTCTGCTAAGGTCGTAATGATTCACAGAAGTTTTGTAGAAAGGATTTTGAAGGAGAGATTAGTAGACTCAGCAATGGAACATTAAATCCTTTATAGGCCAGGAAGTAACCACAGAACGTTCTTCAGAATGTTAGAGCCTTCCTTAAGTATGATTAACAAACACAGGGACAAGTGGCTTGTCTTTTTTCTAATTATAACACACTGTTTTTCAAACAGGATTATGGTCATGAAATAAATTTGATGAGTAACAACTATCACTTTATATTCTTATATGGAAAAGCAGAAGGAACATCACAGCAAATACTCATCTACCTTACCCAGATTCAACAATTTAAAATGTTCTTATTTTCTTTGTTTGTGTTTGTAACCTGTTAAAAGTAAGTGATATACAGACACCAGGTCCCTTTCTTTTTTCTTCTCTTTTTTTTTTTTTTTTTTTTTTTTTTTTGAGACCAGGTCTCACTCTGTCACCCAGGCTGGAGTGCAGTGGCATAATCTTGGTTCACTGCAACCTCTGCCTCCCGGGTTCAAGCAATTCTCCTGTCTCAACCTCCCCAATTAGCTGGCATTACAGGTGTGCACCACCATGCTCAGCCAATTTTTTAGTAGAGATAGGGTTGGCCAGGCTGGTCTCAAACTCCTGACCTCATGTGATCCACCCACCTCGCCCCCCCACAATGTTGGGATTACAGGAATGAGTCACTGCGCCCAGCCTTCTTTTTTGTTTTTTGAGACACAGCCTCACTCTGTTGCCCAGGCTGGAGTGTAGTGAGTGTAATGGCATGATCTCGGGTCACTGCAATCTCCGCCTCCCAGGTTCAAGTGATTCTCATGCCTCAGCAATCCCCTGAGTAGCTGGGATTACAGGCATCTACCATCATGCCCAGCTAATTTTTGTATTTTTGGTAGAGATGGGCTTTCACCATGTTGGCCAGCCTGGTCTCGAAAGCCTGGCCTCAAGTGATCTGCCCGCCTCAGCCTCCCAAAGTGTTGGGATTACAGTCATGAGCCACCGCGCCCGGCCAGGGCACTTTGTTTCTAATATGTATCTGCAAACAAGGACTTTTTCTACATAATAAAATTAACAAAGGTAATTATAATTTCTAATATCCAGTTGTCCAGAAAATTAGGTAGCTGTAAATACAGTTACATTGTGTGTAGTAAAGATAAGTAGTATTTTACAAAACTTTTGTTTTAATTAGGTGTGTGCATGTATATGTGCACATACATAAGTATGTATATATTGGTAAACATGTATTTCTTTCTTGGATGTCTCATTCAGAATTTGTAATATACTGGGTTATGACATAGAGAAATTGGGTTCGTATATAGGTATTTGCTGCTCAGTGATACTGCGCGTTCTGTGCTGAGTGTTGTATGGTACCTGAGAAAGTGAATGCTTTCAGTAACTAGTAAAAAACCCAGCAAAGATGATAAAACAAAGAGGAACCCACCTAACAGTATATATAAGAGCCAAAATGGATCAGGAAGGAGAAGAAGTCCTTTGGAAAGGCCTCATGGAAGAGATCTTGAAGGAATGGTAGGATTTGGATATGACAGAGGCCTTGAGATGCTGTGTCCGGAAGGGAATGGTGTAAGTGTTGAGGTGAAACAGAAAGTCCAGAAATATGTTCATGTACCACAGTGCTGAGATCCACTTGGTGGATGGTGAAGGAAGGAGGAAGACATTGGAAGTTGAATAGGAAAAATTACTCAGGGCTTAAGTACCAGCAAGGGGAGGAATCCAATCTCTTTATTAAAGGAAGAATCGTTGAACATCTTAAGCAGTGTTTTAGTGTGATGGAAGTGGGAGTTTAGAAGATCAGTGTAATGACTTCCTATAGACTAGATGGAAGGAATAGAACACTGAAAACAAGGAAACCCAGTTAAACTGTTGCCCTTGCTATAGGTGAGATAGGAAATGAGGATGTGGATTAAGATAGATGGCCCTGAGGATAGCAAGGAAGGGTCAATCTGGAGAGAAACCACCAAGCCAAAAAAAAAAAAAAAAAAAAACCAGAATTTGGTGACAGTTTTAAAGAAGAGATGAAGGAGAGAGAACATCAATAAAATAATTATGCTGTTTACCCCTAAGGTCATGGAATTAAGTATAACCCAGTCCCCAAACCCCCAACATAATATCTGTAAAAACAAGCTTCCAAGCATAATTCATATTCATTCATTTTCTCTCTCTCCCTCTCTCTCTCTTCCCCCACCACCACTCCTTTTTTTAGAGATGGGGTCTTGCTGTGTTACCCAGGCTGGCCTCCAACTCTTGGGCTCAAACGATCCTCCTGGCTCAGCTTCCTGCGTAGCTGGGGCTACAGGCACATGCCACTGTGCCTGGTCATGCCATAATACTCTCAAAAAGTAGGCTAAGGAGGTTTTATAGAGGAAGTAGCAAGTTATAATCATTAGATATGTCTTTCTAATACGATTTTCTCTTGTTTTGCTTAAAGACTTGGAGGTGGAAAACGTTAGACATCTGTCTTTAGGGTCTTACTTCAGAGTCCTAGTTTTACTGAAAATAGCAATATAGAAAACTCATGACAATTATAAAAGCATTAAGAGCTGGCTGTTGAGAATGTAAAGTTTAGTTATTTTACATAAAGTACCTTTATACAAGTCAAATTAAATACTAGGTAAGACTCTGTAAAGCAGTATCTTAGGCTTGTGTGTGTGTGTGGGCGGGGGGGGGGGTATCTTTTAAAAATTATCTTTCCTGTTCAGGTTCATTGAAACTTGATTCTTAAGGGACCTTCTGGTATGAATTTGAGACCCTGTTCTCCACTTTCCACCCTCCTTTCTGCTGCAAGATGCATAGATAAGCAGCAGTTTGTGTACACACAAATACTCCGTGCATGTGGGGGCGGCGGGGACAATGATTGGCTTCTGTTGAAAGAGCTTAATGATGGTGACAGCAGCATCACTGTTCTTGGCTCTGGAGTCTTCTGAAGAACCCACCTATCTGGGGTATGTTAGGTTTAATAAACCATGGCCAACACTTATAGCACTTACTCTGTACAAGACCCTATCATGAATTCCTGTAATCCTCACAGTCACACTGTGAACTAGTAGATACTGCTGTCCTCATTTTACAGATGAGAAAATCAAAGCATAGAGAAAGTAACTTGCCCAAGACGAGGCAATTCACATGGCAGTGCTGAACCTAGGCAGTCTGGCTCTGAAATCTGTGCCTTTAACCACTAACTTATGCTACCACCCTGGAAGCAAACCTTTATTTAGGATACATGGCTCTGGAATCAGAGCTTTCCCATGAGGTCTGAGCTACCTGGTTGCTGCGAGTGTTTTGAGTGGGTCCTGGAAGTCTGTTGCCTGTGTTTTGGAGATACAGCCAACCCAAATACAGACTTAGGTTCTAAGAAGGGTCATGATACAGTGTTTATCTTTAAAATCACAGCCCACCATTTGTTTTATTTCTTTGTCGTTTCTTTTATCCCAGATCACAAAACAGTATGATCTTAGAGGAGGACTGTTCTCTGCCTGAAACACGAATCTTTGGAGCCTTTAAACGTCTGTGGCTGTGGGAGAAGAAAGCCTCCTCTTATTGACGGCAGAGCATTTAATGACTGTAGAACCTGCTGGAGCTTTAGCCAAAGAGGGAGTTTATGTATAAGCTGGCCTTGAGGATCTTTGGTAGTGGGTAAAACAGAAGTAACCCACATTTTTTTATTATGCAAGGTATCTTGGGATTTAAGGTCATTTCTTCTCCTACTTATGAATGCCAAAATTGAGAACTTATGAATGCCAAATTGAGAACATCTCCAGTAATTGCCTCGTGGCACCAAGGAGTCTGAAGGAGTCTGTTTTTGTTCTTCTGTTTCTCTATCATACATATTTTTCACATTTGCATATTTAATGGTAGCACAATGATTTGAGTAAACTAAGTAGATTTGAGGGGCTTTAGGGGTTAAAGGAAACAGGTATATGTATGATAAATGGTTTGGCGTACACAGAAAGAGCTCAAGAAAAGGTAGGATATTCCTGGAGCCAGGTGCACTTGGGCTGGAATCACATGGCTCTGCCACTTATTAGCTTTGAGTCCTAGTAAGTCACTTTTCTGAGAAGATGGGAGTTTTAATTCTAATATCAGATTCTTGAAAGGAAAAATAAAATAAGGTACCGGAAACATTTAGGAAATTATTTGATGCTGATAAGTCTTTAGTAACTGGTGGCTTCTCTTTTCTGATAAACTTGAATGATCCTGGCAAGATTCTGTCCTCTCTTGAGCCATTCTTCTTGAGGCCTGCTTGTGTCCTTTAAACAAGTCGTTGCCTTCTTGGACTTTGGAGGGTAAAAGAATTCCTTCATTTCTGTGTTCATGTTCTATCAAATTGTGATTTCCTAAGTGACAAGAAACTACATTTCAGAACCTTCCTGGTGCATTAGAGAAATTATTTTATTTTTATTATTTATTTATTTATTTTTTGAGACAGAGCCTCTCTCTGTTGTCCAGGCTGGAGTGCAATGGCGCGATCTTGGCTCACTGCAACCTCCGCCTCCCAGGTTCAAGCGATTCTCCTGCCTCAGCCCCACTGAGTAGCTGGGATTATAGACATGCACCACCATTCCTGGCTAGTTTTTGTATTTTTAGTAGAGATGGAGTTTTGCCATATTGGACCAGGCTGGTCTCGAACTCCTGACCTCAGGTGATCCACCTGCCTCAGCCTCCCAGAGTGCTGGGATTACAGGCGTGAGCTGCTGCACCTGGCCTGAGAAATTATTTAAGACTGCTTCCTTAAGCCATCACAAATAATGGATTGAGTCAGAACATATGGGTGTGTCCAAAGGAGGAGGCACCTGAGTTGTCTGCCACAATTACAACGGTCCCTACAGGGAAAAGGTCCCTTAGGGAGGAAAGGATCATACCTGCATATTCTGTACGTGGGAGATCTTAATTTTTTTTTCTTTTTCTTTCTTAGAGACAGAGTCTGGCTTTGTCGCCCAGGCTGGAGTGCAAGGGAGCAATCATAGTTCACTGCAGCCTCAAACTCCTGGGTTCAATCAGTCCTCCCACCTCAGCCTCCTGAGTAGCTGCGACTACAGGCACGCCAGCAGGCCTGGCTAATTTATATACATATATATATATATATATATATATATATATATATGTATTTTAATAGAGACAGTGACTTACTGTGTTGCCCAGGCTGGTCTCAAACTCCTGGGCTCCAGTGATCCTCCTGCCTCTGCCTCCCAAAGTGCTGGGATTATAGGCATGAGCCACCATGGCTGGCAATATTTATCATTTGGTAATTGATTACCTATATTCTGCTTGGAGCAGTGAAGAGCCATGAAACATCAGTTTCCTATTTGACCTCTCACATGTGTCACAAGCCATGAACCATTCGTGGTTCGGTCTGTTTTGAAAGCAACCCAGCACAACCTCAGTTGCAGGTTCTTCTTGATCTCATTGCAAACAGCTGAGCAAATGTAAACAACTAGGGCAGCCACTTGTCCCTAAACAACTGGCTGCCCTAGTTGGCTGCTAGTCAACAACTGATTCACTTAATAAGCACTAAGGTCCTATTGAGGAAAGAGTGTGGAGCAGACACAGGTGGCCTAGTAGATGATAGATGATCCTTCTCTCCAAGGAGGCATCCAAATGTTGGAGGAACAAATGTGTTATTCAAATACCTGTCATACTTGGAAGAATAAGCACTGTATGAGGAGTCAGTGCAAATGGGGAGAAGCACAAAGGAAGCAGTCAATCCTAGCTGGGCGTGGGGGTGGGAGAACCTCTGTGGAAGAGACATCGTTTGACTTGGTCCTTGAAAGGTGAATTGGGAAGGAGACCATGCTAGGGTGAGGAACAGACATAGAAATAGCAAAGTGCATGCAGTGTTCAGGTGTGACTGGCTCGTCACACACATGGAATAAGATGAAGGTTAAAAACTAGACATTAGTACAAATCCTGGCTCTGTGTCTTCTTAGCTGTCACCATAACTTATTTGATGCCTCCCCCTTTCAAATCTGCAAGGCAGAGCTAATGACATGGAGATATGAGGATTAAAGGAGAGTGTATATAAAGGTCCAGCCTTACCCTAGGGGCTATACATAGATGTACTCAAAACATCAGGATGGATGGACCTGCTGGAAAATGACTAGGATAGGACCCTGATCAACAGAGCCTTAAATTCTTTGTTAAGTATTTCACACTTTAGGGAACATTAAAGATCTTTGGGAGAGAACAGGGTATAATCTGATTTATCTTTTGAAAAGATGATTTTATTCAACCCAAGGAAATCAGTTTTTATGTTGAGGGCCTCATTTGAAGGCCGAGCACAACTTCAAAGTAAGGCTGTTTTTCTATGCCAGAAATACTGTACCAAAATATCGATTGAATGTACTTTTCATGGACATTTTTTTTTTCTTTAAGTGGAATGCTATATTATTTTGATACAACTAAAGGCAGCTTTTTAGTTCTAATTGCCATTTGGTGATAATACTGCTGGCATATATTAGAAAAAATAAAACTGTGCAAAATTAGCTTCAGCATTGCAAAAGGCGAAGAAATGACTGTTGATCAGTTTTTCTTCTACTCTTGAATAGCTACTTATTTCTAAGCCCTGTCTGATAGCTAGTAGTATTCTGATCCATTTATAAGAAAATTCTATACTGCAAATCATCCAGTACATGTTTTTCCCTCCAGTATTTGTTATACTACCAAAAAATAAATGAAACCCTCACCCTCAGAGAAAAATTTAATTATGAGGCTTGCATATGCTTTGGGAATGCACTTTGGGGCTCCAGTACCAAACGCTATTTCCTGGCTCAGTCTTACATAGCAACTTTTCAAAGGACATGAGCCAAGTTGTGACCATTATGTGGCTTTCTCTGGATGCTCTAGGAATGGGGATGGGGAAGTCGCAGTGCAGGTTCATGAGCTGGGTATGGTTGACCACATTCCCCCTATTAAACATAGGAATGCTGGTATAGTGTTCATCTCTGGGCAAGATGACATACCTAGCCTCTTAATAAGCAGGTTAAAGTATACCCACCTCTTTCCACTAAGATTATGATTATGATAAGACACATGGAAAATATAGTTAGAGTAGTGCTAATATCCAAAAGTCGAAAAAGAAGGGGAAAACATATAGGCTGATCACCAGATCTAACAGTTACTCTACGTTTGATTCTGAATTTCCTAGCATCCGAGGCAAAAAGGGAAACAATTATTGTTATCTGATAGATAACACTGCACACCCTTGTTATATTCACTTACTTATCTAGGAAGCTATACTTTAGGAGACAAGTTACTTTCCCTTTTGTGCAGGGTGCCTATAATGAACACAGCATGGCCTGATAGAGTTCGTTCAGGCTGGAGATGCCGAAAGACTCTGCAAGACAGGTGCTGGATTTGTAACTATCGTTTAGAAACTTACACTAAGTACAGGTCCCTTCTAAGAAGGCCCACCCTGTGTGTTTTAGGGGTAAGTGAGGTGGTGAATGAATGTGATGGGAAATGTAGAAGACTGGGCTGCCAGGGCAGGGCAGTAGGCAGACCCTCTGCTCCCAGGCTTGGCCTCTTTTCTCTGCTCTCTGACTAAGGGCCTCAGAGACTCGTTTTTCCTGGGGGCGGTTCTCCCAGAGTAAACTCGATATTCCCACATCCCCTTCCTTGCTGGCTTCCCCTCTTCCTGGGGAGGTTTTACTGACAGACACTGCCAGAAACCTATGGGAATGAACAAGCATGGATGGGAAATTTTCCAGAACTGCCCCCAAAAGACCTTAAGTTTAGTGCCTAGCAGCTCTTGCTCACCCCTTCTCTCCTTCTGAGTTAGGAACTAAAAGCTTCAGTGGACATTTGTTCTGTGTTTAGTCCTAAAATTAGGCCTGGTTCTGCCAGACACGGTGGCTCATGCCTGTAATCCCAACACTTTGGGAGGTTAGGGTGAGAGGATAACTTGAGCCCAGGAGTTCAAGGTTGCAGTGAGCTAGTGATGGTATCACTGCACTCCAGCCTGGGTGACAGAGTGAGAGACCTCTCTCTCTCTCACTCTGTGTGTGTGTGTGTGTATATATATATATATATATTTAAATTTAAAAGGCATGGTTCTTAGTTCCCAGGCCTGGAGAGGTAAGGGGCAGATATTAAATAAATGTACACTTCCCTTTCCCAAACTTGCTCGTTTTCAAGGTACACAGGGTCCCCAGAGACTCCCTGCTCCTCTTAGAAGTTGCCTTTTTTGGGTGTTGCCTCACATCCCTCCACAGTTTCCTCCCCAGGGACTGTGGCTGTCCTTGCCTTGCAATTGGTGCTCATGTAAGGTTGGTCTATTTTCATCACTGTAGCCTTCCCTTCTACTTTTCAAGGGACATTCTTGCTGAATCTGGCCTTTCTCCCCCTTTAATTCTTACGTAGATTTAGTACGTACAAATCTTTACCAGGTCAGACTAATTTTGTAAAGAATTAGTTTGTATTTATTGGAAGTGTGATTTATAAGCTGTTTTGAAGAAAGATACATTTTTTAAGTGCGTGTAACTCAAAGGAGATTACCACTGTTTCCTGGTAGAGGCTTAATGAGAAGATAATTATTTCTAATTACAGTATCAAGTGTTTGTGAGTGCTTGAGGATGCTTGAAGAATTTGTTTTTCAGAATCTTAAACACTGCCTAATCTCCTTTACACTATTAATTTGCAGTGTCTGGAGAAAGGACTGGGCCATGAAAGATATATGTATTCTAGCCCCTGTTCCAAATGATCCCTAATTCTAGAGTGACGAGATTTTACTTTACCAGCTCTCAGGAAATAGAATTCTTCTTCTTCTTCTTCTTCTTCTCCTTCTCCTTCTCCTTCTCCTTCTTCTTCCTTCTTCTTCTTCCTTCTTCTTCTTTCTTCTTTCTTCTTTCTTTTCTTTTCTTTTTTTTTTTTTAGATGGAGCCTGTTGTCCAGGCTTGAATGCAGTGGCACAGTCTTGGCTCACTGCAACCTCTGCCTCCAGGGTCCAAGTGATTCTCCTGCCTCAGCCTCCTGAGTAGCTGGGATTACAGGCACCCGCCACCATGCCTGGCTCTTTTTGTTTTTTCTTTTCTTTTGAGACAGAGTCTTGCTCTGTCTCCCAGGCTGGAGTGCAGTGGTGCAATCTCTGCTCACTGTAACCTCCACCTCCCAGGTGCAAGCGATTCTCCTGCCGCAGCCTTTCGATTAGCTGGGATTACAGGCACCTGCCACCATGCCTGACTAATTTTTCTATTTTTATTAGAGACGGGGTTTTGCCATGTTGGCCAGGCTAGTCTCGAACTCCTGAGCTCAGGTGATCTGCCCGCCTCAGCCTCCCAGAGTGTTGGGATTACAGGCATGAGCCACCGCGCCTGGCCGAAGATAATTATCTCTAATTACAGTATCAGGTGTTTGTGAGTGCTTGAGGATGCTTGAAGAATTTGTTTTTGAGACTCTTAAACACTGCCTAATCTCCTTTACACTATTAATTTGCAGTGTCTGGAGAAAGGATTGGGCCATGAAAGATATGTGTATTCTAGCTCCTGTTCCAAATGATCCCTAATTCCAGAGTAATGAGATTTTACTTTACCTGCTCTCAGGAAATAGAATTTTTTTTTTTTTTTTTTTTTTGAGATGGAGCCTGTTGTCCAGGCTCAAATGCAGTGGCGCAATCTTGGCTTACTGCAGCGGCGCAATCTTGGCTTACTGCAGCCTCTGCCTCCGGGGTCCAAGTGATTCTCCTGCCTCAGCCTCCTGAGTAGCTGGGATTACAGGCACCTGCCACCACACCCGGCTCATTTTTTTTTGCATTTTTAGTAGAGACAGGGTTTCACCATGTAGGCCAGGCTGGTCTCAAACTCCTGACCTCAAGTGATCCACCCACCTCAGCCTCCCAAAGTACTTAGATTACAAGTGTGAGCCACTGCGCCCGGCCGGAAATAGGATTCTTGAGGCTACAGAATTTCTTTTGTCAGTGATGCCAAGAGAGGAAGAAGGGGGGATGCGAGGAATAAAACCTTTATGGCAAAACTATTGACTCAGTTCCCGTGCTGTACACGGTGCACTTATTTAAAGTTCAGAGTGTGCTATTGTCAGACCTGAACTATGAAAGGAAATGTTCCTTGTCTAAACAAGTTAGAACAAACACTGTACTAAGACACTCTCCTAATAAAATGTCCTTCTGGATATCATATGAAGGTCCTTAAGATTTTTCCCCTCCAGCACACAGTGGGGGAAAGTGCAGCTTTCTTCTAGCAAATGTAGGTATTGAATATTCTGTGTAGGTGTCCCATGAAGGTAGTAATATGTTTCTAGTAACAGATAACAAGGAGCCTTATCCAGCCCCTGGAGTTATTTTTCTAGTATAGGTTAGCTCTGTTAGCAAGGATGCTGGGATCCGGTGGTTCAGTTAGCTTCCCTGTTCACTGACTCTGGCTAGACATTTTGCAAGTGCATGTCAAGTGTGACCCCAGGATAGCAAGAGGGAGATGGGCTAGGGGTATCTCTCATATATGTATATTTATTTATTTAGAGACAGGGTCTCCCTCTGTTGCCCAGGCTGCCAGGCTGGAGTGCAGTGGCGTGATTCATGCTCACTGCAACCTCCACCTCCCAGGCTCTTGACCCTCGTGCCTCAACCTCCCGAGTAGTCAGGATTACAAGTGCATGCCACCATGCCTGGCTAATTTTGGGTTTGTTTTTTTTGGTAGAGACAGGGTTTCACCATATTGCCCAGGCTGGTTTCGAAATCCTGGGCTAAAGCAATCTCCCCTCCCAAAGTGCTGAGATTACAGGTGTGAGCCACTGCATCCAGCCACTGTATCTTATATATTTCTTTTTTTTTTTCCTACGAGGAAACACCAATTTTAATTTAAAGAAAAAAAAAAATCAGAAATTGTCTGTAAGGATAACAGAGCAAAACAAGTCCTGAAAAAGAGCTCTGCATCTTGGTGGTCATATTTATTGAAGAGCTTTAGAAAAGTTAAAATGCCATTTAGCTTAAGAAGTTGTGAATTATCTGCAAATCAATTCATTTCAGGAGTGGGAGAATCCCCAGAATTATTTCTTAATATCAGAATGTATGCAGGTTTCTCTTTTGAATGCCTTGTACATTTAGAAAGGCTACTGTACGAAGTCTCGTATTTTCCATACAGGACAAATTGTTTCATCCAGCTGTCAATGGAGGGGCAACCAGCACGACCATCTCCCAGGACAAAGAGCATTGGAATATTCTGTTTCCTTGATTTATATATCTCTTCGTATGTTTCTTCATCAATTTCTATAGTAGTCGCGGTTTCTTCCTCATCTCCCAAGATCATATTTAAATGTTGATCATAAGCATGTGATCTGCCTTGAAGCTCTCGGTCATTTCTCATTTTCACATAAACTCACTCATCTAGGCTGAGCCCGATAACATCCAGGGGCTCCTCTCCAGTGTTGGTAGTTTGTTGCGGGTGCACATCGTCCCCCATGTTTCAGACCCTGCGCCGTCTCCCGCCTCTCCTGAGAACACAGGAGCAACTCCAGTCTCCGGAAGCGTGAGGACACAACCCCGCTTGTTTCTGATAGAAAAGCTCCTGTTCTTCTGGGAGAACACACAAAGGTACCCCACTGTGGGGCCATGCTGAGCCCCACATCGGTCTCCCAGCTGTATCAGCCAGCACAGAGAAGGGCACTCTCCCTTCCCTCCAGGCAGATCCAGGGCTTATCTGCTGTTTGCCTTTTCCCACATGGCCTCACTTGCTAGGCCCTTAGGGACAGGGCTTCTTTCTCCAGAGGTCCTTTATCTTTTATTTTTATCTTCTGTTTTTAATCTCATTCTCTCTCTCCTCTTAGTGATTGTAAATGCGTAGGCATTGTTCCAATACAAGCAGTAAGCTTTTTTATCTTCATAAAGTTATTTGGCCCAAATCACTGTTTATATTTTAGAATATGGAACAAAGTGGATCACTTAAAGCCAGGAGTACAAGACCAGCCTGGCCAACATAGTAAAACCCCATCTCTTCTAAAAAAAAAAAAAAAAAAAAAAAAATTAGCAGGGCGTGGTGGCACTCACCTGTAATCCCAGCTTCTCGGGAGGCTGAGACGGGAATCACTTGAACATTGGAATTTGCAGTGAGCGGAGATCGCGACACTGCACTCCAGCCTGGGCGACAGAGAGAGACTGTCTCAAAAAAAAAAAAAAAAGAATAGATTTTATAGACTATATCAGACCTGACTGATGTGGCTCCAGAGCTGTGGACACAAAGTTACAGCCACGATTATTTCAAGTTCAGCCTGAGGGAGAATTTTCTGACAGAGTAGTCTAAACGAAGCCCAGATTATCCATGCAATGGATGACCATGTTAAGGGCATTGCAGAGGTTCTCGCGGGATCTGGGGCTGAGCTGGTACAGATCTTGCTAAGTCTTGCATATTTCATAAACCTGAGTTGAGCCCCACCTAAGCTATTTATTATTCATGGGCTTCAAGAAACATACCCTTTACAAGTCTCGGTTTTCTCATAAAAGGGTTGGTGTGAAGAATATATGAATGCATTAAAAAATCTTTAGCACAGTGCCTGATTCACAATAAAAGTATTCAGTCATTTTTAGGCAGGTAGGCACTGGAGACAGACAGCCAGAATTTCCAGCCTGGCTCTGCCGGTTACTGGCTGTGTGCCCCCAGGCAATTTACTTAACTTCTCTGTGACTAGTTTATAAAATAGTAATAATAGTAGAACCTACCTCAGAGAGTTTTTAACAATTAAGAAAGGTACTACACATGTCACTAACATGATATTTTACCTCGTGGGCATGTAATAGGATTATACTCCCCTGTCCCCTAGAAGTTAGGTAGGGTCAGTGTAATGAGTTCTCTGTCTTTTAGAGAACGTCCAGACGGTAGAGGCCCCACCGTAACCTGGGTCCCCTCACTGACTCACAGCCAACTTTCTAGCATTTGCATGGAATAAGCCTTTCTTTTATAGCCACTGAGATTTTGACATTAATACGATGGCAAAGCCTAGCACATTCTGGGTGGCATATCATAGGAGCAGCCTAGACCAGGGGTTTCCAATCTTTTGGCGTCCCTGAGCTACATTGGAATAAGAAGAACTGTCTTGGGCCACACATAAAATACACTAACACTAACGATAGCCAATGAGCTAAAAAAAAACAACAACCTCATACTGGCCAGGCGTGGTGGCTCATGCCTGTAATCCCAGCACTTTGGGGGGCCGATGTGGGCGGATCACCTGAGGTCAGGAGTTTGAGACCAGCCTGGCCAACATTGTGAAACTCCATCTCTACTAAAAATACAAAAATTAGCTGGGTGTGGTGGCATGTGCCTTAGTTCCAGCTACTCGGGAGGCTGAGGCAGGAGAATCACTTGAACCCAGGAGGTGGAGGTTGCAGTGAGCCGAGATTGCACCACTGCACTCCAACCTGGGTGACAGAGTGAGACTGTCTCAAAAAAAAAAAAAAAAAATCTCATACCGATTTAAGAAAGTTTACGAATTTGTGTTGGGCTGCATTCAAAGCCATGCTGGGCCGTGGATTGGACAAGGTTGGCCTAGACTTTAGACCTGAAATAGAGTTCAGCTAAAGTGATTAATAGTAAAAAATGTCAGTGATACTGACTTACATACCAAGGCCACGAAGACTTGTAAAAGCCTTCAGGTATTGAACGTGCAGGTCCTTGTGGACCTATGCATAAATCTTCACTCACATGTACTTGGAAATACCTGTTGCCTTGGAAATGCCAGCCCATTTGAAGGATCTGACCCTTTTCTTGTAATGCCTGAGGCTCAAACAGCCTTTCTTTAAGCAAAGGTTCATTGTCTTCAGCCTTGAGACTAAGCAGGCCGTTGTCATCTGTCACATTGTTGTGATAGCTCTGCATCCCTACACATTGTGGCTACTCTGTGGCCTCCAGAACCTCAGAGGACTCCTGCCTCAGTCCCTGTCGTTCCAGGGTCCACAGGAGCCCTACATTCTGGTTCTGTTTGCTGGGGGGTGGGTGGTGTGCCTCTGTGTTGGTACCCTTCCTTTTTGGTTCATCTCCCTCTGGAGCTTTAGCGGGTTAATACAGAGTGTCCTGGGAGACAGCCTTCCGTGAATCCTGCACAGTGTGTCCAAGCCGCACTGGTGGTGACTGAGTTGCTGTGCCCGTGTCCGGTGAGTAAGGTGAGCTAACTTGGTGTGTTGTGCTGGAGGCCTGGTTCATTGCAGAGGTGGTGCAGGGTTAGATTTTGACGTCTGTCCGGGACTCAGGCTTTTCCTCAGCCTTTGTTCCAGAGCATTGGGGTGACAGTGGAAATGTCTCCAGTGCCGGAAAGAAAACACAATGAGGAATGGCGTTTCAGTAGGCGGATCTGCCTTTCATCTAAAGTAATAACAGCCAAGTATTCTGGAAGAATTGAAAGAGGCTAGCAGTCATTCTTAAAAGCAAAGTCTTTTCTGCCAAAACAGTAGTACATTTTATTTTTAAAAGACTTGAAAATACAAAAGAATGACCCCGCATAACCCCACGGTGCAAAGGTCAGCATTGTTAACACTTTGGAGTTTGTTTCCCTTTCAGTTTTTACATACATTTTTAAATGAAATTGAATTTAGGTACATTTTAGAATGAAATTGGAATGATAACAGTAACAAACATTTGTTGAAATCATTCAGTGTGCCAGGAGGTCACACTTGAAGAGGTGAACACTTTACATACATTTTCTCATTTATTCCTCACAACTCTTTGAAGAATCATTATGTCCATTTTCAGAAGTGAAACTGAGACACAGAGAGGCTAAGTCATTTTTCCAAGGTCCCACAGCTCTTAAGAGTGGTGCCAAGATGGAAACCAAAGCAGTCTGTTTCCGGAGCCCTTGGGCTTTTTATGATGCAGTACTGTCTCACAGTAATGATAGCTTGGATTACACTTGATGGAGTTGTGCAGTATTAGTTCTGAATTGTCTGGTTCTGTCTCCTTGTTCTATAGATTCAGAAATGGAAGCCCGTAGAGGTGACTCAGTTTACCCAAGAACACATACATAGTAAATGTCAGCGCCCAAACAGAAACACAGTGTCCTGATCCACACAGTGTACACTGAGTCTAGATAACCAGAAACCTTTGTCCTTCCTGCGTCCTAACCCTGAAACCAAGCTGCAATGTATAGTGTATTGTATAGGGTCAGTGCCAAGTCTGGATTAAACGAAGGGTGGAGGACTGGCAGCTTTCTTTTAGCACGCACATGTAATTTCAGTTTGTGTTCAGGGAATTTACAGGCATCTAACAATGATAGGTGTAGCTGTCTCTCAATTATCCCATGCAGTGCTAGCTAGGGTTATAAAAGGGCAAAAGGAGCAGCCCAGTAATAGTTCCAACTTTATACCCTCATCAAACATTTTTAACTGAGATTTGCTGACAAGCAGTAAGATCGATTGATTTGGGGCTTTAAATGCTGTTGCTTTCGCCAACCTGGACTCTTGAGAACATGCAAAGCATTGTTAAATCATAAAGTAAGCCAAAAGTCATTTGGCCATCTGTGCATAAACATTCCTGTGCATACAAGGCTGTCCTGTAACGAGAGGTCTGTGAGAGCATGAGGCTTTGCCTTGAGACTCAGAATTGGATGACCAGCCCTGATGCAGTTGAGAATTAAAGGAGTAAGAACAGGTGTTTATTTACTGCTCGGTTTGGTAAGGTAAAATATGAAAACCTTTCTACCTCTAGATGTTGTTGTGGACTTCTCAATAGAGAATGCCAGCCAGATTTTAAATAACTTC
The DNA here is from genome assembly GCF_000001405.40 of Homo sapiens. NCBI lineage: Eukaryota > Metazoa > Chordata > Mammalia > Primates > Hominidae > Homo > Homo sapiens. The sequence continues at coordinate 94,586,537 of NC_000012.12, read as the reverse complement.
ATCTCGTCTTATCTGTGAGCTCCAGGAGGGCAAAACCAAGTTCTTATGAAACTCACAAACAGTGCTGAGTGAAAAATGACAAGAAGAATACATGTATACAACAGGCAAAACTAATGTATGCGGTTTGAAGTGAGGATCATGGTTGCCCCTGGAGGTGGAGGTGATGTCGTTGAGATTGAAGGAGGGCACAAGGGAGGCTTCTGTTCTATTTCTTTAACTGGCTGCTGGTCACACAATGTGTTCAGCTTGTAAAAATTCATCGAGTACTTATTTCACTTTGTACTTATTACATGTGCTCTTTTCTGAGTATAAATTATGCTTCAATTAAAGTTTTAAAGTCCTTATTTGTATTTGTGTATCTTGTTGCACATTGATACTCGGAAAAAAATCTCTGTTTAGTTGAATCAGTTTCAAATGGTGCCAGATTTATTATCCAGGTATTGGGAAGCCATCTTCACCTGGAATTGTCAGGGCTATGCGAGCAGAACTTCTGAGGTGATTTTTTGGCTCAATGGAAAGGTGTCTTAAATGATTCCAGGGCAGACTCCTTGGAATAAAGAATGATGGCACTTTGGTTCAGTAGACAAACATTTATTGACAGCCTCCTAGGGAAGTACGTGAACTTCAAGTTAGGTACAGCTATGACATCATGCCTCCCCAAAGGAGCTTGCAGTCTGCAGGGGGTTAAAGTGCATGGGTGGTGATCAAAGGAGGAGTCAGGAAGTGCCACAAGACAAGCACAGAGCAACAGGCATGTCACAGAATGGAGAGGGGGTGTTCCACTGGGACTGGGAAAAGCTTCATGGCAGAAGGGGCATTTGAAATGGGTTTTGTTTGTTTGTTTGTTTGTTTGAGACGGTGTCTCGCTCTGTCACTCAGGCTGGAGTGCAATGGCTCACTGCAACCTCCACCTCCTGGGTTCAAGCAGTTCTCCTGCCTCAGCCTCCCGGGTAGCTGGGACTACAGGCACGTGCCACCATGCCTGGCTAATTTTTTTGTATTTTTAGTAGAGACAGGGTTTCACCGTATTAGCCAGGATGGTCTCGATCTCCTGACCTTATGATCCACCCGCCTCAGCCTCCCAAAGTGCTGAGATTACAGGCGTGAGCCACTGCGCCTGGCCCTTGAAATGGGTTTTAAAGAATACGTAGGATTTTGATAAGCATGAGTAAATGGGTGGCAGGCATTGTGAATATCATGCATATGAGAAAATCCATAGAAAATTCATATACATTCTGGGAATTTAGGTTGTAAGATATTCTTAAGGGGTCCTTCAGGTGAGGTGACGCCTGAAAGGTGGGCTAGGGCCTTATAGCCCTATAAGGTCCTTCCTAATGCCTGCTAAATGAAATGATGTGCCAGGTTATATTATTTCATTTAGTAGCCATTAGGAAGCCAAAGGAAGTTTCTAAGACATAGAGTAGCATGATCAGATATAATATCTCCAGCAAAATCAAATTTTTAGCCTCAGTGATTGTACAGTTACCATTAATTACCCATCTGCCCAAAATAAACATTTTCTAAGTTTCATGCATTCTCTGTTGCTATAATTTGAACCTGTTCCTGTTTGGGTCCACTAATGAGCCACAGATACTAGATTCCTTGAGCTTCCTGTGGTCGACCCTCTAGGACTTAAAGATTGTTGTATACCTTCTTTATTCCCTATCCCCATCCTTCCCTCTTGACCAGGTGAAGTCACAACTTCTTTATCCTTTTTTCATATATCCTGTTTTCTAGTCTTGTAGTGATTGGGCATTTATTTCCCTCCAGCTTTTCCTATATGGTGCTCCTCTGCCAGATAAAGCAACCAGTGTCTCTCCTTCATGACAAAATTGTGCATTGGAAGAGAGGGGCTAAGAGCTAATGCTAACGAATGTTTGTAAGTTGTGGAGGAGGCCTGACCCGCCCATCTAGGATGGTGTCCCACTGTGCTGCTGTGCTCCCTCCTCTGGAATAAAGCACTGGGCAGGATTTATAACGTGGTGAAGTGTTAATACCCGTTGTTGGATATGGTCCATATTCAAGTCTGGATCACCTAGAGCATTAGTCTGTTCTCACATTGCTATAAAGAAATACCTGAATCCTGATAATTTATAAGAAAAGAAGTTTAATTGGCTCACGGTTCTGCAGGCTGTGTACAGGAAGCATGGCTTCCTCTGGTTCTGGGGAGGCTGCGGGGAGCTTTTACTCATGGTGGAAGGCAGAGCGGGAGCAGGCACTTCCCACGGCGAAAGCAGGAGGATGCCTGCAAGAGACGGGAGGTGCTACACACTTTTAAACAACCAAATCTCAGGAGGACTCACTACCATGAGAACAGCAGCAGAGGGATGTTGCTAAACCATTCATGAGAAATCCGCCCCCATGATTCGATCACCTCCCACCAGGCCTCACCTCCAACACTGGGGATTACAATTGAACATGAGATTTGGATAGGGACACAGATCCAAACCATATCACTTAGTGGGAGATTCATTAATTTTTTACTAATTTTTTTGCTGTCAGCCCACTAATTCCTTAAAAAAAAAGGTAACATGCTGAATATTGTCTTGCTTCTCATTTGATTTCTATTAAGACTGTATATCAAGTCATTAATCTAATCAAAGGGATATTGACAAATGAGATGCTTCAGTTTGGATCTTAAGACTTGTTTGTAGATTGTGTTTGAACTCTACAAAGAGCTGTTTTTCATCCTCCAGGAACATCAACAATGGAGTGACCTGACATGGAAAGAGGGTTACAGTTAGGATGACTTGGATTCAAATCCTGGCCTTAACCCTTGGTGTCTACATGTTTATGAATCTAGCATGTTCTTTGTCTGGCATGGTAGTGAAGTGAGACAACCCATGAGAGGCATCCATAGACCCTGGGATATGGTCTACTTCTGCCTTTTCCTTTTAGAGCACAAACTTGCCACCCCCTTCACCAGGAAACTCAATGCTGCGTTGCAGTTCTTTTCCCTAAATGGCCCTTGAGTGAGAAAACTATTTTATGTGGTCTTAGTTTTCTCATTATTTTATTTATTTATTTTTTGAGACAGAGTCTCACTCTGTTGCCCAGTCTAGATAGAGTACAGTGGTGTGATCTCGGCTCACTGCAACCTCCACCTTCCGGGTTCAAGTGATTCTCCTGCCTCAGCCTCCCGAGTAGCTGGGATTACAGGTGCCCACCACCATGCCCAACTAATTTTGTATTTTTAGTAGAGATGGGGTTTCACCATGTTAGCCAGGCTGGTCTCAAACTCCCGACTTCAGGTGATCCACCTGCCTGGGCCTCCCAAAGTGCTGGGATTATAGGTGTGAGCCACCTCGCCCAGCAGCGCCACGCCCCCACCCCCCGGCCTTTTTTTTTTTTAATATCACTGTGGTGTGGTTTGAGGTTGTTTCCATATCTAAATACTGTTGTATTACCCAATTATTAAAGTTAATCTTGTACCATATTATTCTATCACATCTATTTAATGATTCCATTAAGAAAATAATGTTCTTGTTTGATGGATGTACCTGCTCGTATCTTTTTCCCTATTTTTCCCCATCTTTCTTTTTTAAAAAAAAAAAAAAAAAAAAAAAAAAAAAGATTCTCCTTCTATTAAGTGAGTGAGTTCTGAGTTGGATGCGTTCCCCATAGTGGTGAAGTTCCCAGTGAATGTGGTATGGCAGGCATTCCAGTTACCTGGGCACTTTGGGAGACCGGGACTGACTGGTGACCTCATTCTATTTTGCGTTTTCTACCCTGGGAGCCAGGTTACAGTCTCATTACACAAAAAAAGTGGATACCCTGGGAGATCTGAATCTCACAGCTACTTAGTGTAGATGGATGCAGGAAGGAGCCAGGCTGCCTCTATGTTCAACTGGAGGGGACAGCAGGGGGATTTTATCCCGTGACACTTGTAGTTCGAAAAACTGGGACTTCATGTATGTATCTTGTATGTGCATAGATTCTGTCACAGTAATTATCTCTTTGACTTCAAATTTTAATGTGCTTCTTTCCTGTCTCTTTCAGGTAGAACGTCATGACATGAATACCTTAAGCCTGCCCCTGAACATACGCCGAGGGGGGTCAGACACCAACCTCAACTTTGATGTCCCGGATGGCATCCTGGACTTCCACAAGGTCAAACTCACTGCAGACAGCCTGAAGCAAAAAATTCTAAAGGTAACAGAGCAGATAAAAATTGAGCAAACATCGCGCGATGGGAATGTTGCGGAGTATCTGAAACTAGTGAACAACGCAGACAAGCAGCAGGCGGGACGTATCAAGCAAGTCTTTGAGAAGAAGAATCAGAAATCAGCTCACTCCATCGCCCAGCTGCAGAAGAAGTTAGAGCAGTATCATCGAAAGCTCAGAGAGATCGAGCAGAATGGAGCCTCTAGGAGCTCAAAGGACATTTCCAAAGACCACCTGAAGGATATACATCGCTCTTTGAAAGATGCCCACGTGAAATCTCGAACTGCCCCCCATTGCATGGAGAGCAGCAAATCGGGCATGCCAGGGGTCTCACTTACTCCACCTGTGTTCGTTTTCAATAAGTCCAGAGAGTTTGCCAACCTGATCCGGAATAAGTTTGGCAGCGCCGACAACATTGCTCACTTGAAAAATTCCTTAGAGGAGTTTAGGCCAGAGGCGAGTGCCAGGGCCTACGGGGGCAGCGCTACCATCGTGAACAAACCCAAGTATGGCAGTGATGATGAATGTTCGAGTGGCACGTCAGGCTCGGCCGACAGTAACGGAAACCAGTCGTTTGGGGCTGGTGGAGCCAGCACACTGGACAGCCAGGGCAAGCTCGCCGTGATCCTGGAGGAACTGAGGGAGATCAAGGATACCCAAGCTCAGCTGGCTGAGGACATCGAGGCACTGAAGGTGCAGTTTAAGAGAGAATATGGTTTTATTTCTCAGACCCTGCAAGAGGAAAGATACAGGTATTTCAAAGTATTCCATTGGCGTGTTTTTTATTTTTTATTTATTTATTTTTTTATTTTATGTTATTTTATTTTTTCATTTTGAAAACTTTTTTATTACCACGGATACTTAGTGGGTACGTGATAGGTGTGGCATTCTTTTAAAAGGATGAGTTACTGCAGAGAGATTGCTTGAAATAAGAATGCCTTATGGTTACATTTTCAATAAATATGGATATGGATTAAAGGGCGTTTAGCAATCAATACATCCCTAATGTATTGATGCATCCCTCATGCAAAACTCTGAAATCCAGAATGTTCCCAAATCTGAAACTTTTGGAGTGTCAGCACAATGCCACAACTGGAAAATTCCACAAATAAATACTTAACACAAACTTGAGGCACAAAATTATTTAAAATATGGTACACTTTTACCTTCAAGCTATGTGTATATGATGCATAGGAAACAAATGAATTTTGTCTTTAGACTTGGGTCCCATTTTTGAGGTATCTCCGTATATATATGCAAATATTCCAAAATCTGAAAAAAATCAAAATCTGAAACACTTCTGGTCCCAAGCATTTCAGATAAGGGATACCCAATAATTTCCATCCTTCATGATTCTAAGTTTATAATTTGTGGCTTTTAGCTGACAATTAGAGAAGGATTTATGTGTGGGTCCTTAAATTATTGGATACAGGCAACAACTCACGTGCATCTTAAGATGCTGATTCAGTAGACTTCCGTTATAGTGTCATTATGCTAATTCAGAGATCTATATTTGATTTCCCTCCATAACAACTGTCAAGTACACACTTACTCATTACCCAACAAAGTTAATCTTATTTGGCACATCAATCTTGAAGTCCTTATGTAATGTTTGTTTGTTTGTTTGTTTGTTTGTTTGAGATGGAGTTTTCACTCTTTCTCCCAGGCTGGAGTGCAGTGGTGCGATCTTGGCTCACTGCAACCTCTGCCTTCTGGTTTCAAGCGATCCTCCTGCCTAAGCCTCCCGAGTAGCTGGGATTATACGCACCCACCACCACGCCCAGCTAATTTTTGTATTTTTAGTAGAGATGGGGTTTCACCATATTGGCCAGGCTGGTCTCAAACACCTGACCTCAGGTGATTCGCCCGCCTTGTCCTCCCAAAGTGCTGGGATTACAGACATGAACCACTGCACCCAGCCTATGTAATGTATTTTTTTATGTTCTGTAGTTTGCTCATTAAACTTTTTACTCTAAAGTAAAATAAAGAACTTTCCAAAGTCATCTTAAGATTAAAGTATACATTCAAAACCTTTGGCTTATATTAGGTAATTTTAAAGTAGATGTTTTGTAGGCTGGCTTTTAGGTGCTTATAACTTATTAACACAAAGTGTGTAAGCCCAAATATAAGGTCATTTTCCCCATTTTTTCCAATAAAGAGATACTTCAAAAGTTTTTTAGTCAAAGTTAATAATACATTAACTTCTAAAAAGGTAGATAAAATAGTAAAATGCCTATTACATACTATAACATTAAAAGTTTAAATTTAGTTTACTTATTGTTTTATAATTGATGTATGATTTTATGTCTGTATTAATTTAGAAATGTGGCCTTTTCAATTCTCCAATTTTATGAAACAAAAATCTTTCCATATGCATCTTTGGAATCTTTGTCACACAAGAATTATATTTTAAGTCACAGCTTTTCCAGAGTATGAACGTCAGTTCTATCGAAATAGTCTGGGATATAGCACTTTCTAGATGCACATTTTCTCCCAAGTTACAGATCCCTATTTATGTGAGTTCAGGACGGTTTCTGTTTGCATCTGTCCTGTGGTTACGTTTGTGACCCGCGTGTTACAGTCACCACCTGTATTACTGAAGAGACCTTTAAAGGCTTATTCACAGCAGTAGCAGCATTTGACATCTGAGAAGTCATGCCTGAGAATAAGCATTAAATCTGGATGAAGCTCTTTGGTCCTCTTTATAAAATGATTCTGTCAGGTGACCTATGTAAGCATCTGAAATTGGCGTTGATCAAAGTCATTCCAGTCTAATGAATGCATCTTCTCCAAACAGTACATCCTGTTTCAAAATACACAGTATAAGATTTTTTGTTTTGTTTTGTTTTGTTTGTTGTTGTTGTTTTGAGATGGAGTCTTGCTCTGTCGCCTAGGCTAGAGTGCAGTGGCGCGATCTGGGCTCACTGCAGCCTCCACCTTCTGGGTTCAAGCAATTCTCCCATCTCAGCCTCCCGAGTAGCTGGGATTATAGGCACGTGCCACCACACCCAGCTAATTTTTGTATTTTTAGTAGAGACGGGGTTTCACCATGTTGGCCAGACTGGTCTCGAACTCCTGACCCCAGGTGATCCACCTGCCTTGGCCTCCCAGAGTGTTAGGATTACAGGCGTGAGCCACTGCACCCAGCTAAGGTTTCAAATATGAGAAAAATAATCTTCAGTGAGAGGGGCAGGGCACAGGAATGAGAATCTTTGTACTTCTGTTCCTTTAGATTTGGACATTTTGAAACACTGCATGATGAACCATCTATAATTTGTAATAAGCTTAATTTTGTATTGTCAGTTAAGTTCCAAGAGCTGAAATCCATAATCAGTGCGTGTTTGCATGCTGGGAAATAGTAGAGTTGACCCCAGAGTAGAAGGTGATACTAAAAGCATGGTGCTTTCCCTGTGGGCTCTCTGGCCATGAACCCCAACAGCAGTGTCAGGGCAGAATAGGGAAAAGGCACCACAGACACCAGAGGTCCTGGCCCTCCTTTAGCAGGATCCCACAGAGCCCTGTCTCCTGCCTGGCCCTGGCAAGTGCATCAGCTGATGAGCTCTATCTTGAGGTCACTGCAGCTAGCTAAGGTGCTAGTCTGACCCGTGTGCACCTTCAGTGGCAAGGACAGAGAGTCAAGACCCCAGAGACTGGATCTTTCCAGAGCTGGGACTCAGTGTTATCCAAAAGCTCAATTCCCACAGCTAGCCTTACTCTTTTAGAAAAACAGCCCATCAGGGAATGAGAGCAAGCCAAAAGGTACTGGCGCAGGAAGATAAAAAGGACATCGTTCCACAATGTGCTGTGAAAGGTCACACTGGGAATCGGCTCCTCTCTTTTAAAGGTATGAGCGACTGGAGGACCAGCTGCATGACCTGACGGACCTGCATCAGCATGAGACAGCCAACCTGAAGCAGGAGCTGGCCAGCATTGAGGAGAAGGTGGCCTACCAGGCCTACGAGCGCTCGCGGGACATCCAGGTACCTTTCCCTTTGTGATTAGACACAGGCCTGGGCTCTTCCCGAGCCTTAATTCATTTAACAGTCTAAATGTTTATGCCTAAGTCCTAGAGGGTTTCTGGCACATGGCACAAAATGTTTTCTCTGCACAAACATTTTATCTGTACCACGTTAACCCCACTAGTTCATGTTATAGACATTACTAAGTAAAAAGACAATATTCTTTTTTTTTTCTTTTTCTTTTTCTTTTTTTTTTTTTTTTTTTTTTGAGGTGAGTCTCGCTCTGTGGCCCAGGCTGGAGTGCAGTGGGTGATCTCAGCTCACTGCGACCTCTGCCTCCCGAGTTCAAACGATTCTTCTGCCTCAGCCTCCTGAGTAGCTGGGGCTATAGGCACATGCCACCATGCCTGGCTAATTTTTTTGTATTTTTAGTAGAGACGGGGTTTCACCATGTTGGCCAGGCTGGTCTCAAACTCCTGACCTCAAGTGATCTGCCCACCTTAGCCTCCCAAAGTGCTGGGATTACAGGTGTGAGCCACCGTGCCTGGCTAAGAGACAATATTCTTTATACTTTATGCCTAAATCAATGAACAAGTATTTATTATCCACCTCAAGCCCATCACCACCAAAACTGTAAAATGTAAAAATAGGAGACAATCTCTGGCTTCAAGCAGCTCACTGCCTAGGTGGAGAGTGTGGGATAGCGCAACTGCCAAAGAACTCAAGACAGCACAAACATTGGCCAATTTACACGACACGGACTCTGTGAGCCACAGAAATTTAGCCATGTGGTGTCTAGCAAGCTGTGGACCATGGGAGCAGTCAGTCATGTAGTAGCAAAACATTTCCACGTTCAGTCCCACGTCTGTCATATCAGTTGTGTGGCCCTGAGTAAGACTTGAGCCTATTCACTCATCTGTAAAATAATAGCATTCACATGGCCAGGCGCGGTGGCTCACAGCACTTTGGGAGGCCAAGGCGGTTGGGTCACGAGGTCAGGAGATTGAGACCATCCTGGCTAACAAGGTGAAACCCCGTCTCTACTAAAAATACAAAAAATTAGCCAGGCGTGATGGCACACACCTGTAGTCCCAGCTACTCGGGAGGCTGAGGCGGGAGAATTGCTTGAATCCGGGAGGCAGAGGTTGCAATGAGCCGAGATCGCGCCATTGCACTCCAGCCTGGACGACACAGTGAGAGTCTGTCTCAAAAAATGAATAAATTAATTAATTAATTAATAATAGCATTCGTATTTGTAAGAAATTAAAGCACTTCGATACATACTGTGTGCTCAATACTAGCAAAACACTTCACAGGTTTCTTTTTTTCCCATTTACTTCTCAGCAACACTTTAAGGTAGTTTCTGTTATTATCCCCACTTCTCAGATATGGAGACCGAGGCACAGAGAGGTTAAGTGGCCTAAACAAGGTCTTGCAAGTCATTCTTAAGGAAGGAATGTAATTGAATGTCCTAGAGAAGGCGGGACTGGAAGGAATGGGTAGGATCTGGGTGGATGGAAGGAAAGGATAATGGGATCAATATAAACAAAGTTGTGCTCCAGTATTTCCTAATGTGATCCTAGCACGTAGTGAAACAACCCCAGGCTCCTTGATTGCCTTTAAAAAAAAATTGCCCAGGGCTGGTGGCTCACACCTGTAATCCCAGCACTTTGGTAGGTTGAGGCAGGAGGATCACTTGAAGCCAGGAGTTTGAGACCAGCCTGGGCAACATAGTGAGACCCCTCTATCTCTAAAAACAACTTTTTTTTAAATTAGCTGGGTGTGGCAGTGTGTACCTGTAGTCCCAGAAACTCAGGAGTCTGAGGTAGGAGGATGGCTTGAGCCCAGGAGTTCAAGGTTACAGTGATTGTGCCAATGCACTCCAGCCTGGGGGGTGACAGAGTGAGGCCCTGTGTCTCTTAAAAAAGTACTCTTCAAGCAATGCCCAGCTTCATTTTTATGAATTTTCTCTGTGGACAGTAGTCATTTTCTCCAGCTCTAGGAAGGCTGAAGGCTGTAAGTCCAAGCCCCACTTTACAAGGGAGAAAATTAAACATAAAGATAGTGCTTTATCCTGCAATGTGTGACCTGGAGTTTCAACTGGCCACGTTTTTATTCCACTCTGCTGAGGGCTGAGCCTGTGCTAATCCCAGATGCCTACTTGGGACAGTTCTGGGAACCAACACATCAGAGCTGATGGGAAATTCTGCCCCCAGAGACCGCATCTCAAAAGACACTTGGGAGGTTTCTGGCCCTGTTCTGGATTAAGAGACTTTGCTTCACCACTGGCTTATTCGAGAAACTTGAACCCATTTAAACGTTAATTGTTGCCAAGTGGGCCGAGTGCAGTGGCTCATGCCTATAATCGCAGCACTTTGGGAGGCTGAGGTAGAAGGATCATCTGAAGCCAGGAGTTCAAGACCATCCTGGCCAACATAATTAGAAAAAAATTTTTTTTTTAATTATTATAGCTGGACATGGTGGCATGCCTATAAACTTAGCTACTTGAGAGGCCGACGAGGGAGGAGTTTGTGGCTGCAGTGAGCTGTGATCACACCACTGCACTCCAGTCTGGGCGACAGAGCAAGACCTTGTCTCCAAAAAACAAATAAAAATGTTGCCAAGTGAACAGTACAATTGCTTCACGAAGTCGTTCTATTTTAGAGCATGTTTCGGGTGTCACTGGGTGGTATCTGAATGCATGGTTTTCTTATTTAGGGGATAGTTTGGGTTAATATTGTTCTTCTGTGTTTTAACAAACATATTTTAGTGGTGAAGGAGGGACCACACAAAGGGAACTTAAAAATCCAGAGAGGTTCATTTCGACGTTTTCTGGTTTCATCTCTCACTCAGAAGTGTAAAGAGGACATCTGTGTGAATGACTGGAGTGTCTTCCCTGTCACGTTGGTTAGAATCCTGGCCCTCCTCACCTATGCTGTGTGACCCTGGATGAGTTAGTGCTCTGTGCCTCAGTTTCCTCCTTAATAAAATGGAAATATTAATGAGCTCTACCTCAAAAGGTTGTCAAGGAAGATTAAATGGAATAATCATGTAAAGTATTGAAATCTTTGCCTGGCACATAGTAAACAGTCAAAAAATAAATACTGTCCATTCTTTTTATTACATCCGGGAGTAGCCACAATCCTCAGGGCTTCTAGCAGTTGGGCCTTTTGACTTCATCATTTTTTCTTATTTGTTTTGTTCTTACAGGCACGGTTACACAAAGGGAATGGGCTGCCAGAGACAGGGAGGCTGTTGCCTGCAGGGATGTCAGGGTTTTGTTGTTTTAAACAACTGAGTGGTTTTTTAAACCCTGAATTCCCAGTTAGAAATGTTTCAAGATAACCCCTTTTTATGGTCATCATCCCCAATAAGTTAATTACTGGACCCAAGGAAGTACCAAAAATTGTGGGGCTGAATACTCTGGCTGCTGTGACTCAAATTCCTTGGAATTCACCCTTAATTTTCTTGGATTTTTCTTTTGGTTAAAAAAAATTGACAGCAGTTGTAAGACAATTCTAAGATCGGTCTATTTGTACACGTAATTCATTTTATAATCAAAGATTCATGGATTTTCCTAAAAGGTTGGTCTTTTGTCTTGTTCCATCACCTTTTCTGTGTTATGCCTAAAATAGAGGAAACCTTGGACCCAAGTAGTTGAAAAGAACACATGATTTCTAGTACATGCCTGTTATTGCTGAAAGCCAGCACTTTCTAGAATGTAAGATCTGAAGAAGTTTTATCCTTTTCGTTGGTAGCCTAGTATAATAGAAGTTACTATAGTAACAGAGAACCTGTTCTTTGGCCCATAGAGTTATTCAGCAGAAGAAAAGCAAATCAATCTTGGAGCCATTATTCTTGTTTAAAACCTGAAAAGGTGACTATATTTTAATTGAGCAAACACAGATGGGCAAATGAGTTAGAACAGAGAGGGGCACATTGTACTACCTCTAGTTAGATCCTTTTCACCCAGCAGGCCTGAAGGTTTCTCTCTCAAGCCTCACATTCTGTTTTTTTTTTTTGTTTTTTGAGACCGTCTTACTGTGTTGCCTGGGCTGGAGTGTAGTGGCGTGATCTCGGCTCACTGCAACCTCCGCCTCCTGGGTTCAAGTGATTCTCCTGCCTCAACCTCCTGAGTAGCTGGTATTACAGGTGCATGCCACCATGCCCAGCTAATTTTTGTATTTTTTTTTTAGTAAAGAGGGGGTTTCACCATATTGGCCAGGCTGGTCTTGAACTCCTGATCTCAAGTGATCCACCCGCCTCGGCCTCCCAGAATGCTGGGATTACAGGCATGCGCCACTGTACCCATCAAGCCTCACATTCTCTTACTGGCACCTAGCTGTCTCTTTCATATTCAGCCAGTGTGTGGCACGTGCTGCATGCCTGGCGCTGGCTCTGTGCTGGAGAGGACAGCAAATGCAAGATGGGCTAGTTCCTGTCCTCAGGCAGCGTATGTCTTGTGGTTGGGGAGGAGAGCTGAAGGGAGACTTGATCTCATCTCATGGATCAGGAAAGGCTTCCCCAGGGATGTGGCAATCAAGGCGAGACCTAAAAAATGAGTGGGAGATCCACGGGTGAAGAAGGGATGGAGTGGGGGAGGCACATGTCTCAGGCAGAGTGTACTGAATATGCAGAAGCCCTGAGGTGAGTCTGTGCTCCTTTTCAGAACTTAGAATAAAGCTGTGTGTGGTGGCTCGCACTTGTAATTCCAGTCATTCAGGAGGAATGGAGGCAGGAGACCAGAGGTTGAGGTTGAAGTGAGCTCTGACTGTGCCATTGCACCCTAGCCTGGGCAACAGAGTGAGACCCTGTCTCTTAAAAGAAAAAAAGAACTTAGAAAAGGCCAGAGTACTGTGACAGGGCAAGCGGCTGGCATGAAGTCATTAAGTGAGGGAGGAGAGGGAGCTGAACCTGGCCTTGCAAGGCCTCAGAAGGCCATATTAAAGATTGTAAAGGTTTTATGAAAAGGAGTGATACCAAATATGCATCCTTAAAAGACCGCTTGGGTGGCTGTGTGGAAAATGGATTCGTAAGGGTGGGGAACAAAAGAGTGTATAGGGAAATTCGTGTAAGGTTATTGCAGGCAGGAGATCCCGGTGACTTAGATTGGGGTGCTGACCGGGTGGAGAGAGAACCGGACCAATTGAGCTAGAAACTGGATGTTGCCTCCGTGGCTGGGCGACGGGTTGGATGAGAAGGGTATCAGGGTATGCCCGTTAGGCTTCTGGTATGAGGAACTGGGTGGATCATGGTGCTGTACTCTGAGAAGAAGGACACTGGAAGGGAAGAGGGTTGACTGCAGGTGTTGGGTAGCTGCAATACATGAAGCCACATTTGTACGTGTTGCATTTGAGGTGCTTTCAGGAAGCTCTGATGGAGATGTCAAAGAGGCATGGAGATCTGTGAGTCAATCTCAGAAGAAGAACTGGCCTAGAGATACACTTGTAGCCATCTGTGTCTTAGTAATTGAAGACTTGGCATGGACGAGATCCAGGGAGATAGCCTCGGATGGTGTCCTGAGTAACACCGCGTTCAGAGAGCAGGTGAAAGCACAGTTGCCCCACAGTCAGCCCCAGTCCCTTCCCCTCCCTTCTCTCGCCTTCCTCCGCCAATCTCTAACTGATGGACAAAAATCTTTGAGCGGTGGAAATAAGGACTGACCATTGGAGATCCCACACACTCCTTGGCTGAAAGGTGGAGTAGTCACAAAGTGGAACCTCCCTCCTTCTCTGCTTTGTCCCTGATGGCACCAACAGGCACCAATATTTTATATCACTTTATTTCAAAAATAGGTAAAGTCAGGCTGGGCATGGTGGCTCACGCCTGTAATTCCACCACTGTGGGAGGCCATGGCAGGCAGATCACTTGAGGTCAGGAGTTTGAGACCAGCCTGGCCAACATGGTAAAACCCTGTCTCTACTAAAAATACAAAAATTAGCCAAGCGTGGTGGCGTGCACCTGTAATCCCAGCTACTCAGGAGGCTGAGGCAGGAGAATTGCTTAAACCCAGAAGGCAGAGGTTGCAGTGAGCCGAGATCACGCCACTGCACTCCAGCCTGGGTGACAGAGTGAAACTCTGTCTCAAAAAAAAAAAAAAAAAAAAAAGATGAAGTCGGCTGGGCATGGTGGCTCACACCTATAATCCCAGCATTCTGGGAGGCCGAGGTGGGCCGATCACGAGGTCAGGAGATCGAGACCTTCCTTGCCAATATGGCGAAACCCCATCTCTACTAAAAATACAAAAATTAGCCAGACATGGTGGTGCGCACCTGTAGTCCCAGCTACTTGGGGGGCTGAGGCAGGAGAGTTGCTTGAACCCAGGAGGCGGAGGTTGCAGTGAGCTGAGATCGCACCACTGCACTCCAGCCTGGCGACAGAGCAAGACTACATCTCAAAAAAAACAGGTAAAGTCAAAAAACTTAGCCATACTTCCTCATTTATGGTATTTTGTGGTTGTATCCACATGCTCTTCTACTCGTGAACAACAGGAGAAAATGAGCCTGGGATTCTTGTTCCACATCTTTGTCTATCACCATCATCATCGGTTTGGGGATTTGCAGCCGCCTGGGCATTGGGCTTTCTGAGCTGGGGCTTTTGTGTACAGCTGAGCGAGCACTCACGTGTTGCTCACCATCCCAACACCGTTTGACCCTTGCTCTCCCTCTTGCTCACAGGAAGCCTTGGAATCCTGCCAGACTCGCATTTCTAAGCTGGAGCTCCACCAGCAAGAGCAGCAAGCTCTGCAGACAGACACCGTGAATGCTAAAGTTCTCCTGGGGAGGTGCATCAACGTGATCCTGGCCTTCATGACTGTCATCTTAGTGTGTGTGTCCACCATCGCGAAGTTCGTCTCACCCATGATGAAGAGTCGCTGCCACATTCTTGGCACCTTCTTTGCCGTGACTCTTCTTGCTATATTTTGTAAAAACTGGGACCATATCCTGTGTGCCATAGAAAGGATGATAATACCAAGATGAAGCCACTGGTTCCTGCCTTCAAGTTCTTTCAAGTTTTTATTTTAAAGAAAACTCTGTGCATACTACCAAATTTTACAGTGAATGATTGTGCGGACTCGTGTGTAAGAAAAACTAGGACTGTGTGGTGTAAATAACTACAATTCTCTTAACTCCGTAGCAGTTGCCAACTCAGTCCTTGTACTTCGTTAACACGAATCTGTTTCAGAGCTCTCCTACCTTGCTCACTGCCTTAATCAGACCGATTTCCTGCCCACCTGACCAGCCCAGCGTGGTAAACCTCTGTATATTGAGACCTTGGCATAATTGGTGATCCTGAAGAAAGAGGTCTCTCTCCTAAGTCTCTGTCAGAATTGAGCTTCACAATTGCTAATGGTTGTTTTCTGTGAGTCCTATAAAAAGCAAGGATATGCATGATTCAGGGAATGAAGAATCACAGGCTTGGGCAGTGTTAAACACTGTGGCCTATGGTCCCCGTGTGATCCACCCTGCTTCTCTCCAGGGGACCATAGGTCCCGTCATGTACTCAGTGTCCACAGCAGTCAGTCGTGTATGACCCTGTAACGTGGAAATCTTATCACACACCTGTTATCCAACAAGTCTACCTGAGGGGTTTTGTTACACTTTAAATGGGAAGGCATAGGGATTTATGAATGGGGCTTTCACCTTCTCATACCCAGGCAACCAACACCTGATTTTGTCTCAACTGGCTAGCAAATGCCCAGCCTTCAGAGTGTGCAGGAATGTTTTCAAATCCCTCATCAGACTGTGACTTTAACATTAATTTGGAATCCTGTGAGCACTACTCTGAAGGTTTGTGTTTTGGCAAATCTTTTTTCTTTTTTGAGACAGGGCTCTGCTAAATATTGCTCAGGCTGGTTGCAAACTCCTTGCTTCAAGGGATCCTCCCACCTCAGCCTCCCAAGCAGCCGGGACTGCAGGCACAAGCCACCATGCCTGGCTGTTTTTTGGCAAATCTTGATTGTGATAAGCCCCCCTGGAGGATATGATTCACTTTATGTGATTCATCTTATTCACAGGTCTGTGAGGGACTGCAAAGCTTACTCAGGAAATGAAAACAAATGATGGTCATGTTGCAGTTTTTTCCTTGAAGGACAACCGAACCATAGCCTCTAAAGTTCAAGTGCACTGAGGTGTCGGAACGCTGAAAGCATGAGGAAACGAGGACGTAGGGTGTGACTGAATGGTGGCTAGATTAGTGGGAGCAGTTCACCTGGATGAAGATTGAGAGCATCGTCTTTGAGAAGTGAAAGACTAGCAAGAATAAAATAAATTAAGTCCAGTGTTTGAGCCAAGGTTGCCACCTGTCTCTTAACATCTCACTGAACATAAGTCCTGAGGTATTAGGACGACCATACTGCCTCTGAGCTGAAAACATTCAAAAGTTCACATCCCTGTTTGGGGGATACCATTCACCGCCTTCAGCCCAGATGATACTTTCCTTTAAATCTGTGTCTCTGTGTGTATAACAAAGAGGAAGATGGAAACAATGTTCATGGAAACTGCTGTTGAGCCCCTTGTCCCACCACTCCCGCCATCTGCTGCAGGCAGGAAGGCATGTGAGTGTACGTTTTCTTCCAGGAGACATCAGGTCCCCCTGGATTCAAATTAAGTGCAATATTTTGCAAACAGCTCTTCTTAGGGAAATCTCCTGAAGGAAAAAAATGTGACAGAATGTTCCATAGTCTGAGAGAATGGAATCGTTGAGCATTTAGTACAAGTCCAGTGTGTGTGAGCGGGACTTAGGCAGCTCAAGCTTGCTTTTTTTTTTAAGCGTACAATTGAGTGGTTTTAGTAAATTCACAAACTTGTTCAACCATCACCACTATCTAATTCCAGACTCACGCTTTTTTAAACAATAAATGTCATTTCATGAAATCTTTGGTGATAAAGTATTTTGGATTCAGAGAAGAGCTCCCTTACCAGTCCCACCCTGATCTCATGGCTGTCTCTCCTTTCATTGTCAGACTCCCCCTGGTCTACCGCGTTGATGTGTATACACTGATCTTTCAAGTCTGGGAGACAGATAAGGAGGCCAGGTGCAAGGCAGGGAGGCAGAGAGAATGTTGTGCTTCCTTTAGCTTTTGTATTTCGATGGCCAGCATTACCCTTTACCTGTGGGCATCAGACTCAGCGTGGGCTGAGTGCTGAGTGTAACTTACACTCCTAAATCAAGCTGGGGCCTGGGTGGGCCCCTCTTGGTATCTGTGAATCTTTCCAAGCACCACTTCGGACACACCAGGGATTGAGTGCTGCTGTTAGTTTAGAGAAGGAGAGATGTCTAACCCTTGAGGTGAAGGGCTCTGGGAGGGTCCAAGAAGACGTAGGCTTCATTTTCACACCAGCCCACACCATTCCAGTGCTCAGCCTAGCAAATGTGCTTTAATGCACACTTCTCAGACCTGTGATCCGTGTATCTTCTCCCCAGTGACAGAAGTAGAGAAGAGAATGGAAAGCAGCACACTCCGTCCCCTCTAGTCTGGAGCTGTTAACAGAATCTGCTAGAAACTAGCTTTATTCTAACATACCGTAGGATCTAAATCCTCCTACCTGGATCATGAATTCCTTTGAAATAATTCATATTTTCATTGACTCTCACTAAATGTCAAATAACCTTGTTTTCACTTGGATAGGCTCAACCTACCTGGCATATTTATTTTGCAGTCTTGTTGAAAGTTCATGAAACTTTGTACTTTTTAATAAGATGATACACTCGAAGGAAACTTTTAATCTCTGCAGTTTATTCTCTCTTAAGGAATAAACACTCCCACTGTTTGTTCTCTTCAATGTGTAAGGAGATTAAATGACATTTTAGAAATATTACAATTAAAAATAGTGATGTAGCTGTAACATATGCTGGAATTGGATATTTAATTTATGTTTGTGTCAACTATAATCCTTTCCCCACCCCTTTCATTTATGGTAAACATCTTGGGCAAACCCAAAGATGGAAAGTGCTTGTTGGGTGGGTAAGCACCACCTGGTCTCTCAGCAAACACTCCTGAGTGGTTGAAGATGCTGGACATTGGATTCTAGCACTGGGTTTATCTGGTGACATAGTCTCCTGTGGGTCTTGAGTTGGTTATTTCAAGCTCAAACTCTGAATATGATTAAACCAGAACACCCCACCCCCAACTGCCAAAAAAAAAAAAAAAAAATGGAAATCCATAATGAAACAGCAAAAAAGTACTCCGTTGCTGGGTTTGGACAATGAACATGGGATTAGTCCCAAGTTTGTAGCTTGGAACGGTAGCATTTTTGCCTGCGTGATCCTTGTCAGCTATTCACAGAAGGAAATCTTCCGAAACTCCGTCTTTCATTTCAGCCGGTGAGGCTGTTATCCTTCTCTGTCAATTAGCATTCATGTGGTTTTCGCTCTTTCCAGCTCTGTCACTCTTGTTTTCATTTAAATATTGCCCCACTCTGTGTTTATTGCCTTGCCATTTCTCTAGCATATCAGGTTTAATTATGGGCTCAGTAATAATGAGGAACTAGCTTCCCTCAGGCAACTAATTACTTTTGTCTTTTTTGGTCGGATTGTACCAAATTATTTTGCATTGAATGGGAATGTTTTTGCAGTGAATCCAGATATAGTTGTATTGGTTTGGAAAAACATTTAAATATATTTATTCATATGAACATGTGTGATTAAACAACCTATTTTACATATTTCTGTAATTCTGAGGAGTGGGCTGGGGGTAGGAAGAAATGGCACCACTTAAAATTCAGGGCTTATATGAAGAGGTGTTTTAAGGTTAGCACATGCACAAAGGAACGAGTTGGTTTAAAAAGATAAATCACTGCAAAGAATGAAATTGGCTTATTCACATCAAAACTAGATAAGATGCTAAAAAAAAAAGATATGAAACAGAACTAACCTATAGTTTCCTGAAATCAGTACAGTTTAATTTATAAGAAGCTAGAAAGTAATGCACCTTGATTGTTTTAGGAATGATTTATGTGTTGCAATTTTAATTTATTTAAAGCATGTCTACTGTGTTTGTCCTAAGAGAAATATTTCAACAAAACGTGCTCTGTGTTTAAGATATGTTTAGGCAGTAGTTAGCAACTCTGAAAGTAGAAACTGGAAATGTTTATTGTGAGGCTTGTTGCAGAATTTCCATTTTGTGAGTTACTACTTAGTTTCATGTCAGCCTAAAATTGTAAATTCCCTGTAGATCTTCACCCCATTGTGGTGTCATCAATGAATCCAAAGCAGGTGCCATTATTTTTTTAAATAAACACTTGATGTTAGCTTTGGTGTTAAATAAAGAGGTAGATTTCTTAAATTTTCACATTTGTTGGAGCCCATCTCAGTAGCAAATGTGTGTGTGTGACCAATTTTTTTAATAGATTTTATTTTTTAGGGCACTTTCAGGTTCACAGCAAAATTGAGCAGAAGGTACAGAGATTTCCCTTATAACCCCTGCCCCTAGACAGGCATAGCTTCCCCTCCACATTAGCGATATTTCCCACCAGAATGGTGCACTTGTTACAGTTGATAAACCTGCATTGACACACATCATTATCCAAAGTTCATAGTTTAGGGTTCATGGTGTTGTCATTCTGTGGGTTTGGACAAATGTATGACTACATGTATCCCCCATTACAGTATCACACAGAATAGTTGCCCTTCCCTAAAAATCCCCTGTGCTCCATCTATTCATCCTCCTCTCCCGCTGTAGTCAATTTTTAAATGAATCTCAAGTCTTCTATATATCGTAGGAAGTTGGTGATGTGTGGCCCATTGCTTGAGCCCCGGCAGAAGGAAGAGTAGTTTATTCACAGTCATGCTAAGATGCTAGCAAACATGTCCTTGTGTTGAAAAAGGGGAAGTGATGGCGAGGACAAAGCACAGCCTTCATAAGCTGGAATGAGACACCAAGGGCAATGCCAATCCGGGGGGGGCACAGGGCAGCAGCACAGGAGGGAGCAGACGCCTGACTCCAGCAGTCGGTTTAGTGCACTGTCTCCAGTTTGTCTGGGGCTTTGGTGTCTACAATGCACTTGATTTCACAGTGTGTGAACTCCTATGAACCAGTCCAGTAGTACAGATACCAACGCTATTCCTACAATATTCCCCCTTTATCCTCAGGGGATGCCTGAAACCTCAGATAGAACTGAGCCCTGTATACACCATTTTTCTTATACATACATATGATAAAGTTTATAAATGAGGCACAGTAAGAGATTAATGACTAATAATAAAATAGAGTGATTATGACCATGTACTGTAGTAAAGTAAAATAAAAATTACTTGAGCAGAAGCAGTTGATCTTATAACCAAGACAGCTGCTAAGTGACTCACAGTCGGGAAGCGTCTACAGGGGTGTCCAATTCTTTGGCTTCCCGGGGCCATATTGGAAGAAGAATTGTCTTGGGCCACGCATAAAATACACTAACACGACAGCTGATAAGCTAAAACAAAATCACAAAAAACCTCATAATGTGTTAAGAAAGTTTACAAATTTGCATTGGGCTGCATTCAGAGCCGTCCTGGGCCGCATGCATCCCATGGGCTGTGGGTTGGACAAGCTTGGTCTACAGTATAAATACACTGGACAAAGGGAGGATTCAGGTCCCAGTTGCGACAGTACAGGATACTGCCAGATCAGAATGGCGCACAGTTGAAAACTTACCAATTGTTTATTTCTGGAATTTTTCCTTTCTTTTCTTTTCTTTTTTTTTTGAGACAACTCTGTCACCCAGGCTGGAGTGCAGTGGTGCGATTTCAGCTCACTACAAACTCCGCGTCCCGGGTTCAAGCGGTTCCCCTGCCTCAGCCTCCCAAGTAGCTGGGATTACTGGCATGCACCTCTCCGTCTGGCTAGTTTTTGTATTTTTAGTAGAGACGGGGTTTCACCATGTTGTCCAGGCTGCTCTTGAACTCCTGACCTCAGGTGATCCACCCGACTTGGCCTCCCAAAGTGCTGGGATTACAGGCATGAGCCACTGCGCCCGGCCTATTTCTGGAATTTTTCATTTGCTATATTTGGATCTTGGTGGGCTGCGGGTAACTGAAACCACAGAAGCAGCGCCGCGGCTGAGAGGGGACTGCCTCTATCAGCGGGTGGGATGGAAGCCCAGACACACGAGCCTTTCGTGAGGTCTTGGCTGGTGAAGAATTCACGACTCTGTTTTTCTCATCTTGCCTTTTTAGCCCTCTTCACTTCATGTCCTGACCAGTTTTCTACTTTGGTCACTCACCCTGTACAGACAGACTAACTAGAACTCTCAGATGATAGAAAAATTCTTAACTACAGTAGCCCATTCTGTGCCCTGGAAAATGGAGCATAGCTGAATATTTGGAAATCTTATGGGGAACAACTGTTATTTTGCACACTTTTGTCATTTGATGTCTGAGGATGAATACAGACAATGGAAGTGATTGAATGAAATATGTGTCCAGCCCAGCATATTCCTAAATGTTGCATTAGGGAAAACACCTTACCAATTCTGTGTTTCCCTGAAAAAAAAAAAAAAAAAAAAAAAGAAATGGGGAAAAGTTATGTTAGTTGGTTTCAAGCTTCATTAAGCATAGTGCTATAGAATAAAGCAGTATTTACCAGTTTTGAGTAATGTATGGATTTTTTCTTTTTTGAGACAGGGTCTCATTTTGTTACCCAGGTTGGAGTGCAGTGGTGCCATTATAGCTCATTGCAGCCTTCATCTCCCAGGCTCAAGTGATCCTCCCGCCTCAGCCTCCCAAATAGCTGGGACTACAGGCGAGTGCTACCATACCCAGCTAATTATTTTATTTTTTGTATAGACAGGATCTCACTTTGTTGTGCAGGCTGGTCTTGAACTCCTGGGCTCAAGTGATTCTCCCACCTTGGCCTCCCAAAGTTTTGGGATTACAGGCATGAGCAGCCATGCCCCACCGGATTTCTAATGTAAGAAATTATTTTGGGCCGGGTGCTGTGGCTCATGCCTGTAATCCCAGCACTTTGGGAGGCCAAGGTGGGAGGATTGCTTGAGCCCAGGAGTTCAAGACCAGCCTAGGCAACATAGTGAGAACCCCCCTGCCATCTCAAAAAAAAAAAAAAAAAAAAAAGAATTAAAAAAAAAAGAAGTTATCTTGTACATTTGAGGAGGTCCATAGTCACCATTTGACAAAGTAACTTAAAGTCTTAATAACAATAATAGCCTTTTAAAATTTGCAATTAAATCTATGAATATCTGCAGCCCCACATACAGAGTTATTTTCTAAATAGGTATGATTATGAGATGTAGAAATTTGTGGGTCATGTAAGGAACATGGCAATACCAAACAGCACCTTTCTGGGCATTCATAGATTTGGGATGATACCTGGCATTCTTTGACATTTACTGTGTACAATGTACTGTGCCAGGTGCTTTACTTGCACTATCAAATATAATCATTCCAACACCCAACAAGACAGGCACTATTATTTCTGCTTCGTAGATGAAGAAACTGAGGTTCAGAGAGGGAAAATAGTGAGCAGCATCAGGCAGCAGGTACTGGGGGATCCCCAAGCTTGTGTGACTCTAGCCTTTACGGGTGACCGCTACCCTACACTATAATAGAAGGAATTGAACAACTGGCTTCTTGTCAGTCAGGGATCACTTTTAATCCTAGGACTATAGCAATCAATAATGTGGTTACAAATTGTGCATTTCCATCTTCATGCTGCTGGCCATACAAGGTGAGGGCAGAGATACCTGAAGCTAGCATCCTTGATTTTTGAAGAGCCATGAGCTGACAGATTTGTGGATAAAGAGAATGGAAAGCAATTAATTATAGAAACTTTTACACACTCCCTGGCTTCCTGAGATTCTTGAGGTGTGTAATTGGCTGTTGACGTGGCTGAGTGTTTCTCAGCTTTTTTGCTCAGCTCCAAGACAGTGAAGTCTCTGGTGGCTTCTGCTCTGAGGCTGCGTGACATCTGCTACCATCTGTGGTGGCTACCTCAGAAATCTCTCTCCTTGCTAAGCCAGCCAGAATCTCTCCCTTGCCAGGCCTTTAACTTGACTAAAGCAGTTAACAGGAACATGCGTCAGCCATGTTAACAGCTGTTTTGTTGGTGGTTACTCCGCTCTGGCTTAGGCATTGAGAATTGGATTTCTTTTTTTCTCTTTTCCTTTTTTTTTTTTTTCCCGTTGTGCTTTAAAATAAGCCACTGAGTAGTAGAAATAAAATAAAGTCATGTACTTTCTGGTCTGTACTAGCAGTAAGGGACCCCATTTGCCAAAGAAGCTCTTGGAGGCCTGGATCCTTCTCTGATTCTTGGACTGTCAATGTCACAAGCAACAGTGCTAGCCTAGCCTTCTACCAGGGGTTTCCTCCCAAAGTGGTTTTGAATTCTCTTCCTTCATCATATTTATTCTGTGTTTTGATGCCCAGGTCTTGTAGCTCCCGGGAACAGTGAACTGTAAGACCCCAAAACTTAGGCCACAGGTAGAAGTTTATACATCCCCACACACAGTGGCTTAAGCAAGCAGAGACCCAAAGACATGCTTGGATTCAGAAAGGTGGCTGTCCCCAAACATGGTCAGAATTGCAAGGTGACTTCCTGCTATGCCTTGTCAACAACAAACAATTGACTAAGAAAATCCATGGAGGCCGGGCACAGTGGCTCACGCCTGTAATCCCAACACTTTGGGAGGCCGAGGCGGGTGGATCACTTGAGGTCAGGAGTTCGAGACCAGCCTGGCCAACATGATGAAACTCCATCTCTAATAAATATACAACAACAACAAAAAATTACTGGGCATGGTGGCGCGCACCTGTATTCCCAGCTACTCCAGAGGCTGAGGCGGGGGAATCGCTTGAACCCGGGAGGAAGAGGTTGCAGTGAGCCAAGATCACGCCACTACACTCCAGCCTGGGCAACAGAGTGAGACTCTGTCTCAAAAAAAAAAAAAAAAAAAGAAAAGAAAAAGGAAAGTCCATGGAAACCATGAATGAGAGGGAATGGAGGTGACCCATTCAGTCAATAAGCAATCATTCTCAAAAGAGAAGGTAGAGGGTTGCAGGGGGCCGGTGGCTGGCTCTCTGGGTGAGCTGGAGAGTGGCAGCTGTGTCCCTAGAGCAGGCGGGGATCCTGCCTGGCCAGCTGCACTCGGTCTTCTGGGTTTCTGGTTCACAGAGCTTGTTCATGGCCTCCCTGAGGCTATCGACTCTGTGCAGGCTCCAAGCCAAGCTGGCGACTGCTTGGCAGCCTCAGTGAACTCTTTCTACTGGGGACAGACTGAGCTGTCCGACAGGGCAGAACGTTTCAGCTCCTTGGCAGCTGTATATGCTTGAATGTAAATCACTACATTCGCTTTCTCTTCTCGGGGATATTCTTGTCAGAGTGAATCCGTTAGCATGAATCAGTTTCACAGGAGTGAGCACCTGATAAACTGATAGAGGCATTTCTGAACTCCATGACATGTGGGAAGCCCAGCTCGAAACTCGGGGGCTTTCCCCTTACTGGCAATTTGATTAAATGAGGATGAGGGGATGGGAGGGGTGGTGTTTCACCTCTGAGAATCTCCCCTTCCTAAACTGTTAACTGCCTAGGATTATAGGGGTTAGATGAGATCGTAGATGCTCAATAAATGCATTAAATTATTGAAGGCCTGGGGTGCCCAAGGGCCTTCAATAATTTAATGCATTAATTAATTAGTTTATTTATGTGAGACAGAGTCTCGCTCTGTTGCCCAGGCTGGAGTGCAGTGGCACAATCTCTGCTCATGCAACCTCCGCCTCCCAGGTTCAAGCTATTCTCCTGCCTCAGCCTCCTGAGTAGCTGGGACCACAGGCAGGCACCACCATGCCCGGCTAATTTTTTGTATTTTTAATAAAGACGAGGTTGCACCACGTTGGCCAGGCTGGTCTCAAACTCCTGGCCTCAAGTGATCTGCCCACCTCGGCCTCCCAAAGTGCTGGGATTACAGAATTTAATCCATTTATTGAGCACCTGCTACATGCCGTGCACTGTTCTGGGCACAGAGTACAAAACAATGTTACTATCCTCTTGGAGGTTACATTCTGGTGGGGGAGAAGTCAGGTGAAAATAAGATAATATTTGGAAGGGGGAAGGCCCAGGCTCTTGGCATGTTAAACTTACCTTGATATCCTTACAGAGAAAATGAATTTTCTGAGTGTTTCTTTGAATTTTTCAGCTCAATTTCACAGATAGCTATACAGCACAGCTTAGTAGACTCTTCCAAAGTAGAAATATTTCTGGGTCAGAGAGACTCGGCACAGCAGCAGGAGCGCTGGGAAGACCTGGGGTGGTTCTGTTTGGAAAGGGGATGAGATGCTCCTGTACTCCTGCTCCAGTGTTTTTGGCTTGAAATGAGTAACATGCAAATGAGCACCTGGGGCTGAGTCAGCAGTGAGTAACCCCCTCTGCGGGACGCCCAGCCCCGAGGCATACACGGGGCCGCCTCTACTGGCTACTGCACCCCGCAGATGCTTCCGCAGCAGACTCTGTGCCTCACCCCCGGCCCTTGCCCATGTCACCTGCTCAGTCAGAATTCCAGCTCAGGCCAGCGGGGCTCTGCTGATGAAAACAGCATTACCTGGAAGCCTGGGACTTCAGTGTTTCTTCCCGCAGCAAGTGCTGAGGAAGCCGCTGCCTTCCCTGGCACCCCCTTGCCGAATAGCTTCCCTTCTGCAGAGGGCTAGGGTCCCCACTTCATCAGGCCTCAGCTCTCCCCTCGGCTCACCCCTCCTTCATACCACTCCAGGCCTCTGTCCAAGACAGACTCCCACCTGGGCCTCCTGCCTCTTCTGAGAGCCGGCACCTCCTTCATCAGCACCTGTTTTCCAGTGGGTTCATTTCAGCATACACAGATGTCCAGCTGCTGCTGTCCTAAACCCACTTTTATGATCCTGCATTTCCTCAGCTCACTATTCCTTCTCTTCCCTGTCACTATCACGTTTCTTAAAAGAATAGTCTCTACTCCTCTCTCCCAGGATTTCTTAATCCACTAAAAACTAGTGTCAGCCCCCAGCACTCCCCTAAAACTTCTCTCAATGGGGTCACCGAGGACCCATTTGCACTTCTGGTGCATGCTTCACAGCCTGTGTTTTTACTAAACTTCTAGTCATTTCCCTTTGCGGTGCTCCCTCCCATCTGAAACATTTTGCTTCCCTTGGATATCTTCTTTCTTTTCTCCCTTTCTTTCTCTCTCTCTTTTTCTTTCTCTCTCTCTTCTTTCTTTCTTTCTTTCTTTCTTTCTTTCTTTCTTTCTTTCTTTCTTTCTTTCTTTCTCTCTCTTTCTTTCTTTCTCTCTGTCTCTCTCTCTCTCTGTCTCTCTCTCTCCCTCCCTCTTTCTCTCTTTCTTTCTCTCTCTTTTTTTTTTTTTTTTTGATGGAGTCTAACTCTGTCACCCAGGCTGGAGTACAGTGGGGCTCACTGCAGCCTCTGCCTCCCTGGTTCAAACAATTCTCCTGCCTCAGCCTCCCAAGTGGCTGGGATTATAGGCGCGCCACCACGCCCCGCTAATTTCTGTATTTTTAGTAGAGATGGGGTTTTGCCATGTTGGCCAGGCTGGTCTTGAACTCCTGACCTCAAGTGATCTGTCCACCTCAGCCTCCCAAAGTGCTGGGATTACAGGCGTGAGTCACTGCGCCCAGCCTGTTGGGTATTTCCTTGATGCCGCTCTCTGGTTCTCTTGCCACCTCTTGACCACCCTCTAGTCTTCTTTGGCTGCATTATCTCCATCTCACCCCCTTTGCACAGACTCCCCGTGATTCAGCCATCATCTCTAAGACTAATTCCACTGCCTCTATGTAGTGAGTACCTGCCTCTTTTCTGAGCCACAGACCATATTTCTATTTCCCCTTCATCTCTACATAGACATCCTTAGAGCACCTCAAAATATAAAACCAACCTCATTTTTTTGCCCTTACTTCAAATCTGCTCTATCTACACTACCTCATTCCATAAAGGCACCAACACCATCCATTTATTCACCCACCCAAGCTAGAAATCTTAAAGCCATTCCCCCTCTTTCTAACCAGTGCCATCTAATCGTGTCAAACTCTACCTTCTAAAGACACCCAAAACTTGTCCACCTTACTCTTTCCTACCTTGGTTCAGGGCACCATTATTTCCCCCCAGGAGAGTTGTAACAGTCTCCTATGTGGTCCCGGGTCTTCAGTTTTGCCCATACCCAATGCATCCACCATGTAAACTACCTGTGTGATCTAAAATGCAAATCAGATCATCTTATTCCACTTCTTAAAATTTTCAGTGGCTTCTCTTGCCCAGAGGGTCGTGTCTGAATTTCTGAGTGAAGCCCACTAGGTTCCCAGTGTACTGAAGTCCATGCAATGCCCCAGCCTCATCTCCCACCCCCCACCCCCATTGCATGCTCTACGCCTCAAGCCCTGAGCCCACCTTGCTATTTCATGCCCTTAGGTGACACACAAACACCTCCTCTGCCTGCAATCACATTTCTTCTCCTTCAAGACCCTTTCAGATGTCAGCTCTGCAAAGCCCTCATGTTCTTCTCCTCCTGACTCTGTATTCTGTAAAGAAATGCTGTCTAAATACCTTTTTCCTAGTTATTGAGAAGTGTTTCTTTTATGTCTGCTCCTGAAGTAAACAGTGAGTTCCTTGTGACCAGAGCATGCCCTTGCTCTTTCACTCATCTCGTCCTCCCACAGGACCTTGCCAAGTGTCAGGCACATATGTAGGTGGTGTTTAATCAATGCAATGAGCAAAGCAGCCCAGGTACTGTGAGAATGAAATATCTGGCTGGGCACAGTGGCTCACACCTGTAATCCTAGCACTTTGGGAGGCCAAGGCGAGTGGATCACTTGAGGTCAGGAGTTTGAGATCAACCTGGCCAACATGGTGAAACCCCATCTCTATTTAAAAAAAAAATTAGCCAGGTGTGGTGGCAGGCACCTATAATCCAAGCTACTCTTGAGGCTGAGGCAGGAGAATCGCTTGAACCTGGGAGACAGAGGTTGCAGTGAGCTGGGATGGTGCCACTGCACTCCAGCCTGGACAACACTGTGAGACTCCATCTCAAAAAGAAAAAAAAAAAAAAAAGATATCTACTGGGGCTATTTTCCTTTGCCCCTAGATTGTGAGCACTTGGTGGACTGGGAGTGTGTCTTTTTCTTATCTGCCGTACCTAGACAGCTGGTGTTCAATAAATAGTGTTGATTATGGTTGGGTTTACTACAACCTTCCAAAAACCCCCCCGATGCAAAGGGATAAAGATATCTAACTAGAATGCTGCCACTTCTGAACAGCTTTCTTTGACTTCAGTTTCCCTGATACTGACCTTTACCTCACCATGCCCTTCCCATTCTCTCCTCACCCCACACTAGGAGGAACTCTGGGCTATAAAGCTAATCTCATAAAATTTGCTGGAGTCTGAAGTCCACCCTGGCTAAAAAAAGAGCACACCTCAGAGCCCAGCCCAGGCTGACTTTAGGTACTTTCCACTTTTATTGAAATTATGACCACATTTCTGGAGTCAAAACAGGGAAATATGACTTACAAAGAACTTCTAAATGATAAAGGGAACAAGTTCCTCTTCATGGAATATGTCATTTTCCAGGCAGAGGGCTAAGGGGCTTTACATATTATCTCACTTCATCTACACTGCAGCCCTAAGAAGAAGCTACTGTCATCTTCTTACTTGACACATGAAGGAACAAGAGGCAATGGTGCTGAAAGGGTGAGAAATGGTACAGAAATGGTAGAATTGGAAATCAAACCCTCCTCTGTCTGATGCCAAACCATCAAGTCACTTCCAGGGACATGAAACAATCTGTGGCATGCCTTTGGGATCCTGAATTAGCAGAATTTCTGGGATTTCAGTGATTTATGAGAACACTATACAATTAGCAGTGTTTCTGTACACTAACAGCAAATTATCTGAAACAGAAATTAAGAAAATTCCATTTACAATAGCTACCAAAAATTAAAATACTTGGGAATAAACTTAAGGAGGTGAAAGATCTGTACACTGAAAACTAGAAACCACTGATGAATGAGATTGAACAAGACACAAATAAGTGGAAAGATATCCCATGTTCATGGATTGGAATAATTATTATTGTTAAAATGTCCATACTACTCAAAGCAATCTACAGATTCAATGAAATACCAATCAAAATATCTATGACATTCTTCACATAAATAAAAAAACACTTATGAAATATATATGGGATCCCAAAAGACCACAAATAGTCAAAGCAATCTTGAACAGAAAGAAGAAAGCTGGAGGTATCACATTACCTGATTTCAAAATATATATAAAACTGTGGTAAACAAAACAGCATGATCCTTCCGTAACAACAGACAGATAGACCAATGGAACAGAATAGAGAGCCCAGGGACAGAATATTAGAAATTTAGAATTTCTGATTTTGAGTTTTCTAGGATGTTTGAAAGCCATCTTCTCAGAATAGGATGGTCAGAAGGTATAGAGAGGGACCCAGCCTTCAGTTATAGTTATGCAGCCTCCCAAGGCCTGGCTCGCTCTCTTTGGAACCTCTTTGGAACTTCAGGGGCTTGAAGATTCCCATTGGGCATAAGGAAGTTGAGATCTGCTCCCAGGTTTTAGTACTTTATATTTATACATTATTAATGCATAAATAAAAATATAATATGTAATAACGTTTACTATATATTTAGAGATGTTCAGTTCTATATGTAAATCAATTTATTTGTTTAAATTTTTAAAAATTTTGAACTGATCATAAACTTAGTGAAAAGTTGGATGTTCTGTACAAAGAATTATATTTTTCCTGAACCACCTGAGAGTAACCATCAGTTGCCAACCTGATATCCGGTCACATGCAGTTACTCTAACGTGTAATTCCTACAGATAAAGACGCTCTCCTTCAAAACCATAATACAGCTGTCAGAATCAGGAAGGTAAATAGATGTCTTACTGACATCCAGTCCTTAGACCCCACTCAAGTTTCACCAATTGTCCCAATAATTGCCTTTGCAGCAAAATGACCTAGTTCAGAATTACAGGTTACCTTTAGTTATCTCTTTTGTCTCCTGAATGAAAGAATTCCTCCCATCTTTCCTTGACTTTCATGATCATGGCACTTTTGAAGATTATAGGCCAGTCATTTTGTATAATGTCCCACAATCTGGTGTTTCTTTGTGATTAAACTCAAGTTATCCATCTTTGGCCAGAACATCACAGAAATGATACTGTTCTCATTGCATCCTGTCACATAGAGCTCAGTTTCCATTTGTCCCATTATTGATGATTTTGCTTTGATAATTAAGGTGTCTTCTAGGCCCCTTCACTGTAAAGATGTTTTGTCCCCATGAGTAATTAATGAGGATTTAGTGGAGAAGTATGTTGTACCTCCCATTTCTCACCAAACTTTCAATTTATTCATCTATTTGCTAATATTAGTATGGAATCACTGTTTCCTATTTTATTCAAAGGGTTGTAATCCATGATTATTATTCATTTTAATAACAAGTTGAACCCTGTACAGCTGTGGGAACTCATTTAAGCAATGTTTTGTGTCCTTTTGCCATGTCCTCATTATTCTTTGAGCAAGCACGTGCTCCAGGCTCATGTTGTACTTTCCTTGCCCTAGACCTAGAACTGACCGTTCTTGTAAGGAGCCTGGGTTGCATTTGGTGGAAAACTGCATTTTAAAGCCAAGATCTGGATTCTAGGTTTGCTCTGCTATTAGGGCATCACCACTCCCAGGTCGTCATAGTAGACAGGGTAGGGAATACATTTTGTATATGGATATATGTATGTGTGTATAGTATGTAATGATACAGGTACATACATAGACATCTGTTATGGACTGAATCTTTGAGTCCCCCAAAATTCATATGTTGAAGCCCTAGTCCCAATTGTGATAGTATTTAGAAATGGGGCTTGTGGAAGGTAATCAAGGTTAAATTAGGTTATTAGGGTGGGGTCTTCATGATGGCATTAGTGGCCTTATAAGAAGAGAGGGCATGGCTGGGCGAGGTGGCTCACACCTGTAATCCCAACACTCTGGGAGACCAAGGCAAGTGGATCACTTGAGGTCAGGAGTTCAAGACCAGCCTGGCCAAATGGTGAAACCGCGTCTCTACTAAAAATACAAAAAATTAGCTGGGCATGATGGCACATGCCTATAATCCCAGCTACTCGGGAGGCTGAGACAGGAGAATCGCTTGAACCTGGGAGGCAGAAATTGCTGTGAGCCAAGATTGCACCACTGCACTCCAGCCTGGGCAACAGAGCAAGACTTCGTCTCAAAAAAAAAAAAAAAAAAAGAGCAGCAGTCTCTCTTTCTCATTCTCTCTTTCTGTCCCATGATGTAAGGACACAGTGTGAAGGTAGGGAGCAAGCCAGGAAGAGGGCCCTAGCCAGCATCTTGATCTCGGACTTCCCAGTCTCCAGAACTATGGGCAATACATGTCTGTTGTGTAAGCCACCCAATCTAGTGTATTTTGTGATAGTAACCTGAGCTGACTAAGACAATGTCTGTATTTATTTATATACTTATATGCATTTATATAAAAATTTAAATCTCTGCTGATTTCTGCATCTATGTCTATATTGAAAATCATGAGTGCGCACTAATACCTCCAATACCAATCAACACCTCTGGGTTTATTCAAGCTCTCCTTTCCATATTTGTAACTTCTTTCTCCTACAGTGAAAGCACGGACTTCCATTGTCTCTAACATATTTACTCATTTTCTCCACTCCCTCTGTATAACAAATTTCCCATCTCTGCTGCCCACATCTCCACCATGTGGGTGATGGTTGGGTACTAACAGTGCTGACTGCCTCGCCCTACTTGGATCTAAGACAACCTTGCTGGTGGCCCCAGTGCATGTACCTCCCTGCCACCCTCTCTGGCTTTGACACATGCTCCAGGCTGCCCATTCAAGGAAGCCCTCTTCCACCCTTCTGGATTGATGACTCTGCCGGGTACCCCCTCCCCTGTGTCCTCCTCCCCATGCCTGAGCTCGGCCACCCTGCTCTAGGCTACCAGCCCCTCCCACCATGGGTCCCTGCCTTACTCTGTTCAACTAACTGCTAATGGCTTTAAAACTGAATTATTCTGGAAGGAAAGGGAACAAGGAAAGGAAGAGCATTTTATTGTGGGTTTTTTCCTGATTATTTTAGTAATACAAAATGACTTGGAGACATTTGGGGAAATATAGAAGAGACAGAGAAAGATAAAAATCCGCATTAATTCTTCCACCTAGAGAAAACCATTATTATCCCTTTCCCTCCAAAAACGTTGAACTTAAACAAAAACAACCTTCACCACCCAACCCTACCCACGAAACTACTACTTTCCTCAGTTGAGAAAAGAATATATGCACATGCCGGGCACGGTGGCTCACGCCTGGAATCCCGGCACTTTGTGAGGCCGAGGCAGGCGAATCACGAGGTCAGGAGTTTGAGAACAGCCTGGCCAACGTGGCGAAACCTTGTCTCTGCTAAAAATATAAAAATTGGCCAGGCATGGTGGCCCGCACCTGTAATCCCAGCTGCTCGGGGAGGCTGAGGCTTGAGAATTGCTTTAACCCAGGAGGCGGAGTTTGCAGTGAGCTGAGATTGCACCATTGCACTCCAGCCTGGGCGACAGAGTGAGACTCCATCTCAAAAAAAAAAAAAAAAAAAAAAAAAAAAAAAAAAGAATATGTGCACATGGTTGAAAAATTCAGAAGTAACCTTCCTTCCCACCCAGATCCCCAAGACCCCTCCCCAGATGCAACTGTTGATATCTGTGTATTGTGTATTCTTCCAGCTATTTTCTATGCATATATAATATATGTTTACTCCATTTCTCAACCAAATTGAATTTTACCTTTCTTACATATTTCCTCTTAGTCTTTTTGCTCTGCATGTATATAATCTAGCAAAATATGAACTTTTTCCTATAAGTTGTCACTTGAAGTGCCTGCACAATTTTCCATCATGTATGTGTTTCATTGGTTTCATCTCCTGTTGTTGGGTATCTGCAGTTTTTTACTATCATAAATGATGGGCTTTGTCTTTATTGTGCCAGGGGAGTCATGAAGCCAACCCAGCACAGTGAAGCAGTTCAGCTGCTTTTGGTGGCTAGTAATAGAATGTTGAGCCAAAACTGGCTAAAACAATAGAGGTTTATTTTTCTCAATAATAAGCATTCCAAGGCCGGGTGCGCTGGCTCACGCCTGTAATCCCAGCACTTTCGGAGGCTGAGGCTGGTGAATCATCTGAGGTCAGGAGTTCAAGACCGGGCTGGCCAACATGTTGAAACACCGTCTCTACCAAAAAAAAAAAAAAAAAAAAAAATTAGCCAGGCATGGTGGCTCATGCCTATAATTCCAGATACTTGGGAGGTTGAGGCACAAAAATTGCTAGAACCCGGGAGGCAGAGGTTGCAATGTGTTGAGATCGTGCCACTGTGCTCCAACCTGGGGGACAGAATGAGACTCTGTCTCAAAAAAAAAAAAAAAAAAAAAAAAAAAAAAAAGCATTCCAGAGGTGGGTGATTAAACCAGTTTTGCCCAAGATGCTAAAACACAGAAGATAACATTTCAAAGCCAAGTCACTATAGGTAGAATTTCCAAAGCGCAGGTTTGAGGGCCTCTCCCTGTGTTCCTGAACTCCTCACCCTTTTCAGGATTGAGAGAGGGGAAAGAGAAGATTCTTCAACTGTTTTTTTTCTTCAGATTTCTTCTGAGGTGCCCAGGATGGAGGTTTTACTGCCCTCAACTTAAGGCAGGTCTCAGACAGAGCATTGAGACCTACTTCTTGACTGACAAGTGAGAGAGCTATCGAGACCTGTGGCTGCCAGACAGGAGGCCTATGCTGGAGGCAGCCACTGTGATGCTGAGTGCTTCTCCGGCTCTGGCATGCAGCACTCAGGAGAGAAATGCTGCTAGTCCAATGAGGGCAGGGGATCCCCTCAGAAGAAAGTGGGAAGTGGGCACAGCACCCCTGTGAGGCTGAGGGAGGAGACCCCAGGACAGATGCATCCCCTCAAGAGACCTGCAGGGAATCCCGGAGTAGCAATCTCCTAAGAGCCTGCAGAAGTATCCGTGAGAAAAAAATCAGTTGGGTCACAACAGAGACCCCAGCTGGCTTTTAGCAGTACCCACTTAGGAAAGACTCTACCGGTTGTCTTTCCCACGCCCTGGCCCTAAGGGATCAAGCACACCCTAGCAGCCTCGTAGGGGTGAGCGTTGGGTGGAAGGAGAAGAAGCATGAGGCAGAAAAAGAAAGAAACACCAGCCATGGCCTCTTTACACTTCAGGCTGTGGGCCTGAGACAGGCCTGGTGATGGAACGGAGACACGATGCAAAATCAGATTCAGGCTTTTATTCATCTTGTACTATTCTGATTCCACAACTGCAAATCTGTTGGCTAGGGAAAGTGACTTTGGGTTATCTGTTACCTGAGGGTGAGGACAAAAGTCAT
This sequence comes from Homo sapiens, assembly GCF_000001405.40. Classification (NCBI taxonomy): domain Eukaryota; kingdom Metazoa; phylum Chordata; class Mammalia; order Primates; family Hominidae; genus Homo; species Homo sapiens. The sequence continues at coordinate 94,552,033 of NC_000012.12, read as the reverse complement.
GGACCTGCCAGAGTTTTCATCCAGTAGGGGAATATCACCCCACTGAAGAGTTTCCAGGGCCAATGGGAGCAACAGTAGAGTTCATTTTCATCACACCTAATGAGCTGTGTCCTTGACATTCCAGTTACAAGCAGAGCTAAAGTGGCTGAAGCAACAGAGGTTTATTTTTATTTTTATTTTTTGAGACGGAGTTTCACTCTTGTCGCCCAGGCTGGAGTGCAGTGGCACGATCTCAGATCACTGCAACCTCCACCTCCCGGGTTCAAGCAATTCTCCTGCCTCAGGCTCCCGAGTAGCTGGGATTACAGGTGCCCACCACCACACCCGGCTAATTTTTGTATTTTCAGTAGAGACGGGGTTTCACCATGTTGGCCAGGCTGGTCTCGAACTCCTGACCTCAGGTAATCCACCCACCTCGGCCTCCCACAGTGCTGGGATTATAGGCATGAGCCACCGCACCCGGCCGAGGGTTTATTTTTCTCACCTAAAAAGAAGTTGGGAGGCAGGTGGCTGCAGGGTTGATTTATTAGCTCAGTGAAGGCCAAGGACCATGCTCAGCCGTCCTCTTGCTCTTGCTCTACTGGCCTCCGTCTATCAGTAATGTCTCCCCTCCTGGCCACAAGATGGCTGCCCTGGATCCAGGCATCACATCCTCACACAGAAAAACATGCTAGACAGGCTCTCCTTCCCTTTTACAGAGAGGAAAATCTCTTCTAGAAGTGCCCCCGAAAGACCAACTTTATGACTCTTGAGCCAGAACTTGGTCACATGTCCATCCCTCCAGCACATTTCCTGAACGTCTCCACTTCCTTACTGCCTAAGTTTCCTCAAACCACTGTAAACTAGAATCAGTACCTCCCTCCCAAGAATTGCATCCAATGAGGTCATCGACCACCTAATTGCCAAAACCAGTGCATGCATTTCACAGCCTGGCCTTACTTGGTTTCTAGATTGGTCAACACTGGAGACCTCTTCCTGTTCTTTGAAGCTTAATCCCTTAGGGTGTTTTCTCTCCAGGTCTCCGTGTACCTCTCCACCACTCTTCAGGGTTCTGTGGCTCCCCGTCCTTCCTACACACCCTCTGTGGACCCAGCTGCCGCCTGTGTGGCAAATACTACTACAGTTACATAGCTAGTAGCATCTACCTCTTTTATAAGCAGTGGATCTATATTTTAAATTTCTTATATAATATTGGTTCAGGATGTTCCTAGAGAACCTCAAACGAAAACACCAAGGTCATTGTTTTTTCCCTTACACCAAGTCTGCTCTTTCTGTACTCTTTATTTCCATTAAAAGGCACCACCACCACCCAAGCTAGAAACCTCAGAACCATCTTCCTTGTCATTACCACCATCAACCCATGTCAATTCTACCTTCTAAATACATCTCAAAATCATCATCTCTCCATCTCAACCGCAGCTGCACTAGTTCTGGTCCAGTTCTTCCCAGGACAGTTCTAACAGCCTTTTTTTTTTCTTTTACAACTTACAAAACATAATTTTATTTAAACTTGTATAGATAAAAATCTACCAAAATTTAAACAAAAACTTTATCCAAATCCTTTCCCACAACAAAATTGGACATCATGGAAAAAAAAAACATTCAGATAAGGTTCCCATCTTTCTACCATCAACTGGTAGATCCTGGGAGGATGAGGTGTAAGAGATAAACGAGGAGAGAAGATACTGATACCCAACACAATTTGATCTTCAGTGTTGTCTCATCTTGAAATGACTTAATAACAGAGATTTCCATAAGAATCAGGATTCATTTTTGACCCAAAAATGGAAGCTTCCACTCCAAAGTCACAAATAAGGTTTCTGGTTTTATTTTTAGTGTGAGGTAAACAGTATATTCAATATTAAACCAAATGGTAAAAACACATGGATGGTATATTAATGCAGACCTTCCATTATTAAGTATATTTTGGAACACTCATGGATTTTTCAAACATATGTTGGAATTAGAAACCTGTAAAATCTGCTGCAGTGTGTAATAGCTATTTGTTTGAATGTCTTGGCAGTGCCTTTTTAGTAGCTAATGTTCAGTGTAATCTTGTGCCTTTTTAGTAATTAATATATTAAATATAATCTTGTCTGAGTTTTTAAATGGTCTGTTCTTCTTTTTCATTATGTAGGATTAGATGCCCACCAAAATTCTTGTAAATGAAGCAGGACCCGATTTCAAATTCTGTCTATACACACAATATTTGGTCACATAGACCGCTCCCCAAAGTCTGCAAAACACTGCCTACTGGGCAGGCTTACAGTGACAGAAAAGTATGAGAATACGAGATATTATTTTTATAAAGACTAAAATCAGATTTAGGCTGTCTAGATAGCTTATTCCAGAAAACACAGATTTAAGATTTTTCAGTGATTCTTGCCTTCACCCCCCCTTTTCCTCCCCAACGAGATAACCATTTCTTTCACAATGATGAACCATCCCTTTTTATGGAAAAATGGCTTTGTTTCTCCATCGGATCAGGACAAAGACATCACTTCTTGGCCACACTGGCCACAGCCTTCTTGGCTGCATCCTCCAGGTCAACGGCTGAAGTAATGGGGAGTCTGCTGTTGAGTATTTCCTGGGCCTCTTGGACGTTGGTTCCTTCAAGCCAAACCACAAGGGGCACCTTGAGTTCTAGCTCCTGGCAGGCTTTGGTGATCCCATTGGCAATGATGGCACAGTTGACGATACCACCAAAAATATTGACAAGGATGGCTTCAACCTTAGGATCAGCTGTGGGCAATGTGAATGCTTGATATACTTGAGCTTCCTTTACACCACCTCCAAGATCCAAGAAGCTGGCTGGCTTCCTACCATTAAGGAAAATGATATCACAAGTAGCCATGGCGAGCCCAGCACCATTCACAAAGCAGGCAATGTTCCCATCTAGTCCTATGTATTTTAGATCATATTTGGCAGCTTCATTTTCAATGGGCTCATTCTCTGATTTGTCGTCCATAGCAAATATGTCTTTTTGTTGGAATTCTGCATTGTCATCAAAGTTTATCTTGGCATCAAAACAGACAACTTGTCCTTCTGGAGTTTCACCAAAGGGATTCACTTCCACCTGAGTAGCATCAATTTTCAGGAAGAGATTATACAGCTTCGTAATTTGATCTGCAGCCTGGCTTTTCAAAGGCCCAACGAAGCCTAGATTTTCTGCCATCCGCTGAGCTTGGCTGTCCTTTATTCCTTCAAAAATGTCAATTTGCTCCTTAAAAATGAGCTCTGGGTTTGAAGCAGCCACCTCTTCAATGTCGATGCCCTCCTGGGGGCTGCCCACCAGCATGGGGCCATTGCAGGACTGGTCCATCAGAATTGCCAGGTAGGTTTCTCTGGAAATGTCCAAGGCTTCAGCAACCATCACCTTGTTAACTTTCACACCTTCTTTTGGAGTTTGTTTTGTCGCTAGATTGTACCCAATCATCTGTTTAGCCAGCTGTCCCACAACATTAGGGTCTTTTGTTAAATGAACACCTCTTTTCAAACCACTATTGAAGACACCTTTTCCTCTTCCTCCAGCTAAGATCTGGGCTTTTAAAACAATTTCTTTTGCATTTAGTCTCTTAGCGGCCTCAAGAGCTTCATTCGCAGTGTCTGCTACAAAGAATCTTTGAACTGTCACTCTGTTATCAGACATCAGTTTCTTGCTCTGGCATTCCTGCAGGCTCAGCCATCTTCTGGAGGTTAATTGAACTGCCCGGGACCTGGCCACCAGGAAGCGGGGCAGCAGCGCTAGGGCTTGCAGAAGCTTCCAGGCCTGCGCTGCCATGGGGGACGCTATCTTAAACAGGAAACCTAGCACTCTAACAGCCTTTTAACTACTGCCCCTTTCCCTTTTTTCCTGCCTTGTGTGAAGATGTGATGCGTGGAACCGTGGCAGCCATCTTGCAACCATGAAGTGATGAGAATGAGAACTAAAAGCCAAGCAGCTAAGGATGGCAGAAGAAAGCCGGACAGGAGCTGGGTCTCTGTGAGCCCCGTTGAGCAGTTGAGTCAATGCTGGGAATCATCTGTCTGGAGACTTCTTGTGATGTGAAGTCTTAAATGTCTTTCCTTATGCCTTTGATAATGGCCATTAGTTGCATCATAAGCCATTTGTAATTGACACAGGGAGTAGGAAGATGAAGGTAACAATGTGAGCAAACTTATCACATGTTGATGTGGCGCTCTTGAAGCAGCTATTTTAGTCTGAGAGGCAGTTTTTTTGTTTGTTTGCTTTTTTTTAGGTAGCTGGGGGGAAAGCCAAACTATTAAATATTTAGTTTTTAATTATTGTTACTAAGTAGTACATTCAGTAGTCATCAGGCCCACATCCCTTGTCCCTTGTTTGTCTTTTTCACTTAGGCCTGCTTTGAATTTTTAATATAAAACAGTGTTTCGAGCAATTTTGTGGAGAGTGTTTTCAAATGGTCACATCAGACATTCCCTGGGTCAAAATGGCCACAGCAAATAGGCCTCCGCCAAGTGTATGGCCTCACCTGGAGCAAAGGCACGGGAGGCAGGGATCTGTGGAGTAGGGTGAGGACACAGCAAGTTAAGATGGGGGCGGGGTCATGTGGAGTGGAACTCAGAGAGTTGGGGGTTGAGTGTAGAGTAGAATAGGGGCAAAATATGTGAAATGCAGGGCTTGGGAAAGGTGGGAGCCCTTCTTTCCCAAATGCAAATTGGGAGCACCCATTTCACTGGGATGTTCTTGGCCTCCATCCCATCCTGCCTATTTTGTGCACCTTCAGATGGCCTGCTCTCATCTCAGCCCCACCTGGGGGCCTGTGAGAAACGTGGTTGCCCCAGTGTCACACAGGAAGTATGGCTGTCTCTGCTGCTGAGGTCTAAAGTCCATCCTGGGGTGAAGATGTGGTCGTCTGGTTGGAATCAGGGACCAGGAGACTTGACTGGAAGTTTCTAGTGTCTGATGCTGGTTGCTTAGGGGAGTCACCAGACAGTCCCCATGATGCCACCTGCAGAGGAAGTAGAAAGATGAGATCCAGAGATCCAGAGCAGAGAGAGAGTGGAGGACCCAGCGGCCGATGGGGACAGTGCAGAGCATCCCCATCCATATTCAGACATGCAGATGGATTGGAGTACTTGACGATGATTGCATAGCATCCGGATTGGGAATGACGAATTCAGCCTCCACCACAAGTGCAAAGTCCCTGGGACCAGCTGTCCAGAGTCACCCAGTTCTTAATCACTAGACCTCTGGAGATAATGGTCCCCATCCTCACACTTCACCCTTCCCCAGACTGCCCCAAATGTAGCTCTTCTGATGACAGTATTCTCCAGGCTTTATGAAGTTTTACTAATTGTGGCTGGTTAGTTATTTCTGAAGAAATTGTTTCTAGTCCCGGTGTTGAAGGATAGCACTTGAGCAAACAGACAAAACACTTAATAAACATTCCAAGGCCATTGGCCTTTGGAGAAAGCTTGTCTTTTGGTCATATCACTTCTTCTAATGTGGCTTTTTTCCCCCTCAGAGAAGGGTGTTAGAGGACAGGGCATTTTCCCTCTAGACATTGTCAGCGGGACAGTTCCATGAGTGTATTGGCGGTTCCTGGTCATGTGCTGTGATCACCAAGGTTCAGCCATTTTTGTGTCTGGGGAACCGGCAGGTTCCTTCGGTATAACGCTCCCCATTGCTGAGGTTATAGCAACCTCTAGGGGTTGCCACGGGTTACTGTGCTGGCTACAGTGTCTTGGATCCCTTTAAAGTTGGAGTTCTCAGGGTTTCCTACAGGTGTTCCAGGGGAGCACGGAGGGTCTGATGGCTGGACTTTAGCGTCGCCTCCATCTGCTGCCCATGGTCTGCAACTTAGGGTGTCAGCTTGCCTAGACCCACCTAAGAATCACCCCCACTCTAACTGCACACACGCAACATACACACGTGCGCACACAGCCCCTGCTCTGAAGGGGGTGTGCATTTGCCTCACTCCTCTTGTTGAAGCCCCCCGAGTTCCCCTAGTTCTTCCCTATGTCCCCAACCTCCTCATTCGCTGAACACAAACAAGTGTGTTTGTGTTCACATGTGGCCCTGGAGAGCTGTTGCCAAGCGGCATTTACCATTTTCCTGAATCTCTTAGCAGGGGCGTTCCAGGCTCTAGTTTTTATGATTTATCTCAAAATCCAATCCAATCTCGTCACCCTCTGCTTACAGCCTGTGGCAATTTCCCATTTCCCCTTCTTGTGGCCTATAAGGCCCCTTTCCCGTCTCCCTGCCCTCTTCACCCTCGTCTCTCCTGACACACCATCCCCACCTGCTAGTCAGAATGAATTTCTTTTTGTACTTCAAAAGCTCTCTTCTTATTCTTGAAATGTTACAATTAATCCCATGTGGCCACAGCTCTGTGTACAGCATGGCAGTGTCTAATAATTAGTTATGAGTGTGTGGGTATCATCCAGTATTCAGCAGGGCAACTGTGATTTGCCCACTGCAAAGCTCCAAGTACCCACTTTGAAAGATACCAAAGAAGGTTAAGACACAGTTCCTACTTCCAGGGAATTTTACCTTCTAGTTGGGTAAGACATGAACACATGAAATGACTAGAAAACAAGGAAGTGTTAAAACAGAGGTTGCAAACTGGTGGACTATGAGCTGAAGCTAGGCCTTAAAAAATGTGTCTTGTTTCAAAATAACAATCTTAGCCAGCTCAGTTGTCATTTTCCAATTTTTAAAATTCTGGTAAAATACATATAACATTAAATTTACTATTTCAACCATTTTTAAGTGTGAAATTCAGTGGCACTAAGTACATTCATATTGGTGTGCAGCCATCCCCACCGTCTACCTCCAGAACTTTTTTCATAATTTTTTTTTTTTTTTAAGATGGAGTCTCACTCTGTCACCCAGGCTGGAGTGCAGTGGCGCGATCTCGGCTCACTGCAACCTCCGCCTCCCAGGTTCAAGCGATTCTCCTGTCTCAGCCTCCCAAGTAGCTGGGACTACAGGCACCTGCCACTGTGCCCAGATAATTTTTTGTATTTTTAGTGGACATGAGGTTTCACCATGTTGGCCAGGCTGGTCTCAAACTCCTGACCTCAGGTGATCTACCCACCTCGGCCTCCCAAAGTGCTGGGATTACAGGCGTGAGCCACTGCACCCAGCCTAGAACTTTTTTCATCTTGCGAATCTGAAACTTTGTACCCATTAATCACTAATTCCCCATTCTTGCCCCCCACCCACTTCCTGGCAACCACCATTTCACTGTCTCTGTGGTTTTGACTAAGTATTGCAGCTCATACGAATGGAATCGAACAGTAATTTATCCTTCTATTACTGACTTATTTCATTTAGCAGAATGTCCTGAGGATTCATCTGTGTTGCATATATCAGCATTTCCCTCCTCGTAAGGCTAAATAATATTCCATCATGTGATATATATATATGTGTGTCACATTTTGCTTATCTATTCATTTGTCAATGGACACTTGGGTTGCATCCGCATTTTAGCTCTCATGAATAATGCTGCTATGAATATGGGTGTACAAATATATCTTCAAGACTCTGCTTTCAGTTCTTTTGAGTATATACCCAGAAGTGGAATTGCTGGATCATATGCTAATTCTATTTTTAAATGTTTGAGGAACTGCCATACTGTTTTCTACAGCAGCTGCACCGTTTTCCATTCCCACCAACAGCGCTCCAATTTCTCTACATCCTCACCAACACTTATTTTCTATTTTGTTTTTGTTTGGTTTTGTTTTTTACTAGTAGCCGTTGTAATGGATGTGAGGTGGCCAACACAGTTAATTTTTAAAAAATTAGTTATCAATGTCTTAAAATCAAATTTCACTTTAAAAATGTATATTTTCAGTTTTTTTGAAAAATTGGAAAACTCTGGCTGGTCTGGCCTGTCCTTGTCCCTGGTAACAGTTGGCTAGAGCTAAGTAGCAACTGCCCCTTGGCACAGGGCAGGGCCTGCAATTTCCAGCTCAGCTCGCACCTCTCCTGTAGGTTCCTTAACACAAAAAATAAAAGCAGGTGCCTCTCACCCCAGCACTGCCACTTTTCCCCACTGAACGGTCAGGAAGAGAGGATTTTCCTTGTATTCATCCTTGATAAAATGTGGCAAAACTAAAAGCAGACAGGGAGATAGGGAGTGAATGTCATTTTTGTGATAGTGTATACTGATTATGTTTAATTGGTAGATTAGTCCATTCTCACACTGCTGTAAAGAAATACCTGAGACTGGGTAATTTATTTTTATTTTAAAAAGAGGTTTAACTGGATCATGGTTCTGCAGGCTGTACAGGAAGCATGACGGCATCAGCTCCTGGGAGGCCTCAGGGAACTTACAATCATGGCAGAAGATGAAGGGGGCGGAGTGAGGCATCTCATGGTGGGAGAAGGAGCAAGAGAGAGAGGTGGGTAAGTGCTAGCCAGTTCTCATGTAACTGGTTACACAACCAGTAAATAACCTGTTGAGAATAACCAATTCTCATGAGAACTCTATCACGAGAACAGCACCCAAGGGTTGGTACTAAACCCTTCGTGAAGGATCCACCCCTATAATCCAATCACCTCCCACCAGGCCCCACCTCCAACTCTGGGGATTACAATTGAACATGAGGTTTGGGTAGGGACACGGATCCAAACCATATCAATTGGCAAATACAGTTTCTTATAGTCAAGCACTTCACTCATGTTAGTTCTTCCTGGCCCCTATAGGCATTTGAGTTTGTGATCCTTGGGTTAAACTCTTGGCCACTAGGTATTCTGAGACAATGGCTGCTCTGGGAGCAGGCTGATCAAAGGCAGTTTGAGAAAGGAGGCAGATTTTCACCTCTGCCTTGAAGGATCATGTATTAGTTTGCTAGGGTTGCCATAAGGAACACCACAGACTAGCTGGCTTAAACAACAGAAATTGATTTTCTCACAATTCTGCAGGTTAGAAGTTTGAGATCAGTGTCGGCAGGTTGATTTCTTTGGAGGGCTCTCTCCTTGGCTTGTTGGGGGCCACCTTCTTGCTGTGGCCTCACATGGTCTTCGCCTGTACCTGTCTGCATCCTAATCTCCTGTTCTTACAAGGATACCAGTCATATTGAATTAGGGCTCACCTCTATGACCTCATTTTACCTTAATCACCTCTTTAAAGACTCTATCTCCAAACAGTATCATATTCCCAAGTACTGGAGGTTAGGACTTCAACATGTGAATTTTGGAAGGACACAATTCAGCCCATAACAGATAGATAGGACCAGGAAGGAGGAGAGAGAAGGTACAGTGGGCATGCATTTTGCTATCTTCTTAGCACCTGTATCCATTTCTTGTTGCTATTATAACAAATTGCCACAAATGTATTGGTTTTAACAACACAAATTCATTTTTTTCCAGTTCTGGAAGTTCTAAAATGAAGCACTGGCAGAGCTACAATCCTTCTGGAGGCTGCAGGAGGGATCTAGCGCTTTGCCTTTTCCAGTTTATAGAGGCTGCCCATGTTCCTTGGCTCATGGCCCCACATGATCTGACCTTCACATTCATCTTTATGTCTCCTCTGTCTCTGACTTTCTTCTGTCTTTTTGTTTTTTGAACAGAGACAGGGTCTCACCCTGTCATCCAGGCTGGAGTACAGTGGTGTGATTATAACCTACTGCAGCCTGGAACTGCTGGGCTCCAGCGATCCTCTTGCCTTGGCCTCCCAAAGCTCTGGGACTATAGGTGCACATCACCACGCCTGGCCTCCTGCCTCTTTTTTGTCAGGATCCTTGTGATTATATTAAGCCCACCCAGATAATCCAGGATCATCTGCCCATTTCAAGATTTTTTTTTTTTTTTTGAGACGGAGTTTCCCTCTTGTTACCCAGGCTGGAGTACAATGGCGTGATTTTGGCTCACTGTAACCTCCACTTCCTGGGTTCAAGTGATTCTCCTGCCTCAGCTTTCTGAGTAGCTGGGATTACAGGTGTGTAATTAGCCTGTAGGCACAAAATTACCCACCATGCCTGGCTAATTTTATATTTTTAGAAGAGATGGAGTTTCTCCACATTGGTCAGGTTGGTCTCAAGCTCCCAACCTCAGGTGATCTGCCTGCCTCAGCCTTCCAAAGTGCTGGGATTACAAGCATGAGCCAACACGCCCAGCCTCAAGATTCTTAATCAAGTTTGCAAAATCCCAGGGATTAGGACATGGACATCTTGGGCAGGGACAGGGAAGGGATTGTTCTTTTGACCACAGCACATCTTCCTTCTTCCCCACTCCAACCTTGAAGACCTAGTGGGCGCTGTCCCTCAGAGCCCCCCATGAGAGTGTTCACATGGCCCACACTGGCCAATGTGGCCCTTGGAGGGGTTTCCCTGGAGTGGCAAAGCAGTGCGATTTGAGTCAGGGACTGGCAGAGGTCCAGCCTCCTGTAAGGTTGAAGTTTTCATCTGCATTTGTGGAGATGGAAACTGAGGTGTAGCAAGAAGGAAATAGTTCTGGTGGCATTTTTATCATCGGTTCCAATTGTTCCCAAAGCCAGCAGTTTAGGGGTCAGTATATCCTCCAGTTGTTTTGGTTCAGTTGGGTTTCTGTCCCTGCAGATCAAAATCATCTTGACATATACAGCAGCTATTTTGAATGAAGCCTAGACAGTACGGGAGTGCGGAGACAGCAGAAGCAGAGATGAGTTATCTTGAACCTAATGAAGCTTGAGCTTCAGGGCTACTACCTTATGTGAGTCCCTCTAAGGCCCTAGATGGGAGTCGTGTTCATACACTTTGCAGAATTTTTAGAAGATATATTAGTTGCAATTATTAGGACCACAACTAGCCAGGTACAGTGGTGTGTACCTGTGGTCCCAGCTACTCAGGAGGCTGAGGTGGGAGGAATGCTTGAGCCCAGGAGTTTGAGAACAGCCTGGGCAACATAGTGATACCCCATTCCCCAAATATAAAATACAATAAAATAAAACAAAATATTAAGACCACATCAGCCTCCTTCCATTTCAATAGAGGGGACTCTATTAAATCTTCCCCATACCTAGCCCTGAAGTGAACATGTGCATTTAAAAAAACAGCTATGAAGAAATCAAGTCGAGGACATGTTTAATTTGTGTTAAATAGGATATATTTATAGTCATTTTGTTAAGTTTGCTAGTTGGTGGGGTATAGATATGGTTTTTAGAAAAGCTCTTTCTCGGCTGGACGCAGTGGCTCACGCCTGTAATCCCAGTGCTTTGGGAGGCCAAGACAGGTGGATTACCTGAGGTCAGGAGTTCGAGACCAGCCTGGCCAACATGGTGAAACCCCATCTCTACTAAAAATACAAAAAATGAGCCGGGTGTGGTGACAGGCACCTGTAATCCCAGGTACTCGGGAGGCTGAGGCAGGAGAATTGCTTGAACCCAGGAGGTGGAGGTTGTAGTGAAATGAGATTGTGCCACTGCACTCCAGCCTGGGCGACGGAGTGAAACTCCGTCTCAAAAAAAGAGAGAAAAGCTCTGCTCTTTCTGCACTGACCCATCCAGCCTCATAACAAGAAGGTGCAGGGCAAGAGGTCATATTGGAGTATGAATGTGCCCCACAGTGCTGGCCACCAGAAACACATGGGGAATGGATGAGAAACAAGTTGGAAATGAACGGGGCCAAAGGCCAGTCTGTTGAAAAATTCTTACAATCATCAAACTTGTAAAATGGACAGTTGGATTCTTTATTTCTGGTCAGAATTGAAATTCTTTCCTGTCTGGAATATACTAGATAAAGCTATCTAGACACATTATACATTTTTTTTTCATTTTTTGATGGAAATTGTACAAATTTAAATTTATTAGGATTTCTGTGGAACCTGATAATAAACCCACAGAATTAAAGCAAATAGTGAGTATGTTTTTGTGTAAAATTGCGTGATTCCTATATCCTAATGTATTGGACTATGTCTTAGCAAGACATTACCAATAACAGATTGTGAAGCTAAAATAAACTTTTCTAAACTATCAACCATGCTAGAAAACAGCCTGAAATCTCTTTCTATTCCCTTTATGGATAATGGTATTTCAAACTTCTTGTCACATGAAGAGACAGTCAAAGAGCATGCATCCAAAAAGGAATGAAAAAAGTCTGTAGAAGTGTGTCAGATAATTCATTAACACAAACTCATATTATTTTTCTATATTTTGTATTTTTCTGGTATTTGCGGGCTTTTAAGCTTTGTGATTTGTTTTAATTTTTTTTTTTTTTTTGAGACAGAGTCTTGCTCTGTCGCCCAGGCTGGAGTGCAGTGGTGCAATCTCGGCTCACTGCAAGCTCCGCCTCCCGGGTTCACGCCATTCTCCTGCTTCAGCCTCCCGAGTAGTTGGGACTACAGGTGCCCCCCACCATGCTCGGTTAATTTTTTTGTATTTTTAGTAGAGATGGGGTTTCACTGTGTTAGCCAGGATGGTCTCGATCTCCTGACCTCGTGATCCACCCGCCTCGGTCTCCCAAAGTGCTGGGATTACAGGCATGAGCCACCACGCCCGGCCTGTTATAATGTATTTTCTAATTCTATTCATTTTGATATTTAATTTTGTATTCATAATTTTTTTTTAAGAGTTGAGGTCTCACTGTGTCACACAGGCTACATGTAGTGGTACAATTATAGCTCACTGCAGCCTCAAGCTCCTGGGCTCAAATGACCCTCCCACCTCAGCCTCCCAAGTAGCTAGGACATGCTCCCACCTCAGCCTCCCAAGTAGCTAGGTGTGCACCACCATGCCTGCTTTATGTATTTATTTATTTTGTAGAGATGGTCTTGCTATGTTGCCCAGGCTGTTTTCCAACTCCTGATTCAAGGGATCCTCCCACCTAGGCCTCCCGAAGTGCTGAGATTACAAGCATGCGCCACTGGGCCTGGCCTGCAATTTTGCATTCATTGTCTTTAAAAGAGCACCCCATTATTCAGGCCCCACTAACTGGAATAGCTCCCATACGCAGGCTACAGTGAAGAGATGTAGGTGGCCAGCCTCCCTAGAACAGGGGCTGAGAGCCGAGGAATCATGGCAAGCAGGTAGAGAGGGAGACAGGTGGGGACACTGAGGATGGAGGATGTGAAAAGCTGAGTGTGGGAGGACAGGCTCGTTGAGGTTGATACTGCATGATGGGTTCCTGTCATGGAGAGTGACAGGAGAGAGGGGCTCCTTTTCTCTGGGAACAGATGTTTCCAGCTGCTTCAACCTTCTGCACCTGTAATGAGTGGAGAGATGATTAAAGACTAAAACAGGTGGTATGTTCCAGAATCCTGAAAAAGAGTCAAAAACATGTCACTCTCTGTAACTGAGATTTTTAAGAGCCAGCATCAAATGGATGAGGGTAATCACAGGTTGGGTGCCTCCCAGATCTCACAAGAGTCCTCAAGGAATAAGGTAGCCCCTCAATTCATCAAGAGTTGAGAGTGTATACTCAAACCCCATCCAGGAAGCACCAATTTAAATGTAACTAATAAAAAAATGCACTTTCCAATAATACAGCTAAAAGGATAATGACATATGATAAAGTATTTAAAAAGCAAATTTAAAAGTGGCAGTTCCACATGCATACATACATACACAGATGAATACATTAGACTAAAAAAACTATGAGGCAGAAAACATCTAATGATTTTTATGCAAGGACAAATGACACATAGGGAAAACATGTGTAACTCATAGCCAAAAAATAATTTTCCTAATGTATCAGCACTCCTATAAATTGATTTTTTAAACCCAAAATCTAATAGAAAATTAGGTAGTTCATAAGAAAGGAAATAGAAATGCCTCCTAGATATAGGTAAAAATATTAAATCTTTGAGTAAGAAAATGAAAAATAAAATTACTCTGCAATATCACTTTTTTTTTTTTTTTTTGAGACAAAGTCTTGCTGTGTCACCCAGGCTGGAGTACAGTGGCACAATCTCAGTTCACTACAACCTCTGCCTCCTGGGTTCAAGTAATTCTCCTGCCTCAGCCCCCTCAAGTACCTGGGATTACAGGTGCCTGTCACCACACCTGGCTCATTTTTTGTATTTTTAGTAGAGATGGAGTTTCACCATGTTGCCCAAGCTGGTCTCGAACTGCTGACCTCAGGTGATCCGCCCACCTCGGCCTCCCAAAGTGCTGGGATTACAGGCATGAGCCACCACGTCTGGCCGCAATATCACTTTTCAACTGGCAAAGATAAAAGAAAGTTTGATAAGGATGTATGGAAACAAAGTGTCTCATAAATTGTTGGTGGGGCTTGGCACGGTGGCTCAAGCCTGTAATCCAAAAGCTTTGAGAGGCTGAGGCAGGAGGATTGCCTGAGCCTAGGAGTTCAAGACCACCCTGGGCAACATAGTGAAACCCCCTCTCTACAAAAAATAAAAAATAAAAAAATAAAAATAATTAGCCAGGCATTGGGGTGCACAGCTGTAGTCCCAGCTACTCGGGAGGTTGAGGTAGGAGGATCCCTTGAGCCCAGGAGTTTGAGGCTGCAGTGAGCTATAATCACACTGCTGCACTCCAGCCTGGGTGACAGAGCGAGACCCTGCCTCAAAAATAAAAAATTTAAAAATCACTGGTAGTGGTAGAGATACAATTTCTGTGGAGAGCAATTTGTCAATTTCTATTCATATTATAAGTGCATATACCCTTTGATGCAGCAGTTTAACTTCTTAGAATGTATTTTATGGGTATGGTCACATATGAATGACATGACATGTATATACAAGATTGTTTCCAACACTCTGTAATAACAAAAGATGGGAGATAGCCTACATGTCCATCTAGAGTGGCCAAGTAAATAAATTACTAGATATCCATATATTGGAATATTACTCAGCCATAGAGAAGAATGGGGGAGCTTTGTTTAAATGGACATGAAATAATCTTCAAGATATACAAGTGAAAACAGCAATATATAGAAGATATATAAAGTACACTACGCTTTAAAAAGAACAGGTGGGGCTGGGCACGGTGGCTCATGCCTGTAATCCCAGCACTTTGGGAGGCCGAGGCAGGCAGATCACCTGAGGTCAGGAGTTCAAGACCAGCCTGGCCAACATGGCAAAATCCCCTGTGTACTAAAAATACAAAAATTAGCCAGGTGTGGTGGCGGGTGCCTATAATCCCAGCTGCTTGGGAGGCTGAGACAGGAGAATCACTTTAACCCAGGAGGCAGAGGCTGCAGTGAGCTGAGATTGTTGCACTGCCCTCCAGGCTGGGTGACAGAGCAAGACTCTGCCTCAAAAAAAAAAAAAAAAAAAAAAAAGATAGGAAGAATGTAGCTGTGTGTGTATCTTTCTGAATAAGCATGAAGTATCTGTAAGGATCTATCGGAAACTCATGACATCCACTGCCTCCAGAGAGAGGCTCTGGGTGTGAGGATGTAAGAAAGAGCCCAGTGTCTTCCTGGTACAGAGTGGATCACAGGAATCCTAATCAACTCAGCAAATGCTAGTTGAGGGCTGGCCTTGTGCCGAGCACAGTGGCAGGTGCCAGGGGTGCAGCAGTTAATAGAGCAGACAAGTGTCCTGCCCTCCTGGAACTTACACCCTAGAGAATGAAACAGGCAATAAACAAGTAAGATAGATGGACAAACAGTCCGCTACACAGAAAGAAAAAGAGGTGCAGTGCTTGAAGAAAGTTAAAAATGGCACATGGAAAGGGTAAATGGGGTTGGCGTATCTATTATTTACATGGGGTGGTGGCCAGGGAAAGTCTCGTGTCATCCAGATATCAGGGGTGCAAGTATCCAGGACACAGCAAGTGCAAAGAGCTGACATAGGTATGATTGAGGAAGAGTGAGGAAGCCAGTGCGGCTGAAGCAGGGAGAGGGAAAGGGACTGAGGCCGGCGCTGGAATGTGTCCCTGCATCAACTGTTCTCGGGCACAGTGCAGGCTGCCTGGGCCTGCTGGGGGTGGTGTGAACTGTAGAAGAGAAATGGGTTGGGACATCCAACATTCTCAGTGATGCCTGTCTCTTTTTAGCCAATGGGTGTAATGACTTCTCTCTGAAATAACTTTCTGGGACAAGGCAGCCCTTTGACAATTCTAGTACCACGTCCCAAACATAGCGCTTGTCCCCGTAGCACAAAAGCCATCCTCCTTTCTCTTAGAGAGCCTGTGTGTCTTGGAAGGAAACAGATGCAAACATCTCTTCTAATATTGGCTGTTCCTGAGCCTATATGTTCCAGAAGTGGTCACAGATCAAACAGCCTTCTGCCCTTCTGTTTGGAAAGACGGCTGGGCCCCCAGGGAACCCCGGCTTCCACCGGGGGTGCACTTTCTCTGTGTGACATGTGCTATGTCAACTTTCTAGTCACAGTGGGTCCTCGTTCTTTAAGACAACAAATCCCCAGGGGAAGCGGGTTGACTCCTGCATAATTGGACAGTTGGCTGTATCCAGAGAGGAGTGTTTACAGAGCACATCAAGAGCCAGCCTGGGGACCCACGTGTTTGCTCAGTATCCACACGGCAAACAGCAAGAGCCTCCCTTGAATGGAGGGGTCAGGAAGGGATTTTCCTCAAATCTAAGTAAGCCTCTGGGGTGACAGCTCATTCAAAAGGCCATGGTGTAGGAAAGAGTGTCCTGGAATATGGGTGCCAGACCTTTGTCGTCTGGAGTGGACACAAAGAGTCTTTGCTCTCCCAGTTTGCTTTCTAGCAACAGAATCGACCCGGGGATACTGAGGGGGACCTGGGCCTGTTTCAGGGTCTAAGTGTCTGGAACCAGAACCCAAGGCCAGCTGTCAAGCAGGGGGCGGAGAGAAGGAGGGTGGCCCACTAGCTGTGCTCATAACAGAGGCCCAAGGCTTTTACGCGCATGATTAGTGATGAGCCGGTTGCCTGGCAACCGCAGCCCCTTCCCCCTTCTATCCATACCCCTCAGGCGGCATGTAATGTCTGTGACATTTTTCTTTTCATAGCGGAGACAGGGAATCGCCCCCTTCATTAGCTGAAGATGGTGCCCACCCGCCCATCCCCCCTTAGTAGCTTATTGATCTGACTCCCGATTTGAAATCATCTCCTCAGAGCAGTTAATTATTCATCGCATAGAAGACTGATTGCTGTGCCAAGATGACCTCACAGACAGGAGTTCATGGAAGGGAAGGGTTTAGACCAAGACCTGGCACACAGGAAGAGAGGTATAAAAATGAGCTGTTAAAAGAATTACCAGTATCTCTTTCTTCTAGGAAATCCCAGTCCTAAGATCTACACTGGCCAGACTTCACTGTTTTCAAAGAGCTTCACTGTTTTCTCTCAGCTTCTCAGAATACTGCAGCCAGAGATCTCTTCCCCTCTGCCCCCTGTAGCCAACTGCCTCAGCTTACAGACAGTGAATCTGAGGCCCAGTGAATGAGGCAGTGACTTTGCCGAAGTCACATAGCTCATGACGCCAGGGCTAGAAATACAGACCTCCTGTTCCTCAGTCTCTTCCTACTACACCTCTAGCCCTCAAAATTTAGCATGCCTAACAATTCTACCAGGAGTCACTCAAAAATGCAGATCTAGGAGCCCCTCCATGGCGCCATATTGGCTTCCCAGAGCTGCTGAAACAAATAATTACAAACTTAGTGGCTTAAAACAACACGGATTAATCATCTACAGCTTTAGAGGTCAGAAGTCCTAAAGTGGGTCTTGCAGGGCTGGGAGTGAGGTGTTGGCAGCTCTGAGTTCCTCCTGGAGGCTCTGGGGGAGGATCTCTTCCTCGCCTTTTCCAGCGTTCAAGGCCACCTTCATCCTCAGTGCGTGGTGTTTCCCTCCAATCCCTTCTCCTCATCACATCTCCGCCTCTCCTGCCTCCCTCTTCCCTTTGTTAGGACCCCCATGATCCAGTGGGCCCACCGGGGTAATCGAGGATAATCCCCCCATCTTAAGATTCTTAATTTAGTCGCATCTGTTAGGCCCTTTTCCCATGCAAGGTCACATATTTGCAGGTTCTGGGAACCGGGACATGGACACCTTTGGGGGTTCATTATTTTGTTTCTCCTGCCACGCCTCTGAGGCAGGATTCTGACTCAACCTCCTGGGCTAAAACCTAGGAATATTCATCTGAAACAACTCTCCTTCCGATTGGGAGGCAGGGGCTCCTGGAGCCTGGAGGGAAAGGCTGCGCCACACCCGCTGCAGTTGGAGGTGTCTCTTCTCGAGAAAGTGACTAGCAGGGCAAGTCACTATCCCATTTTATAAGATAGGAAACTCAAGGGAATGGTGAATTTCTAGAGAACAGTGAGAACAGTGAATTTCTAGTCCAAGGTTCCACAGCTAGAGCTGAAATTAATTAATTAATTAATTTATTTATTGTACTTACTTATGTATTTATTTTGAGAGGGAGTCTGTCACCCAGGCTGGAGGGCAGTGGCACGATCATGGCTCACCACAACTTCTGCCTCCCAGGCTCAAGTGATCCTCCCACCTCAGCCTCCTGAGTCGCTGGGACTACAGGCAGGCACCACCACGCCCACCTAATTTTGTATTTTTTGTAGAGATGAGGTCTCACTGTGTTGTCCAGGCTGGTCTCAAACTCCTGGGCTCAAGCGATCCTCCTGCCTCAGCCTCCCAAAGTGCTGGGATTATAGTGTGAGCCACTGCATCTGGCCTGGAGCCAGAGTTTAGACCCAAATCCCCTATTTCCACACCCTCTGTTCTTTTTACTACAGCACAGTCACCACCTAAATTCTCCCTCTATTGTGTAAACACAGTATGGTGGGGACTGCCCCCCTCATCTCACAGACAAAGATACCGTGGCACAGAAGGGGTCCAGCCACCTGCCCAAGGCCTGCTGCCTGGCTTCTGGCCGAAGCGCCACTGACCCGGGAAGCCCTGGACAGATCAGGCATCTCCTTCACTTTCTCCCATGGAGATTTTATCCCTACTCATCTGCTGAGAAACACTTTTTAACACAGAATGAGATTGATGTGGTAGACTCATTTCAAATACACGGAGCAGAAACAAACTCGGAGCCTTTTGGTGGATTATCTGTGTGGAGCAGACTGATGGCAATTAGGGGTTTGGGGAGACGGCAGGTGGGGGTGACAGGCTCTTCTATCCCTGTCCCATGAGGAAACCTAACAAAGGAGACCCTCCTCGCCGGTGCGCAAGTGTGTGAGTCAGCGCCAGGGGGCAGAGTTTGTCCAGGAATGAGAATGCACACGCCACTGTGCTTTGGCTTAAGGGTGATGTTAAGAAGGACGAGATTCTGGTGTGCAGGGTCATTGCCTTTAGTACAACCTTAGCCAATAGGTTTCTAATTGGGCCATTTATCTGGAAATAAGTGTGACATAAGAGCCCTGGAGGGTGGGTTGAGAGCAGATGCAAAGTGACTAAAGAGCATGCCACGAATGCATTTTTATAGGGTCAATTGTCTCATAATCTTTGTGTTCTCTTTTGGTGTGAATTAAATTCTGACCACTACTTGGCAATTTGTCAGAAGGCAGTCAGCTTAAGTATTGAGAAACACTGAATAATATTTCAAGAGTTTTCTAGTACATGGCCTCTGCAGCTGGAAAACATTAAAAAAAAGTTCACTTGTTTTTTCTTTTTTTCTTTATTATTCTTATTTATTTATTTATTTATTTATTTATTTTTTTGAGGTGGAGTCTCGCTCTGTCGCCCAGGCTGGAGTGCAGTGGCACGATCTTGACTCACTGCAAGCTTCGCCTCCCGGGTTCACGCCATTCTCCTGCCTCAGCCTCCTGAGTAGCTGGGACTACAGGCGCCTGCCACCACGCCCAGCTAATTTTTTGTATTTTTAGTAGAACCGGGTTTCACCGTGTTAGCCAGGATGGTCTCGATCTCCTGACCTTGTGATCCACCTGCCTCGGCCTCCCAAAGTGCTGGGATTACAGGCGTGAGCCACTGCACCTGGCCTTATTTATTTATTTTTTTGAGAGGGAGTCTCACTCTGTTGCCCAGGCTGGGTGGAGTGCAGTGGCGCAAACTCGGCTCACTGCAACCTCTGCCTCCTGGGTTCAAACGATTCTCCTGCCTCAGCCTCCCCAGTAGCTGGGACTACAGGAGCACACCACCTCACCTTGCTCATTTTTGTATTTTTAGTAGAGACAGGGTTTTATCATGTTGGCCAGGCTTGTCTCCAACTCCTGACCTCAGGTGATCCACCCCCCTTGGCCTCCCAAAGTGCTGAGATTACAGGTGTGAGCCACTGTGCTCAGCCTTATTATTATTATTTTTGAGACAGGGTCTTGCTCTGTTGCCCAGGCAGGAGTGCAGTGGCACGATCATAACTCACTGCAGGCTCCCACCTCAGCCTCCCCAGTAACGAGGACTACAGGTGCACACCACCACACTTGGCTAATTTTTTTTCTTTTTTTTTTTTTTTTTGGTAGAGACAGGGTCTCACTATGTTTCCCAGGCTGGTCTTGAACTCCTTGGATCAAGCAACTTTCTGGCCCCAGCCTCCCAAGCATTGGGATTATAGGTGTGAGCCACTGCACCCAGCCAATTTATTTTCTATTTTATTTTTAATTTTTTGCAAATTAATGTGATTATGCACACACAGTAGCTGTAGAAGCTTCTCCTCACATCTGCCCCCATGCCGTCCCAGCCCCTGAGTGGGACAGTCCCCACAGAGGTGGAGGCAACAGAGCACACTGGGTACGTTGCTTGGGAATTAACCCCAACGACACACAATTCAACCATCTGCGAGGCAGCGACATTTGGACAGATTTGAATTATCAGTAGCCTGAGGATGCTCTCTTTTTTAGAACAATAACTACCATTCATGAGAACTCCTTAGGCACCAGACACTGGGGCTTCCCTTGTAGAATCTCATCTAGGCAATAAAACGATTCTGTAAAGTAGATGCTATTATTATTATCCATATTTTACAGTTGAGGAAACTGAAACTATGAGGGGCTAAGAAAGTTGTTCAAAATTACCCAGCTAGGTGAGCTGGGCATAGTGGCTCACACCTGTAATCCCAGCACTTTGAGAGGCTGAGGCAGGCAGATCACTTGAGGCCAGGAGTTCGAGATCAGCCTAGGCAACATGGTGAAACCCTGTCTCTACTAAAAATACAAAAATTAGCTGGGTATGGTGGTGCATACCTATAATCCCAGCTATTCGGGAGGCTGAGGCAGGAGAATCGCTTGAACCTGCGAGGCAGTGGTTGCAGTGAGCTGAGATCGAGCCACTACACTCCAGCCTGGGCAACAGAGTGAGACTCTCTCTCTCACACAACAACAACAGCAACAACAACATTTACCCAGCTAGGAAGTGGTTCAACCAGGCCTCAGACAGAGCCATCTGACCCCAAAGCCCAGGGACTTAGCTCCTGTTTTCCTAGAAGCCTAAGCAATCCTAGCCCAATGGAAAAAAACCTGCTCATAGATTCTGACACTTTACATTCTAATTTGAACATGGTGCTGATTTGGTGGGTGGCCTTAGAGAGGTGACTTCATATCTCGATTGAATCTTAAGATCTTAGGGTGAGACAAATGCTTCATAACTCAACTGGCCGGAGTACATATAATATGACTTCTATGTTGGGGACATTTGGATCATCAAGAGCCCACACTAGTATGTGGAGTCAGGGGCCATCGACAGCTCTGAGATCTATAGGAAGCTGGCACTGGGGTCAGAAGGAAGTTTCTATAAAATGGAAATGTAATGGGATGATGTGAGGTATGAGTAGAATTATTCTCTCAAGCTCCTGGTTGCTAAAAGGTACAAAGAATGTATCAGTCTGCCCACAGGCTCAGGTTTTGGAGCTGGGGACTTGGCAGAGGATGGTCACGTGTTGGGCAAAGAGAAGTAGGCATTGGAGAGATGTTGCACGAGGCCATCAGCTGGGGTCAGCTGGAAGAGGAAGGCCACATGTCCCAAGGGACCCCTGGGAGCTGCTTGGGCATTTAGTGCCAGGGCAAGTCTTGGGGACCACTTGCTAAGCCATGGAGACCAACAATTCTGCCATAGGCAATCACAAAAGAACATATTCAACTTTCTCTTTTCTTCCTTTTCCCCCAAAGCTACAGGGGAAAGCACAGGCAAGAATCGGGTGGGAGAGAAGTAGACCATGTCTCCACCCCGCCACTCCCAAATCTTTTAAAGCCATGAGTCTAGTCTGCACTAGAGGCGAGGAGGAAAGCTTTGAATCCAATATAAGAATGAAATTTTACATTGAACAGAGTTGAATCTTAATAACTGGAGAGAAACTGTTGTGATAACTAAAATGAAAAGTTGTAGAATCAGACTGGGATATATGTAGCTAATGGAGCCTGCTACCCAGTGGGAAAGAGAGGTTCCACAGAGCATAATTGATTGATTTTATTGGGGTAAAAAAATTACTTCATGTTTATCTTCCCAGAGAATTGACAATCTTTACTAAACCTGTTACTCAAAGGTGAATCAATAAATATATGTTCTGCCACGGGTGAAAGACTACAAGCCTGCCTTTTTACACTGCACAGTTAGTTCCTATGTGTGTGGGATGATCACATGGTTCTTTGGGACTTCAGTCTTGCAGAAGTGTCTTGGGTACCTCAGATAATGGTGGGGAAAGCCAAGAGTTTCTCTTTTCATCAAATTTGTAATTGTAGTTCGTTCTTCTGCTCCCACACAAGTATTGGGTTAGAATATTCATCTTAAGTGCCCTTCCTCTGCTCAGAGACTTCTGCCCCCTGAGACGTCTGGATCAATACCGACTCCCAACCTCTGACACCTCTCCTCACCCCCACTCTCCACCTCTACCTCGACCATGTCTGCCTGCCTGCCTGCCTGCCTTCCTTCCTTCCTTCCTTCCTTCCTTCCTTTTTTTTGAGATGAGGTCTCACTCTGTCACCCAGGCAGGAGTGCAGTGGTGTGATCTCAGCTCACTGCAACCTCTGCCTCCCAGGCTCAAGTGATCCTCCCACCTCAGCCTCCTGAGTAGCTGGGACCACAGGTGCATGCCACCACGCCCAGCCATGTTTTTGTATTTTTGGTGGAGATGGGGTTTCGTAGTGTTGCCCAGGCTAGTCTGGGACTCTTAGCTCAGGTGATCTGCCCGCCTCGGCCTCCCAAACTTCTGGGATTATAGGCGTGAGCCACCTCGCCTGGCCTCCCTCCTGAACTTTCAGCACTCAGCTTGAGCTCTGGGCTTCAGAAGGGCTATACAAACGAACTTAAATTGTAGTCATAATGGTGATAATCTCACCTCAACCCTGAGTTCCTGCCACTCCTTGACTATAGATTTAGGCAGTACAAGAACCCATAGATAGACACATCCATGGGACAAAGGCAGGAGTCCAGAACAGACCCAAGGATGAATCATAATTCACTCTGTGATGAAGATGATATCTCGAATTCATGAGAAAAGGCAAAGTATTCCATAAACAGTGCTTGAATAATTGGTTAACTACATGTGGAAAAACAGCCATTTAAATTCCCGTTTCTGATGAGGCTCAAAACACAATACCCCAAAATATGACACCTTGGCATACTGAGTATTTTTTAAGCTGAAGGAAATTGAAAAAAATCACAGTAGCAAGGTCTCTCTGACCTTCCCCCGCCCCCTCTCTCCTGAAGCAAGGCCACAGAAACTAGAACTCCCCTCAACCCTTTTTCCGTGAAGCAGGCCATAAAACCGAGAAAAGTCACTCTTTGACTTTCTCCCTCCCTTCTCCCCGAAGACCTTCATGTGGCAGGTGTCTTGCCCTATACCCAGAGGGAAGAAATGTCACAGTGGGGTGCCAAGAAGAATCTGAACAAATGGATCATGCTAAATTCTCCCCAGTTTTTTTGTGGGGAGCGGGGGAGCGGGTTATTTTGGATGGAGTTTCTCCTTGTTGCCCAGGCTGGAATGCAATGGCGCGATCTCGGCTCACTGCAACTGGGTGAACTCCGCCTCCTGGGTTCAAGCAATTCTCCTTCCTCAACCTCCCAAGTAGCTGGGATTACAGGCATGCACCACTATGCCTGGCTAATTTTTGTATTATTAGTAGAGACGGGGTTTCACCATGTTGACCAGGCTGGTCTTGAACACCTGACCTCAGGTAATCCACCCGCCTCGGCCTCCCAGAGTGCTGGGATTACAGGTGTGAGCCACTGTGCCTGGCCCTCCCCAGTTTTTTACCATTAGATTGTCCTCCAATCATACTTCTGCACGACTGTCCATACAAATACACAAATATTCCTAATTCTTCAGGTTTTTATTTCTGAAGGCTCCTGTGTTACATAACATTTATATTAAATAAATATGTTCTGCTGGCTGTGTATAGTGGCTCATGCCTGTAATCCCATCACTTTGGGAGGCTGAGATGGGAGGATCGCTTGAGCCCAGGAGTTCAAGACCATCCTGGATAAAATGGCAAAACTCTGTCTCTATAAAAAAAAAAAAAAATACAAAAATTTGGCCAAGCGTGGTGGCTCACGTGCTGTAATCCCAGCACTTTGAGAGGCCAAGGTGGGTGGATCACTTGAGGTCAGGAGTTTGAGACCAGCTTGGCCGGCATGTTGAAACTCTGTCTCTACTAAAAATACAAAAAAGGTAGCTGGGCGTGGTGGCTTGTGCCTATAATCCCAGCTACTTGGGAGGCTGAAGCAGGAAAATCACTTGAACCCAGGAGGTGGAGGTTGCAGTGAGCCAAGATTATACCACTGCACTTCAGCCTGGGCAACAGAGCAACACCTTGTCTCAAAAACAGAAACAAAAATTTGCTGGATGCGGTGGCACATACCTGTAGTCCCAGCTACTTGGGAGGCTGAGGTGGGAAGATTGCTTGAGCCCAGTAGGTGGAGGCTTCAGTGAGCCATGATCTCGTCACTGCACTTAAGCCTGGGTGACAGAGTGAGACCCTATCTCAAAAAAAAAAAAAAAAAAAAAAATTATGCTTCTCTCTTGTTAATGCATCTTTTGTTATGAGAGTGTCAGCCATGAACCTAGCAATGGGTGAGGAAAAGATACCACTTTTTCTCTCTTATGCTTCACATCCCTCAATTTCTGATGGATAAAAGAGAGGTATAAGAGATAAAAGAATGAAATATAAAAGAATGAAATCGTAAAAGAAAACTTAAGTACATATTTATCAGACCTTGGGGACTGGGAAAGAATTTTACAAATATAAAAACGATAAAGAAATCACATAGGAAAAAATGACAAATTTGAATATATCAAAATTTTAAATGTATACCAAAAACAACACAAATTCAATCAAAAGGTATGGTAGTAACAGGGTCCACTAATCCCCATTGCACCAGTGGACAGCAAGCCAACAGCCAGCGTGTGAGTGAGACCATCTTAGACCAACCTTTCCCCAGCCATGGCACTAGCTGACCCACGCACGTGAATGAGCCCAGCTGAGATCAGCCAAGCCTGATCCAAGTTATCAGATATGGCCTGCTGCTCCATTGACTTGTAAGCAATAGTAACTTTTTTGTTGTTGTTTAGAACACTAAGTTTTAAGGGGATTTGTTATGCAGAATTAGAAAAATGATACAAAAGAGAAATGACAAATTGGAGTAAATATGTGTAAGAAATAGGAACAATAAAGATGAAAATCTTTAATATGAAATGAAGTCTTGTAAATTAAAAGGAAAAACACCAACTGCCACAATGAAATGAATAAAAGACATAAGCAGTCAAGTCATTAAGGAAGAAAGACAAATAACTAATAAGTGAATGTAAAAGTATTAAAGCTCACACAAAAAAAAAGAGGTGCAATTTAAACATTAAATGACACTAAGATATTTTTTACTTATTAAATTAACAGTTTAAATTAGCAATTAAAAAATGTTCAGTAATGAAGGGCACTCTCTTATGTATGGGTGGAAGTCTAATTAACAAACCATTTCTGGAAAATAATTTAGCAAGACTTAGAAAATGGCTTTGGGGCAGATGCAGTTGGTTGGTGTGGAGTACTGAATCATTATTCTCAATTCCTTGTTGCTGCCTATATCCGTGCTGTTTTCATGATTTTGTAGTTCCTCCCACTAGAAGAAGAGTCTATTTTCTTGCATATTGATGTGGTGGTTGGCCTTGTGGCTGTTTTTGGCCAGTGGAAAGTTAACAAATGTGTGCTGCACACAGAGGTTTAAACATCCTCTGGTGTCAAGTTTGTTCTGTTGCATTTCTCCCTTTACCACAAAAAGAGCTTCCCCTATGTAGTCCTGCCCCTTCAACATGGGCTCTAGAGTGAAAACGTGGGTTTGGGAAGTTGGAATGGTGGTGGCAGAATTGCTCTTGAAACTTTCCTAATTCTCACATAAAAATAGCCGGAACAAGCTCATAGCAAAACCAAAAATCTGCAGACATTTCCAACCAAACCAAATGAGAAGGTATCCCTTTGAACCCTGAAAATAGAAGCAGGCAAGAATAAATAATTGATAGTCACAAGACCTGCATGGCATCCTCATCTGGGCAGGAGAAAGCAGAGGAGAGTAATGAGGCATTTAACAAACCTGAGAACAGGAAACCCCTAAAATATACTACAGGTATTCACTGGAAGGCTCAGCAGGCCAATTTTGGAAGAGTAGCTGAAACGGTTTTGCCTATTCCAATTTGCTGGTGAGAGCAGTGGGGAGCCCTTCAGTGAGGTCTGAAAGGTATGGAGAAGTCCGGCCCCTGTGAACTCTCAAAACCCACCAGGTAGGAATCTCTTTTAGGACAGGTTTGTTCCCTAAAGATACTACTGGGACTAGAATTAAAATTGAACAGAATAGGCATTACAGAGATGAAGGAAAGAAGGTAGACAAAAGTGATGAGAATCTCCAGGAAACCTTATAAAGCAAGCTGCTTTTTTTTTTTTTTTTGCACTACATGAAACACAGCAGAATAGGTAATTTTGTAAAGTTGTAACAGTTATTCTGAACAAAGCCTCAATCTAAAAGCTCAAGAAACCTAAATCCATATAAAAATAAGCAACAATAAAGTATTGCGGTCAAACCTCATGCAAAGTTATTGTAAGGAAAATGAGAATAGAGCAAAATAATATCCCTACAGGTAATGAAAGCAGATCAGAAAGATTTGCTTTAAAAAGAAAAATGCAACTATAATGCTCTATTTCAAAATAAGCTGGAAGACATTAAGAAAATGATACAAAACATGAAAGAACAACATAATCAGAATTAGGAAAACTCAGAAGTGAAGTGACAGAACTCAAGAAAAATATAAAAATAAAATAAATGAAGACTCAACTATAAGGGACCCAGTAAATAAACATAGGAGACAATGCCTTAAGAGAAACAGAAGGTAAAAGTAAGGAAAATATTTAAAAAATCAAAAAGAACCTAAGAGAGAGAGAAAGATTGAGGAACAATACAGCTATTGAATGAATATAGGCAAAGAACCAACATGTGGATAACAAAAGTGTCTGAATAAGAAAACCAAAGCAAGAAAATCAAATATTAAGTGTTATAATTCAAGAAAGAAATTTTAAATAAAATAGATTTGAAGGTACGTATTAAAAGAGACTATGGGCTGGGCGCGGTGGCTCACGCCTGGAATCCTAGCACTTTGGGAGGCCAAGGCAGGTGAATCTTCTGAGGTCAAGAGTTTGAGCCCACCTGGCCAACATGGTGAAACCCCATCTCTCCTAAAGATATGAAAATTAGCTGAGTGTGGTGGTGCATGCCTGTAATCTCAGCTACTTGGGAGGCTGAGGCAGGAGAATTGCTTGAACCTGGGAGGCAGAGGTTGCAGTGAGCCAAGATCATGCCACTGCACTCCAGCCTGGGCAACAGAGTGAGATTTTATCAAGAAAGAAAGAGAAAGAGAGAGAGAGAGAGAGAGAGAGAGAGAGAGGAAGGAAAGGAAGGAAGGAAGGAAGGAAGGAAAGAAGGAAAGAAAGAAAGAAGAAGGGAGGATGGAAGGGGACTTCCATATGAGAATAGTGAACCTGAATGACCAATACTAAGACATATTCTAGTAAAATTTCTGGATTTTAAAGAAAAAGGAAAAAAAATCTTTAAGTATCTAGGCAAAAACAACATGAGGTTATAAGGGAAGGAAGATTTTTATTAGACTTTTTGATTATTATTAGACTTTTGGTGTCAGAAGAAAATGGAATAGCACACTTAGGACTCTCAAGGAAAGACATATAACTCTTTAAGTATAAAGGGCACAGAGAAGCTGTTATGAACATGCAAAAACTCAGGGAATATTGTTCCTATGCGTACTTCCTGAGGAACCTGTTACAGAATAAGCTTTAGACAACCAAAGTGACTAGACAGTCTCTGGTATAAGGACTGATGGTAAGTATTAAATATATAGGTACTTGTAGATGAAGACTAAATGAGAGTAAAAAGGGAAAGAATAATATGTGATGATTATGTGCCTTGACAATGTAGATCGAGTATAACTTTAAAAAATGAGGCAAGAGTGGGAATAAGGTATGAAAAAGTTTAAAAAAATGTCAGTAGTCATAATTTGTAATGGTTATTGTAAGTATTGTTATTTTGAAACTCTTCTGTATATAATGTAGGATAAAGTAAATGAGCAGTTATGGAATATTCCATCACTTCTCCTGTTCTAAGAACCAGAACCAGGATTCTTGGTGTGGAAGAAGGAGTTGCAGAGACAATATAAAAGAAGTTAAGGGCCCAGGCATGGTGGCTCATGCCTGTAATTCTACCACTTTGGGAGGCTGAGGCGAGAGGATTATTTGAGCTCAGGAGTTCAAGACCAGCCAGGGCAACATAGCGAGACACTCTCTCTATAAGAAACACAAACAAAAAAAATGTTAAGGCATAGCACTGTAGACTTGAGTGTGAATTAGAAATATCGCTGTCAAGTCATGAAATGTTTTTTACCTTCAAAATATATTCTCTAGTTCTGTTTACTAAAATAGCCCCCATATATTGACAAGTCTACCAAGTAACATAGGGCATCCCTGGAGCCCAGCTTGTGATAAAGAAATTACACTTTTCACTAAAAGAAAACCAGAGCTTCTTGGATAAATGACTGATTCCAAACCTGTGGCAAAAAAAAGTACAAACTAGGCTGGGCATGGTGGCTCACGCTTGTAATCCCAGCACTTTGGGAGGCCAAGGCGGGAGGATCACTTAAGTCAGGAGTTCGAGACCCACCTTGCCAACATGGTGAAACCCTGTCTCTACTAAAAATATGAAAATTAGCTGGGCGTAGTGGTGCGCACCTGTAGTCCCAGCTACCCAGGAGGTTGAGGCAGGAGAATCGCTTGAACCCAGGAGGCAGAGGCTGCAGCGAGCTGAGATCATGCCATTACACTCCAGCTTGGGTGACAGAGTGAGACTCTGTCTCAAAAAAAAAAAAAAAAAGAAAAACCCAAAAAAACAAAAAACAAACCAAAAAAAGTACAAACTTAACCTAGAACATTTTGTAATACCAGATAGCAAGGACTCTATCAACTACTAGGGTCATTTCAAAATGACTCAGGCGTCAACTTGAAGAGATTCCTAGTGGCCACAAATCAGACAATTTTAGCTTCAATAAGGACAAGAATTGGAATGAACTGAAATACATCGAATATATTTACATTTCTGAATTCATAGTAATAAAAAATTGGTCTCCTTTGAAGGATAACAATTAATTCATTATTTCAAAAAATGGATAAATAAAGGAAAGGAATTGGGCGTTATCCTGACTTTCCTATATAAACTATACTACTGGGTAACCACTAGCAGATGACGGAGGCCAGGTGTGGTGGCTCACACCTGTAATCTTAATTATTTGGAAGGCTGAGGTGGGAGGATTGTTTGAGCTCAGAGTTCGAGACCAGCCTGAGCAGCATAGGGAGACCCCATCCCTATAAAAAAATAAAAATAACTGGATATAGTGGTGTGCACCTGTAGTCCCACCTACTTGGGAGGCCAAGAGGAGAGGATCACATGAGCCTATGAGTTTGAGGTTATAGTGAGCTATGATTGTGTTCCTGCACTCCAGCCTGGGCAACAGAGGGAGACACTGTCTCTCTCTCTCTCTTTTTTTTTTTTCTTTTTTCTTCTCTTTCTTTTTCTTTTTGAGACAGAGTCTTGTTCTGTCACCCAGGCTGGAGTGCAGTGTTGCTATCTGAGCTCACTGCAACCTCCACCTCTGGGGTTCAAGCGATTCTCCTGCCTCAGCCTCCCAAGTAGCTAGGATTACAGGTGTGAGCCACCATACCCAGCTGTTTTCTTTATTTATATTTTGTTTTAAAATAAAAAGTAAAAACAAAACCAATAATGCTTTCCTGTCCCGGCCTGTGCGGCGTGGGCTCGTGGGTCTCTGAGACCCAAAAATGGAGAGCGTTTTCGCACCCCAGGGACTGCTCCTGGCAGCTCTGTGGCTGTCACCATGCCACAGAACGAATATATTGAATTACACTGTAAACACTATGGATACCATTTGGATTACCATGAGAAAAAGGGAAAGAAGGAAAGTCGAGAGGCTCATGAATGTTCAAAGAAGGGAAAGAAAATGATTGGTCTGAAGGCTAAGCTTTACCATAAACAGCGCCATGCTGAGAAAATACAAATGAAAAGACTATCAAGATGCATGAAAAGAGAAACATCAAACAAAAGAATGATGAAAAGACTCCACAGGGAGCAGTACCTGCCTATCTGCTGGACAGAGAGGAACAATCTCGAGCTAAAGTACTTTCCAATAGGATTAAACAGAAACGAAAAGAGAAAGTGGGAAAATGGGAAGTCCCTCTGCCTAAAGTACGTGCCCAGGGAGAAACAGAAGTATTAAAAGTTATTCGAACAGGAAAGAGAAAGAAGAAGGCATGGAAGAGGATGGTTACTAAAGTCTGCTTTGTTGGAGATGGGTTTACAAGAAAACCACCTAAATATGAAAGATTCATCAGGCCAATGGGCTTGCATTTCAAGAAAGCCCATGTAACACATCCTGAAATGAAAGCCACCTTTTGCCTACGAATACTTGGTGTAAAGAAGAGCCCCTTGTCCCCACTGTATACAACTTTCGATGTTATTACCAAAGGTACTGTCATTGAAGTAAATATGAGCGAATTGGGCCTTGTGATGCAAGGAGGCAAAGTTATTTGGGGAAATTATGCCCAGGTTACTAACAATCCTGAAAATGATGCATGCATAAATGCAGTCTTACTGATTTGACAGCAATTTTATATATAATTATTGAGGACTACACACCAATTGGAAAAACTGCCATTGCTGTGATGTTTCTGAATACTACCAAACAGCCATACATGTCTGCAATGAAGAGATTTATTAAATTGTAAACATTTAAAAAGTAAATTAAAAAAAAAACCCAATAATGATCACACATAGAACAGACCTGAGCCCTCCCACAGACAAGGCTAGCCAAACCCAACATAGATCAGACAGGCTTCAATTAATCCAAACTGTGAACATGAAATAAATGCTTACTGTTTTTTACACCTAAGTTCTGGGATGGTTTGTTACACAGCACTGTTGTGGCTTTTGCTATCTAATACAGTTCCAATTCAACACCTATATCAAATCTTGTCTAATTTCACTATTGAATGTGGAAAAGACCAGATACTTGTTTACCTAGCCTACCCAACAGTTAATGATGACCACAAGACTCAGTACTTGGAAATAAGCCCTGAGGAGAATTCTCCTGTGGGGGGTTTCTGGTAAACATTTTCCTTCCTAAAGAGTGGTATGTAAAGAGCCTCTCTCACTGTCCTGGCTTCATATACCCCTGTCTTCCTGAATTTTGTGTGACAGTGTGATGCTGGGAGACATTTGCTGCCAAGAGGCAAATAAGTACCTGGATGAAAAGTCAACATTCTGAAGAAGTTGGAGCAAAAAAATAAAAAGTCTAATTTCTTGATTATATCTCCCTATCTTCCTTCATATTTCTTGGTTATGTAAGTAATAAATCCTAGTTGTTAGTTTTTCTATTACTTGCAGTTTACTTTTTTGTTGTTTTTTTGGTAGATCTCCTCTGTAATCAACCTAACTTTCTATTACTACCTAACTCAGACAGCTTAAAAATGTTCATAGTCTTTAATTCAGTAAGTAGTTCCATTGCTATCAATTTAGCACAAGAAAGTAATCCAAGATATGGTCAAAGAATATGTATCAAGGTATTATCTATAAGGAGAAAACTAGAAGATAATGTAAAAGTTCAATATAGAAGAATGATTAAATAAATATCGATAATATACATCCATTAACCTCTATCTTTTTGGAGAATACTTAAGGATATGGAAAATGCTCATGTGTAATAAAAAAATGCATAAAACTGTGTGAGTTATGTCAGAGAAAAATGGAAGAGTAAGGATCTCCAAAAATTCTCTCCACCATGAAAGCAACAAGAAGAAAGCTAGCACAATTGTCAGCATTGACCAGAGAATGTTGATTCAAGAAAAATAGCTGAATTTCAATAAAAGCAGTGAGTTTTGTGGCATTTTGATTTCCCTTATTCCCATCCTTTTCTTCCCAGTTCTGAAGTAGGGTTGAAAATCAACATCCCACAATCATGTTTGCATCTTTCCTTGTCTCGCCTGGCCTTTTCTCTTCTCCTTTCAACCCTGTGCTTGCACTTCCCAATTAAAGTATCAGTGCTGTAATCCTTGCCTCAGGCTCTGCTTTTATGAGCCCTCAGGCTAAGAAGAATGAATATACATTAAAAAACTTGAATAAAACCTTCTGATATCTACAGTAGTAATTGTGGAATTGAGTGTCCTTTATTTTTTTCTTTACTTTTTGGTATTAGCTGTGTTTTTGTCATGAACATGTTTTTCAGAATTAGTAAAAGAAACAAAACCCCAAAACAAAATACAAAAGCAACTGGGTTCAGCATGCCTCTTCCAAGAGAATTATTTTTACTTATCCAGAAATTAGGCAGTTACCTAAACAGTCTTTTGGGTTACTGATATGGCTTGGATGCTTGTCCCTTCCAGATCTTATGTTGAAATGTAATCCCCAGTGTTGAAAGTGGGGTCTGGTAGGAGGTAT
Source organism: Homo sapiens (assembly GCF_000001405.40). Lineage (NCBI taxonomy): Eukaryota > Metazoa > Chordata > Mammalia > Primates > Hominidae > Homo > Homo sapiens. The sequence goes on along the minus strand of NC_000012.12, from coordinate 94,519,256 downwards.
TGGATCATGGGGGCTGATCCCTCATGGATGGTTTGGTGCCATCCCCATGATAATGAGTGAGTTCTCTCTCTGGTAGTTGACATGAGAACTGATTGTTTAAAGAGCTTGGCATCTCCTATACCCCGCCACCGCTCTTGCTCCCTCTCTCACTATGTGATGTGCCTGCTCCTTCTTTGCCTTCTGCCATGAGTAAAAGCTCTTTGAGGCCTCACTGGAAGCTGAGCAGATGCTGGCACCATACTTCCTGTACATCCTGCAGAACTAAACCTCTTTTCTTCATAAATTGCCCAGCCTCAGGTATTTATAGTAACACAAGAACAGACTAATACAGATACTATCTTTTGGCACTTGCTAAGAATGTCATTCATTCATTTATTCATTCAAGAAAAATACTTATTGAGTGCCTACTGTATGCTAGGTATGGTTCTAGGAAACTAGGATCTATCAGTGGAACAAACAACATCCTTGTTCTCAGAGAGCTTACATTCTAATGGGGAGAATGTGACAATAACTGAGTGAATGGAAAAAAGAGTCAGTCTGTGATAAGTGCTTTAAAGCATAAATCTGGGTAAGGGATTGTGAACAATGGAGGGGTTATGAGGTGCTATGTTAGCTATGGAATGACTGCTCTAACAGTGACTTTTGAGTAGAGAACTAAATAAAGTAAAAGAGATAAGCATGCAAACTTCTAGGGGGAAAAATACTTCAGGCAGAAAGAACAGCCAATGAAAAGGCCTAAGGCAGGACAGTGCTAGGCATGTTTGAGCGGGAGTGTCCTTGACTTGTCTGGGGAATCGCAAGGTCAGTGTGGCTGCAGCAGAGTGGTATGGTAGGGGCAAAGAGTGGTGGAAGAGGAGGTTGAGGGGTGGCAGAGGTCCAAGGATGCAGGGCCTAAAAGGCCTTTGTGAGGACTTTGGATTTGACCCTGAGTGAGATGGAAAGCCATTACAGAATTTTTTGTTTTTAAATTTTGATAATATATATATAACTTTAAATTTACCTTTTTTTAAATTTTTTTTTTTGACAGAGTCTCACTCTGTCACCAGGCTGGAGTGCAGTGGCGCGATCTCGGCGGCTCACTGCAACCTCCGCCTCCCGGGTTCAAGCCATTCTCCTACCTCAACCTCTTGAGTAGCTGGGACTATAGGCATGTGCCACCACATCCAGCTAATTTTTGTATTTTTGGTAGAGACGGGGTTTCACCATGTTGGCCAGGATGCTCTCCATCTCTTGACCTTGTGATCCGCCCACCTCGGCCTCCCAAAGTGCTGGGATTACAGGCGTGAGCCACCGTGCCTGGCCAAATTTACCATTTTAATTATTTTAAGTATACGGTGTTCAGTTTAGTGCCATTAAGCACATTATTATGCAACTGTAACCACTATCCATCTCCAGAACTTTTTCGTCATCCCAAAATGAAGCTTTGTACCAATTCAACAGTAACTCCCATTCTCCCCTCCAGGCAGCCCCTGGTAAATACTATGTTACTTTCTGCCTCTATAAGTTTGACTATTCTAGGTATTTCATTTAAGTGGACTCATATACTATTTATCCTTTGATGTCTGGCTTATTTCACTTAGTTTTGAAGGTTAATGTCTTCAAGGTATCATCCATGAAGTAACATGTGTCAGACTTTTATCGGAGGACGTGAAGGTTAATTTAGAGTGTCGACTTGACTGGATTAAGGAATACCCAGAGAAGTGGCAAAACATTATTTTGGGGTGTGTCTTCGAGGATGTTTCTAGAGCAGATTGGCATGTGAGTCTCAGTGGACTAAGTCGGGAAGATCTGCCCTCCATGTGGGTGGGCACCATCCAACTGGCTGAGGGCCCAGATAGAACACGATCCTAGGAAAAGGGAATTTGTCTCTCATTCTCTCTCCTGGAGCTGGATACACTCTTCTCCTCCTGCCTTTGGACATCAGAATCCCAGACTCTCTGGTCTTAGGATATTCCAGCATGTATATCAGCAGCCATTCCAGGTTCACAGGGCTTCAGCCTTGGACTGACAATTACACCATTGTCTTCCCTAGTTCTAAGGCTTTCAGACTTGGACTGAGTCACACTGCTGGCATCCCAGGGCCTCCAGTTTGCAGACCGTCTATAGTGGAACTTAGCCTCTATAATAACATGAACCAATTCTCCTCGTAAGTCCCCTCTCATGTATCTACATCTATATATATCCCATTGCTCTGTCTCTCTGGAGAGCCCTAACTAATACAGAGGGTTTTGAGCTGATGAGTAATGAGACTTTACTCACACTTCAGAGGGATAACTCTGGCTGCTCTGTGGGAAGAGACTGGAGGCGACCACAAAGGTGAAAGCACAAAGACCAATTAAAAGTTCATGATTATAGTCCAGGTCAGAAATGAGAGTAGACTGGACTAGGGTGGTAATGGTGGCAGTGAAGAGACACATTTCAGAGTCAAGATATATTTTTAAGGCAACGCTGACCAAATTTGCTAATGGATTGGATGTCAGGTATGAGAAAGAGTACAGACGAGGTTGATTCAAAGAGTTTGGCCTGACAGCTGTTAGAGTGGCGTAGTAATTTACAGAAATGGCCAAGAATGGAAGCACAGTAGAGTTCAGTGGTGGGATGGGAGAGGGGTAAAAGCTCACTTCTGAACTGTCAAGCTTGGAATGATGATTAGTCATCCAGGTGGAGATATAGAATGGACAGTAGACCTGTGATTCTAGAATTTAAGGGAGAAGAGAGAGGTTATGGCTTGAGATACAAAACTGGATATCATCAACTCATAAAAGGTATTTCAAGCTCTGAATCTGGATGAGACTCCCCCCAGTACCTGACTGCAAATCTAGACAAAAAGAGCCTGAGAATGAAGCTCTAGGACCCTCTGGTGCTCAAAAGTCAGGAAGATAAAGAAGATCCAATAGAAGAGATTGAGGAGGAGGGAACAGTTCCTTAGGAGCAGAACTATGAAAGGGGGTGTCCCAGAGGCCCAGGACAGAGAATGTTTCAGGAAGAGAGATCACCAAGGAAGGTGAAGACTGGAGATGACCATGAGAATTGCAACGTGGGTGTCTCCTGGGACCTTGTCAACAGTGGTTTCTCATCACCATTCCACATCCCTGGGGAAGTCATTTCTGAGAGCTTATCTTCATTCTTTTTTTTTTTAAATAAATTAAAATTCGTTTCTTTTCTTTTCTTTTCTTTTCTTTTTTTTTTTTGTTTTGAGCTGGAGTCTTGCTCTGTCACCCAGGCTGGAATGCAGTGGTATGATCTCAGCTCACTGCAACCTCCGCCTCCTGGGTTCAAGCGATTCTTCTGCCTCAGCCTCCCGAGTAGCTGGGACTACAGGTGCACACCACCACACCTGGCTATTTTTTGTATTTTTAGTAGGGACAGAGTTTCACCATATTGGCCAGGCTGGTCTCAAACTCCTGACCTTGTGTTCCGCCCACCTCGGCCTCCCAAAGTGCTGGGATTACAGGCGTGAGCCACCGCGCCCGGCCAAAAAATTCTTTTCTTTTTTAGAGATGGGACGTGGCTATGTTACCCAGGCTATTCACAGGCGTGATCCCACTACTGATCAGTACAGGAGTTTTGATCTGCTCTGTTTCTGACTGGGGCTGGTTCACCCCTCCTTAGGCAACCTGCTGGTCTTCTGCTCCTGGGAGGTCACTATATCGATGCCAAAGTTAATGCAGACACCAGATCGGCACAGCGCACTACTGCCCAGAACTCCTGGGCTCAAGTGGTCCTCCTGCCTCAGCCTCCCAAGTAGCTGGGACAACAGGCACGCGCCACCACACCCAGCTTTTCTTCATTCTTCTAGAGGAGCTTTGGAGGGAGTTAAAGAGAGTGATAAAATGTAAGTACTATTTGTCCAATAAGTGCCATCTCCCAGGGTCCTCACAACCTCTTCCTGCTCTGAGTCATGTGAGTCCTTGCTGCTGAAGTCACTGGCTATGCTGATCCTTGAAGTCACTTAGCTTCTCTTTGCGCTTCTCACCACCCTTTGGATTACAGACACTCCAGCATTTTCAGAGCTTGTCCCTGTGGCCCCCATCCTGTTGTTTTGGGTTTATCTCCTTGCCTTGTCAAGTTTGACTTTGCACAAAAATTTTCCACTTACAATGCTCCTAGCTCTATCTTCTTGACCAGACTATTTGTATCCATTAAATTTTTTTTCCCTCTCTTCACTGCTGACCACATCTCTTCTCATCATATAAATGGTAGCTTTACATTAATCTCCATTTCTTGCCACCTGCTGCTGAACCGAAAATGTCTATTCATTATTCTGTGAAAATTTTGAGTGTTGGCTGTACAGAGCTCTGTTATCAATGCCTCACAGTATACCAATAATTATGACATGGCTATTGCCTTCATATTTCCTGCAAGGTAATTGGGAGAGAAAAAAACTAAAGATGTAAAATGAGAGGTAATAAAACTAGACAATAAATCATATTTTCCAAAAATTGCTGTCAAGTGATACTGGTACCAGATGGAGGAAGATGACGTTTGAGCTAGGACATTGAAAGATGAGATGGATTTAAATAGTAGAAAGGAAACGGGTAGGCAGTCCAGGAGTAGGAAAGATATGTAAAGCTTTGATGACAGGGAGGTACAAGGAAAGGTAGACTTGCTCCAGATAATGGAATATGAAGCACTAAGTGCCATGAATTTAATGGTGGGTGCTCAATAGTTTTTGAATAATGTAAAAGCAGTGTTGAAAAGAAGAGCTTGGAAGCTTTGGTTGATATGAAGAATTCGAAGACAAGGAGACTAGTAAAAGGACTGATGCAATAGTCCAGCTCTGACAAGGTGAGATCCTGAGCTTCAAACTGGTGTAGAACAAGAGCACCTGTTTCCTGAGAGTTCCAGCAATGGATTTCTCATTGGCCCAGTCTTGGTCATAATTCCACCCCTGAACAAATCTCCAATGGGCATGGATATGTGGTGATTTTGTTGGCTGGGCCCTGGATCTAGTGGTGGGGCCACCTCCACCTGAGCATGGTTAGAGAGGGAAAGGGGTGGCCCCAAAGGAAACTCAAGACAATGTTCCCAGAAGGAAGAATAGATGCTAGAAATGTTAAACCAGTCCTCCTCACTATCTTCCATTCATTCTTGGAGTGGCTAACCCGCCACTCCACTGAAACTGTTCTCACCAAGATCACCTCCTAGTTTACAAAACCACAAGACATTTTCAGGCCTTATCATAACCTGACTTCTCTGCCCATCTGACACTGTTCAACCCTGTAAATATTAGTATTTTTGCAAGATTCTATTTTCAGTTTTGTCTCTTCTTACTCTCCTCGTTTTCTCCTTTCCTGGCTTTCTCAAGAATTGAGGCACTTTCCCCTCTCATCTACCATGGACCTCTATTGTTGCACATCTTACTCTGTATTGTGATTATATATATGTGTATGTATCAGGGACCATTATGTATCTTTGTAGCTCCAGCTCCTGGCACTTATTGGGAGTAGACTTAATGACTAAATAGAAATGAGGTATGCTGGCAACAAGGGTGAATGAAGAGACAAAGATGATGTCATGATTTTGAACCTGGGATCCATGACCAGAAATAGAGAAGTCAGTTTCGGAGAAAAGAGAGTGAGTTTAACTTTAGATGTGTTATGTCAGGAATAGTTAGGACACCAAACAGAAAAGCCAAGTGGAGACAGTTATTGTGCTAGAAGCCTATTAGATTGTAAGTTTCATGGATGTAGAGACCTTGCCTATCTTGTCCTCGCTTTTAGAACATGGCATAAAGTAGGTGCTCAGTAAATGTTTGCTGAATTACTGAAATAAGCATACTCTGTTATCAACACATTTGCAGATCTGACACTATCTACCTGAGATGGCATCAGGTCCCAGGGATTGAGGGCTCAGTCCCGCAAGATCGCCCCCCACTTCAGATGCCAGTTGCAAGCCTCAGACTGTGACCTGTGCTTTAGACTGGGTGGCTATAAATTGGGGTTCCTACAGCCCCCTCCTAGGGTTCAATTGAATTGCTAGAGCTGCTCATAGAACTCAAGGAAATGCTTACTTACTAATATGGTTTGGCTGTGTCCCCCACCCAAATCTCATTTTGAATTGTCACTCCTATAATCCCCACGTGTGGTAGGAGGGACCTGGTACAAGGAAATTGAATCATGGGGGCAGGTCTTTCTCGTGCTGTTCTCATGATAGTGAATAAGTCTCATGAGATCTGATGGTTTGATAAAGGGGAGCTCTCCTGCACACACTCTCTTGCCTGCTGCCATGTAAGACGTGTCCTTGCTCCTCCTTCGTCTTCTGTCATGATTGTGAGGCCTCCCCAGCCATGTGGAACTCTGAGTCCATTAAACCTCTTTTTCTTTATAAATTACCCAGTCTTGGGTATGTCTTTATTAGCAGCGTGAGAACAGACAAATACACTTACATTTCTCAGTTTAGTATGAAGGATATTGCAAAGGGTACAGATGAACAGTCAAATGGAAGAGTTGCATAGGGGAAGTTATGGGGGAAGGGGCATGGAACTTCCATGCCCTCTCCAGGAACCTCCACATGCTTAACTATCTGGAAGCTCATCTGAAACCTGTCCTTTTGGGTTTTTATGGAGGCTTCATTACATAGGCATGATTGATTACATTATTGGCTATTGGTGATCAACCTCGACCTTCAGCCGCTTTCTGGAAGTCAGGATGTAAGGTTGAAAGTTCCAACCCTTTATTCATGTCTTGGTTTTTCTGGTGACCAGCCCTCATCCTGAAGCCATCTTCTTATGCAAAAGACACTGTTACCATTCTGGAGATTTCAAGGATTTTAGAAGCTGGATGAAGACCAAATAGATATTTCACAATATCACACAGATAAAGCCATGTGAGTGGCTGAGATTTCTAAGAGTGGGCACAGGGTCAGGTAGGCCTGACCCCAGAAGAAGTTTCCCACATTTAAGAGAAAGGATGGAGACAAGATGTGCCTGGGACGTTACAGGCAGCCACCTGTTCAACAAATAAGAAGGGAAGGCTTTCCATGGGCTTCTTATTTATTAGGAGAGAAACCTTCCTTAGAACCCCTGGTATCAGATTTCTCCAAATTCCATTGCCTGAAATTAGGTTACGTGCCCATGCTGGGCTGCAAGAGAGGTGGAGGAAGCAAATATATGGCATTTTCAAACTCTATAATGGGAGTTTGATTTTGACAGCAAGGAAGAAAAAAGAAGATACAGGATGGGTAAAAGATTTTTTCTGCCTCCCAGAGAGCAGTGAAATTTTAAATGAGGAGAAGGCCATACAGAGTTTTTAAAAATACCCACTTACTTTGGGGACATTCTTTCAGGTTCAAAAGGTTCTTCCAAATTATTTCTTCTGGCACATTAAACAATGTGCAAATGACCTGGGAGAAAATACATCTCCTCTCCCAGGCCCTCCTGTTTACATCATCTCATCCTCAGCATTGGGGTCTTAGTTTGAACCCATAAAGCAACACTCTGCTATTTATTTTTTCTCCTCCAGGTCAGGCAGAAGGTTGAATTTAAATAACTCCAGTTCAGAGTGCTGGCACACTATAGGGAAAGTTGACTTTGAGATTTGCCAGATGGGTCAAGCCTATTTGCAGCCTTAAAAAGGCCTGAAATCACAGCCCTGACACAGAGCTGCAGGAAGCAGAAAGTGACAAGCTTCCTCTCCAAAAACTGCATCAAGTAAAAGGTTATAACAAAAGAATTCATTTTCCTATTCCTTATCCTAGACTGCATTCGGGCCTAGACTCCAGTTCCTTGGGGGACACATCACAGTGGTGCCAGATGGGAGAGGAAAGGAGCCCATGATTTTTTTAATGCTATATTTATGAACTGAAGAAATATGTGATAATAGCTAGAAAAGGAAAAAGTACAGGCAGTAGGAAGTAACTGGGAAACTGCTGGCATGGCCAACAGGTATATGAAAAAATGCTCAGTATCACGAATCATCAGGCACATGCAGATTAAAACTATACTTTGCACCTGTTAGAATGGCTATTATCAAAAAAACAAAAGATAACAAGTGTTGGAGAAAGGGGAACCCTTGTACACTGTTGGTGGGAATGTAAATTAGTACAACCATTATGGAAAATAGTATGGAGATTCCTGAAAAAAATTAAAAATAGAACTACCATATGATTCCAGCAATCCCACTTTTGAGTACATATCCAAGGGAAGTGAAATCAATATGTCAAAGAGATATCTCCCATGTTCATTGAAGCACTATTCACGATAGTCACAATGTATGCAAACGACCTAAGTGTTCATCAGTGGATGAATGAATAAAGAGAAGGTGGCATGTATACACAGTGGAATAACATTCAGCTGTAAAGAAAAGAAGGAAATCTTGTCATTTGCAACAACATGAATAAACCTAGAGGACATTATGTTAAGTGAAATAAGCCAGGCATAGAAAGACAAATACTGCAAGATCTCAGTTATACGTAGAATCTGAAAAAAAGTTGAACTCATAGAAGCAGAGAGTAGAATGGTAGTTACAGGGGCTAGGGGATGGGGGGATTGGGTAGATGTTGGTCAAACAATAAAAACAAACAAAACAAACAACTGCTGCTATGGCTAAGGCTGTGGCGAAGCTACCGCAGACAGAACAGAAAAAGGCCTATGACAGAGACAGGGAAGGGAGAGGCCACAGCCAACAGGTGGCCTTTGCAATGTCAGGATGACAAGGGAGATGTTTGCAAAAAGCAGTGGCCTTATTGTGAAGCTCCTGTGGAGCTCTGACTCTGTGCCAAGTCCAAAATTCTTTAAGGGTATTAGTGTATTTGGTCGGTGGTCTTGCTGTTCTCACCTTACAGGTAAAGAGGCTAAAGCACAGGGAGGCAGAATCTTTTCCTTGGGTCTCTTAGTGACTGAATGGGGAAGCTGGGGTGTCACAAGGATTGACTGACTCTGCTTAGCACTCTTAGCTCTTAGCACTATTCTGCTCAGCCACTTCCAGCTCGGTGACTTATCACTTGGCAAAGACATCACTGGTCATGGGGCAGCTGACACTTCCATAGAGAAGTGAGCATCTCTTGGCCACTTTGTCTTCCCTGCTGATGGCTGTGGAAGGGCAGGAAACGCGAGCCCCTCCTTCTTCACGCCATGCACAGAGCAAGGGCTGGACATGGTCGATCTCAAATATGCATTGCTCACATCAGATTCATCCCTCATTTTTCTGTATTAGTTCGTTCTCATGTTGCTATAAAGAAATACCTGAAACTGGGTCATTTATAAAGAAAAGGGGTTTTATTGGCTCACGGTTCTGCAGGCTGTACAGGAAGGATAGCAGCTTCTGCTTTGGGGGAGGCCTCAGGAAGCTTTCAGTCATGGCAGAAGGCAAAGGAGCAGCAGGTGTCTTACATGGCAGGAGCACAGGCAAGAGAGAGAGAGGGGAGGTGCTACACACTTTTAAACAACCAGATTTCAGGCAAACTCACTCACTATCATGAGAACAGAATCAGCAGGGATGATGCTAATCTATTCATGAGAAACACAGCCCCATGATCCAATTCTCTCTCACCAGGCTCTACCTCCAACATTGGGGATTGCAATTTGATATGAGATTTGGGCGGGGACACAGATCCAAACTATATCACCTCATCAAGGAGTATTTGAGGCAGAAGTATTTCATTCACCTCTTACCTCAACCACATGAAAGTGACTTTATAAGGAGGAAACAGAAGCTCAGAAAGCCTAAGTCACTTGCCTAGATCTTGCAGCTAAGGGGCAGATCTGGAATTTGAACACGGAGCTGGCTGACTCCCAAGTTCGAGTTCTTTCTATTACATCACACTTCTTTTCAGTGATAACTTGGGGCTCTTTGAGACCATGTTGGGCCTGCTCCTTTCTGTACAGTTTTCTGCAACTGCAGGGACATCTAATGGACCCAAGGCAGAGTTTAATTTATGGGGGTGGAAGGGGAGGGAAACACTTTGCCTGTCATCATCAATGTCTCCAACAGGATTCTTAAAAAGGGGCCACTAAAAGTTTGGGGGGGGATATGGTTTGGATGTTTTGTCCCCTCCAAATCTCAAGTTGAAATGTGGGCCTCCAATGTTGGAGGTGGGCCTAGTGGGAGGTGTTTGGCTCACGGGGGCCGATCCCTCATGAGTGGCTTGGTGCTGTCCTTCAGTGAGTTCTCACTCTATGAGTTCATGCAAGATTCGGTTGTTTAAGGCCAGGCACGGTGGCTCACGCCTGTAATCCCAGCACTTTGGGAGGCCAAGGCGGATGGATCATGAGATCAGGAGTTCAAGACCAGCCTGGCCAACATGGTGAAACGCCATCTCTACTGAAAATACAAAAATTAGCTGGGCATGGTGGTGTGTGCCTGTAATCCCAGCTACCTGGGAGGCTGAGGTAGGAGAATTGCTTGAACCGGGACCCAGGAGGTGGAGGTTGTAGTGAGCCAAGATCATGCCACTGCACTCCAGCCTGGGCTACAGAGCGAGACTTCATCCCCCGCCCCAAAAAAAGAAAAGAAAATTAGCTGGGCGTGTTGGCGCATGCCTGTAATCCCAGCTACCTGTGAGGCTGAGGCAGGAGTATCACTGGAACCCGGTAGGCAAAGGCTGCAGTGAGCCAAGATCGCACTACTGCACTCCAGCCTGGGTGACAAAGCAAGACCCCATCCCAAAAAAAAAAAAAAAAAAAAAGATCTGATTGTTTAAAAAAGGCTGGCACCTGCTCCCTCACTCTCTTGCTCCCTCTCTTGCCATGTAATGCTCTGGTTTCCCTTCACCTTCCACCATGATTGTAAGCTTCCTGAGGCCCTCACCAGAAGCAGATGCTGGCACCATGCTCCTTATCCAGCCTGCAGAACTGTGAGCCAAATAAACCTCTTTCCTTTATAACTTACCCAGCCTCAGGAATTCCTTTATAGCAATGCAAACACACTAACACAGGGAGTAAATTAGGGCAGGGAATTTTTAAACTAATATATATATATTTTTTTAAATTGAGGTATAATGTATATATGCCAAAGAACATGAACTGTGCTAATTTTAAGTGTAGACCATGGTTAATTACCTGTGTGGACGCCTGTGTAGCCATCACTCACACTGAGATGGAGAACATTTCCTGCCTCTTCCCAGTCAAAACCCATTTCCTCCCCAGAGATAGCCACTATTCTGATTTTTATCATAATCAATTTGTTTGGCCTATTCTCGAATTTCATATAAATAGCTATGCTGCCTAATACTTCTTTTGCTCATTAGTGTTTAAACCAAATATACAGAATGGTGTAAAGTAAAAGATGAAACTCTTCGCCTAACCCTACCTTCCGAGTCTGTGTTCCTAGTGTCTAGCAATGGCATCCTTCTAGACTATTTCCTAATGTTCAGATACCATAGAAAACAGAAGGGGAGTCTTGCTTTGAGAGTCAACTTGTGGCTTTTTCCCTATGTTTTCTAGAGGAAGAGACTTACCAGCTACAATATGCATAGTTAGGAAATCATTAAGAGTTTCCCTCATAAAGGGTGGAGGAGGCAGCTTAGTTGTTCTGCAAGAAAAGGGGGATCATTCCCAGGGTGGTATGGGACACAGTGGTTCTTGGTCCATGAAGCAGAGATGAAGATTCCTGACACTCTCACTGCAGAGGACAGCTGATGCTGGAAACAGTAGCCCAGCTGGAGGCAGTATTTCTCAGCTCCTGCTTTGCACCTGAAAGGGGCTATGTTCTCAATAAATAGCCAAGGAGCTTAAGACAAGGGCATATCTTCTCCACTCTTTCTCCATCTGCAGGCTGAATGCAGAGGACTCAGAGGTCCTAGAGACCCTAAAGGAGGGCACAGTCACAGAATGGAAGCGTCCGGGCCCCTGGATCACCACGTAGAAGGTTGCATGCCAGGCAAATATCACCCTGAAAAACACAATCTATGAGGAAATGAACGCCCGAGAACCAGGTATGACACAGTCATATGCCCTCGAAGGTACCTAGGTGTGCACATGAGAAGATTGGAGAGCTAGACTGTCAGTACTTTGGGCTGTGGCCCAGATACGCATGAGGATCCTGTGTCTGAGCAAGACAAGTCTCTCCTATTTCTGGTGGCTGCTGGAGGCTTTGAGGGAGTGGCCTCCTGGGTCAGGCATGGCCTCTTCCTGCAGCCTCAATGTGCCACTGCAGACACTGCCGCTGTCTCCTACACACCTGAGCCACCAGGTGTCCAGTGAACAGTATCATGGTGCTCAGTGATACCGGTCCCCTGTCACCTATATTTCTACCATTCCTCCTTGTGAGAAGACAGGGAATGTAAAGCACTTTAGTTCAAAGGGCTGTAGGCATTTCAGCTGGAGCTTCCCCACCAGTTATAACGTGCACCTGGCGAGAGTGCAAAGAATCCACATTTTCTGTTTCAGAGAATGACTTTAGCTTTCTGGCCACTACTAAAGCCGGGGCTTAGCCTGACTCTCATTTTGAGCAGAATTACACCCAGCTTACTCCTCTGCAGTAGTCAATGGCCAAAGGTTGTGGGACTCTGCCCTCAAGACCCAAAAGCATTAGGGAGACTGCTGGATGTATCATGGGGGAGGACTGACGTTCTTGGAGAAGAGATAGCCTGGATTTCAGGCTTAGGACATCTTGAGCTTTTATCCTCTGAGGGTGGACCTGGAAAGTGCTTTAAACTTTTCAGATCTTGACACACAGTAATAAATACAACCTATATAGTGACTCAGTACATATATCTGGAATGTACTCTGATATTATCTATTCATCCCATTCCAAAATATATTTACTTATTTTCAATTCCACTTTCTAAAAGCTGGTCACAACCCATTCAGTTGATTCCATCACACTAGTGAATGGCAGTTTATACTTTGAGAGACTTGGACTAGGATATACTGGCCACCCAACCCCTACCCTAACTGTGCACGGAGCGGGACTAGACTGCAATGATTAGGAAGATGTCTCTGGAGCCAGAATGCTCAGATTTGAATTTTGCCTCTACCACTTACTAATTTTGTACCCTGAGCAAGTTCCTTAACCACTCTGTTCTTCAGGTTCCCATCTGTAAAATGGGGTTGTTTTCAAAACTACCTACCTCATGGAGTTGTTGTAAGAATTGATATATATATATATATGAAATTAAGGAACAGGGCCCGGCATCTAGTCAGTGCTACATAAGTGTTAGCTTTAATTATTAATGGATTATTTCCTCTTATTCTGAAAGGACAAATATTGTGGAGGAAGTTTTGAAGTCCCTGGTAGACCTAAGGATTCTGACTCTCTAAGCCCCTTGTTTTCTGGGCTTGGAGCTGTTTCTCAGGTGGAGGCAGTGTGACTCTCGCCCAAAGGTGTGCCATGACAGATGAGACTAAGTGGCTCTTAGATCTACTTGGTTTGTGGCTCAGTGGAAGGTGCTATGGCAAAAGTACAGAAATATGATTCTCTGATACTTTCTTCCATGAATTTGAAATTGGAAATTAGTTCTTCAAGATGGTCACTCCCCAGATATTATTCATGTATATTTGAGGCTCAACATGCATATGAACACTTCCGTGACAATTCTCTAATTCTCACTGGGAAATAAATTTTTCATAGTCTCCTTCCTCTTTACATCTCTCGTGGCACCTATTATTATTATTACTTAAAAGTAAGCTTTAAACATGTTTATATATCTGTCAGTTTTACTGAGGTACACTTTGTATATAATGAAACTCACCCTTTTTAGTGTATAGTTTAAGTTTTGACACATTCTGCTGTGTAATCACTACCACCACAGTCAAGTTACAAAATGTTATCATCACCCCCAAATAATTAATTCTCTTGTGCCCCTTTGTGGTCAATGCCTCCTATAACCCCCCACCCCAGGCAACCACCAGTCTCTTTTCTGTCTCTAAAGTTTTGCCTTTTCCAGAATGTCATATAAATTGAATCCTATAGTGTGCAGCCTTTTGGGTCTGACTTCTTTCACTTAATACACGAGATTCATCTGAGGGGTTGCATGTGTCAATAGTTCACTCCTTTTCGGTGCTGAGTAGTATAATAGTATTCCACTATGTGGACGCATCATAGTTTATGTATCCATTCATCTGTTGAAGGATATTTGGGTTCTTCGAGTTTTTTTTGAAGAGGATGAGTGGCCTATAGGTTTTTGCATAAATATAAAATTTCATTTCTCTTGGGTAACTCCTTGGGATAGAATTGCTGGGTCATATGGTAAGTGTATGTTTAACTTTATAAGGAACTATCAAACTATTCTCTAAAGTAGTGGTACCATTTTACATTCCCATTAGCAGTGTATGAGAGTTGCAGTTACTCTGCAACCTTGCCAGAATCCAATCCAGTTTCCTTCCCCCTCCCCTCTTCTCTCTCTCTCTCTCACTCTTTTTTTTTTTAACAATGATAATAGGTGTGTAGGAAGTAAACTTTCTGTTGAGGCATAATCTACACACAGAAAAGTGCACAGATTATAAGTATCAAGCTTGAGATTTTCAGCCAATACCCCATCTCAAAGGTAACCTTATTCTGGCTTCTCTCAACATAGACTAATTTTTGAACCTTACATAAATAAAATAATATACTGCATACTCCTTTCTGTGGCTTCTTTTGCTCAATATTATGGTTGAGTGATTCATCAATATTGTTGCATGTTGTTGCAGTTAGTTTTCTTGCTGTAGAATATTCCTTTATATGAATATACATCTATTCTATTCATGGTCATTTGGGTTGTTTCCAGGTTTTGTCTATTATGAATAATGCCTCTATGAACATTCTTGTTGCCATTTGGGAGATCCCCAAGGCTATCCTTAGGTTCAATAATTCACTAGAAGGACTCACAGAACTCAGAAAGAAAGCTGTTATATTCACGATGATGGTTTATTACAGTGAAAGAATACAGATTAAAATCAGCAGTGGGAAAAGGCACAGAGGACAGAGTCCAGGCAAGTTCCCAGGCATGAGCTTCCAGTCGTTCTCTTTCAGTGGAGTCCCGCAGACAGAGTTTACTTTTGTCGGCAATGATGAGTGGCAGATGCATGGAGTAACGCCAACCTAGCATGGAGGCTCCCCTAGCCTTGGTGTCCAGGGATTTTACTGGGGGTTGGTTACATGGAAATGGCAACAACCACGTGGCTGCTCTTAGTCTCTAGCTTCTCCAGAGGTTAAGCTGATGCCATGTGGCCCAATACTCTGGCTATAAGTGACATTGTTAACATAGGCTATTTGGTGTGACCCAAAGCCCCAGGTAAGGATGCTCTTATTCCAAGGGCTTAGAGGTTGCCTCCTAGAAACTGATCAAGGGCCAAACATTGCTTTGGACAAGATTAATCCTTTACTTGTATGTCTTTTGGTGAACATATGTAGCATTCCTGTTGGCAGCTCTACTCTTAGCATACCTAAGAGTGGAGTTACTGTGCCATAGGCTATGCATATGTTCAGATTTAGTAGTTAAGATCAGTTTTCCAAAGTGGCTCTATCAATTTACATTCTCAGCAGAGTGTCTGAGAGTTCCGGTTGCAACATATCTTCTCCAACCCTTGGTATTGTCAGATGTTTCATTTTGCTTATTTTATTCATTCTAGTGGGTGGGTAGTAAAATCTCACTGTGCTTTTAATTTGTATATCCCTCTTGAATAATGATGTTGAGCACATTTTCATGTGTTTATTAGTCACTTTGATGTCATCAACACTTATTATTATCAACTCCCTGTATTGTAATTTTATTCATTTCAACAGTCTTACTAAAGCCCTTGTAATGGTGAACACAGTGTAGTTCAGCACAACACACACACACACACACACACACACACACACACACACACACACAGAAGATATTATGTACATATTAATGTATTGATAGAGAAAGATCCTTAATGCAGAGAGAGTGTGTATAGTATGCTACCATTTATGTGAAATGTTTGTGGAAAAACTGAATGCACATACACACATATAGTCTTAAATATGCATAAACATTTTTCAGAAGGATCAACAGAACCTATAATCACTACTCACAGAGGAAGAAAACAAAGTGAATGGGGAATGGTGTGGGGAAGGAAAGAGTGATTTCTCACTGTACACCATTTAATATACTCTGATATGTGAGCAATGTAAATCTTTTTATCTAAAACTAAATCTTTTAGCCTTTTAAAACCATTCTGCAGAAATATTTAAGAAACAAACAAATATCACTTTGTCTACAAAATGATTTTATAGACCAGTTGGGAGGGATTGTTGAGGAGTTATGGACACAGACAAGAAAATAAGGAACTGCGGCCACCTGGATCACACCTGTAATCCCAGCAGTTTGGGAGGCCAAGGAGAGAAGATCGCTTGAGCCCAGCCTGAGCAAAATAAGGAAACCCTATCTCTACAAAAAAATACAAAAATTAGCTGGGCATGGTGGTGTGCACCTTCGGTCCCAGCTAGTTGGGAGGCTGAGGTGGGAGGATCATCTGAGCCCAGGAGGCTGAGGTTGCAGTGAGCTGAGATTATGCCACTGCACTCCAGCCTGGGCAACACAGTGAGACCCTGGAACTTTGAACTTGAGAGAGATTATTTAGGGTATCTGGCAGAAGAAATTTCTAAGCAGCAAAGCATTCAAGAGGTGACTTGGGTGCTGTTAAAGGCATTCAGTTTTATAAGGGAAGCAGAGCATAACAATTTGGAAAATTTGCAGCCTGACAATGGGATAGAAAAGAAAACCCCATTTTCTGAGAACTTCAAGCTGGCTGCAGAAATTTGCATAAGTAATGAGGAACTGAATATTAATCCCCAAGACAATGGGGAAAATGTCTCCAGGGCATGTCAGAGGTCTTCACGGCAGCCCCTCCCATCACAGGCCCAGAGGCCTAGGAGAAAATGGTTTCATGGACTGGCTCAGGCCCCATGCTGTGTGCAGTCTAGGGACTTGCTACCCTGCATCCCAGCCACTCCAGCCATGACCAAAAGGGGCCAAGGTACAGCTCAGGCTGTTGCTTCAGAGGGTGGAAGCCCCAAGCCTTGGCAGCTTCTACATGGTGTTGAACCTGCGGGTGCACACAAGAATTGAGGTTTGGGAACCTCCACCTAGATTTCAGAAGATGTATGGAAATGCCTAGATGCCCGTGCAAAAGTTTGCTGTGGGGTGGGGCCCTCATGGAGAACCTCTGCTAGGGCAGTACAGAAGGAAAATGTGGGGTCAGAGCCCCCACACAGAGTCCCTACTAGGGTACTACCTCATGGAGCTGTAAGAAGAGGGCCACCATCCTCCAGACCCCAGAATGGTAGATCCACTGACAGCTTGTACCATGTGCCTGGAAAAGCCACAGACACTCAATGACAGCCCATGGAAGCAGCCAGAAGAGGAGCTATAGCTTGCAAAGCCACAGGGGCAGAGCTGCCCACGACCATGGGAACCTACCTCTTGGATCAGCATGACCTGGATGTGAGACATGGAGTCAAAGGAGATCATTTTGGAGGTTTCAAATTTGACTGCCCTGCTGGATTTCAGACTTGCATGGGGACCGTAGCCCCTTTGTTTTGGCCAATTTCTCCCATTTGGAATGGTTGTATTTACCCAATGCCTGTACCCCCACTGTATCTAGGAAGTAACCAACTTGCTTTTGATTTTACAGGTTCATAGGCAGAAGGGACTTGCTTTGTCTCTTTTGCTTTGGACCATGGACTTTTGAGTTAATGCTGAAATGAGTTAAGACTTTGGAGGATGGTTGGGAAGGCATGATTGGTTTTGAAATGTGAGGACATGAGATTTGGCAAGGGCCAGGAATGGAATGATATGGTTTGGCTCTGTGTCCCCATCCAAATCTCATCTTGAATTGTACTCCCATAATTCCCACTTGTTGTGGGAGGGTCCTGGTGGAAGATAATTGAATCATAGGGGCAGTTTCTCCCATACTGTTCTTGTGGTAGTGAATAAGTCTCATGAGATCTGATGTTTGATAAGGGGAAACCCGTTTTGCTTGACTCTCATTCTCTCTCTTGCCTGCTGTGATGTAAGACATGTCTTTCGCCTTCAACCATGATTGTGAGATGTCCCCAGCCATGTGGAACTGTAAGTCCAATTAAACCTCTTTCTTTTGTAAATTGCCCAATCTTGGGTATGTCTTTATCAGCAGTGTGAAAATGGACTAATACAGTCATTCTTGCAAATTCCACTTCTAACACCAACTCCAAAGTTCAGGTGTCCCCAAGATCACCCTCACTCTGGCACCAAATGAAAGTGCAAGGATTCCCAAGAACACTCTCAGTTTCAATAATCACTAGAAAGACTCACAGAACTCACTGAAAGCTGCTACACTCACGGTTATGGGTTATTACAGTGATGTGTACAAATTAAAATAAACCAAAGGAAGAGGTGCAAGGGGCAGAGTTCAGGAGAGTTTCAAGCATGACACTTCTAAATGTCCTCTCCCATTGGAGTCAGAGCCAGCCATTGTGCCTCCCAGCAATAGTGTGTGGCAATACTCATGGAGTACTGCCAACCAGAGAAGTTTGGTGTCCAAAGTTTTTACTGGGGCATCACCACATAGACATAGTTGACTGCCCATGTGGATGACCTTAACCTCCAGCTTCTCTGGAGGTTGAGCTGATAGCATGTGCCCCAAAGCCCCTACCACAAATTATTGTAATCAGACTATCTGGCATGGCTCAAGGCCCCCAAGTAAACAAGGACACTTTCATCAGGCAAGACATCCCAAGGGCTTAGAGATTACCTCCTAGGGGCTGACAGCAAAGGCCATACCTTACTTTGAGTAAGGTTAATTCTTTCTTACACAATATGTTTATCTATCTATACATCTATCTAACTGTTGTGAACATCCTAATAGTTATATCTTTTTTTTTAAAGAAATAGTTCCTTTCCTTTCCTTCCTTTCCTTTCCTTTCCTTCCTTCTTTCTTTCCTCCCCTTTCCTTCCTTCTTTCTTTCCTCCCTCCCTCCCTTCCTTCCTTTCTTTTCTTTCTTTTTAAAATTTTTTCTTTTTTTTTTTTGCCAGGGTCTTGTTCTTTGCCCAGGCTGGAGTGCACTGGCCTGATCATGGCTCACTAAAGCCTCAACTCCCCAGACTCAATTGATCCTCTTGCCTCAGCCTCCTGAGTAGCTGGGACTACAGGGGTGCACCACCATACCCAACTAGCTTTTTGTATTTTTGTAAAGACAGGGTTTTGCCATGTTGCCCAGGCTGGTCTCAAACTCCTGGACTCAAGCAGCCCTCCTGCCTCAGCCTCCCAAAGTGCTGATTAAACAGGCATGTGTCATCATGCCAACCAGTTTTATTTTCTTTATAAGAAAATACATGTCCTTTATATGGACAAAATAAACAATATAGTAAAGTAAAACAAGGAGAGCAAAATCAGTCCAAATCCACTCACTAAGTGATACAATGATTAATACATTATTATATGTCCTTGTACACATCTTTCATTGCTGTTTATCCACATAATATATATAGAGTTTTATATAAATAAAATTGTTCTATTTATGTTGACGTATAACTGATTGTTGGACACTTAAGTTCTTTAAGTTGCTTTTATTAAACATTGACTAGACACAAAAATATTTATGAAGTAAAATGAAACACATTTACAACCAAAAACCTCTGAATTTATCACCAAATGTAAGGAAAAAAACCCAAAACATTATTAGTGCCAGGCGAGGTGTCAGAGCCCCGCCATTGGGAAGTAGTCAACTTACCGACAACAGTATAGGTTTGAAAAAGGAAAGTTTATTAGAAAGAAGGAATATTGCTAAAGGGTGCAGCGGGGCGCCTCAGTGGGAGGACTGGGTGTGAAATGGTGGATTTTCCTTAGGACCTTTTATGGACCTTAAGGTAAGAGCTTAAAGGTAATTTGGGCCATATTAGCTACATAGGTCATGATAAATTATTACATGTATAGACATTTGGGTGGCTTAACGTCAGCAAGGGTTGCACAATGAGTTTCGGCATGGAATTCCCAAGATGTATAAAAATTCTAGTTACTTAATAAAAGTTGAAAGAGGCCTGGAACCAGATGCCAACTTTAGATAGTAGGGAAGTTTTATTATTATTATTATTATTGTTATTGTTTGAGATGGAGTTTCCATCACCCAGGCTGGAGTGCAGTGGTACGATCTTGGCTCACTGCAACCTCCATCTCCCAGGTTGAAGCAATTCTCCCACCTCAGCCTCCTGAGAAGCTGGGATTACAGGTGCCCACCACTATGCCCAAATATAATTTTTGTATTTTTTGTAGGCGGGGGTTTTACCATGTTGGCCAGGCTGGTCTCGAACCCCTGACCTCAGGTGATCCGCATGCCTCGGCCTCCCAGAGTGCTGGGATTACAGGTGTGAACCATTGCACCCTGCTGGGAAGTTTAATTACTTTTAAATTTCCTAGATAACTTTTGCCTTTGGATGGCCTGTTTGATGGTCACCAGGTGTTCTTTGCTGCCTTCTAAATTCCTCAGATAAGGAGTTTTTGTCTCTGGGCCCTGTTCAATGGTCTCCAAGTCATTTTCACTTTCCTCACTCATTACCTTTAAAGTACCCTGTGTGCTTCTCTCCAACCCCATCCTCCTTTTCTTCTCTGAAAGGTAACAACTATCCTTAATTTAGGTTTATTGTTACTCTACTTTTAGCTTTATTGTGTTGGGGCTCAGAAAACAAAACATGTTGCATTAGACTTCAGACTGAGAGCACCTGGAGAGCAGTAATGCAGGGAAGGCCTTGCTCTGATCTTCCTTTATCCAAGGGAAGTTTCTCCAGAAGGAATGCAATCATTAACCAGAGAAGACTAGCTCACAGGAAAAGAGAAGAAAGTTCTGACACCATGCTGGAGAAACTCTTATCAGAGGCTACCACCTTCAGGGCTGCTACCTGAGAGACTTTATCTGCATAATAAGACAGTCTGGTTGGGCTCAGTGGCTCAGGCTGTAATCCCAGCACTTTGGGAAGCTGAGGCAGAAGGATCACTTGAGCCCAGGAGTTCGAGATCATCCTGGGTGTAAGGGAAATGGCTGCACTACAGTCAAGAGTGGGCCGAAGTAAACATCCAGTGCAGCATGGCACAGCCGGATTGGAGCG
Organism: Homo sapiens; assembly: GCF_000001405.40. NCBI lineage: Eukaryota > Metazoa > Chordata > Mammalia > Primates > Hominidae > Homo > Homo sapiens. The sequence continues at coordinate 94,498,286 of NC_000012.12, read as the reverse complement.
CAGGTGCACAATCCCGTGCATTATATAATCACAGTTATGTAACCATGTTATGGATGGACTCATCACCTGGTTCTGAGTCACTGTTATCTGTGACGTGCATAGATGTATCACTGACACTGTGAGAGCGTGCTTGATAAAGCTGGCTGCCTTGCAGGTGAACAGGAGGGAGCCAGGAAGTGGTGCCCACACTAGGGAGCATAGCTGCAGGCGTGGGGGCAGCAGGAGCCATGGAGCTGGCACTGAGAGGGACTGTGGCCAGAGCAGGCAGCTGAGACAAAGGCTGATGGAGAAGGCGAGAGAATAAAGCCATATTGCACTTGCCTACAGACCCCTGAGTGTTCTTTCAGCTACCTGCCACCTGTTCACTGACTCCCCTCAGACCCCAGCTTGAGCTGGAACCTGACACTGGGCAACATGAGGAGACTCCATCTCTAAAAAAAAATTTTAAATTAGTTGGGTGTTGAAAAATTAGCTGTAGTCCAAGGATCCCCTGAGCCTAGGAGTTCAAGGCTGCAGTGAGCTATGATCATGCCACTGTACTCCAGCCTGAAAATAGAGACACTGTCTCTAAAAAAACAAACAACAAAAAAGAATTTGTTGACAATGCATTTCCCCCTTACCCTCCCATAGCTTGTTATCACCATCCTTCAGGAGCTCCCAGCCCCCTATTCCTTTCCATATCATATAGAACTTTGGCCAGGTGTGGTGGCTCATACCTGTAATCCCAACACTTTGGGAGGCCAAGGCGGGCAGATCACAAAGTCAGGAGTTCGAGACCAGCCTGGCCAACATGGTGAAACCCCGTCTCTACTAAAAATACAAAAATTAGCCAGGCGTGGTGGCACACTCCTATAATCCCAGCTACTCGGGAGGCTAAGGCAGGAGAATTGCTTGAACCCAGAAGGTGGAGGTTGCAGTGAGCCAAGATCGTGCCATTGCACTCCAGCCTGGGCAACAGGGCAAGACTCCATCTCAAAAACAAACAAACAAAAATAAACTTTAGCCAGCTCAACTGGTCCTTCTCTAAGTTTCATATTTTGTGTGGCTCATGTGCATATAATAAATTTGTATGCCTTTTCTCCTGTTAATCTGTTTGTTGTCAGTTTATTCCAGAGACTCAAATTATCAAACCTTGGCCAGGCATGGTGGTTCATGCCTGTAATCCAAGCATTTTGTGGGGCTGAAATGGGCAGATCACTTGAGGTCAGGAGTTCAAGACCAGCCTGGCCAACATTGTGAAACCTCATATGTACAAAAAATACAAAAATTAGCCAGGCATGATGGTGCATGCCTGTAATCCCAGCAACTTGGGAGGCTGAGGTGGGAGGATCGCTTGAACCTGGGAAGCAGAGGTTGCAGTGAGCTATCGCACCCACTCCAGCCTGAGTGACAGAGCAAGACTCCATCTCAAAAATAAAAAATAAAAATTAATTATCAAATCTTTGGAGTGTGGAAGGAATGTTCCCTTTGCCCCTACCATCACATCTGTTTTCCCAAGCAATTAGTTTTATGTGCTTTTGGATTTTATACAAATGAAATTGTAGGGGAAGAGGAATCCTTTTTCCTCTACCCTCCTAACAGGCTGAGCCTGTGAATTAAAATAACGAAACACAGATTAGCAAGAGAAAAAAAGGTTTTGATTACACACTTAATGCACATTAGTTTAAATAAGAAATGAGACTCAAGGATGTGGTTAGATGATTGAGGCTTATTTATCATCTTAGGCTAAACAAAGGAAAAGGGGTTTGGGATTTCTGGGTCAGGGAGGCAAGCTTATGGGAAAGTGAGGGGATGAAATGTGTGATAAATAAAGGCTATCTTGTTTTGCAGATAAGAGTCATCCAGGTGATAAGGGTCATCTCTATGAATAGCTTTCTTCCTGGTAAGGAGACAAATTTTACAAATATAAATTTGCTTTATAAATATAAATTCCTTTCCAAAAGGGGAATTTTATACTGCATTTTTAGGTAGTAAGAGGGAGGTAAAGAGCTTTACTTGTATCTACTATTTCTCAGTTGTGTTTAGCTCAAGATAATCCAGTGGTAAAGAGGCGTATTTTGAGGTGGCATAGTCTGGCACCCTGCAGAACCATACTGTATATATTATTCTGCAACTTGCTTTTTCTCACAACACAATATTCCTGAGATCATCCATGTCATTGTGTGTAGCTATAATTTCTTCATTTTCACTGCTGTATTTATCTATTGTATTGTTGATGGACAATTAGGATTAGTTCTTCTTTCTTGGTCTTAACAAACAGTGTGGATATAAACACATGTACAAGAGTTTCTCTTGAGTCTATGCCCAGAAGTGGAACTGCTGAGTTATAAGACATTCACATCTTCAGCCTTAGTAGATAATGCCAAATTGTTTTCCCAAGTGATCCTTCCTGGCCGGGTGCAGTGGCTCATGCCTATAATTCTAGCTCTTTGGGAGGCCAAGGCAGGCAGATAGCTTGAGCTCAGGAGTTCAAGACCAGTCTTGGCAATGGTACCAGAAAGGGGTCCCGATCCAGACCCCAAGAGAGGGTTCTTGAATCTCACACAAGAAAGAATTTCAGGCAAGTCCATAGTACAAAGTGAAAGCGAGCTTATTAAGAAAGTAAAGGAATAAAAGAATGGCTATTGCATAGACACAGCAGCCCCAAGGGCTGCTGGTTGCTCAATTTTATGATTATTTCTTGATTATATGCTTAACAAGGGGTGGATTATTCATGAGTTTTCCCGGAAAGGGGTGGGCAATTCCTGGGACTGAGGGTTCCTCCACTCTTTAGACTATATAGGGTAACTTCCTGGCATTGCCATGGCATGTGTAAACTGTCATGGCACTGGTGGGAGTGTCTCTTAGCATGCTAATGCATTATAATTAGCATATAATGAGCAGTGAAGACGACCAGAGGTCACTCTCATTGCCATCTTGGTTTTGGTAGAATTTGGCCAGCTTCTTTATTGCAACCTGTTTTATCAGCAAGGTCTTTATGACCTGTATCTTGGGCTGACCTCCTATCTCATCCTGTGACTTAGAATTCCTAACCTTCTGGGAGTGCAGCCCAGTAGGTCTCAGCCTTATTTTACCCAGCCCCTATTCAAGATGGAGTTGCTGTGGTTTAAACGCCTCTGACAGCAAGATGGTGAAACCCTGTTTCTGCATAAAATACAAAAAATTAGTCAGGCATGGTGGTGTGCACCTGTAGTCTCAGCTACTTAGGGGGCTGAGGTGGGAGGGTTGCTTGAGCCCAGGAGGTGGAGGCTGCAGTGAGCCGAGATCATGCCACTATACTCCAGTCTGGGTGACAAAGTGAGAGCCTGTCTCAAAAAACCAAAAAACAGAAAAACGAAGTGGTCCTGCCAGTTTACAGTCCCACTAACAGTGTATGAGTGTTCCAATGACTACATTCCCACCAACACTTGATACTTTATATTTGTATCTTTGTGTACTACCAAGCTACTCAAAGTAAAATTTTAAACCTATAATAGGTTTTGCCAAATTGCTCCTCGTGTAACTGCCTGATGGGTTCTTCCTGCCTGCTGCAGGAACAAAATCGACCCCCTGAGACCATGGCATTGCAGTAAAGAAAGCGTTTGATTGATGTGAGGCTGGTTATGCTACATGGGAGATGGAGTTATAACTCAAATCAGTCTCCCTAAAGGTTCAGAGGTTAGGAGTCTTTCAAAGATAGTTTGGTGGGCACAGGGCTAGGGTAGGAGACATGCTGATTGGTTGGGGATGTCAACATGGGGTGTGGAAAATGGTCCTCATGCACTGATCTGCTTCTGGGTGGGGGCCACAGGACTGATTGAGTCACAAGTTCGGATGGGGCCATCCACTTGTCAGAAATGCAAAAAACTGAAAAGACATTTCAAAAGACCAATCTTAGGGTCTACAATAATGATGTTATCTGCAAGAGTAATTGGAAAAGTTGCAAATCGTATGACCTTCAGAGTAATGGCTAGTAATTATTTAGAATTCAGGCCCCTCTCGTCCTTCTAACTTGGTGACCTTTCATTAGTTTTACAAGGGCAGTTTAGTTTTGGGGAAGGGTTATTATTATTTAAACTGTAAACTAAATTTCTCCCAAAGAAAAATTTCCAGAAATGAGCAAAGACAGCCAGTCCGTGAGGCTAGAAGCAAGATGGAGTCAGCCATGTTAGATTTCTCTTATGTCATACTTTTGCAAAGGGGTTTTCACTCAAAAAGATCTTAACAATTTACACTCCCATCAGCCATATATGAAAAACTATGTCTTTACACCTTAGACAATACTGAAACTTTAATTTTTAAATATTTGCCAATTTTAATTTTAGTATTTGTCAAAAGATAAGGTGAAAAAGTTATCTAATTTTACTTTGCATTATTTGCCTACTACTAGAGAAATCGTATAGTTTTAATGTTTTCTTGGTGTTTGTATTTCTTCTTACGTAAAATGTCTTTTCATATAAAATGTCTTTTCACATAAAATTGTGGTACTTGTAGACCCAAGATTGGAGGCGTGAGAGTGGAGCATCAGGTAATGAAAGTTTTCATACAGAGTAAATAGGGATGGTTCTGTGCAGAAGAAGAAAAGAAAATTAACTCTGGAGATGTTATTTCAATTTTACTAAGTCTCTTTCACTCTAATTGAATGTGTCAGAGGTGTTTGAACCAGAGCAACTAACTCCATCTTGAATAGGGGCTGGGTAAAATGAGGATGAGACCTACTGGGCTGCATTCCCAGGAGGTTAGGCATTCTTTTTTTTTTTTTTTTTTTTGAGATGGAGTCTCGATCTGTCACCAGGTTGGAGTGCAGTGGCACGATCTTGGCTCACTGCAACCTCCACCTCCCAGGTTCAAGCGATTCTCCTGCCTTAGCCTCCCGGGTAGCTGGGATTACAGGCACATACCACTATGCCTGGCTAATTTTTGTATTTTTAGTAGAGATTGGTTTTCCACATGTTGGTCAGGCTGGTCTCGAACTCCTGACCTCATGGTCCACCTGCCTCGGCCTCCCAAAGTGTTAGGATTACAGGCATGAGACACTGCGCCCGGCCAAGGTTAGGCATTCTTAGTCACAGGATGAGATAGGGAGGTCAGCACAAGATATAGGTCATAAAGACCTTGCTGATAAAACAGGTTGTGGTAAAGAAGGCAGCCAAAACCCACCAAAACCAAGAGGATGACAAAAGTGACCTCTGGTCGTCTTCACTGCTCATTATATGCTAATTGTAATGCATTAGCATGCTAAAAGACACTCCTACCAGTGCCATGAGAGTTTACAGATGCCATGGCAATGTCAAGAAGTTACCCTACATAGTCTACAAAGGGGAGGAATCCTCAGTTCTGGGAATTGCCCATCCTTTTCCTGGAAAACTCATGAATAATCCACCCCTTGTTTAGTATATAATCAAGAAATAACTATAAGTATACTTAGTTAAGCAGCCCATGTTGCTGCTCTGCCTATGGAGTAGCCATTTTTTTAATTCCTTTACTTTCTTAATAGACTTGCTTTTGCTTTACTCTACGGACTCACCCTGAATTCTTTCTTGCATGAGGTCCAAGAACCCTCTCTTGGGGTCTGGGTTGGGACTCCTTTCTGGTAACAAAAGAAAACTATAGATATAATATTAGATTTTGACAGACTATCAAGTTAAATTTTGTTTTCACTGTATAAAACTTAGAAATCATATTGAACAGAATTAGAAAGTTGTTTAAAAACAGGATTTACATAATTGAATTTGATATAAGTACCTCTACAAATAACCATGCTGGGCTTGTCCATTTTCTCCAGTGATCTCAAAACAATATCCATATTATTTTTTATAGTTTATAATGAAAAAACTGAAACCACAGGAAGATAAATGATCTCAAAATAATATCCATATTATTTTTTATAGTTTATAATGAAAAAATTGAAAGCCCAGGAAGATAAATGATCTTTGTTAGATCACAACAAGTCAATATGAAGGTCAAGAGTAAAAGTAATTTTCAGTCTATCATTATGGCCCAAACTCTCCAAACCCCCTGCCAGGTTTTTACTTATTAGGAATTTAAGTGTTTCAAAAATGAAAGTCTTCAGCCAAAGAATTGTTAGTTAAAATACAAAACAAAAACATTAGCATTGGGAGTTTCTAAAGTGTTGAAAGCTAAGTGTTTTAACGCTAAAATCCTTGACATTTAAAAGGCTCAGGAGCCAAACCTACTGAAAGCCAACTAACATGTAAATTATAACAATTTATTTCTCTTAGGCCTTGGCATGCTTCCTTTTGGTGCCAGAAGTAGAGTGAGATATTTGAGATTCAAACTCTTTGTAAACTTTTATAAATTAGAACTATATTCTCTGTGGAAAAGTATCCTTGCATCATCTTTCCTCTTTCTTCCCCTAGGAACTGACTGGACTTCACAACCAATTTTGGGCTAGTGTGGAGAGATCAGCTGTGAGAAACATCCATTGATTTGCTCAGGCTGCCCTTTGTATCTTAATGCTTCAGGTTTTGTTATCCTGCGCCTTTCTTCTGTCTTCTTTCCTCATAAGTTTTTTAGATACAATTTTATTGCCAATAATTAAAGAGTGAGAATGAGCGGCAATGGGCTGGTATGGTTGCATTCAAACTCCAAAGTTCACATTTTGGAATATTGATTTTTGCTTGAGAACAACTTACCTAAAAACCATGGGAATTTGGCAGGGAGGGATGTGATGGGGCATATGTTGAGTTCTTTCAAGGAATTTAACTTTCATTTCTGAAGAAGTAAAAACTGTGGCATGGTGTTCTCTTTCTTTTGTCTTCCTTCCCCCAAAGTTAAAGAGTTTGCAGTTGTTTGAGAGCCCTTCCAATTGCATTCTTTCACAGCCGTCTCCTTTCATCCCCATCTCAAACTCAGTGTTTTGGGGGGATTCAGGCATCAGTCTACAGTTAGAACAAAACAACTAACATAGCTAGAAATCATCTTGAAAAGCTAAAAATAGTGTAGGAAAGAATAAATCTTTTCTCACCCATAGCTAGGTTCATAAATGAGGTCCCTATAACAAAACACAGATTGACAAGAGAGAAGCATACAAATTTACTTAATATAAGTTTTATGTGACACAGGAGCTTTCAGAAATGAAGACCCAAAGAAACAGGGATATGTGTGTATTTTTATGCTTAGGGTTGATGAAGAGCAGACAGTTCTGCAGAAGTATGATTGGACAAAAGGTTATGATAACTGCAGGAAACTTAGGAAGTCCTGTTTGTTCAGGTTCTTCTTTGTATCCTTGTGTCTTCAGAGATAAGGACATTCCTTTCTTCCAGGTTTGGGTGAGTGCCTCTGGAATGAAGGTCTTATAACCCGCTTCACGGAGGAAAGTTGAGGGGAAGGTAAAGTGACCTTCCTGCTTCTGAGATTTTCTGAAGGTACCATATGTTGGGGTGGTGTTTCCCGAACCCCATCGAAAGGAAGGTAGGTCAAAGCAATTTTGGAGTAAACCCACCCTGGAATGTAATTCCAGCACTGAATTTCTCACTTTTTCCCTTTTCCTTCATTCCTTCCTTCAAGGATTATTCATTGAGCACCTCCTATATACTCCTAAGTTTGGAAAATACAGCAATGAAAAAGACAAGTTTCCCTGACCCTGTGGAACTTACACTAGTAAAGATTTCTGATATTGATAAGTGCTATTAAGAAAATAAAAATGTGTAGTCCCAGTTACTTGGGAGGGTGAGGCGGGAGGATTGCTTGAGCCCAGGAGTTCAAGTCCAGCCTGGGCAATGCAGCGAAGCATTAAGACATGTCTCTAAGAAAAAAAAGAAAAGAAAAGAAAAATGATGTGATTAACTGAGAGCCCCAACAGGAGGCAACTTTAGATAAGGTAATCTCTAAGGAGATATTTGAGCTGAAACCTGAAGGAGGAAAAATAGCCGGCTAGGATAATAAGCTAAGAGAAGTTTAAGGTAGTTCATACTGCAAAATCTGAGTCAAAAAAAAAAAAAAAAAAAAAGCTTGACGTGTTTGAGGGAAAGAAAGGAGGACACTGTGGCTAATGCAGAATGATGGAGGGGGACAACTGTAGTATCCTGGAGCAAAAGGCATTAACTAGCTCATGCATAGCTTTTTACACTACAGTTAGAAGTTCAAATCATACTCTAAGAGCAATGGAAGCCATTGAAGCCTTTAACGCTAGCAAGATCTGATTTATGGTCTCAAAAGCTCATTCTGGCTGCTCTTTGGAGAATGGAAGCAGGAATATGGGTTAGAAAGTTCCTGGTTAGGAGTTGCTATGGTTTGAATGTGTCCTCCCAAAAACATGTGTTGAAAACTTAATCCCCAATGCAACAGTGTTAGGAGATGGGCCCAGTGAAATGTGATTAGGCCAGGAAGGTGGAGAGAATGGATTCATGCCATTTTCAAGGGAGAAGGTTCATTATAAAAGGGGGAACTTGACCCTCTTTTACTCTCTCTCTTGCCCTCTCTTTGCTCTTCTGTCATGGTATGACACAGCAAGAAGGCCCTTGCCAGATGTTTGCCTCTTGATCTTGGAATTCCCAGCCTCCAAAATTGTGAGCCAATACATTTCTGTTCATTATAAATTAACCAGTCTGTGGTATTCTGTTATAGCAGCACAAAATGGACTCAGACAGGAGTCCAGGAAAAGATGGTGGCCTTCATTAAAGTGGTGGCAATGGAGGTGAAATGAAGTAGACTTAAGATAGATTTTGTGGATAATTCTGAAATTACTTATTTATACATTAGCAGTCCTGGGACAGGGTAGTGGGGGTGTGAGGGGAAAATAAATCAAGGATGACTCTTAGGGATTTTGGCTTAAGCATCTGGGTTAGACAGTGCTGACATTTACTGAGATAGGTAAGATATACAGACAGGAACTGTTTTAGATTTATTACCTTTAAAATACCTATTAGATATCTAAGTGTCAGTGAACACTTGCATACCAGAATCTGAAATGCATGTGCAATATCTGGGAAGGAGATATCCATGTGGGGATTGTCAACATATAGAAAACATTTAAAGCCATAGGAAAGGAAGATATTAACTGGATAGAGAAGAGTGTAAGTTCTAGGCATTCTATCATTTACAGATCAGACAGAACCAAGAGAGTCAGAAAAGTGTTTGGCCAATAAAGCAGGAGAAAAATGCAGAAAAGTGGAGAATGTTTTAAGAAGTGATCAACTGTGTTGAAGGCTGAGAGGATGAGCACTTATCCTGTGACTTTGAGTAAACTGCTCCATCTATCTAAACTCAAGCTCCTCATCTGTAAAATGTGGATAAAAATAGTATAACACCGACAGTGTTGTTGGGTGTATTAAAAAACAATATATGTAATGTTCTATGCATCTGGCATGTAATAAGTGATAAATGGTAGCTATTAGTCTATTGCTGTTGAGTTCTGAATTCTATAAGAAGAAATATAAATATGTCAGGGGAAAAAGCACATACATATACTGGAAAAGTTCTGAATAACAGATATTCAATTTTATCACATCTTGCAAATCATTCTTTAATGTTCCTTTTAGTCTTTGTGTCTTTTTAGCTCTTCTGGAGTCAGGGCTTAAGATATGAGAATTCCTTCTTCTCTGGATAGTCAAAAGTTGCTATGACAACTGGCTGGAAATGAAAGTCCTCTGCTTTATTTATTTATCTGAGGGTGATGTGCTGCAGAAAGGGGGAAGTGAGACTGCCACAATGTGCCTCACAACCTTTAGAGAGAAGACATGTAAGGGCCACGTTTTCTCCCATCCTGTCAGAATCCTTAACTGTTTATATATAACTTACCCATTTCTTCTTTTTCTACAAAGTATTTGAGGTCATAAATATTAAGACACGTATAACTTGAGGCAGTTTAAAGAAAATAAATCAGATGATTAAATACTATTCGGAGAAGTAATGTATAACAGAAAAGTAATGTATAACAAAACAGAGTTATTAACACCATGTAAGAAATTTAACCCCAAGTATTTTGGAAGTAAAAAAACAAAAAACAAAAAACAAAGAAAAACATAATGGTTTCAGGAATTCTATGAAGTATGCTTAAAGGTCACAAACAGGTTAATTAGGAGAGAAACTTTTAAGCAGATATATATGTTGTTCCTGTGCAATAATAGCAGTGGTCAGCTGGGCGTGGTGGCTCACACCTGTAATCCCAGCACTTTTGGAGGCCAAAAGGAGGGCAGATCACCTGAGGTCGAGGGTTCGAGACCCGCCTGGCTAACATGGTGAAACCCTGTCTCTACTAAAAATACAAAAATTAGCTGGGCATGGTGGTAGGCACCTGTAATCCCAGCTACTTGGGAGGCTGAGGCAGGAGAATCACTTGAACCTGGGAGGTGGAGGTTGCGGTGAGCTGATATCGCACCTTGGCACTCCAGCCTGGGCAACAGAGTGAGACTCTGTCTCAAAATAAATAAATAAATAAGAAAAGAAAAGAAAAAAATAATAGTGGCCAACATTTGCATACCACTTTACAGTTTATGCTTTACAGAAGGTAGTATTACAACTATTTTTTTGGCCCCCAAACCGCACAGTAGGTTAACACAGAGAACTTGAATCATGAATCTTTTTTTTTCAAATACAGAAAACCTTTCTTTATTAGTAGCCAAAATATATAAGCATCTCTTGCATCTTTTATTTCCAAAACCCAATTCTTTCTGCTATACCAAGAGGCAACTTCCTTAATCGCAATTTTTGAAAAATCTTATGAAACATAACATTCACAAAAGTACATAAAATTTATATCTAAATTTTAAGGAATAACTGCAAAACTAACATCCACATAGCCACCACCAAAACCAAGAGATAGAACACTCCTAGAACTCTAGAAGGCTGGGCGTGGTGGCTCATGCCTGTAATCCCAGCAGTTTGTGAGGCTGAGGCGGGTGGATCAGGTAGGGCCAGGAGTTGGAGACCAGCCTGGTCAACATGGTGAAACCCTGTCTCTACTAAAAATACAGAAAGTAGCCAGGTGTGGTGGTGCACGCCTGCAATCCCAGCTACTTGGGAGGCTGTGGCACAAGAATCACATGAACCTGGGAGGCAGAGGTTGCAGAGAGCCAAGATCGTGCTGCTGCACTCCAGCCTGAGTGACAGAGCAAGACTCCGTCTCAAAAAAAAATAAAAAAATAAAAAACCACTCTGTCGCCCAGGCTGGAGTGCAGTGCTGCCATCTCTCGGCTCACTGCAAGCTCTGCCTCCTGGGTCCGGGTTCACGCTGTTCTCCTGTCTCAGCCTCCTAAGTAGCTGGGACTACAGGCGCCCGCCACCACGCCCGGCTAATTTTCTGTTTTTTTTAGTAGAGATGAGGCTTCACTGTGTTAGCCAGGATGGTCTTGATTTGCTGACCTCGTGATCCTCCCACCTCAGCCTCCCAAAGTGCTGGGATTACAGGTGTGAGCCACCGCACCCGGCCCCTTTTATGCTTTTAAAAATTATTGAGGACCCCAATGAAATTAGGTGTACATGGCCTATAACTAGCAGTATTTTCATTATTGGAAATTAAAACTGAGAATGAAAAAATATTAATTCACTTTAAAAATAACAATAATACATTTACTACATGTTAACCTAAATAATACTTTATGAATATTAACTATTTGCCAAAACAAACAAAAAAAATTATTGAGAGGAGTGATAGTCACTTTTTTTTCAAATTTCTTAAATGTCTGATTTAATAGAAGACAACTTGATTCTTACATCTGATTCTGCAGTCTGTTATGATGTTGTTTTGGCTTAATTATATGGAGAAAATCTGGCCCCACACAGATATGTAGTTGGAAAAGTGGGAGTATTTTAATAGCCTTTTCAGATAACTGTGGATATTCTTTGTACTATACCAGAATTCCACAAGTGCTAGTTTTTTTTTTTTTTTTTTGAGCTTCTTTTTTATTTATTATTATTATAGTTTAAGTTTTAGGGTACATGTGCACAATGTGCCGGTTAGTTACATATGTATATATGTGCCATGCTGGTGTGCTGCACCCATTAACTCGTCATTTAGCGTTAGGTATATCTCCTAATGCTATCCCTCCCCCCTCCCCCCACCCCACAACAGTCCCCAGAGTGTGATGTTCCCCTTCCTGTGTCCATGTGTTCTCATTGTTCAATTCCCATCCATAAGTGAGAACATGCGGTGTTCGGTTTTTTGTCCTTGTGATAGTTTACTAAGAATGATGATTTCCAATTTCATCCATGTCCCTACAAAGGACATGAACTCATCATTCTTTATGGCTGCATAGTATTCCATGGTGTATATGTGCCACATTTTCTTAATCCAGTCTATCATTGTTGGACATTTGGGTTGGTTCCAAGTCTTTGCTATTGTGAATAGTGCTGCAATAAACATACGTGTGCATGTGTCTTTATAGCAGCATGATTTATAGTCCTTTGGGTATATACCCAGTAATGGGATGGCTGGGTCAAATGGTATTTCTAGTTCTAGATCCCTGAGGAATCGCCACACTGACTTCCACAATGGTTGAACTAGTTTACAGTCCCACCAACAACGTAAAAGTGTTCCTATTTCTCCACATCCTCTCCAGCACCTGTTGTTTCCTGACTTTTTAATGATTGCCATTCTAACTGGTGTGAGATGGTATCTCACTGTGGTTTTGATTTGCATTTCTCTGATGGCCAGTGATGATGAGCATTTTTTTCATGTGTCTTTTGGCTGCATAAAGGTCTTCTTTTGAGAAGTGTCTGTTCATATTCTTTGCCCACTTTTTGATGGGGTTGTTTGTTTTTTTCTTGTAAATTTGTTTGAGTTCATTGTAGATTCTGGATATTAGCCCTTTGTCAGATAAGTAGGTTGCGAAAATTTTCTCCCATGTTGTAGGTTGCCTGTTCACTCTGATGGTAGTTTCTTTTGCTGTGCAGAAGCTCTTTAGTTTAATTAGATCCCATTTGTCAATTTTGGCTTTTGTTGCCATTGCTTTTGGTGTTTTAGACATGAAGTCCTTGCCCATGCCTATGTCCTGAATGGTAATGCCTAGGTTTTCTTCTAGGGTTTTTATGGTTTTAGGTCTAATATTTAAGTCTTTAATCCATCTTGAATTAATTTTTGTATAAGGTGTAAGGAAGGGATCCAGTTTCAGCTTTCTACATATGGCTAGCCAGTTTTACCAGCACCATTTATTAAATAGGGAATCCTTTCCCCATTGCTTGTTTTTCTCAGGTTTGTCAAAGATCAGATAGTCATAGATATGTGGCGTTATTTCTGAGGGCTCTGTTCTGTTCCATTGATCTATATGTCTGTTTTGGTACCAGTACCATGCTGTTTTGGTTACTGTAGCCTTGTAGTATAGTTTGAAGTCAGGTAGTGTGATGCCTCCAGCTTTGTTCTTTTGGCTTAGGATTGACTTGGCGATGCGGGCTCTTTTTTGGTTCCATATGAACTTTAAAGTAGTTTTTTCCAATTCTGTGAAGAAAGTCATTGGTAGCTTGATGGGGATGGCATTGAATCTATAAATTACCTTGGGCAGTATGGCCATTTTCACGATACTGATTCTTCCTACCCATGAGCATGGAATGTTCTTCCATTTGTTTGTATCCTCTTTTATTTCATTGAGCAGTGGTTTGTAGTTCTCCTTGAAGAGGTCCTTCACGTCCCTTGTAAGTTGGATTCCTAAGTATTTTATTCTCTTTGAAGCAATTGTGAATGAGAGTTCACTCATGATTTGGTTCTCTGTTTGTCTGTTATTGGTGTATAAGAATGCTTTGATTTTTGTACATTAGAAGAATCAAATAGATGCAATAAAAAATGATAAAGGGGATATCAACACCGATCCCACAGAAATACAAACTACCATCAGAGAATACTACAAACACCTCTACGCAAATAAATTAGAAAATCTAGAAGAAATGGATAAATTCCTCGACACATACACTCTCCCAAGACTAAACCAGGAAGAAGTTGAATCTCTGAATAGACCAATAACAGGAGCTGAAATTGTGGCAATAATCAATAGCTTACCAAGCAAAAAGAGTCCAGGACCAGATGGATTCACAGCCGAATTCTACCAGAGGTACATGGAGGAACTGGTACCATTCCTTCTGAAACTATTCCAATCAGTAGAAAAAGAGGGAATCTTCCCTAACTCATTTTATGAGGCCAGCATCATCCTGATACCAAAGCCTGGAAGAGACACAACCAAAAAAGAGAATTTTAGACCAATATCCTTGATGAACATCGATGCAAAAATCCTCAATAAAATACTGGCAAACCGAATCCAGCAGCACATCAAAAAGCTTATCCACCATGATCAAGTGGGCTTCATCCCTGGGATGCAAGGCTGGTTCAATATACACAAATCAATAAATGTAATCCAGCATATAAACAGAACCAAAAACAAAAACCACATGATTATCTCAATAGATGCAGAAAAGGCCTTTGACAAAATTCAACAACCTTCATGCTAAAAACTCTCAATAAATTAGGTATTGATGGGATGTATCTCAAAATAATAAGAGCTATCTATGACAAACCCACAGCCAATATCATACTGAATGGGCAAAAACTGGAAGCATTCCCTTTGAAAACTGGCACAAGACAGGGATGCCCTCTCTCACCACTCCTATTCAACATAGTGTTGGAAGTTCTGGCCAGGGCAATTAGGCAGGAGAAGGAAATAAAGAGTATTCAGTTAGGAAAAGAGGACGTCAAATTGTCCCTGTTTGTAGATGACATGATTGTATATCTAGAAAACCCCATTGTCTCAGCCCAAAATCTCCTTAAGCTGATAAGCAACTTCAGCAAAGTCTCAGGATACAAACAAGTGCTAGTTTTTAAAGGTTCGTTGCGGCCCATGACGCAGTTAGTGGTGGCTCATGCCAGTAATCTCAGCTACTTGGGAGGCTGAGGCAGGAGTTCGAGGCCAGCCTGGGCAACATAGCCAAGAAGCTGTCTCTACGAAAAAAATAATTTAAAAAATTAGCCTGGTCAGGTGGCATGTGCCTGTTAGTCCCAGTTACTCAGGAGGCTGAGGCAGGAGGATTGCTTGAGCCTAGGAATTTGAGGCTTCAGTGGGCCATGATCACGACGCCACTGCCCTCTAGCCTGGGTGACAGAATGATACCTTGTCTCAAAAATAAATAAAGCAATTTTAAAAAATTAAAAATAAAGGTTAGTTGTAATATGGAATCTGAAATGATAATACTATTACATTAAAATAAATTTGTCTAACTTGCCCTTTGAATGGCTTTGTCACTCATGTGTAATGTTATAACATGACATTCATTTGAAAAATACTGGTTCACTGAGTTATCCAGATACTCCAAATGTTGACACATTTCGTTACACTGTATCCAAAATCACATTCATTAATATCACTACCAATCTTAACACAAAAGTCTTTAAATGTTGAAAATTTCTAATTTTCATTTGAAAGCTTAGATTTTGTCACTGGCCAAAAAATTTTCTCAGTTGTTTTCCTTGCAGTGACTAGCTGACTTTATTTTTGAGAAAATGTCTTCCAAATACCCAAGTCTGAATAAACACTGTTTGCCAGCATTCTCTCAAATAAAGATGGTATTCAATAAAGTGACTAGTTCAACCACTGGCAATTACACAAGTGCTTTTCCTTGAGACAACCATTGTACTTAAGGTGTACAGCAGAAGCTTTATGTTCTTGAACTGTGGTCTCCAGACCAGCAGCATCAGCACCACCTAGGAACTTGTTAAGTATACAAATTGTTGGGTCCACTGTAGACCTACTAAATCAGAAACTGTAGGTGAGGCCAGTGGTCTGTGTTTTATGACCCTCCAGGTGGTTCTGATTCCATCTAAGTTTGAGAACCACCACTTCAAACTTAGAGCAATGGTTCTGTTTTGGTTGCAGATTAGAATCAGCTGGGAAGTTTATATTTTTTGTTTGTTTGTTTGTTTTGGAGACAGGGTCTCATTTTGTCACCGAGGCTGGAGTGCAGTGGCATGATCACAGCTCATTGCAGCCTCAACTTCCTAGGCTCAAATGATCCTCCCACCTCAGCCTCTGGGGTAGCTTGGACTATAGGTGTGTGCCACTATGCCTGGCTAATTTTTATTTTTATTTTTTTCTGTAGAGACACAGGTCTCACTGTGTTGTCCAGGCTGGTCTTGAACTCCTTGGTTCAAGTGATTCCACTACCCTGGCTTCCCAAAGTGCTGGGATTACAAGCATGAACCGCCCCCACCTGGCCACACCTGGGGAGTTTAGAATCTCTAATGCCTAATTATTCTTCACAATTAAGTCAGAATCTCTGAGGGTAGGATCCAGACATCAGGATTTTTAAAATTTCCCCTGATGATTCCAAAGTGCAGCCACTGCCTTAGGCTATCTTTCTGAAACAGTTCTCAACTATGTTTTTTTCTGGGACTGGACAGCTCTCTATTGAAAACGGAGCTCTCTGACAAGTTCCTGGAGTGCTAATAACTAGGCTGCTGCTGGGTAGAGACAGATGAATGTTTTCAGGATCATTTTCCCATCTTAAATAGTCAGAAAGTGCCAAATGGTGAACAAGAAGATGTCCTAGCAGAATTCAAGAATACTTCCCATTAGTTAACCCTCTTTTTTAGGAAAGTGGAAATCCTGGCAGGTCTGGTGAGGTCTTTCTGCTTTGATTACCACTGAAGCCTCCTTTTCAGCCAGCAGGGCTTGCTTTTCTACATAGCTTTTATTTCTCCAGATTGTCTTAAATTAGCAGTTCTCACCTTTACCAGACTCAACATTTCTATTTTAAAATAAATATTTTTATAACTCTTTATCATCCACAAATGAAATATACAGAGAGTGCAACCTGACTACATATATAAATTTAAAAAATCAATGTAATGCCCTGACTATATTATAAAGGATAAATGAGATTAATTTATAACAAAAATATATATGGTAGTATATAAATGCGTGGGAACGTTGACAGACATAATTGTCAGATATTGGAATATACATTTAATAATTTATTATAAAAATTTCAAACATATACTAGAGAGAGTAGTATAATGAACTACATGTTTCCACAATATCCAGCTTCAACGATTATCAATTATCAATAGCTAATCTTTTTCATTCTTACCAATGCTACCTAAAATGTGGTCCCTGGATCAGCAGCATTAGTGTTACCTGGAAGATGGTTAGAAATGCAAATTCATTGACCTTACTCCAGACCACTGAATCAGAATCTCTGAGGTAGGGTTCAGGAGTCTATGTTTTAACAATCTCTCCAGCTAATCTGTAGGTCCGCTAAGGTCTCAGAGCTACTGATCTAGATAACATTCCTACCTTCTCAGATTATTTGAAAGCAAATCCCAGATAGTACCCAGATATATTTTATCCATAAAGAATTACTTTAACTTTAAAAAATATAACCACATACTACTATGTCACCTAAGAAAAGCTTAAAACTATAATTATTTAATCTCATCAAATATATGGAATTTAAAATTTTTCTCAGATTTTCACAAATGTCTTTTTGCAGTTGATTTACTTGCATCAGTTCAAACAAGGTCTATATATTGCATTAGGTTGATATGCCTCTTAAATATCCCTCAATCTAGAATGATTCCTTTTTAAAAAAATTCCTGCCATTTATTTGTTGAAGAAGCATTTGTCACATTGTATCTCACATTCAGGATTTTGCTAATTGTGTCCCTGTGTGTCATTTTGTCATGTTCCTCTTTTTTCTGTATTTGCTGTAATCTGGTTGTTAGATCTAGAGGCTTGATCTATCAGGTTTGGCTTTTTTGGAAGGAATATTTCATAGATGAAGCTATGCCCATCCCATTATATCATAGCAGAAAGCATATCAATATCTGGGCTGTTTCTCTTTTTCAGTTAAGTTTAGTTAGTGGGTTTAAGTATTGAAAGCATAATCTAGCCTATATAAAAGTTTCCCATCAGCCCTTTATCTAATGGTCCTAGCAGCCACTGATGAGCATTGCCTAGGTCCATTTTTTTCATTAAGGGATGAAAAAATGATGATATTCTAATTTTTATCATTTCCTGATTTTATTACCTGAAATATAAAGAACTTTTTTTCATGTATTTGTATAGGAAATACAGTTTGTACAGAAAAGGCAGAGCAAATGCTCAATTTAATTCCTTTGTTAACTAGACTTCAAATAATGAATTTGAAACATCCTCTAAATGTTTACTTTTGAATGTCATGCACTATGGATTTTAATATATTTGATATTTTCAATTCACTTTAGTAATCATTATGATGCTTAAATTGTCTCACGTTTGACTAGATGGAGTTTCTTCAAGTTGGCTCCTGAGTTCTTCTGAAACAACCTTAACAGTGCGTGATGCCTTCTTACTTTTGGTTATGAAAGCTATTTCAAGCTCATCTTATACATTTCCCACACCAACCCTGGAGTCAACTATTTCTCAAAGGAGACTTGATTCCTTTTACTGGGAAATGGTTTTTAAGAGACCATAACCTGAGTGGTAGGGGAGATCATTGCTATAAGGCTATTATTCCTAGTCCTTTTCAGTGGAAAGAGCTATGAAATACATATTTTTTTTCTTTTTTCTTTTTCTGAGACAGAGTCTCACTCTGTTGCCCAGACTGGAGTGCAGTGGCGTGATCTCAGTTCACTGCAACCCCTGCCTTCCAGGTTCAAGCGATTCTCCTGACTCAGCCTCCTGAGTAGCTGGGATTACAGGTGCCTGCCACCACGCCCAGCTAATTTTTGTATTTTTAGTAGAGATGGGGTTTCACCATGTTGGCCAGGCTGGTCTCGAACTCCTGACCTCAAGTGATTCACCGGCCTTGGCCTCCTAGAGTGCTGGGATTATAGGCGTGAACCACCACACCTGACTGAAATAAATATTTTTAAAGAGAAAATTAAATCTTGAGAACATACTAATGCTTCCAATTTAAATATAAGACTATAGGAATTTTAGGTCTTTGATTTTATACTTGCATATCTTTCCTCTTACAGTAAAATTTTTGGTTCCTAATGATACTAACACAATCATTTATTTGCTTTACCCATATATACAATAAAAATATTTTCATAACAGTATCAGTATATTAATAAAAAGATAACTAAAATTCAAGATTTCTCTGTAGTTTTTTCCTTTTTTTTTTTTGAGACAGAGTCTCGCTCTGCCACCAGGCTGGAGTGCAGTGGAGCGATCTTGGCTCACCGCAACCTCCGCCTACCAGGTTCAAGCGATTCTTCTGCCTCAGCCTCCTGAGTAGCTGGGACTATGGGCGCACGCCACCATGCCCAGCTAATTTTTGTATTTTTAGTAGAGACAAGGTTTCACCATGTTGGCCAGGATGGTCTTGATCTCTTGACCTCATGATCCGCCCACCTCGGCCTTCCAAAGTGCTGGGATTACAGGCATGAGCCACCATGCCTGGCCTTCCCTTCCTTTCTTACATAAAAGTTACTGTATACCACTGTTCAGTACCTTGCTTTTAAAGTTTTTAACTTATGTCCTAGGATTGTTTAATAACAATATTTAGAGATATTACTCAGTCCTTCTTATAGTGGCATAGTACTCCACTGTGCAAATCTATTACAGTGTATTCAACCAAATTCTCTGCTGATAACATTTGGACTGAAAGATGTCTTATACTATTACAAATATTGCCATCATATCCTTGCATATTCATATTTTGTTATATTTTCTTTGGGTTAGATTCCTAGAAGATGCACTTTGGGTAAAAAGTAAATGAACTTTTTAATTTTGCTAGCTATTGCCAAATTCTTCCTATGGAAAATGTACAGTTTTGTATTTCTACCATCAATGTGTGAAAATTCTACATACTTGAAATTAGTAAGGCTGGATTTTAAAGAAGACAACATTCAAAGGAAAACTGTCATTTTTCTTTATATTTCCACTTTGAAATAGTTTAAGGAGGTATATTCATATACATACATGAGACAGGCACAAATATAGCTACAGGCATACTGTATTGGTGATTCAAATATCAGGACATTGTCATTGCCCGTGATTTAATTTTTCAAAATAGCAAAAACAATTGGTAAAGTTCAAATAACATGAACTTCATTTTACTCTTGATTTACATGGAATTTGCATTACTAAAAATTCGGTAGATATTAAAACTGTACAAAATCATTTTTGTTTATTTTTTTGAGACGGAGTGTCGCTCTGTCCGACAGGCTGGAGTGCAGTGGAGCGATCTCGGCTCACTGCAAGCTCCTCTTCCCAGGTTCCAGCAATTCTCTTGCCTCAGCCTCCCTAGTAGCTGGGACTACAGGCGTACACCACCACACCCAGCTAATTTTTGTATTTTTAGTAGAGATGGGGTTTCCCTACGTTGGCCAGGATGGTCTCAATCTCTTGACCTTGAGATCCGCCTGCCTTGGCCTCCCAAAGTGCGGCGATTACAGGTGTGAGCCACCACACCTGGCCTTTTGTTTGTATCTAAAATAGGTTTTAGACCTGGATAATTCCAGATAATGGTAAAAGTTTTTGTGTTTTGTTTTTAAAAAAACATATATGAGTATCTGCCTAGATATATGAAAATCATGAGGTATAGAGTACAATTCTTTGTTATGTGAGCGTTGCTGTGGCAGCTATAGGAGTGTACTGGTCAGCTCTTCGAGAACCTGCGGTAAACACTGTAGTTAGGGACAGCCACTTAACTGCCACACCTTGGAGTCATTGCAGGATTCATGCTGAGTACACGCTCTTCCTCTGGCTCTTCCTCCGCTGCTTTCAGCCAGTGACTGAGTCTGGTGAAGGCAGATCATTCCTGCCCAATGTGGGACTCCTCTAATGGGTTATCTTTGTTCTGATGACTCTCTGTAGGCTTGGTTATTTTCACAGAACTGCATTACAGCCTAAGGCTCTTCCTATTTTTTTTTTTTAACAGTCCAGAAGTCTTTTTTTAACACCTATTATGCCATGAATTTCTATTCTTCTTTTCTTCCTTTTCTCCATTCACAGGTGTCACTCTGGAGGCTCTTTCTGCCTACTCCCTCTTGCTTTTTATCCTTCACAGACATTTTCCCCAATAAATCTAATTCTGTCTTGGTGTCTGCTTCATGGAAGACTCAAACTGACAGCTACTACTGGGAGTGACCTCAGAAAGCAAATAGTAAGACAGGGTTTAGAGAGTCCATCACTTACCACCCAGCTGGTAAGGCCAACTCATTCTGAATGGAATTTGGGGCACAGATAGTACTTGACACAAGGTAGAAGTTCAATTGCTAAAGTTTTCACTGGTTGTGAGCTGGGAAAAAATCTCAGTGTAGGGAATATCCTTGCCTGTATAATGATTTGGGCATTTAAAAGATCTTAGTGAGCAGAGTGGTTATTACTAAGTTGTATTGATGCCCCACGGAGAGAGAATGAGAAACTTTGAAGGCTGTTTACAAACAGAGCCCAAGTGTGAGAATGAGAGGCCTCTCTTGGAGCTTATTCAAAACTGGACATAGTCATAGAGTTGATGGGTCCAGCGACAGATCATCATTACTTTAGGGGCAAAATAGGCAGATATTAAGAGATTAAGAGTGCTGCTTAACATGTACAAGCAGAAGGCAAGAATGGAGGGGCAGGAGGCTAAGGGAGGTCATTTCAATAAATGTCTTTGTTGTTCATCCTGAACTTAAGCAAATTTTCAGATCTAGAGCCCACTGACTGAGGAGGTAGCTAGGTCCCTAGGAGGACCCTGCAACATTGTGGCAAGTAGATATTTTAATGATTCCTCCTATCATTCTCCAAAAGGAGTTAGGGCATACACTTGGGTAGGGCATTTACACTGGGAAACGGGAGTGCCCAGTCATTTCAGAGGAGCTTTGGGCCTAGGGACTAAGTCGACTTTGGTAACTGGAGACCCAAAGTGTTATCATGGCTTCCCCTGTGTGTGGAAAATTATGAGAATAAGTAATAAAGTCTTAGCTAAAGTCTGCACACAGTGAATTCACTGGGTCTGAAGACCCATCTGCTAGGTATTTCTTTGTCCCTGAGTATATAATTACAACAGACATCATTGGCAGTGGAAGTACTGGGTCCTTGAGCTGTTAAAGAGCTATCATAATGAGAAGACCAACTGAAAGCCTTTGAAACTGTCCCCCACCCTAGCCAAGATAGAATATAAATGACATTGTGTCCCACAGGAGATTAGTACCACGTTTGTATCCTACAGAGTGAATGCAGGCTACCACAGCAAGTTTAAACAAGTAGTACTCTCAACTGAAACTATGCTGGACATGGTATAATTGCTAAGGCAGATTAATAAGGCCTCAGTCACATAGTTTGTAGACACTGATTTGATGGATGCATTATTTTATATTCCAATCAGAAATAAGGATAAGAAATAATTCACATTCATGTGGAGGAGACAATATTTATTTCCAGCTTTGTCCAAGGACCATGTTAACTCTTCTACTCTCTATTGTAATACAGTCAGAAGAGATCTGGACTGTCTGGACATCCAGTGTGTAACATCACATTGATATGTTATATCAACAATATTCAGACTGAGCATGATGAGCAAGATGTGGCTTGTATACTAGAGGTCTTGGTAAGACATGTATCCAGAGAGTGGGAGATACACTTTTAAGAAGATTCAAGAATTTGTGACTTCCGTAAAGTTTTTTCAAGGTCCAGTAGTCAGTGGCCTGTGGAGACATCCCCTCCAGGATAAAAGGCAAATTTCTGCATCTTGCATCTCCTACTATAATGAAGCCCAATGCCTGGTGGGCCTTTTTGGGTTCTGGAAGCAATGAATTCCATACCTAGGAATACTGCTTTGGTTCACATGTAGGCAACATGTAAGTCTGCCTACTGTGAGTGCAGAGATGAAGGCTACACATGAGCCCAAGAGCATGAATTCCTACTTACCAAGGCCAATATACCTACTTGTCTCTGAAGGTCTAATTTGCCAGCAACAGAGACCAACCCTGAGTCCCTGATATGGCATTATTACTTGAGAAGATAAACCAGCCACTTGGTGGCAAGTCAACAACACTGTGCCCTTTCCATTCTGGAGTGGCCAGCAGTTTATCCTTACAGGGATACATATTTATTCTGGGTATGGGTTTGCCTTTCTTGGCTTCAGAGCCACAGCCCATACCACTATCTAGAGGCTTAAAGAAGGCCTGATCCACAGGTATAGTATCCAACTCAACACAGGATCCAAACAGGGGATCCATTTCATAGTAAAGGTGGTATGAGTATGAACTAATGACTAAGGGATCTACTGGTTTTATCACATACTGCACCATCTGGAGCAGCCAGCCTGATAGAGCACTGGGCAACCTACTGAAGGTGCAGCTGGAGTGCCGATTTGGAGGCAATATTCTGCAAGAACAGAGTGCCACTTTTCAAGATCAGTATATATACTAAATCAGGGAGCTCTAAAGGCACTGTCCCTAATAGGAAGAATACATGGGTCCAGGAAAAAGGCAGAGGAAGAAGAAGTGGCCCTACTTACCATCCACCCAAACGACTCATCGGGGAACTTTGTGCTTTCTGTTCCTGCAACTCTGGGTTTTGAAGGTTTAGAAGTCCTGGTCCCCAAAGTGGGGTGAATTCTTGCCAGGAAATGCAAGGAAGGTCCCACTGAACTACAAGCTATGGCAACTGTTTGGGCATTTTGGACCCTTTGTGTCAAGGTGCCAGCAGGCAGGAAGAGGAATCCCCATCTTGGCAGGGGTAACTGACCTAGATCAACAGGAAGCAGAAGGGCTTCTTTTACACAATGGGCAGAGAAAAATATGTAGCCCCTAGGTGATCCACTTGGGAGTCTTTTGAGACTTACTTGTAACTGTGGAAGGACATGTACAACAATCACATGAGGTATGTGTAATTGCCAATAAATATATATTTCTCATCAGGAATGAGGATTTGGGTCACACCCAGGTTACACCACTAAGATCTGTGGAAGTGACTGCTGAAGGAGAGGAGAACTTGAAATTGGTATGGAAGAGGAAGATAAGTAGCAGTTGCAGCTTTGAAACCAACTGAGTGACAGGGATTATGGTTTGTCCCAATAACCCCCTTTGTCTAAGTTTTCCCTCAAGAAGTGAGGTCCAGAGGAATCAGAAAAGCTACTCCCAGAACATGAGAGGTTCAACAGAGAACCTGCTGGAAGGACTAGAAAGGAAAAATAGAGTTGAGGAAACCATGAAGAAGACAATATAGATGAAAATGCTTCTAAAGTTACAGAAATATCAGGAAATAATACTGATGAAGATGAAGCAGATGACAAAGATGAAGGAACCAAAAAGGAATCCTTTGACAAAATGCCTCCAGCATCCATTAAAAATGGCAGTGATTCACCTCCAAAACTCAAGATACAAAACAAAAATGCCAAGAAAATGCCTCCCAACCTGGCCTATTGAGAAGCAGCTAATGGCCAAGTAATCAAACTAGTACAGCATTTGCTAATGGCGATATGAAGATTTTCTAACAAAAAATACACAAGAGTTTGCCTGTAAGTCAGGTGAAGGGTTCCAGATCATCAACTAAAAATAAGGTTAGCTGTTATGCTAAACCTGTGACTGCAAATGAAATTGACAATGAAGTGGGACCCTCAGAGTCTAAACGAGAAAGAACAGGGGTGAATCTGTGATAAGATTATT
This sequence comes from Homo sapiens, assembly GCF_000001405.40. Lineage (NCBI taxonomy): Eukaryota > Metazoa > Chordata > Mammalia > Primates > Hominidae > Homo > Homo sapiens. The sequence goes on along the minus strand of NC_000012.12, from coordinate 94,473,784 downwards.
GATGCTCTAGGCAAGGTGAAGCCACCTCTGTTAAGGTCTGGTGCTATCCCTCCTGACAACCATCAGCAAAATGGAAAAGATGCCATGAAGTTTCCCTAAGGTTTCCAAACGGTTTTTGAGGTCAAAAGAAGAAACAAATCTGCTATAATTCGATACAAAATGTGAACACTTACGCAGCCTGGGAAGTTAATTCATCTTGTTTTCCATGCAGGATCTCAACTCCCAAGCCTTATCTCCCCAAACTTCTCATTTTGTGTCCAACTTTAACCTGGATTAAAAAAAGATAAAAGAAAAAGATAAAGAAAACATCAAAATCATCACCTTGGCATGTCTTGACATGTTATGACTTATGTATATCATCTTGTTCTCCTGCTTTACAAGCAAAAGTATCTCAGTAAAGTATCATTTTTGTTTTGCTTTAAAGAGAAAGAGAGAGAGATGGAGAGAGAGAGAAAGAGAGAGAGAGAGAGAACCTGCTGTGAGGACTGTAGCTAGCTGACAGTCTTCTAGTATTATTCCTTGGAGATTCATCATGGCATTTATGATTTGGCCTTACCCTACCCAAACTTCCTCAATGGCTGAGCACAGCAGGGGTAATAGAGCCAGGCCACATCTGGTCAAATTGGAACCCCCTCAAATGGTCAGTCTTTGCTCTGTGGCTCCCTATTGGCCTGGCCAAGACATTCCTAGAGCTGTTATTATAATCTAAGGCTGTTCCTACTGAATCCACCTCCCTCTTCTCATGACATTGACATGGGTGTCAGATCTGCATCCCAGTCTCAAACTCTGCCTGCTAACTGCTTCCTCTTCCCTACAGCCATTTCCCCCAATCCATCTCTTCTATGTCTGTCTTGGTGTCTGCTTCTCTGTGGACCTGAACTGACCAAAGTCCCATTTACAGTAGGATGTCTAGCATCCCTGGCCTCTCCCACAAAGGCTGGCAGCACTGTCCTTCCAATCTTGAGGCAACTGATGACACCCTCCACTGATTTCTTTAATAAAATGTTTCTATTGAGAACCACTCACTCAGAGAATAAATCAAGATCACAAATTTTAGAGCTAGAAGAGGTCTTACAGATAAAGAAAAATTAAGGAACAGAGAAGTTTAATGACTTCCTCTATTTATTTTCTCCTTTCCTATAGTGCCGTCACCTTCTACTCATTCCCTAATCCAATTCTTGCACGTCAACTGGAACTGATAAGTTTTGAATAGTGAGTTGTAAGTATCAAAGAGGCTGCAAGCCTCAATTCAGAGAAAAATTTAGGAAATGATCACCTTCTGAAAGTGATGCTAGGAAAAAAAATCAGTATATGGTAGATAAAATTAGCCATCTGTATAAGTAACTCACCCTTGGACTTGGCTTTGAATTTATTACTTTTGTGATCAAGGTGCTTTCCAAGATTCCATCAAGTCACATGGATATAGTCTCAGGAAGACAATCTTCAAATGCGGAGGTACTGTGGAGTATAAGTAGTAGACAGTATTGTCTAAAAAAGATTCAAGAATTTTAGCTGTTTAGTTGTTTGATGAGTTTACAGCAGAGACCATTTTCACTTTAATTCAATAAATATTCATCTAATACATTTATTTACTGATTGCCTACTGTGTGCCAAGCATTATATTAAGCACAAGGCATACAATGGTAAACAGGACATGATCCTTCCCCTCAAAGAACTCATTAGTTGGAACATGTTATTTTTAATGGGGAGATATCACCCCTCAAGGGGGCAAAAAACCTTAGATATTACAATGGTCCTTGGCCCTCCAAAGAGCCACAGTACATAAACAGACATACAGTATATCTGTGATTTAAGATTTCATGGGGGTGGGAGGAGCAATGAGGAAAGTGGTGTCTAAAATGGCTGCTTAGGGGATCAATTATGAAAACAAGGCTAAGAAATACGGTCTAGAAGAAGAAAAAAGGAGAGAAAAAGAAAGAAGATGAAAGAGAAGGAAAGAAAATAAAAGTAGAATGATGAAAAAGAAAAAGGAAAGGAGGAAAGAAGAGATAATTAAAGGAGAAGGTATATGAAATTTTAAGACAAAAATAGGTTTGTCTACCACCAAGCCATATGACATATAGCTTTTTTTCCTTGACATTCTGAAATACAAGCTTATTCTTCTTACATTATTTCTGGCTCTGGCAACAAAGTATTAAAGGAAATGCAATACTGGAATGCCTACCGTTTATAAGAATTCCTTATCCTAAAGCATTCTGTTTCTTGCACAAATACTCCAAATGTCCGTACTTTTTTTCATTTAAAGCTTAAACTTACTTTGGGAGGCCGAGGCGGATGGATCATGAGGTCAAGTGATCGAGAGCAGCCTGGCCAACATGGTGAAACCTCATGTCTACTAAAAATACAAAAAAATTAGCTGGGTGTGGTGGTACGCACCTGTAATCCCAGCTACGGGGGGTGCTGAGGCAGGAGAATCGCTTGAACTCTGGAGGCAGAGGTTGTAGTGAGCCGAGATCACACCACTGCACTCCAGCCTGGGCAACAGAGCGAGACTCTGTCTCAAAAAAAAAACCAAAAAACCAAAAAACAAAAAAAAACACCCTGAAACTTGTTTGTATACATTGAAGTACAGTGAAATAAAAAATTAAAATTACACTTGTATGATAATTTCCTTATTGGGTTCCTAAAAACCCTATTATTCCATTTACCTGTAATACAAATTTTGTTAGCTTCACAATATTGAAGTCCTTAATTCATAGCAATTATTTATTTCATTTATCTGCCATAGTAGAGTAACCCATTTGTTATTGTTTGAGAGCTGATTAAATTTTTTTGCAGTTTGGATTTATCCCTAGGACCTTTCCCTTGCTCCGAGTATGAGTGCACCAACTTTCTGATTACTAGTCTGATTTCTTGGGTTATCTTGATATAAGGAAAAGAGTTCTCTTGCTAGCAAACATTAGTATTTCAGTGAATAGAAAAGTATTTCTATTAGCACTTTAAAATATGTTTTATGGTGGTATAATTAACAGAATAAAATACACATATCTTACTCAATTTGATGAATTTTGACAACTGTATATCCTGTGTAATTACCACTTGAAACAAAATATAATCTATCATCTTAGAAAGTTCCCTTGGACTCCTTTCAATCACTGTCCCCTATAACCACTTAGAAATTTCTAAAACTAGATGGTCTTTCTTGGATTTCATGCAAATAGAACAATACGGTTTGTATTCTGTTGTGCCTGGCTTCTTCTGTTTATCAAAATATTTGTGAGACTTACTCATGTTGTCAGGTATACCAGCAGTTTGTTCCTTTGTATTGCTGAGTTGTATTCCGTTGTAAGAATATATATCATTTTTAAATTGTATCTGTTTTCCTGTTGATATACATTTAGGTTATTAGTTTTTGGTTATTATGAATAAGGTTGCTCTAAACATTCTTTGTGTAAGTTTTCTTGTGAAGTTGCATTTTCGTGTCTCTTGGGTAACTAAGTGAAATTGATGAGCCATGAATAAGGTAGATGAAAGTACAATGAAAAGAAATTGCCAAGTACTTTTCCAAAGTATTTTACACTCACATCAGCAATGTGTAAGTTCCAGCTGTTTCACATCTTTGTTAATGTTTGGGCTACTACACTTTATTTCAGCACCTTGGAATGTCTGTGAAATGAAGTCCTCTGTAGATTTAATTTTCATTCCCTTGATGATCAAAGATATTAAGTACTTCCTCCATTTTTTTGTTGTGTTAAAATACACATAACATAAAAACCATTTTGTAGTGTACAGTTCCATCGTATTAAACACTGTACATTCATAAATGTGCAACCATCACCAGCATCTATCTCCAGAATTCTCTTTATCTTGTAAAACTGAAACTATACCCATTAAGCAGTAACTCCCCAGATCCCCCACCCCACCAGCCCCTGGCAAACACCATTCTACTGTCTCTGTACTTTTGACTCCTTTAAGTATCTCAGATAAGTGGAATAATATGGACCAGTACCATTCCATGGCCTGTTAGGAACTGGGCTGCAAAGCAGGGAGCAACAGGTGAGCAAGCAAAGCTTCATTTGTATTTACAGCCATTCCCCATCGCTCACATTACCGCCTGAGCGCTGCGTCCTGTCAGATCAGCGGCGGCATTAGATTCTCATAGGAGTGCGAACCCTGTTGTGAACTGTGCATGTGAGGGATCGAGGTTGTATGCTCCTTATGAGAATCATGATCTGTCACTGTCTTCCATCACCCCCAGATGGGACCATCTAGTTACAGGAAAACAAGCTCAGGGCTCCCACTGATTCTACATTATGGTGAGTTGTATAATTATTTCATATTACAGTGTCATAATAGAAATAAAATACACAAATGTAATGTGCCCGAATCATCCTGAAACCACCCCCCCACCCATCAATCTGTGGAAAAATTGTCTTCCACGAAACTGGTGCCAAAAAGGTTGGGGACCACTGTTCTATTGTATGTATATACTATATTGCTCATTCATTTATCTGTGGATGGAGACTTGTGATGTTTCCACATTTTAGCTATTGTGAATAATGCTGGTTGTGAACATGGGTGTGCAAATCTCTTTTTTTTCTAGCTCCATTTCTGAGTATGGAGAGACGTATTTTCAATTATTTTAGGTATATACCCATAAATGGAATTGCTAGATTATATAACTCTATTTTTAATTTTTTGAGGAGCCTCCATACTGTTTTCTGTAATGGCTCTACTATTTTAATTCCCATCAACAGTGCACAAGGATTCCAATTTTTCCACATCCTTGCTAATATTTTTTTTAAATAGTAGCCACCCTAATGAGTGTGAGGTGGTGTCTCATTATACTTTTGATTTGCATCCTAATGATTAGTTAAATTGGGCATTTTTTCATATGCTTATTGGCCATTTGTATATTTTCTTTGGAGAAATGTCTATTCGTGTCCCTTGCCATCTATTTACTTATTTAGAGATGGAGTCTTGCTCTGTCACCTAGGGTGGAGTGCAGTGGTGTGATCTTGGCTCACTGCAGCCTCTGCCTCCCAGGCTCAAGTGATCCTCCCATCTCAGCCTCCTGAGTAGCTGGGATTATAGGCAAGCACCACCATGCCTGGCTAATTTTTTGTATTTTTGGTAGAGATGGGGTTTTACCATATTGTCCAGGCTGGTCTTGAACTCTTGAGTTCAACTGATCTGCCCCCCTTGGTCTCCTAAAGTGCTGGGATTACAGGCATCAGCCACCATGCCCGGCCTCCTTTGCCCATTTTAAAATTGTATTCTTTGTTAGGAGTTCTCTATATATTCTGAATATCAATCACTTATCAGATATGACTTGAAAATATTTTCTCCTGTTCTGTGGCTTGCCTTTTTACTCTGTTGATAGTGTCATCTGATATACAAAATTTTAAAATTTTCATAAAGTGAAATTTGTCTATTTTTTCTTTTGTTGCCTAGGCCTTTGGTTTAATATCCAAGAAATCAATGTCAAATCCAATGCTATGAAGCTTTTGTTCTGTGTTTTCTTCTAAGAGTTTTATAGTTTTAAGTCTTATGTTTATGTCTTTTATCCATTTTGAGTTAATTTTTGTATATGGTGTTGGGTAAGGGTTCAACTTCATTCTGGGTCTGGTTTTCCCAGCACTATTTGTTGAAAAGACTGTCCTTTCCCCATTGAATGGTCTTGGCACCCTTATCAAAAACTATTTGATCATAAATGAGGGAGTTTATTTTTAGGCTCTCCATTCTATTTCATTGGTCTATGTCTGTCTTTACACCAATACTACACTGTTTTAATTACTATAGCTTTGTAGTAAGTTTTGAAATCAGTAAGTGTGAGTACTTGAGCCTTGTTCTTTTTTCAAGATTGTTTTGACTATTTCAGTTCCCTTGAGATTCCATATGAATTTTAGGATGATTTTTCCATTTCTGCAAAAATTGTCATTGGGATTTTAATAAGGATTGCATAATGTGTTGATTGTTTCATACAGTATTGACATTTTAATACTGCTCCAATCCATGAACATAGATGTGTTTCCATTTATTTATATCTTCTTTAATTTATTTTGCAATGTTTTGTAGCTTGCATGTGTAAGTCTTTCACCTCCTTGGTTAATTCCTAAGCATTTTATTCTTTTTGATGTTATCATACATCAAAATGATACTTTTGGAATTTTCTTTTCAGATTGTTGTTAGTGTATAAATAGTAAGAGCTGATTTTTGTGTGTTGACTTTGTATCCTGCTACTTTCTGAATTCATTCATTAGTTCTGTTTTGTGAAATCTTTAGGATTTTCTTCAAGATCTTATCATCTGTGACAGATATTCAGGAATTTTTAAATGTATTTATTAACCATTTGTATATCTTTCATGAAGGGAAAGTTCATGTCTTTGCTATTAGCTTAAATGAGTTATTGTTAATAACTATTTTTATTGTTAGCTTGTAGAAGTCCTTTGCCAGATACATATGTAGTGAATATTTCCCAGTCTGTAGCTTAATGGTAACTTTGAAGAGCAAGTATTTCAATAAACTCCAATCTTTCAATTTTTTTCTTTTTATGGTTAGTGTTTTTTATGTCTCATGCAATAAATATCTGCCTACTCCAAGGTTATTAAGAGATTCTTCTGTTTTCTTTTAGAAGTTTTATGGATCTTGGTTTTATGTTAGGCCTAGGAGGCATCTTGAATTTCTGGGTATGGAGATGAAAGGTTGAAGTTCTTTTTGTTTTCCCTAAATAGTTATACAGTTGTTTTAGTAATATTTATTAATCAATTTTTTTTCTTATTGAATTGCTTTGATGCCTTGGTCAAAAATGAAATGACTTTATATGTATAGATCTATTTTTAGACTTTAATCTGTTCTATTTAACTACTAGTTTATCCTTTGGAAATAACAGTCTTGATTACTATAACTTTATAAAAGGCTTGAAATCAGGTAGTATGTCTTCCAATTTTGTTCTTTTTAAAGATTATTTTGGCTATTCTAGATCCTTCATTTTTTCACATAAATTTTGGATTTTGTCCTAAAAAAAAAAGCCTGCTGGATTTTTTTTTGTGAGATAATTTTGTATTTTTATTTCAATAGTTTTTGGAAAAAGGTGGTTTTTGTTACATGGATAAGTTCTTTAGTGGTGATTTATTAGATTTTGGTGCAACCATCAACCTAGTAGTATACACTGTACTCAATGCATAGTTTTTTATTCCTTAACCTGCTGGAATTCTGATATGGAAAATCCACAAATCAATTTAGGAAGAATAGACAGGATAATATTACTGAGTGTTCCCATCCATGAATATAAAATATTTCTCTATTATTTAAGTCTTCTTTAATTATCTTCTATCCATGTTTTGTGTTTGCTCTTTTTTTTTTTTTGAGACAGGGTCTCACTCTGTCACCCAGGCTGGAGTGCAGTTGCACGATCTCAGCTCACTGCAGCCTTCACCTCCTGGGTTCAAGTGATTCTTGTGCCTCAGCCTCCAGAGTAGCTGGGATCACAGGTGCACACCACCACACTCGGTTAATTTTTGTATTTTTAGTAGAGACGGGGTTTTGCCATGTTGGCCAGGCTGTCTCAAACTCCTGACCTCAAGCAGTCCACCTGCCTCAGCCTCCCAAAGTGCTGGAATTATAGGCATGACCCACTGCACCCGGACTCATTTTATTGTTTTTCAATACAGAGATCTTGCACATCTTGTGTTAAGTTTATTCCAAGGTTTCAGATGTTTCTGGATACATTATAAATGGTATTGTTTACAATTCCACTTTCTATTGCTAGTATATAGAATTGATTTTTGCTATACTGAGCATGTATCTTATCACTTGTTAAATGAAGTTACTATTTCTTGTACTTTTTTTTTTTTTTTTTTAGACAGAGTTTTGCTCTTGCTGCCCAAGCTGTAGTGCAATGGCATGATCTCGGCTCACTGCAACCTCCACCTCCCGAGTTCAAGCGATTCTTTTGCCTCAGCCTCCCAAGTAGCTGGGATTACAGGCATGCACCACCACGCCCAGCTAATTTTCTGTAATTTTGGTAGAGACAGGGTTTCTCCATGTTGGTCAGGCTGGTCTCAAACTCCTGACCTCAGGTGATCTGCCCGCCTCGGCCTCCCAAAGTGCTGGGATTACAGGCGTGAGCCACCGCACCCCACACCTGGCCTCTCTTACCTTTTTTATATATTCCATAGGGTTTTGTATGCACACAATCATATTGTCTGTGAATATAATTTTACAATAGTCTCCCCTTACCTGCAGTTTCGGTTTCTGTGGTTTCAGTTACCTGTGGTCAACCTTGGTCCAAAAATACTAAATGGAAAATTCTAGAAATAATTCATGTTTTAAATTGCGGGCTGTCCTGAGTAGCATGATGAAATCTCATGCTACTCTGTTCCATCGTGCCTGGAATCATCTCTTTGTCTAGTATATCCATGCTGTATATGCTACCCACCTGTTAGTCACTTAGTAGCCAACTTGGTTATAAGATCATCATTATTATGATGCTGGTGTTCAAGGTCCATAGTAGCCTAAAACTATGTCACAATGCCTACCTCATTCACTTTACTTCCTCTTGTCATGTAGGTATTTTATCACCTCACATTATTGCAAGAATAGTACAGTATCTTGGGAGACCAGTCACATACCTTTTATTACAGCATATTGTTATAACTGTTCTATTTCATTATTGTTGTTAGTCTCTTACTGGGCCTAATTTATAAATTAAACTTTATCATAGGTATGTATACATAGAAAAAAAATAGAGTGTATATAGGGTTTGGCACAATCCATTGTTTCAGGTTTCCACTGGGGGTCTTGGAATGTATCCCCAGCAGATAAGGGGGAACAACTGTACTTATTCCTTCCCATTTTAAAAATTGAGATTTGATTCACATGCCATAAAATTCACTTTTAAGGCATATAATTTGGTGATTTTTAGCATATTCAGAAAGTTGTACAACCATCACCACTATTTTACTTCAGGATATCTTCATCATTCCAAATATAAACTCCATACTTACTAGCAGTCAATCTCCACTGTCCCAGTCCCCAGCCCCTATTAATCTATTTTCTTTCCCTATGGATTTGCCCATTATTGACATTTCATATAAATGGAATTATATAAAATGTGGCTTTCACTTAGCATATAATGTGTTTAAGGTTCATCAATTTGTAGCATGAATCAGTAGTTCATTCCTTTTAATGGCTGAATAGTATTCCATTGTATGGATACACCATAGTCTGTTCATTCATTCACCAGTTGATGGGCATTTGTGTTGTTTCTACTTTTGGTCATTATGAATAATGTTGCTATGAACGTTTGTGCACAAGTTTTTGAGTGAATGTATTTTCCAATTTACATAGGTATATATCTAAGAGTGAAATTGCTGGGTCATATGGTAAACTTATGTTTAACCTCTTGAGGAACTGCCAAACTATTCCCAAAGTAGTGGCAACATTTTTAATTCCCATCACCAGAGTATGAGGGTTCCAATTTCTCCATGTCCTAACACTTGTTCTTGTCCATTCGTTAAAAAAATTACAGCCATCCTAGTGAAGTGGTATCACCTGGTTTTGATGTGTATTTCCCTAATGACTAATTACATTGAGCATCTTTTCATGTGCTTATGGCCATTTGTATATCTTCTTTGATGTTTATTGAAATCCTTTGTCCATTTTTAAATTGGATTTTTATTGTTGAATTATGAGTTCTTTATATTCTGAACAGTGCACCCTTACCAGATATATGATTTTCAGAATATTTTCTCCCATTCTGTGGGTTGTCTGTTCACTTTCTTGATACTGTTCTTTGAAGCATTTTTTTTTTTTTTTGAGATGGAGTCTTGCTCTGTCACCCAGGCTGGAGGACAGTGGCACAATCTTGGCTCACTGCAACTTCTGCCTCCTGGGTTCAAGCAATTCTCCTGCCTCAGCCTCCCGAGTAGCTGGGATCACAGGTGCACGCCATTATACCTGGCTAATTTTTGTATTTTTAGTAGAGACGGGGTTTCGCCATGTTGACCAGGCTGGTCTTGAACTCCTGACTTCAGGTGATCCACCTGCCTTGACCTCCCAAAGTGCTGGGATTACAGGCATGAGCCATGGCGCCCAGCCTGAAGCATAAAGGTTTTGATTTTGATGTTTTAATTTTAATGCATTCATTTTTCCCTTGGTTGTGCTTTTTGTCACATCAAAGAAGCCACTGCCTAATTCAAGGTGATAAGGATTTAGTTATATTTTTTTCTAAGAGTTTTATAATTTTAGCTCTTGTGTTCGGATCTTTGGTTCATCTTAATAGTCATAAATGGTGTGAGGTAGAGTTCCAATTTAATTTTTTTCCTCATGTGGCTATCCAGTTTTACCAGTTCCATTTGTTGAAAAGACTACTCTTTCTCCAATTGAGTTGTATTGGTGTTTTGCTGAAAGTCATCTGACCATAAATATAAGGCTTTATTTCTGGACTCAATTATATTCCATTGATCTGTACTCCTATCTTTATAAGAGTATAGTACTATCTTGATTACTGTAGCTTCATAGCAAGTTCTGAAATCAGGATATCTGAGTCTTCCCAGTCTTTACGCTTTTTCTTATTGCTTTTTTGCATTGATTAGGGCCTCCAATTTCCTAAATAGAAGCGGTGAGAGCAGAAAATTCTTGTCTTACATTTGTTATTCCTGATCTTAGGAGAAAATGATTTAATATTTCACCATTAACTTTTTCAAATCATTGAGGAAATTCCCTTCTATTCCTAGGCTGCTTAGAGTTGGTTTTTTTTTTTTTTTCTAAAACATTAATGGGCTTTGAATTTTGTCAAATCCTTTTTCTGCATTTATTGAAACAATTTTTTTTCTCTTTTGTTCTGTTAATGTGATGAATTACACTGATTTTTCAATGTTAAGTTCACTCTCCTTGGTCATGGTATGTAATCCTCTATATTGCAAGTTCAATCTGCTAATACTTAAGAATTTATATATATATATATATTCATGAGGACTATCAGTCTATAATTTTCTTGCAAAATGTCAAATTTTGGTATCAGGAAAAATAATTTGGCATGATTATGCTTGCCTCATAAAATGAGTATAGAAGTATTTCTCCCTGCTCTGTTTCCTGAAATGGTGTAGGATTGGTACTTTGTCCCCCTTAAATGTCTGATAAAATTCACTGGTGCAGTCATCTGCCCGGAGTTTTCTTTGTGGCAAGTGTTTTGCTTATAAATTCAATTTTTTTAACAGACACTGAAACATTTAGATTTTCTTTTCCTTCTTTTGTGTCATTTTTGGTAATTTATTTATTTATTTTTTTAGGAATTTGTCCATTTTGCTTAAGTTACTGAATTTATTGGCATAAAGTTGTTCCAAGTATCCCTTTAATATCTATGTGATTTCATTAGCATTTTGGCTAATGAAAATTAAAACTTCTGTATACAAATGTAGATGACAAATAATAAATCAAAAGAAATGTGTAACATATAGCAGAAAAAGTATGTATGTGCATGTGTATATGTATGGCAGGAGCAAACAATCTACTGGCACAGAGGGAATTACAGTACAGTGTGACAAATACCATGACAGGCACACAGAGAACACATAGAATGGATACCCAGTCCAATTTGGGGAGTCAAAACTATGATGTCCAGGTGGTAGGTTAGCTTGTCCAACTATAGGTAAATGAATATAATCAAATTTATAGACACAAAAAAGCTGAGACTCAGATCCCCAGACATAGTTACTTCATCATGGTTACCTACTTGTGAAGGTCAAGAGTCAACTGGCTCCCTTTTCACTGGCACAGCTTTAATTAAAACATAAAACACAACTTTGTTTTTGTAAAATAATAAATTACAAAAAACACCAACCAGATAAAAAGTCCAAAAGACAAAATGTAAAACACTTGTATTTTGACTGACCTTCTTCCAGATATTTTTGTACACTTATATTAACATATGTACACACATATATTCACATTAGGACAGCACTGTACTTGCTAAACTACATTCTGCTTTTTTTTTCCTGAGGGGAAACTATATTTTTTGGACATACTTTAATGCAAATAAAGAACTTTCCATCAGTTTTTAATGGGTCAAGAGTATTCCATTGCATGTACCAATCATAATTTTCTTAACTAGTGTCCTAGTGATGGACACTTGTTTCTAGAAGCATTATTTTTAAAAAAGGTGGCAAATAGTATCCTTATGAATCCCTTATTTTCCTTAGGGTATATGCCTCGGAAATGAGACAGCTGTGGGGCAAAGGCTAATGCATATGTTAAATTTTGGTAAATAGGGTTGTACCAATTTCACCTTCACACCAAAAATGCCTGACAGTAATTGTATCCCACACCCCTATCAACAATGATAGACAAAAAACAACTGTTTGGAAGTGGGACAACTTTCCGTTTGTTAATTGAATATTTGTTTTTCTTGGCTTTTTGTATTTTTAATAGATGGGATTTCACCATGTTGGCCAGGGTCGTCTCGAACTCCTGACCTCAGGTGATCCACCTGCCTTGGCCTCCCAGCGTGCTGGGATTACAGGCGTGAGCCACCGCCATTTCCCGAATGATCTTTTTCCTACTGACCAATAATTTGTCATGTATAGTTTACTGGCTACCACAGAGATTTCTGGAGTTGTCTGGCTCCAGCGTTTAAAAGTAATGGTTTTGGGCAACTCTGTGAAATGGAGATAACAATTGCACCTACCTTACAGAAATGTTAGAGTTAAATAAGATAACCTGAAAAAGTACTCCAGTACTTGCCACACAAATGCTCAGCAAATGTGAGCTACTGTTATTATACTAAACACGCACACATACATGAGAATTTCTGGATTCTCTATTCTATCTCCCATGTCTCATCTATGTAATCCATCCAGCAACATTCCATTACCAACTCGCTGTCCTTTTTTTCCCTCCTCTTAAGAGACACGGTCCTTTCTAATGGCCCGTTTTCCCTCATTTCAACAACAACAAAATCACCTCTCAGTTGTCCAATAATAACTACAGCCTGAAAATCATAATCTTGGGGGTAAAAATAAGCTGTACTTCACAAAGCAGTGAGAATCAAAGCCCAACCAAGGCACTGAACAAACGCTGGGGATGGGAAGGTGTCTGTTTCTTCCAACACGTATTTTGAAAGGCTGACCGCCTACTTTGTTTCAGACTTTGGATGATCATGGAAGTTCTCAAAAGCTAGCAACTCCTCTTCCAACTATTGTTTACAGCCTTAAGACAAGTAGTTCCCCATGTGACCCCAGGTGGGCCCTGAACTTGGGATAACCAGGACAGGAGACTTGGAGCAGGAGGTGCGGGGGCGAGGAGGGCTCTCTCCCGGGCGATTGGTCCTAACCCGAGGTTCCCTCGTGGCAAGCTGAGCCGACTCCCCACTCGTGGGCTGATGCCCGAGGCAGACGCGGCAGGCAGGCGGCTTCGGGAGCGCATATCTGCACCCATGGGGACGATGGCAGGCTGGCGAAGGGAGAGAGGTGGCGGCAGGACTACCATTTGAGGCTCTCAAATGGTGTGGGGAAGAGGGAAGGAGAGGCGCGAAAAGGAGGAAAACCCCTGGAGACGCTGTGTCGGGCGGAGGCTAGGGAGACCGGCTTCGCGCTCCAACGACGCGCATCACTCAGACTCCAAGGCAAGTGCCCGGGGCTAGATTTTCCGTCCCCTGGGGCTCTGGGGATCTCTGAGTCCATCCCAGGGCCCTCCAGGAACGCCTTCGGGAGCGCAGCCCGGCCCCGCCGCTGCCGCTGTCACCCGTGGCCGCTCCCGCCTCGGTTCGTTTGTCTCCTCCCTCTAACGGCTCCGGCAGCAACCGGCGTCGGTGGCGTGGGTGACGTCGGCGTGGGGGGTGGGACTTCCTGCTTCGCGTGCCGCTGGGCCAAGGGACAGAGCCCGCTCCTCCAGGCTGGTGGGGCGGTGCGATGAGGCGGCTTCTGGGCCATACGTCAGCACGTGGGGTGGCGCCGCACCCCTGAGGATCCCGGTCCACGCGGAGGAGTGGGGCTTTTCACCGCCGCCGCCGCCGCCCTCGGACCTCTCCCGGGATACTTCACATTTCCCTAGGGACGGGAGCCCGAGGGGTCCGTTCGGCCCTCTTCCTCTCGCTGGGCCGACACCCCGCTGTAGGACCGTAACCCTTAGTCCCAATGCCTCCGTAAGCGGAGTTGAGTGGGTGCCTGTGGTTGGAGCTGTGGAGGTGTCCCCGGTGGCGAGCGCGGCCAGAACTGCGGTCACTTAAGTTTTCCGTGTGCGGGTTGCAAGGAGCGTGCGTGCGTCTGGTATGTAACCTCTCTTTCTGGGGACGGTGTCTTGTTTGTATTTTGGAATACTCATTTTGTCCCTCCACAAACTGCCCTTGAATCCTTTTTTTATTTTCCTGTTAAAGTAGTGGAAGCTCGTGCTAGAAAAGTAGGCAGAGAGACGCACGTGAAACTCTTCATGGAGCTTTTGGATGCACTCTGGCTTGGTGGTTGTGTAGCCAGTTTGGTAATTGGCCAGACGTTTAAGTACCTCCAGCTTAATTTACGATGAAAAAGCTATGCTACCATTTTCCTTGGCTTTGAAGACAATTTGAATGAACAGTGATGTCGACTGTCATTACTGAGATAAACACCTAAAATATGTTAGCATATGCTGGGTTTAAATACTTTGGTTAATCCTCAGTGTCCAACTTTTGACCATAATCAATGGGCATTTTGCTCTTAAGAATATCCACTGCTAAGTATTTGTAAAGCCTTTAGTTAGCTGAAATGAGGAAGCTCTTTCAAATCTTACAGATCTCTAGGATAAGGAAAGACTTGTCTGAATTTCGTGTATATGATATATACTTCATAATCTGTTCAGACTTTAAGCAGCTCTAAAACAGAGTGGGTTGTTAAAGCAGTGCTTCTGTTACCAAGCAACATGTCTGTAAACAAGTCTGACATTTAACTAAAACACAATTAAAGGTATCTATCCTACAGTTACCTGGATTTAGAATTTTCCATATTTATGAATTTAGCCTGTAAGTGGTTAGAATTAATACTCACCTTTTGTATTGAGGTTTGATTTCAAACTCAGTTTGTTCAGAATTGTTAGAATGCTTTATTTATTTATTTATGACTGAGTCTCACTCTGTCGCCCAGGCTGGAGTGCAGTAGCGCGATCTCGGCTCACTGCAACCTCCGCCTCCTGGGTTCAAGCGATTCTCCTGCCTCAGCCTCCCGAGTAGCTGGGATTACAGGTGCGTGCCACCATGCCCGGCTAATTTTTTTATTTTAGTAGAGATGGGGTTTCACCATGTTGGCCAGGCTGGTCTCAAACTCCCGACCTCAGGTGATCCGCCCACCTCGGCCTCCCAAAGTGCTGGGATTACAGGTGTGAGCCACCGCACCAGGCCAGAATGCTTTAAATTATAAGTGTCACACAGGACTCTCCTGAGAGTTGCAAATGGTTTTGAGTTGTCCTTTGGTTATTTAGGACAGAGTATGCTGGGTATTCCCCTTACTTTGAGTGTTTTCTTTCCAGATCAGATGAAGTGCGCGGACTGTATTTAGAACATTCTCAAATAATAGTGAAATACAATTTAGAATTCCATGCAGCACTGGGAGAATGAAACACTGATTATTCACAGGTAGTTTTTTTTTTTTTCTTTTTTTGAGACAGAGTTTCATTCTTGTCGCTCAGGCTGGAGTGCAGTGGTGGGATCTCAGCTCACTGCAACTTCCGCCTCCCAGTTTCAAGTGATTCTCTCCTCTCAGCCTCCCGAGTAGCTGGGGTTACAGGTGCATGCCACCATGCCCTGCTAATTTTTGTATTTTTAGTAGAGATGGGGTTTCACCATATTGCCCAGGCTGGTCACGAACTCCTGACTTCAGGCGATCTGCCCACCTTGACCTCCCAAAGTGCTGGGATTACAGGTGTGAGCCAGCGTGCCTGGCCTATTCACAGGTAGTTTTTAATCCTTGGTTTACCAGTCACCTCACTGTCTCCTCTTATTGAACCCTTAATGATAAAATTTTTATGGCAAGTTGTTAGTTTTTAGAGCACTTTTTGAATGATCTTTTCAATCAATAACCTTTCAAGTAAGCAAGTATGTGAGAAAATTTGAGACATGATGAGACTAAATGACTTCTTTGAAATCTATTAATAATGGGAATTGGAACTTGAAGTTTAATGTTCTTTATGTCAGATACCCTTATGTATTGCTAAAATCCATGGACTTAATTTTAGTTCTCTCCTCCTTTTTTCTATATGCTGATGTTGAAGTAATGAAATATTCAAAAGTTGGGCAAGATGGAGGAGACAAATCAAGAATGACTCGTATAATCCTTAGTAATCAGAAATCAGCATTATGTCATGGGATGTTCTAATTCAAGAAGCTTAGAGTGAAATCTTAACAGAAAGATTAGTGAATTTTAGTGAATTGTCAGAATTTCCCCACCCCCAGGTACTGTCTCTTTGCCTAAAAGTAGATGAGCTTGCTTTTAATTTTGTCATACATATTAGGTTCCATAAGTAAATTGCCCACATTGTTTAACCTATGTGCTTTTAGGGAATGTGTGTAAATCTGTGTAAAAAACTTCCTTTTAACCCAAGTTCATGTTTCTTGACTTAAGGTGAATTATTTGAAATCCTCTCACCTTGCCTTTTCAAGTGTATGTTCTTTATGGAAAAGGTGTCTCTGCCCAGATTGGTTTCTTCACTATCCCCTAAACCTGCTCTGTACTTTATCCTTTCCATATTAGTCTGCATATCTTTCTATCCCCCGTGACCTGATCTTATTCCCTTCTTTCTTAAAATCTAAATTGTACCTTTTCTATAAGGTTCAACTCCACCATGACCTCATACATACATACATAGGAATAGTATGTATTTGTGAGTTAAATTTATTTGATACTTATACTTTTTATTGTATTATTTTAGCTTTCTTGACTTCCTAACTAGATTGTAAGCTTATTAAGGGCAGGACTTCAGATCTCGATGAGCTGTATCCTTAGTCTTTTCCAAATACAAGTTGCTGAATAAATGTTTCTTAAAGATGACTGATATGATTAGGCTTTGTGTCCCCACCCAAATCTCACCTTGAATTATAATCCCCATAATCCCCATGTGTCAGGGAAGAGACCAGGTGGAGGGAATTGGATCATGGCGGCGGTTTCCCCCATACTGTTCCTCGTGACAGTGAGTTCTCATGAGATCTGGTGGTTTTATAAGTGTTTGGTAGTTCCTCCTGCATTCATTCTCCTTCCTGCTACCTTGTGAAGAAGGTGCCTTGCTTCCCCTTCACCTTCTGCCATGATTGTAAGTTTTCTGACGCCTCTCCAGCCATGTGGAACTGTGAATCAATTAAACCTCTTTCCTTTATAAATTACCCAATCTCAGGCAGTTCTTTATAGCAATATGAAAATGGACTAATACAATGACAGATAGGCATTTCTACTTTCCCCCACTTTTGTAAGTATCATGAAAGTAAGGTTGTTGAGAGAAGAGAGTAAGTGAAGGGGAAATGGCAACAGTAAACTATAAAAAAGATTGAAGAGTGGGAATTCACGGAATCAGAAATAAAGATTCTGTTCCTAGAAAGTGAGTATTTGAGAATTTCCCATGGCAATACCAGCAGTAAGGACTCTCAGGAATGCTGGCACTATTCTTCAGTGGGCTTGGGGAGTTTGGTCAATTTCCTGGTTCCTAGTAGAATATCAGTTTATTAATTATATTTTTTTCATCAGGACTGCCCTCTCTAGGTCATGGAGAGATCACTGACTGTCAAGTCTAGTACTATTTCTTTTTTCTTTTTTTTTTTTTTGAGATGGAGTTTTGCTCTGTCGCCCAGGCTGGAGCGTAGTGGTGCAATCTTTGTTCACTGCAACCTTGAACTCGTGGGTTCACGTGATTCTCCTGCCTCAGCCTCCCAAGTGGCTGGGGCTAACAGGTGCATGCCACCACACCTGGCTTTTTTTTTGTATTTTGAATAGAGACAGGGTTTCACCACATTGGCCAGGCTGGTCTCGGAACTCCTGGCCTCAAGTGATTCACCCACCTTGGCCTCCCAAAGTGCTGGGATTGTAGGTGTGAGCCAATGCGCCCGGCCTACTATTTCTTTTAACTGAGCTATAATCCAGGATGGAAGAAATTAAGGAAATGCCCAGTTATTTGCCTTCTGTATATTGTGACTTCAGATTGCTTTTGGATTAAAATTCAGAGTTAGTAGGAACCTAAACCTGGCCATTCCCTTTTGGAAAGCACCTATCTTCTGTCTCAAAATATGTCTATAAAATGTCCATGTAGTTTTTACAGTCTCACCAAAAATCCTGTATCTAATGCTTATAACAAAGAGTTACTTCAGTTGAAGATATAGAAAGTGAAGTTGAGTCTCAGAATGCTTTCATAAATATTCGTTTGATTCAGTTACTTCTTGAGTGAATTTGCCATTCTAGCTTCTGAGTTGTTGCCCAGTAACACAATTGCAGTATAATATAGCAACCCTTGAAAACAGTAGCATTGGACTATAGGGATTTTCCTGATGAAGTTGCATTGCCTATCTCTGATGTTCATATTCAGCCTCTCTCAAGTGTGATTGCATTTTGTTTTAAGGCAGCTATTTCAGATATTGTTAAACTTAAGGGGCATGCAATATATGCTCTTAAGGATATTTTTTAGAGTACTGATGAATTATAACTTCTTTCACATTGTTTTCCACATAGAGATGCATGATAATGTGTCCGGAATTGGTTCATTCTGGTGGGTTCTTGGTCTCGCTGACTTCAAGAATGAAGCTGCGGACCCTCGTGGTGAATGTTGCAGTTCTTAAAGATGGTGTGTCCGGAGTTTGTTCCTTCAGATGTTCAGATGTGTCCGGAGTTTCTTCCTTCTGGTGGGTTCATGGTCTTGCTGACTTCAGGAGTGAGGCTGCAGACTTTTGCAGTGAGTGCTACAGCTCTTAAAGGTGGCGCGTCCGGAGTTGTTCATTCCTCCCGGTGGGTTCGTGGTATTGCTGGCTTCAGGAGTGAAGCTGCAGACTTTCGCAGTGAGTGTTACAGCTCTTAAAGGTGGCGCGTCCGGCATTGTTCATTCCTCCCGGTGGGTTCGTGGTCTCGCTGGCTTCAGGAGTGAAGCTGCGGACCTTCGTGGTGAGTGTTACAGCTCATAAAGGCAGTGTGGACCCAAAGAGTGAGCAGCAGCAAGATTTATTGCGAAGAGCAAAAGAACAGAGCTTCCACGGCATGGAAGGGGACCCGTGTGGGTTGCTGCTGCTGGCTCAGGTGCCTAGCTCTTCTTCCCTTATTTGGCCCCACCCACATCCTGCTAATTGGTCCATTTTACAGAGAGCTGATTGGTCCATTTTACAGAGTGCTGATTGGTCCGTTTTTACAGAGTGCTGATTGGTGCGTTTACAAACCTTTAGTTAGACACAGAGCGCTGATTGGTGCATTTGCAATCCTTTAGCTAGACAGAAAAGTTCTCCAAGTCCACACCGGACCCAGAATCCCAGCTGGCTTCATGTCTCAATAAGTATGTATTGAATTATTTTTTGTGTGAAGGACACGTGAAAATACTGGTTCAATTAAAGATTATTCTGGGCAGAAAAAGTATTATGTAATAACAGACTTCTCTACAACTGATATAGCCAGCCAGAGCTGGAGTGGATGAAGTTGAAATGGTTCTTTATAACATTTTTGTATTACTTCTAGAGCTTCATAGAAAGCTGAGATCACTAAGCACAATTTAATAGGTACTCTAATTTTTTTTTTTTTTTTTGAGACATAGTCTTACTCTGTCAGCAGGCTAGAGTGCAGTGGTGTGATCTCAGCTCACTGCAACCTCTGCCTCCTGGGTTCAAGCGATTCTCCTGCCTTAGCCTCCCAAGTAGCTGGGACTACAGGCACATGCAACCATGCCCAGCTAATTTTTTGATTTTTAAGAGAGACGGAATTTCACTATGTTAGCCAGGATGGTCTTGATCTCCTGACCTTATGACCCACCTGCCTTGGCCTCCCAAAGTGCTGGGATTACAGGTGTGAGCCACTGCGCCCGGCCTAGGCACTGTAATTTTGTGGGAAGAGAATTGTGATTCAGGAGACCAAGGCTTGACTGGGTGAGTCACTTCACCTTTCATGGCCTATTTTCTCATTTGAAAACATAAATCTCTGAAAGTTTCCTTCAGAAATGGTATGCTTCCAATTTAAAGCAAATTTTATTTCTCTTATATATGGGTTTAATCAATATTTGAGTGCCTATTATGTGTCTCATGCTATGCTAGGCACTGGGGAGATTGTGAATAAGACATAGTGCTAAGTCTCAAGCACCTTATTCTCTGATGGGAGAAATGGACAAAGTAATTAGTAATTTGTAATAAAGCATGTTAAATGCTATAAGGATAGATAAGAATGTGTTTTGGGGCATGTAGGAAGAATACCTGGCCTAGAACTAGAAAGAATACACAAAAATTGAGGAATGTCTCTTTAGAATCTTGTAAGTGTAGTTGTAGGGTGTACAGAGCAGTATTCAACTTGGCCCGGAGGAAGTTAGTCAAAGAAAACTAGGAAAACAATTCTTGAAGTTGGAGAGAGAGAAGAGTCATCAACGTTAGTGGTAGTTGAAATACCAGGTATAGATGAGGTTCCTAGTGAGAGTTGTGTAGAATCAGAAGAGAGCTTGTGAACACCAGCATGTAATAGGAAGGGGGAGAAAGAAGGTAGGAAAACCAGAGTAGGGTAACGTTTTGGAAACCAAAGAAAGAATGCACATCACATTTAGTTTATTGATTAAATGGAAATTGTTGCTCAAGAAACATTGAGTGTGTAGTCCTATAAATGTAAACCTATCTAAATAAAGATGCCCTCTACAAAGATCTGAACTTGCAAATGGGGGTAGTTTAAGTCCTTGTTTAGCAGCGTAACAGAGGAAAGAGTATGTACTTTGGAGCCTGGATCCTGAGAGTGAAGGTTAGATTACTAGCTGCGTAACTTTTTGAACCAGTTACTTAATTTTTTGGTCCTTAATGTATGGATTAAAATAAGGTAAGCTGTAAACTTGACTTTTAGTGGGCATTGTTGATTTTTATCCTTGCCATTATTAATGACTCTTCTGAACTACATACCCTTCTTTTCCTTCCCCATCCCCCGTCATATTCTTTCATCCTTCAAGATCCACCAAAATTCCTGCCTTTTCTTTGATATCTTCCTCTATGGATGATATTACAAATTTTCTGTAATGGAATGAACATGTCCTGTGTCCCTTAGAATTAGCAACGTTATTCTTTTTTCTTTTTCTTTTTTAAAGCCTTAAGAAGGAAATTGTATTATCTCACATGTAAGAAGTCTGGAGATAGGTGGTTCTAAGATTGTCAATTAAGTGGCTTAGTGATAATCTTTAAGAACCTGGATTCTTTTTGCTTGGTCATCCTTTGAACTCAGCCTTGATTACTACAACTATCAACAAATTTTCCAAAGTTTGGAAGAGATAACTTCTTTCTTCTACCTAGCCCTTTTTAAACAGCTTTATTGAGATATATTTTACCTACCATAAAAACCACTCATTGTAAGTGTACAATTTAATGGTTTTTAGCAACTTTATAGAGTTGTGCGACTGTCATCACAAGGCAATTTCTGACATTTTATCAGTCTCCTAGATTCTCTCAAGCTTATTTGCATTTAAGGTAACTCCTTCCCACAGCCCCAGAGAACCACTGATCTACTTTCTATCACTATAAATTTGTCTTTTCTACATATTTCATATAAATGGAATCAATACAGTAGTCTTTTGCATCTGGCTTCTTTAACTTCATGCTTTTGAGGTTTATTTAATGTATGTATATCAATGTTTTGTTCTTTTTAATTGTTGCATAGTATTCGTGTGTATTTTCCATTCACCAGTTGAATAGTATTGGTGAATAGTATTTCCCATTTACTGGTAACCAGTGAATAGTATTTCCCATTCACTAGGTGATAGACATTGGATGGTTTCCAGTTTTTGGCTGTTATGAATAATGCTGCTATGAAGATTTGTCTGTAATTCCTTGTGTGAGCATATGTATTCATTTGTTTTGGGTAAATTCCTAGGAGTGGAATTGTTGAATTATATGGTAAGCTTATTTTTAACTTTTAAAGAAACTGTCAAAATGTTTTCCAAAGTAGCTGTACCAATTACATCCTACCAGCAATGTATGATGATTCCAGTTTCTCCACATCCTCACCAACAGTTGGTATTATCTTTTTAATTATAGCCATTCTAGTTAGTATCTAGTAGTATCCCATTGTAATTTTAATTTGCATTTCCCTGCACAGTAATGTTGGACACCTTTTTCTGTGGTTATTGGCCATTTGGTGGAATATCTGTTTAAGGCATTTGCCCATTTTTTAGCTGGGTTTTTTTTTTTTTTTTTTTGGTCTTACTGAGTTGTAAGAGTTCTTTATATATGCTGGATGAAAGTTTGTATTGTTTTTAATATCAGAGATAAGATTTGCAAATATTTCTCCCAGTTGGTGTCTTGGCTTTTCATATTTTTACTGTTGTCTTTTGAAGTGCAAAAGTTTTTAATGAAGTCATTTCTTTTGTGTGTGTGGCACGTACTTTCATGTTATGTATACGAACTTTTTGCCTAATCCAAGGTCCCAAAGATTTTTCTTTGAGCTCCCAAAGGTCTTCTTTGAGCTCTTTCCTTTAAATATAAGATTCATATTGAATTAACCGTGCATTTGATGTAAGAAGAGGATCTAAGTTCATTTTTTAAAAATGTGAATGCCAAATTATCCAGTACCATTTGTTAAAAAGACTGTTCTTTTCCCTTCAATTGTATTGGCATCTTTGTAAAATATCAGTTGACTATAATGTAAGAATTTATTCCAAGACTCATGTCTATAAACCTATCCTTACTCCAACACTATTCTGTCTTGATTACTGCAGTTTTATAGTAAGTTTCAAAATAAGTAGTGTAACATTTTCTTCTTTTTCAAAATTGGTTCTATGCTCTTTCCATTTCCATATACAATTTAGGATCAGCTTGTTAATTTCTACAAAAACACATCTGATGTTTGTAGGATTTGCATTGAATCTATCCATCAATATGGGAAGAATCACTAACTTAACCATCTTGAGTCTTCCAATCCATGAACATGTAATATCTCTCCATTTACTTAGATCTTTCATTTCTCTTAATAATGTTTTTTACTTTTCAGTGTACAAATCGTGCACTTATTTGGTTAAATTTATTCCTAAGACTGTTATAATTTTGATGCTCTTGGAAATGGAGTTTTCATGATTTGATTTCAAATTGTTCATTGTTAGCACAAAAAAATGCAATCGTCCAGGCTTGGTGGCTCACGCCTGTAATCCCAGCACTTTGGGATCCAAGGCAGGTGGATCACGAGGTCAGGAGATCGAGACCATCTTGGCTAACACGGTGAAACCCCGTCTCTACTAAAAATACAAAAAAGTTAGCTGGGAGTGGTGGCGGGCACCTGTAGTCCCAGCTACTCGGGAGGCTGAGGCAGGAGAATGGCGTGAACCCGGGAGGCGGAGCTTGCAGTGAGCTGAGATTGTGCCACTGCACTCCAGCCTAGAAGACAGAGCGAGAATCTGTCTAAAAAAAAATGCAACCAATTTTTGCATATTGTTTGTACATAGATGATCATGTCTCAAAACGATACTTTTTCTTTCCAATCTCAATGTTATTTATTTCTTCATTTTTGCTTTAATTCTTGGGTTAGACCCTCCAGTAAGATGTTGAAGAGAAGTGTTGAATGTGCATTGCATTACTCCCAGTCTTAGGGGGAAAACATGCAGATTTTTGCCATCAGGTATAATGTTAGCTGTAGATTTTCTATAGATGCCCTTTGAAGAAGGTTAAGGAAGCTCCCTTATGTTCCTAGTTTGTTGCAAGTTTTTAATCATGAGTGGGTGTTAGATTTTGTCATGTTTTTTCCTGCATCTGATGATATGGTTATATGATTTTTATTGTTAGTATGCTATATATTAATTGATTGTTGGAGATTAAACCCACCCTGTATTCCTGGGACAGATCACACTTGGTCATGCTGTAAAATCTTTTTTTTTTTTTTTTTTTTTTTTTTTTTATTGTTTGAGACAGACTCTTGCTCTGTGACCCAGGCTGAAGTGCAGTGGTGTGATTTTGGCTCACTGCAGCCTCAAACTCCTGGGCTCATGCGATTCTCCGGCTTCCGCCTCCCAAGTGGCTGGGGCTACAGGCTCATGCCACCACACCTGGCTATTTTTCTTTTTTTTTTTTTTTCGGTATTTTTTGTAGAGACAGGGTTTTGCCATGTTGCCTGGGCTGTTCTTGAACTCCTTGGCTCAAGCGATTTACCTGCGTGGCCTCCCAAAGTGCTGGGACTACAGGCTTAAGCCACCATGCCCAGTCCGTGCTGTATAATCTCTGTTATATGTTGTTGAATATGGTTTGTCTGATTATTATTAAGGAATTTTGGGTATATGTTCCTGAGGGATATTAGTCTGTTGGTTGCTCGTGATCTTGCTCTTACTGCTTTAAATGTTTGATAGCATTCATTAGTGCAGTTGTGGGGGCCTGGCCATTTCTTTGTGGGAATATTTAAAATTATTGGTTCAGTTTCTTCACTTCTTGTTATAGGTCTATTCAGATTTTCTCTTTCTTCTAGAGTTTTGGTAATTTGTATGTTCTAGGAAGTGTAGTCCATTTCATATAAATTATCTAATTTGTTGATACGAAGTTTGTATTAAGAAATCCTTTAATAATTTAAGGTTGGCAATAATTTTCCCTCTTTCATTCTTGATTTTGGTAATTTGTATCTCTTATTTTCTTGGTCAGTATAGTGAAGTTTTTTTTTTTTTTTCGATTTTGTTGATCTTTCCAAAGAACCAACCTTTTATTTCACTGATTATTTTTCATATCTATATTTTCTATTTCACTGATTTCCACACTACAAAATTATTATTTTTCTGCTTGTTTTGGGTTTAATATCCCCTCTGCTCCTTATTTTTCTAGTTTCCTAAGATGGAAGCTTAGATTATTGGTTTGAGACCTTTTTTCTTTTCTCATATAAATGTTTAAAACTATACATTTCCTTCTAAGCACTGCTTTAGTTGCATTCTGTACATTTTGGTTTGCTGTGTTTTGTTTTCATTCAATTCGAAATATATTTTAAAATTTTTCCTTGCAATTTCTTCTTTGATCAATGGGTTATTTAGAGGTATGTTTTAAAATTTACCAATAATTGAGGTGTTCCTAGATTTATTTTTGTTCGGATGACTAATTCCATTGTGATCAGATCACACATTTTTTATGAGTTCAATCTTTTAAATTTTATTGAGACTTGTCTTGTGCCCCAGTATGTGGTGTATCCTGGAAAATTTTCCTTGTGTTTGTAAAAAGGTTGTATATTCTGCAATCATTGGGTGGTATTTTCTGTCAGTTATGTCAAGTTTATTGATGAGGTTAGTCAAGACTTCTATATCCTTGCAGATTTTCTGTCTTTTTCTATCAGTCATTGCAGTCTTCAGCTGTTTCTGTTGAATTACCTATTTCTCTTTTTAATTATCTCTTTTTTTGCTTCATGTATTTTGGGGTTCTTTGGTTAGATGGACAGTTATTGTTATATCTTCCTGATATAGTGACCCTGTTTTCATTATGAAATGGCCTCCTTTGTCTGTAATATTTCTTATCTTAAAATCTATTTTTCTTGGTACTATAGCCACTCTAGTTTTTTTTGTGGTTACTGTTTCTATGGTGTATTTTTTTAAAAAAATCCTTTTAATTTTAACCTGTTTATGTCTTTGAATTGAAGATTTATCTCTTGTTGACAGCCTATAGTTAGGTTTTGTAATCCATTGTAATATAATCCCCCCTTTGAATAGAGTGTTTAGTTCATTCACATGTAATGTAATTGTTGATATTATTGGATTTACATCTGCATTTTTCATATTTGTTTTCTATTTGTCTCATTTGTTTTTTGCTTTTTCCTCTTTTCTTTACCATCTTTCTGTGTTAAATATTCTTTAGTGTATCTTTTTATTTCTGTTGATTTCTTTTGCTATATTGTTAGGGATTACAATATGCCTTTTAACTTAATTACAGTCTCCTTCAGAATAATACTAAATTCTGATAAATTATAGAAACTTTCCTCCAGTGTTATCTGTTTTTTCTCTTTTTGGTGCTATTATTATTATATATATTACAGCTGTATGTATTACAAACTCAGCGACACAGTACTATAATTATTCCTTTATGTAGTCTTATGTCTTTAAACGAGATGAAGTGAAAATAATTATATTTTTAGAGTCTTTAATATTTACTGATGTAATTACAGTTTCCAATGAGCTTCATTCTCCTGTAGAGTATTATTTTTCTTTTTTTTCCAGACAGGTTCTCCTGTTTTCCAGGCTGGAGTGCAATAGTGCGATCTTGGCTCACTGCAGCCACCGCTTACCCAGTTCAAGCAATCCTCCTGCCTCAGCCTCTCAAGTAGCTGGAACTACAGGCACGTGCCACCACACCTGGCTATTTTTTGTAGAGATGGGGTTTTGCCATGTTGCCCAGGCTGGTCTCGAACTTCTGGGCTCAAGTGAGCCACCCACCTTGGCCTCTCAAAGTGCTGGGATTACAGGCATGAGCCACTGTGCCCAGCCTAGATTAAACTTTATGGTGTGACTTCCTTTTATCCTGAGGGACTTCCATTGTTATTTCTCATAAGGCATGTCTCACAGCAGCGACTTGTCTTCGTCTTTGGTTATCTATCTGAAAATGTCTTTATTTCATCTTCATTTTTGAAGGGCAGTTTTGCTGAATATAGAATTTTTAGTGGTGAGTTTTTTGTGTTTCTTTAAAAAAATTTGTTTTTTCCATGTCATTTCTGATGAGAAATCAACGTTAATAATATTGTTGTTGCCCTGTATGTGAAGTCATTTTTCTCTCGCTCCTTTTTAAAGATTTCCTCTTTGTGTTTCAGCATTTGCAGGTTTCTTTGGATTTGTTGGGCTGTTTAGATGTGTCAATTAATGTTTTTCATTAAATTAGGGAAGTTTTTGGCGATTATTTCTTCAAAACTTCTTTTCTGCCTCTTTCTCTCTTTACTGACCTTCTAGAACTCCCACTGCATATTTCGTGTACAGTATGTCGTCACTTAACATTATTTTTTATTTTTCTTTTTCTTTGAGGTGGGGTCTTGCTCTCTTGCCAGGGTGGAGTGCAGTGGCATGATCTCAGCTTAGTGCAGCTTCCACCTCTCAGGTTCAAGCGATTCTCTTGCCTCAGCCTTCCAAGTAGCTGGGACTATAGGTGCGCACCACCACACCCGGCTAATTTTTGTAATTTTAGTAGAGATGGGGTTTCACCCTGTTGGCCAGGATGGTCTCGATCTCCTGACCTCATGATCTGCCTGCCTTGCCCTCCCAAAGTGCTGGGATTACAGGCATGAGCCACCACGCCCGGCCGTCACTTAACATTATTGATAGGTTCTTGGAAACTGACTTTAAGTGAAATGATGTATCATGAAACCAACTTTACCCTAGACTAATTGATAAAAACAATAGTTAAATTCCTATGGCATATCTCTGGTCAAAAAACATCATCAAACTTCTAAATAAAGACCCAAGACACTTCCAACATTAAACGTTGAAATAAATGTGAGCTATAATGTTTAAGAAAGATTAGTAAAAAAAACAAGTAAGATAGTTACTTACCTAATTTTTGGTGAACCAGTGAGTGACAATGGTCATAGTGGTGGTGGGTTAACCCAAGAAATAAATGTTTGCAAAGCAAAAAATATAAGGGACACCTCTTACTATCATGCAGTTCAAAAATAATCACAAATATGGCAGGCTTGATAAGAGTGCTTTTGTACTACATAGTATTGTCATGCATTTACATGATTATATACTTTATTTGAAATTTCATTTTACAATAATTTGTATTCATTCATTCATTCATTTTCCAGCCTGCTCTAGGGTTCAGGCTTTCTGGTGGCTAGAGCCTATCCTGGCACAGAACCAACCCTGGACAGGATGACATTCCATTGCGTGGTGCACTTAAATACACACCCATACTCATTCCTACTGGGACAATTTCAATCTCCCAGTGAATCTAATGTGCACATCTTTAGGATATGAGAAGAGGAAACTGGAGTACTTGGAAAATACAAACAAATGTTTACTTAATCTTTTTTGGTGAAGTGTCCATTTGAATGTTTTGCCCATTAAAAAAATTTTGATTGTTTATTTTCCTATCATTTAGTTTTGAGAGTTCTTTATTCTGGATGCAAGTGCTTTAT
This sequence comes from Homo sapiens, assembly GCF_000001405.40. Taxonomy (NCBI): domain Eukaryota; kingdom Metazoa; phylum Chordata; class Mammalia; order Primates; family Hominidae; genus Homo; species Homo sapiens. The sequence goes on along the minus strand of NC_000012.12, from coordinate 94,445,591 downwards.
AAGATTTATGATTTGCAGTTTTTCCCCTGAGTCTGGTATATCTTGTCATTTATGTAACAGTGGATTTTGAAGAGTAGTGGATTTTGAAGTTCTTCATTTTGATGAAATCCAGTTTGTCAGTTTTTTCTTTTATGGACTGTGCTTTTGGTGTTATATCTGAGAAGTCTTAACCCAAGATCAAAATGATTTTCTCCTGTATTTTTTTTTAGGAGGTTTATAGTTTAGGTTTTTAATTCAGGCCTCTGATTTATTTTGATCCTATTTTTGTATATGGCGTGGGGAGCAACTTGAAGTTCTTTGTGTGTGTGTGTGTGTGTGTATGGAAAAGGCAATTGTTCCAGGACCATTTGTTGAAAAGACTATCCTTTCTTCACTGAATTGACTGCATTTTTGTCAGAAATCAATTGACTGTTTCTATTTGACTCTATTTCTGGACAGTCTTTTTTGTTTAATGGATTTTTGTGACTGATTTAATACTACATAGTTTTCATTTCTATGGCACTTTAATAAGTGAAGTCAGGTAATGCAAGTCTTCTAACTTTGTTCTTTTTCAAAGTTTTTTTTTTGGCTCTTCTGGGTCCCTTGTGTTTCCATATGAATTTTAGAATCAGCTTGTTAATTTCTATGAAAACTTGGTATTTTGAATGACACTGCATTGAATTTGGGAGAAATTAACATCTTAACAATATTGAATTTTCTGATCCACAAATATGGCATTTCTTGCTATTGTAACCTGCTTTTTAAAAACAATTATAAAATAGATATAGAGTCTCACTATGTTGCCCAGGCTGATCTTGAACTCCTGGGGTGAAGTGAGCCTCCCACCTCGACCTCCCAAAATGCTGAGATTACGGGCATGAGCCACCACACCTGGCCATGACCTGCTTTTTTAATAGTCTCTTTTTCCATTGTAAACACCACTATTAAGTTAGTACCATGAGGATAAGAACTGATTCTATCCTCCATTCCTACCTGGAATTTAGGATGCACTCAGTAAACATTTACTGAATGACAAATAAAAGAAGATTCTTGAACATAAATGTTTGTGCATCTCTAATTAGTTTCTCAGGATTAATTCCTAAAATTAGAATTACTAAATGAAAAGATATATTCATTTTGAAAGCTTTTGCTTAGTAGACTGTCCTCCAGAATTTTTAACTTTTGAGGTAGAAATTTCTTTTCTTTTCTTTTCGGAGTTGGAGTTTTGTTCTTGTTGCCCAGGCTGGAGTACAATGGCCTGATCTCGGCTCACTGGAACCTCTGCATCCCACGTTCAAGTGATTATCCTCTCTCAGCCTCCTGAGTACTGGGATTACAGGTGCTTGCCACCATGCCTGGCTAATTTTTGTATCTTTAGTTGAGAAAGGGTTTCACCACGTTGGCCAGGCTGATCTTGAATTTCTGACCTCAGGTGATCTGCCCACCTCGGTCTCCCAAAGTACTGGAATTACGGGCGTGAGCCACCACGCCCGGCCTGAGGTAGAAATTTCTTGATAACTAACTATAACGCATGCATAATTGGTTAGCAAACAGTGTTCTTGGTGACATCCTTCCCCAAGGTTTCTCTGAAATTACATTACAAGCCTATGGGAGAGTAGGATTCACATCATAGAAATTTTGTGGATCACTTTACTGTCATTAACAGTTTACTGGAATTGGGAACTATGAAGATGAACAAAACAGTAGAAGATTATATGTAGTTTTTCCTTTGAGGAATTTATAGTTTCTTTGGAAAACGTAGTTTATATAGTTATAAAGCATCTGGAGGGGAAAAGTGCAGACATTATAGAATATAGAATAAATTAGGCCGGGCACAGTGGCTCATGCCTGTAATCCCAGCACTTTGCGAGGCCAAGGTGGGTGGATCACTTGAAGTCAGGAGTTCGAGACCAGCCTTGCCAACATGGTGAAACCCTATCTCTAAAAATACAAAAAATAGCCGGGCGTGGTGCATGCCTGTAATCCCAGCCACTCGGGAGGCTGAGGCAGGAGAATCACTTGAACCCGCGGGACGGAGGTTGCAGTGAGCTGAGATTGCGCCATTGTACTCTAGCCTGGGTGACAGGGTGAGGTTCTGTCTCAAAAAAATATATGTTTATATAGAATAAATATCCTGGGGCAAGCACAAGGAAGGCAGGAACCTATAAAGCACATGGACAAAAGCTACTCTTTCTGTTCACTTTTAGAGCAACTAAAACTCCGAAAATAGTTTTGTGATTTTGCAGACTGTAGGGTTTCAGGTTTGACTCTGTGATTTGTGGATTAATAGACAAGGTTTAAGAAGGTATTTTAATTTGGCATAACTGTATGAACAAAGTTGTGAAGGCAAAGAGAAATGTGTTTGAGGGTCTGTAAACTTAATTGACTCTAGCAAAGGGGTCCTGGGGGTCTGTAAACTTAATTGACTCTAGCAAAGGGGTCCTGTGGGGCAGCAAAATGTTTGAATTTGTATAGGGAGCTGGCTAATACGGGGCTGTGAGTTTAGCTGGGAAATTTAGATTTGAGTCAGGAAAGAATAAGGATTATCATAGGAGTTATAGTGACGAAGGCAATGTATGAGAAAGATTGTTTTGGTGATATTTGTAGGCTATGTAAGAATGAGAAAATACTAAAGTCTGGGACACTGTCTAGGAGGCTTCTGTTAAGTGTAAAATATTTAAGATTCGGCACTGGAGTGTGATGGCTCTAGAAATGGGGAAGAATGATTAAATTCAACAAACAGATGAAGAAGAATCAGTAGGATTAATTTGTTATAAATAGAGGATAGAGGATGGGTAGTGGTTAGGAAATGAGAGGAGGATAGTGGTAACTGACTTTTTTAAGGAGACAAGTAGAAAATTTGAACCTAATGAACTGAATTTTTGTTAAGTTGATGTAGCGGATAAAATGTGATAACTTTTCCTCACCTATTACTAGATTCATGACTGAGACCCCTATAACAAAAGACAGATTATCAAGAGGAAAGCATACACATTTATTTAATGAAACCTTTACTTTATATGAGTCTTCAGAAGTGAAGACTGAAAGAAACAGGGAAACCTTTCTTTCCGTGTTTTTTCTAAAAAAAAAATCATTATTTCAATAGTTTTGGGGGAACAGGTGGTGTTTGGTTACATGGATAACTTATTTAGTGGTGATTTCTGAGATTTTCCTGCACCCATCACTTGAGCAGTGTACACTGCACCCGGTGTGTAGTCTTTTAACCCTCACCCCCCTCCCTCCTTCCCCCCAGGTCCCCAGAGTCCATTATATCAGTCTTATGCCTTTGCATTCTCATAGCTTAGCTTCCACTTGTGAGAAGATACGGTGTTTGGTTTTCCATTCCTGAGTTACTTCAGTTAGAATAATGGCCTCCAATTCCATCTCGGTTGCTGTGAATAATGGCCTCCAATGCCATCTCAGTTGCTGTGAATGCCATTATTTCATTCCTTTTTATGGCTGAGTAGTATTGCATTATATATATATATACCTACCACATTTTCTTTATCTACTCATTGGTTGATGGGCATTTAGTCTGGTTCCATATTTTTGCAGTTGCAAATGTGCTGCTATAAACATGCATGTTCAAGTGTCTTTTTCATATAATGACTTCTTTTCCTCTGGGTAGATACCCAATAGTGAGATTGCTGGATCAAATGGTAGTTCTACTTTTAGTTTTTTTTTTTTTTTTTTTTTTTGAGACGGAGTCTCGCTCTGTCGCCCAGGCTGGAGTGCAGTGGTGCGATCTCGGCTCACTGCAAGCTCTGCCTCCTGGGTTCACACCATTCTCCTGCCTCAGCCTCCCGAGTAGCTGGGGCTACAGGTGCCCACCACCACACCCAGCTAATTTTTTGTATTTTTAGTAGAGACGGGGTTTTACCATGTTAGTCAAGATGGTCTTGATCTCCTGGCCTTGTGATCCACCCGCCTCGGCCTCCCAAAGTGCTGGGATTACAGGCGTGAGCCACAACGCCCAGCCTACTTTTCATTCGTTAAGGAATCTCCACACTGTTTTCTATAGTGGTTGTACTAGTTTACCTTCCCACCAGCAGTGTAAAAGTGTTCCCTTTTCACTACATCCTTGTCACCATCTATTATTTTTTGATTTTTAAATTATGGCCATTCTTGCAGGAGTAAGGTGGTAGTGCATTGTGGTTTTGATTTGCATTTCCCTGATAGTGATGTTGAACATTTTTTCATATGTCTGTTGGCCATTTGTATATCTTTTGAGAATTGTCTATTCATGTCCTTTCCCTAATTTTTGATGGGAATATTTGGTTTTTTTCTTGCAGATTTGTTTGAGTTCCTCGTAGATTCTGGATATTAGTCCTTTGTGGGATGCATAGTTTGTGAATATTTTCTCCCACTCTGTGGGTTGCCTGTTCACTCTGCTGATTATTTCTTTTGCTGTGCAGAAGCTTTTTAGTTTCATTAAGTCCCATCCATTTATTTCATTTTTGTTGCATTTGGTTCTTGGTCGTGAACTCTTTGCCTAAGCCAATGTCTAGAAGAGTTTTTCTGATATTATTTTCTAGAATTTTTATGGTTTCAGGTCTTAGATTTAAGTCTTTAATCCATCTTGAGTTGATTTTTGTGTAAGGTGAGAGTTGAGATTCCACTTTCATTCTTTTACATGTGGCTTGTCAATTGTCCCAGCACCATTTGTTGAATAGGTTGTCGTTTCTCTACTTTATGTTTTTGTTTGCTTTGTCAAATATCAGTTGGCTGTAAGTACTTGGCTTTGTTTCTGGGTTCTCTGTTCTGTTCCATTGATCTATGTGCCTGTTTTTATGCCAGTACCATGCTGTTTTGGTAACTATAGCCTTGGTATAGTTTGAAGTTGGGTAATGTGATACCTCCAGATCTGTTCTTTGTGCTTAGTATTGCTTTGCAGGCCCTTTTTTGGTTTCATATGAATTTTAGGATTTTTTTTCTAGATCTGTGAAGAACGATGGTGGTATTTTGATGGGAATTGCATTGAATTTGTAGATTGCTCTTGGCAGTATGGTCATTTTCACAATATTGATTCTACCCATCCATGCGCATGGGATATATTTCCATTTGTGTCATCTGTGATTTCTTTCAGCTTTTTTTTTTTGTAGTTTTCCTTGTAGAGGTCTTTTCGCCTCCTTGGTTAGGTATATTCCTAAGTATTTTATTTTATTTTTTGCAGCTATTGTAAAAGGGGTTGAGTTCTTGATTTGGTTCTCAGCTTGGTGGCTGTTGGTATACAGCAGAGCTACTCATCTGTGTACATCAATTTTGTATCCTAAAACTTTGCCGAATTCATTTACCAGTTATAGGAGCTTTTTGGATGAGTTTTTAGGGTTTTCTAGGTATATGATCATATCATCAGCAAACTGCAACACTTTGACTTCATCTTTACCACTTTGGATGCTCTTGATTTCTTTCTCTTGTCTGATTGTTCTGGCTAGGACTTCCAGTAGTGTGTTGAATAGAAGTGGTGAAAGTGGACATCCTTGTCTTGTTCTAGTTCTCAGGGGGAATGCTTTAAACTTTTCTCTGTTCAGTGTAATGTTGGCTGTGGGTTTGTCATAGAGGGCTTTTATTATCTTAAGGTATGTCCCTTCTATGCCGATGTTGCAGACGGTTTTAATCATAAAGGGATCTGAATTTTGTCATGCTTTTTCTGCGTCTGTTGAGATGATGTGGTTTTTGTTTTTAATTCTGTTTATATGGTGTATTACATTTATTGACTTCCATTTGTTAAGCCAACCCTGCATCCCTGGTATAAAACCCACTTGTTCATGGTGTATTTTCTTTTTGACATGCTGTTGGACTTGGTTAGCTAGTATTTTGTTGAGGATTTTTGCATCTATGTTCATCAGGGATATTGGTGTGTGGTTTTCTTTTTTTGTTATGTCCTTTCCTGGTTTTGCTATTAGGATAATACTGGCTTCATAGAATGATTTAGGGAGGATTCCCTCTTTTTCTGTGTTTTGGAATAGCTTCAGTAGGATTCATACCAATTCTTCTTTGAATGTCTGATAGAATTCAGCTGTGAATCCATCAGGTCCTGGACTTTTTTTTTTTTTGTTGGCATTTTTTTTGTTTATTACTGTTTCAATCTTGCTACTTGTTATTGACCTGTTCAGTTTGTTTCTATTTCTTCCTAGTTTAATCTAGGAGGGTTGTATCTTTTCAGGAATTTATCCATCTCCTCTAGGTTTTCTAGTTTGTGTGCATAAAGATGTTCATAGTAGCCATACAAAAGCACAATCTTTTGTATTTCTGTGGTATCACTTTTGATATCTCCTATTTTGTTTCTAATTGAGCTGTTTGGATCTACTCTCTTCTCTTGATAATCTCGCTAATGGTCTGTCGATTTTGTCTTTTCAAAGAGCCAGCTTTTTGTCTAATTTATCTTTTGTATTTTGTTGTTGTTCTTGTTGTTGTGTTTCAATTTCATTTAGTTCTGATCTTTGTTATTTCTTTTCTTCTGCTGGGTTTTGGTTTGGTCTGTTCTTGTTTCTCTAATTCTGTGAGTTGTGAGGTTAGATAATCTATTTGTGCTTTTTCAGAATTTTTGTTGTAGACAGTGATTGCTATGAACTTTCCTCTTAGCACCACTGTTTTTGCTGTATTGCAGAGGGTTGATAGGTTGTGTCACTGTTATCGTTCAGTTCAAAGAATTTTAAAATTTCCATCTTGATTTCATTGTTGACCCAGAGGTCATTCAGGAGCAGGTTTAAATTTCCATATATTTGTATAGTTTTGAAGCTTCCTTTGGAGTTAATTTCTAGTTTTATTCTGCTGTGATCTTAGAGAATATTTGATATAATTTTGATTTTCTTAAATTTATTGAGACTTGTTTTGTGGTCTATCTTGGAGAATGTTCCATGTGTTGATGAAAAGAATATATTCTGCAATTGTTGGGTAGAATGTTCTGTAAATATCTGTTAAGTCCATTTGTTTTAGGGTATAGTCTGTTGTTTCCTTGTTGACTTTCTGTCTTAATGACTTGTCTAGTGCTGTTAGTGGAGTATTGAAGTCTCTCACTGTTTTGTTGCCATGTATCTCATTTCTTAGGTCTAGTAGTAATTGTTTTATAAATTTCGGAGCTCCAGTGTTAGGTGCATATGTTTTTGGGATTGTGATATTTTCCTGTTGGACTAATCCTTTTATCATTATATAATGTCTATCTTTGCCTTTTTAAACTGATGTTGCTTTAAAGTTTGTTTTGTCTGATATAAGAATAGCTGTTCCTGCTCACGTTTGGTTTCCATTTGCGTGGAATATCTTTTTCCACCCCTTTACCTTATAAGTTTATATGAGTCCTTATGTATTAGGTGAGTCTCTTGAAGGCAGCAGATACTTGGTAGATTTTTATCCATTCTGCTGTTCTGCATCTTTTTTTTTTTTCTTTTTTTTAATTGGGACAGTCTCACTCAGTCACCCAGGCTAGAGTGCAATGACATGATCTCGGCTCACTGCAACCTCTGCTCCCTGGGTTCAAGCGATTCTCGTGCCTCTGCCTCCCGAGTAGCTGGGTTTACAGGCACCTGCCACCATGCCTGGGTAATTTTTTTGTATTTTTAGTAGAGATGGGCTTTTGCCGTGTTGGCCAGGCTGGTCTTGAACTCCTGACCTCAGGTGATCTGCCCACCTTGGCCTCCCAAAGTGCTGGGATTACAGGTGTGAGCCACTGTGCTGGCCTCTGTATCTTTTCAGTGGAACATTTAGGCAATTTACATTCAACATCAGTATTGAGATGTGAGATACTATTTTATTCATCATACTAGTTGCTGCCTAATTACCTTTTTTTGTTTGCATTGTGTTATTGTTCTGTAGGTCTTGTGAGATTTATGCTTTAAGAAAGGTTCTATTTTGATGTTTTGAGATTGTTTCAAGAGTCAGAACTCCTTTTAGCAGTTCTTGTAGTGCTGGCTTGGCAGTGGTGAATTCTCTGAGCATTCGTTTGTATGAAAAAGACTCTATTGCTCTTTCATTATAAAATTTAGTTTTGCTAGATATGGAATTATTGGCTGATAATTTTTTGTTTAAAGAGACTGAAGATAGGACCCAATTCCTTCTAGCTTGTAGGGTTTCTGCTGAGAAATCTGCTGTTAATCTGTTAGGTTTTCCTTTGTAGGTTACCTAATGCTTTTGCCTCACAGCTGTTAAGATTCTTTTCTTTGTCTTGACTTTAGATAACCTGATGACTGTGTGCCTAGGTGATCTTTTTGTGATGAATTTCCTGGGTGTTCTTTGAGCTTCTTGTATTTGTTTGTGTGTGTGTATGTGTTTTAGACCAAGTCTTGCCCTGTTGCCCAGGCTGGAGTGCAGTGGCACGATCTTGGCTCATTGCAGCCTCCACCTGCCAGGTTCAGGTGATTGTCCTGCCTCAGCCTCCTAGTAGCTGGGACTACAGGCCCACACCACCATGCCTAGGTAATTTTTTTTTTTTTTTAGTTTAGTTGGGGTTTCACCATTTTGGCCAGGCTGGTCTCAAACTCCTGACCTTGAGTGATCCTCCTGCCTTGGCCTCCCGAAGTGCTGGATTACAGGCATGAGCCACCACGCCTGGCCAAGCTGCTTGTATTTGGATGTCTAGATATCTATCAAAACCGGGGAAGTTTTCCTCAATTATTCCCTCAAATAGTTTCCTAAACTTTTGGATTTCTCTTCTTCCTTAGGGACAGCAATTATTCTTATGTTGGGTCTTTTAACGTCCCAAGTTTCTTGGAGGCTTTATTCATTTTCTAAAATAATTTTTTCTTCTCTTTTCTTTTCTTTTTCTTTCCTTCTTTCTTTTTTTTTTTTTTGAGATGGAGTCTCCCCCTGTTGCCCAGGCTGGAGTGCAATGGCGTGATCTTGGCTCACTGCAACCTCCTCCGGGTTCAAGTGATTCTCCTGCCTCAGCCTCCCGAGTAGCTGGGACTACAGGTGCACGCCACTGTGCCTGGCTAATTTTTGTATTTTTAGTGGAGATGGGATTTCACCATGTTAGCCAGGATGGTCTTGATCTCCTGACCTTGTGGTCCACCTGCCTCAGCCTCCTGAGGTGCTGGGATTATAAGCTGAGCCACTGCTCCCAGCCAAAATTATTTTTTCTTTGTCTTTGTCAGATTGGGTTAATTCGAGAGCCCTGTCTTTGGGCTCTAAAATTCTTCTACTTGTTCAGTTCTGTTGTTGGAACTTTTCAGTGCATTTTGCATTTCTCTAAGTGTGTATTTAATTTCCAGAAGTTGTGGTTGTCTTTTTTTTATGATGTATATTTCTCTGGAGACTTTTTCATCCATATCCTGTTTTTTATTTTTTTTTTTATTTGTTCAAGTTGTTTTTCACTTTTCTCTAGTGCCCCCTTGAGTAGCTTAATAATCAACCTTCCAAATTCTTTATCTGGCAATTCAGAGATTTGTTCTTGTTTTGGATCCATTGCTGGAGAGCTAGTGTGATCTTTTGGGGGTGTTATCAAACTTCGTTTTGCCATATTACCAGAATTACTTTCCTGGTTCCTTTTTATTTGTATGTTTCAGTGGAAAGATCTAGAACTGAAGGACTGCTGTTCAGATTTTTTTTTTTTGTCCCACAGGGTGATTCCTTGATGTGGAGTCACCCCCTTCCCCTAGGGATGGGGCTTCCTAGGAGCCAGACTGAGGTGATTGTTATTACCGTTCTGGGTCTAGCCACCCAGCAGGGTTACTGGGCTCCAGGCTGGTGCTGGCGAATGTCTGCAAGTTGTCTTGTGATATAATCTGTCTTCAGGTCTCCCAGCTGTGGATACCAGCACCTGCTGTAGTGGAGGTGGCAGGAGAGTGAATGCTGGTTAGGCTAGCGGTTGAAGTTGTCATGTGGACAGACTCAGGACCTCTGATTAGCCAGGGAGTTGCAGGCAGTTGAATTAGCTGCTGTTTTCTCCGTTGGAACAGAGTTGTTCTGTTAGGAGTTGCTGAAATGGCTTGAGTTGGTTGGCCTCCAGTCAGGAAGTGGCAATTTCAAGAGAGGAGCAGCTGCGGTAGTAGAAGGGGGATATAATCTTGCCCTGCATTGGCAGGATAAGTACTGGGGTTTCTCAGATGATGGACAGGCCCATAGAGCTCCCGAGAGTTCATGTCTTTTGTCTTTGGAGTTTTTTGGCTGTCTTGTGGCATTTGCAGCAGTAAACTGCTTTTTTCAAAGGGTCTGTCTCTCTGTTTTTTTGTGGACAGTCATGCAGAAGTATCGTTAGAGGACAAATGGGTATGCTCTAGCAGTAACAAACTGGGGGAAACTTAGTAAGTCCTGTTTGTTCAGATTCCTCTTTGTGTCTTCTCTCCTACAGGTATAGGGAGGACACCTCTGGATTGAGGATCTTATGACCTACTTTAGAGGAAGGTGAGATAAACCTTCTTGCTTCTGCTTTTTTCTCAAATGCCAAGGTGCCATATTTTGGGTAGTCTGTCTTAAATCCCATCTTTGAGCTTCTGTTATAGAGAGAACATGTAAGTAGAGGGGGATTCATAAGCAGAGAGAGGTTAGGAACTAGGGTGCAAATTTCAGTGTCATTCAGATAAAGTAATAGATGAAGCTTTGAGAGGTGCAGCTTGACTTTTCTTACAAGATGGGAATAAGGGACCAGAGAATAAGGAAGAGTATTTAATAATTTCAGTTCAAGTGAAGGGACTAGTATAATGCTTTATACAGGTTGAGGATCCCTAATCCCATAATCCAGAATGCTCTGAAATCTGAAACTTTTTGAACACCAACATGACACCGTGTGGAAAATTTCAAACCTGACCTCATGTGATGGGTTGCAGTCAAAATGCAGGCATACAACACGCAGTTTATTAAGCACCTTCAAGGGAAAAATAAAATTACCTTCAGGCTATGTGTATGTATAAGGTATATATGGAACATAAATGAATTTTATGTTTAGACTTGCGTCCCATCCCCAAGATACTCATTATGTACATGCAAATATTCTAAAATCTGAAAAAATTCAAAATCTGAAATCCTTCTGGTCCCAGGCATTTTACATAAGGGATATTCAACTTGTATTTACAGTTAGTAAAGTGCTTTTGCCTACCTAATATTGTGACATTTTTAAAAGTTTGATTTTTCAACCTTAACTTTTCAAATGTATTATTATACTTGTACACATTAACTCATTACTATGGTTTTGAGCTTTCCTATTTTCTAAACCGGTTTTCTTACGTCTCTGCTGTAAAAAATATTTTCTAAGATAATTTGTATAACTTGAAAAGTCTTACCACAAGGTGTCATTGTAACCTATAAAAAGAATTTCCATGTAAACATTTGCGTTATCATTTGTACAATTTTTACATTTTTTTGTGTATAAACATTTTTTTGTTTCATATCTCTTATTTTTTAGTTGTATCCTAATAGATTGTGTATCTCTTGTATTAAAGGAAAAAATAAAATAGCTCATGTTCTTGAGTTCTCATATTTTTGCACAAACATATGCTTTCCACCCACAAATTCTTTAAGAGTGTGTTGCTATAGAGATGATTTGTTTGAAGGAAAGAATGAGGAGGAGTAGCAGCAGGTGGACATTTAAGGAACAAAATCCTTATTTTATGTCTTTGTTCCCGACAGAGCCAGCTTTAGAGTTTGCCCCTCTGCTTATGAAATCCCTATGGAAAAAAGGTAGTTATTCTGAGTGTTTTACAGTGATGGTATTTGCAGTTTACTAAGATTCATTTGCCAAAGGTCAGTGTACAGGATTCCTCATTCTTATGTAGGATTAGTGCTTGAAGTAATTGTAATCTTTGAAACAACCTTTCTTTCACTTTAACTGGATTCCATTTTAGTGTTTATTCTTTGCTTTCCTATCTTGGTTTCCTGATAGGCCTTTTAACTAGTGACATTAAAATACTTTTTGCTGGGGGATGGGTATAGGTATCTAATTATTAACTCCTGCTCTTGCTGCCCCCAAATTAATTTTCTTTTCTTTTCTTTTTTTTTTTTGAGACAGGGTCTCACCTCGTCACCCAGGCTGGAGTGCAGTGGTGCGATCTTGGCTCACTGCAGCCTCGACCCTCCTGGGCTCAAGCGATCTTCCCACCTCAGCCACCTGAGTAGCTGGGACCATAGGCACATGCTACCACACCGGGCTAATTTTTGTATTTTTCTTAGAAACAGGCTTTCACCATGTTGCCCAGGCTGTTCTTGAACTCCTGAGCTCAAGGCATCTGCCTGCCTTGACCTCCTAAAGTGCTAGGATTATAGGTATGAGCCACTGCGCCTGGCTTCAAATTAATTTTCAAGATTATTGACTACCTGCTGCTACTGTCTTAGTTAAGGCCCTCATTATTACTTTCCTGGACCTTTGATCTCCTTTTCTTTTTCTCTTTCTTCTATTCTTCCTCCTCAAATCTATCCTCTGCAAATAAACGACTTATTTTTCTGAAATGTAAATGTGAGTCTACCCCGTAATGTCTTCTATCCATCTAAAAGTTTAAAATCTTTCACTGGCTCTCCAAGACCATGGAATAAATTCCAGTCTTCTGCATGTGGCCTTCTAGGCCCTACCTTACCTCCCCAGGGTGTTCTCCTCTCCTCTGCCCTCCACCACTAATGTTCTTCTCCTTAATCTCCATTATTTTGCACTTGATGTTTCTTCCTTGCATCCCTTTGTTAATTTTAGCTGCTGCTTTGTGAAGTTTTCCCTGGCAGCTTCACTAGCAGAATTAGGGTTCTCTCCCTTGTCCATTCATACTACTGGTAAATATGTTATAATATTTTATAATTTTTTTGAAGTTCCTCTCTTTTTAAATTGGCACATAGTTTACATATTTATGAGGTACATGTGTATTTGTTACATGCATAGAATGTGTAATGATCAAGTCAGGGTACTTGGGGTATTCATCACCTTGAGTATTTATCATTTATGTTGGGAACATTTAAAGTCCTCTCTTGTAGCTACTTTGAAATATATATGATTCAAATTAATTATTAACTGTACTCTGCTCTGCGACATTAGAACTTGTATTGTCTATCTAACTGGATATCTGTATTCATTAAGCAACCTCCCTTTATCCCACCTTCCCCCACACACATACTTCCTGGCCTTTGATATCATTTTATTCTCTACCTCCATGAGATCAACTTTTTTTAAGCTCCCACATGAGTACATGTGATATTTGTCTTTTTGTGCCTGGCTTATTTCACTTATTGTAATGATCTCCATCTTTATCCATATTGCTACAAATGACATGATTTCATTCTTTCTCATAGCTGAATAGTATTTCACCATGTATATATACCACATTTAAAAAAAACAGTTCAGGCCAGGGGTGGTGGCTGATGCCTGTAATCCCAGTACTTTGGGAGGCCGAGGTGGGCGGATCACGAGGCCAGGAGGTTGAGACTGTCCTGGCTAAAACGGTGAAACCCTGTCTCTACTAAAAATACAAAAAAAAAAAAAATTAGCTGGGCGTGGTGGTGGGTGCCTGTAGTCCCAGCTACTCAGGAGGCTGAGGCAGGAGAATGGTGTGAACCTGGGAGGCAGAGCTTGCAGTGAGCTGAGATCGCGCCACTGCACTCCAGCCTGGGCTACAGAGCGAGACTCCGTCTCAAAAAAAAAAAAAAGAAAAAGTTAATCCATTAATGGACACTTATGTCGATTCTGTATCTTTGCTATTGTGAATAGTGCTGCAATAACCTGAGTCCAGGTATCCCTTTGACATGCTGATATCTTTTCCTTTGAATAAATACCCCATTGTGGGATTACTAGATTGTATACTAGTTCTATTTTTAGTTTTTTGAGAAATCTTCGTGCTGTTTTTCATAGTAGCTGTACTAATTTACATTCCTACCAGCAGCATATAAGAGTTCCCTTTTTCTCCACATCCTTGCCAGCATCTGTTGTTATTTTTTTATAGTAGCCATTCTAATTGGGATAAGATGATATGTTGCTGTGGTTTTGATTTGCATTTCCCTGGTAATTAATGATGTTGAGAATTTTTTCATATACCCATTGGTCGTTTGTATGTATTCTTTTGAGAAATGTTTGTGGCCTTTACCCACTTTTTAATGAGGCTTTTTTTTTTTTACCGTTAAGTTTTGATTTTCTTGTATATTCTAGGTATTAGTCCCTTGTCAGGTGAATGGTTTGCAAATATTTTCTCCCATTCAGTGGGTTTTTTCTTCACTCTGTTGATTGTTTCCTTTGCTGTGTTGAAGCTTTTTAGTTTAATATAGTCCCACTTGTCTATTTTTGTTCTTGTTTTCTGTGCTTTTGAAGTGTTAGCCATACTATTTTTGCTGAGACCAATGTCCTGAAGTGTTTTCCCTATGTTTTCTTCTAGTAATTTTATAGTCTTGGGTCTTACGTTTGTATCTTTGATCCATCTTGAGTTGATTTTTGTATATGTGAGAGGTAGGGATCCAATTTAATTTTTCTGCATATGGATATTCAGTTTTCCCAGCACCATTTATTGAAGGGGACATTCTTTCCCAAATGTATGTCCTTAGTGCCTTTGTCAAAATTAGATGGCTATTTGTGGATTTCTTTCTGGGTGTAATAATGTTTCCTTTGTATATCTGGGTGCTCTTGTGTTGGGTGCATATATGTTTAGAATTGTTATCCTCTTGCTGAATTGATCCTCTTACTATTATATCATGACCTTTGTCTCTTTTTACTGTTTTTGACTTAAAGCCTGTTTTAACAGATATATGTATAGCTACTCCTACTCCTGCTCCCTTTTAGTTTCTGTTTGCATAGAATGTCTTTTTCCATCCCTTTACTTTCAGTCTATGTGTTGTTATAGGTGAAATGAATTTCGCTGTTTTTGGAATTCTCTTTTTGTCTTTGATTGTTGACAGTTTGACTATAACGTGCTTTGTGGAAGACCTTTCTGCACTGTATTTGGGAATCTCTGAGCCTCTTGTATCTGGATGTTTAAATCCCTTGCTAGACTTCGGAAGTTTTTATCTGTTATTTCATTAAGTAGGTTTTCTATGCATTTTATTTTCTCTTTGCCTTATGAGACTCTGAAAATGAGAATATTTAGTTGCCTTGTGGTGCCCATATGTCACAAAGGCTTTGCTCACTGTTTTTTATTCTTTACCTTTTGTCTGATTGGGTTATTTGAAAGACCTATCTTCAGGTTCTGAGATTCTTTCTTCTGCTTGATCTAGTCTGTTGTTGAAGCTTTCAAATGTATTTTGTATTTCACTCAGTGAAGTCTTCAGTTCCAGAATTTGATTCTTTTTTTTTAATGATACCTATCTTTTTCATAAATTTCTCATTCATATTCTAGGAATTGTTTTTCTGATTTCTTTATGTTATTTTTCAGTATTCTCTTGTATCTCACTGAGCTTCTTTAAAATCAATATTTTAAATTCTTTTTCCAGAATTTTGTGAATTTATTTTTGATTGGGATTTGTTGCTGGAGAATTATTATGTTCCTTTGGAGGTATGATATTTTCTTGCTGTGATGTTAGTAGCTGGGTGGGTGAGCCCAATCTCAGGTTCCTGGGAAGAGTCCTTAGTTGCCAATGGTGGCTGAGTTGTGTGATCTCCAGGCCTCTGGATTGTGTGCTCTGGCATGGGGGGTGGGTGAGGCCAGGTGGGCTTGTCTTTAGACTCCCCAGTGGTGCGTATAGGTGCTGGCTGTGTTAGGAAGGGGTGGGGTGATCCTTAGGCCCCCAGCACAATGTTCATGTTGTGAGAGGCAGTGTCTGTGCTGCAGCCCTACTGCTGGGGAGGGCAGAGTTGCTTTCAGTGATACCAGCTATATGCAGGCAAGTATTAGGAACATGCATTTCACTTGCATTTTAGCCCTGGTGGTGGCAGACCATACTTGGCTTGTGTTTCAGTCCTGGTGGTGCAGCCTGTGTTTCACTCACATTTTAGTCCTGGTGGTGGCAGCTCATGCTTGGCTTGTGCTTTAGCCTGGGCAGTGGAAGCTCATGCTTTGCTTATTCCTTAGTCCTGGTAGCACAGTGATGGCAGCTGTGGGTGAGGGACTCTGGGCACATGAAAATGAGTGGTGGCTCCACTGCTGGAAGCAGTGGCTGAGATTGGAGCCAGAGGCGTGCACTTTGGCCCCAGCATCAGGAACCAGGCATGGTGGTAGCTGTGGGCTGGGTATGTCAGTGGGACTCCAGGGATGTGAAGAGACAGGTGCTGTTAAGCCCAAGCACAAGGTGCAGTCTGTTGGGACTGAGTTCTCAAAATGGTGTCTTACTATAGCTGCAGGACTGGGATGGGGAGTGGAGAGGTTGGTGTGCCCCAGCGTGAGCTCCCTCTCTGGAGCAATGCTGTTGTGCACTCTTCATGCAGTTCCCTTTGTTAGTTTCAGGGCCTGTGAGGGTCCAGGGCCTCTACTGTGGCTAGGATTGCAAGTATCCATGGTGGGAATGTGGACCCCTGGGCATCTCTCATTTACCCTTTCCCCTGACTGGGAATTCTCTCCAGGCTCTTAGCTAATCTCGGATAAGCAGGCTGCCTCACTTCTCTCTCTTTCCTTGATTTAGGTGTTTCCTGTCACCTCTTTGTTGAATTCCTTAATGTTTTACAATTTAAAAACTTCCTGAATTTATGACTTTGTATAGGTAATATGTGCACATGGTAAAAAAATTTTAAGTCCAGAAAGTTTAAATAGTCCATTTTCTCTCATCCTTATTCAGTCAGCAATTGTTGGTTAACAAGTATATTCCACTGACCATCATAAACTCCTTGAGGACAAGGATTTTCTTTTATTTATTTCTGTATTCCTGTATCCAACAAAGTGTCTAGCATATTAAAGGTACTTAGAAAATATCCATGGAGTACTCTGAATATGGGCAGGCTCTTCTTTCCTCATGAGAAGTGTGCTTGACTTGATGGTCTGTATATTTTTTATATCTCTCAAAACCCTTTTACTGTAAGTAGACCATTCAGTAAATGTGGTATAGCAGTCACTTAATAAATATTGGTTGTTTAATCAGTTTTTTAAAGTATATGGTTTTAACATTAACCTGTGTGTCTTGAGGATGGCTTTTATTTATCTCCTTTTTCTGGCTGTGAAAAATTTTATACTTGCTTTGTGACAGATTCAAAATAATGAAGAGAATGTTTGTGTTAACTGCAGTAAAATATCAGTTAAACTCAGTTTTAAGTATCAATTTCTCTTTAACTTTTCAGATTACGGCATAAATCTCATAGAAGTAAAATTAAATCAGGATTTATTTAAAAAACAATTTTCAGGATATGCTGTTGCATCAGTAGATAATCTTTATTGTGTATTAGCAGCCATATTATGGGTAGCCTTTTCTATTTCAGAAGAAAGGTGGGACTGTGAGCAAAGAAGAATATACAACTCACACAGAGGTGCTAAGTGCTCATAAATCTTCTGGAAAGTCCCCATGTTATTGTAACAGACCTTACATTAAGAAATGTTAAAATGAATTTGGACAAGAATCATCTTTGCCTTTCAGATCACAACTTTCAGAGACTTTGGTAATTTACACTAAGCATTTGAGGTTGAGTCATTACTATGTCCTACTTTCTAGATTCTTTTGTGTGAATTAAGCTGTGCAGAGGCAGACAGTACAATCGTAAAAATAGAATAACATTTTAATTTAGAGTGCTTGGTGGTTGATTGCTAACCACTTGAATACATATCTTCTTCCTTTTCTCATTCCTTGCTCTCCCTTGTTTCTTTCTAAATCACAATTACAGAGCCTGGCACCTTACCAGGGCTTTGAAGGGTCTGCTCCCAGCTGCACTTCAGGTTCTGGCAGGGCGTCAAGTTGTGACTTTTTTTTTGTACGCAAGACATCCTGGATGGCTATCCAAAGGCTGTTTGGGTGACTAGTGCAGGATTATCTCTGGATTTTGAAGAAATTCATTTCTAATGTTTTGTTTATAAGTAAAGTAAATGCCTGGTGTAGGTCCTCCCTAGACTTTTAATGTTGTTTTTTAAAAAACATCATTCACTTTGAGGGCATGTAGTATTTAAAACATTGTTTTGAAATATTCAAAGGCATAGCATGTGCTTTTAATGGAATGTGTTTTGGAAGCTTTCCATGAGCATCAGCAGCTGTGCTTTTTTGAATATTTTGAATTACCATACTTTGGGGCAGACATTGTACTACTCACTGCTTAAAAAATACAGTGCCTATGCAAAATAAAATGTCATATGGAGGTCTGTAAAGCTGGGACTAGTCAAAAGAAGTGGTAGGAAGGACACGTGGATGTGATTATGTATTTGTAATGGTTGCAAAGAGAAGATGAAGAATTTGGAAAAAGGTTGTACTAGTCTTTTAAAAACTGCCTTTCACTGAGACTAGCCCAACAAGTGCTCACTGATTAACAGGCCAATCGAGATAATGTTTCACTTTTTTTCACTTATTGCTGTTTGAACTCTGTACTTTACTTTAAAAAATTTTCAATATGAATTTCTGTATTTAGTAAACTGCACAGTAGGAGACGTTTTATTGTGTATTTCAAGCATCTAATGTATGTGTAAGTGTCTTGCAGATAATTGATAGCTGTGTATTGACTGATTGAAATCAAAGAAGTCTAACCATGGTAGGAATTTAAAATTGTGTTAGAAATTTTGAGTTTGATAAACCTTTTTATAAGTAAATATAAATACAAGAGAAAGCCATTGTATTAGTTACTTGTGGCTGCTGTTACAAATTACCATATAATAGGTGTCTCAAAACAACAAAAAAATTATTCTTTCAACATTTTAGAGATTAGAAGTCAGAAATCAAGTTGTTGGCCAAGCCACGTTCCCTCTGAAGGCTCTGGGTTAGAATCTTTTCCTTGCCTTTTCCAGCTTTTTGTGGCTGTAGGTTTTCCTTGGCTTATGGCTACATCTTTCCAGTCTCTGTCTCCGTGGTCACATTGCCTCTTCCTCTTCAGTCTCAAACTCCCTCTCCTTCTCTCTTAGAAGGATACATGTGATTGTTTTGGATACATAATCCAGCATAAGCCTCTCCTCTTAAGATCCTTAATTTAATCACCCCACCCTTTTTTTAAAAGTATATAAGGTAATATTCATAGCATCCAGAGATTAGGAAATGACATATTTTGAGGGCTAGCATTCAGCCCACTATTGTTTGGAAGACTGTTTCTGAATTTGGAGGAGAAAAGTGAATCGAGGCTAAAGTAGCATTAGAATGGTGAGCACATTATTTGTTCATTTGTTATTTTTGAGCTCTTAATATGTGCCTGTGGTTTTTTAGGTGTTGGGATTATGAACATGAGTAAGACATGTTTCTTGTCATGGACAAAGTTACATTCCATGTGTTGTATATACTAAAATGCAAGATAAAACACAGAATAATGAACTATTTGGGAGGGTCTTTACTTCATGGAGGAAGTAATGCATTCCTGAGCTGGGTTTTGAAGGCTGAATAGGAATTCACTAGATCAGAATACAAAGAGATGGAAAAAGCCTTCTGAGCAAGGAAATTAGCATTTACAAAGCCATGGCGGTAGAAAACAGCAGTATGTGCTCAGGAAGCTAAATGGTAATTAGTGCAATGAGACAAATTTTAGATTTGTTTTCATTTCTTTTTTTTTTTTTTGAGACGGAGTTTCGCTCTGTCACCCAGGCTGGAGTGCAGTGGTGTGATCTTGGCTCACTGCAAGCTCCACCTCCCAGGTTCACACCATTCTCCTGCCTCAGCCTCCCGAGTAGCTGGGACTACAGGCGCCTGTCACCACGCCCAGCTAATTTTTTTTGTATTTTTAGTAGAGATGGGGTTTCACTGTGTTAGCCAGGATGGTCTCAAGCTCCTGACCTCGTGATCCGCCCACCTTGGCCTCCCAAAGTGCTGGGATTACAGGCGTGAGCCACCGCACTGGCCTGTTTTCATTTCTTATATACACATTAGCTATTAAAATCTCCCATTTTGCCAGCTACAGCATAAATATTCTTTGCTGTGATGGTTCTTAAAGCAAAAATCTTTTCATAGATTAAGACGGTCTGTGAACAGCCATTAAATACATGAAAAAGTGCTTCAGGAAAACGTAAATTAAAATCATAAGGAGATACCACTTTATGCCTCCTAGAAGGGCTACAATTAAAGGGACTCACAACATCACATTATTACCCACACGACAGATGGGTTTGGTTGCTTGGCAGGTATCATCAACTCAGTGCTCACAACCAAAGAGGATTTAGCATGAGGATTTTATTACTTGCAACAAGTAAGGAGAACATGGGGATAGTTCCTAAAGCAGGGGCCTGAGTCAGGTTTTATAAGTGTAGGATAACAAGGCATGATCTGATTGGATCTTGCAATGAGGTGGTACTGGAGGCATGATCTGACAGGATCCCTCCATGGGATGATGCCAGAGCTTGATCTGATTGGATCCTGGATCCTGCCATGCAATGTCTGCTTCTTAATTCAGTCCCCATTTCTTGGTCCAAGCACTTAGGTTCCTCCTGAGATTGCAGTCTTGGCTCATCTGAGCATGCTCAGGTTATGTGAGCTGAGGGTCCATGGCAGCTGAAAAATAACTCACAATTTATTACATAAAAGTTGAACCAGAGGCAGCCCCCCTTCATCTCTCTCCTCCTGCTCCTTTTCTCCTCCTTTCTCCTCCCCCTCCCTTTTTTCCTCCCTCCCTCTCCCCCTTTCCCTCGATCCCCTCCTCCCTCCCTCCCCGTCTTTCTTACCCCCTCCCTTTCTCTCTCTCTCTCTCTCTCACTCGTTCCCTAACATTAAAGAGAAAATGCTGCTATCCGTGACTTCCAGGCCCGGGATTTCTACTTTTGGCTACAATAGAAACAACAAGAAGCCATATGTGTCATTGGCTCAGCAGATGGCACCACCTAGCCCAAGCAACAGTACACCTAACAGCAGTAGTGGAAGCAATGGAAATGACCAGCTGAGCAAAACCAACCTATACATCCGAGGATTGCAACCAGGCACTACTGACCAAGATCTTGTCAAGCTGTGTCAGCCATATGGCAAGATTGTTTCCACTAAGGCCGTACTGGACAAGACCACAAACAAATGTAAAGGCTATGGCTTTGTAGATTTTGACAGCCCTTCAGCAGCACAGAAAGCTGTAACAGCACTGAAGGCCAGTGGTGTACAGGCACAGATGGTAAAGCAACAGGAACAGGACCCCACAAATTTATACATCTCAAACCTCCCACTGTCAATGGATGAGCAGGAACTGGAGGGGATGCTGAAGCCCTTTGGCCAGGTTATCTCCACCCGTATCCTTCGAGATACCAGTGGGACCAGCAGAGGTGTTGGCTTTGCAAGGATGGAGTCCACAGAGAAGTGTGAAGCCATCATCACCCACTTTAATGGAAAATATATTAAGACACCCCCTGGAGTACCAGCCCCATCCGATCCCTTGCTTTGCAAATTTGCTGATGGCGGGCCAAAGAAACGACAGAACCAAGGAATATTTGTGCAAAATGGACGGGCTTGGCCAAGGAATGGAGACATGGGCATCATGGCCTTGACCTATGACCCCACCACAGCTCTTCAGAATGGGTTTTACCCAGCCCCTTATAACATCACCCCCAACAGGATGCTTGCTCGGTCTGCACTCTCCCCATACCTTTCCTCTCCTGTGTCTTCGTATCAGAGAGTGACTCAGACATCTCCTCTACAAGTACCTAACCCATCCTGGATGCACCACCATTCATACCTCATGCAGCCTTCAGGTTCAGTTCTGACACCAGGGATGGACCATCCCATTTCTCTCCAGCCTGCCTCCATGATGGGACCCCTTACCCAGCAACTGGGCCATCTCTGCCTCAGCAGCACAGGCATGTATATGCTGACGGCTGCAGCTATGCAAGGAGCTTACATCTCCCAGTACACCCCTGTGCCTTCCTTCCAGTGTTTCAGTCGAGGAGAGCAGCGGCCAACAGAACCAAGTGGCAGTGGACACACCCTCAGAGCATGGGGTCTATTCTTTCCAGTTCAACAAGTAACAGTGGGATTCCCCTCCCCATCTTTACTGAGTAGAAATGAATTCTTGGAGATACTCATGCTCCCAAATTCCAGAGGGTTAACCAGGAATGGAGACCATCCGTCGGCCCTGCTAAGGACTAACACTTAGCCATCGTTTTTCACAGGCCTGGGCCTGGAAAAAGAAATCTCTATGTTCCTGCCCTTTACTGTTGCTGATGGAGCCTGGGGGAGCCATCACTTTTTTTGTGTGCTACATTCAAGGAGATCAAAAAAACTTTTTTTCTTTTGCAAAAAAAAAAAAAAAAAGTTGAACCAGATTGGTCTGGTGCAGCTACAAGGTATTGGGAAAAATGTGGCGCAAACAGAATTCTCAATATGTTGGCTGGACATGGTGGCTCACACCTGTAATCCCAGTACTTTGGGAGGCTGAGATGGGCGGATCACTTGATGTCGGGAATTCAAGACCAGCCTGACCAACATGGAGAAACCCCATCTCTACTAAAAATACAAAATCAGCCGGGTGTGCTGGCACATGCCTGTAATCCCAGCTACTTGGGAGGTGGAGGCAGGAGAATCACTTGAACCTAGGAGGCAGAGGCTGTGATGAACTGAGATTGCGCCATTGCACTCCAGCCTGGGCAACAAGAGTGAAACTCCATCTCAGAAAAAAAAAAAAATTCTCATATGTTTTTGGTTGGAATAGAAAATGGTACAACCACGTTGGAAAAAGATTTGGCAGTTTCTTACACAAAGTTAAATATAAACCTGCTCCATGACCCAGCAATTCCACTCTTAAATGTTTACCACCACCCACCCCCAAACTGAAAATGTGTCCACAGAAAGTCTTGTACAAGAATATTCATAGCAGCTATATTCATTGTAACCAGAAACAACCAAATGCGCATCAGCAGGAGAATGGATAAACAATATGTGTTATATTTAAATGATGAAATGCTATTTAGCCTTAAAAAGGAACAGACTACTGAGATACACAAAAACATAGGTGAATCTCACAGCTATTTGGGTGAAACAAGGCAAATACATGAGAGTACGTACTGTATGATTTCACTTTAATATGTTCTGGATCAGGTGGAGCTATGGTGAGAATAACCACAAAAGTGGTTGCCTCTTGTGGGTGGGGTGATGGGGAAGGAGTATGAAGGAACTTTCTGGAGTGATGGGACTGTTTTATATCTTGATGAAATTGAGGCTTTCTTGAATTCTTCCTTTTGTGAACTCATGAAATTGTGTGCATTCATGTGCTGCATATAACCACATACACAACAGTGGTACCATAAGATTATAATGGAGCTAAAAAATTTCTATTGCCTAGTGATTTGTGTTACAGTTGCTGTTGGAAATGGGTATTCAGTGTCGCGGAAATCAACACTATGATAAAGGATCTCCCAGCAAGGCTAATTTACTTTCTGCAGAAAGGGTGCCACTCACTAGCAGTCTTGCCATGAGAGCACATACAAACAAAGGAGACAGGGTCATTTATAATCTAATGCGTCCATGCTATGGCTGTGTCCAGTTTCCATTGGCTGGAACGGGACTTCACATTCTGTTCTTGTCCTGATTGGCTAGCAACTTAGAACCTCCCAAAAGAGGTAAAGGTAGGGGAGAACAAAGGAAAGGAGGAAGTAACTTGTGGAATGCTGAGAAAGGCCAAAACACCTCCAAATAAGGAAGAGAAACAGGCTATAACCTAATGCTTGCTTGGGCCTATATAGGCATGCCAGGGCAAATATCTAGGCCAAAAGGTGGGGGCTAAGCACACAAAGCATATTGGTTTCTTTATTATGGCTAGCAGATATTTAAGAATATTACCACAGGTCTTTGAGTAAATTTTGCTTCTAAGAGAGGCTACTATTTATTCTCAATTAGACTGGAAGGAAAGTCCCTTTGAAGAGGAACCTCTACTTCATTTTGTACAGTTGCCTCCAATATTTAGTACAGTAACATGTTGTACAGGTTTGTAGCCTACAAGCAATAGGCTATATACCATATATCTTAGGTGTATAATAGGCGATATCATCTAGGTTTGTGTAAGTACCGTACATTCTTTGATGTTCACACAACAATGAAATTACTTAACAATGAGTTTATCAGAGCATATCCTTGTTAAGTGATGCATGGAGATAATATTTGTGCATTTCATTATGTGTAAATTTTACTTAAAGGACTATAAACAAGCACATGAATAAAGGAGAAATAGTAGAATAAATTTTTAAAAAATGAATATTACATATCCATGTGGTAGCCTCACAACCATGAGGAGAATTAAGCCAACAGGATTTGTTGGAAGAAAAATGAAAAGGACTACAGTCCTTGACATGATGCTGAGCCCAATTTTTGAATTACTCTCCCTTCTAAGTCCCTTTTTAAAAAATTGTGAATTATAAGGTTGGTTGCAGTGGCTCATTCCTGTAATCCTAACATTTTAGCAGGTCAAGGTGGGAGGATGGCTTGAGTGTGGGAGTTCAAGCCAAGCCTGGGCAACATAGTGGGACCTTGTCTCTACAAAATAAAAATAAAAATTAAAATAAATAAAAAAAATTTAAAAAGCCAGGCCTAATGACATGTGCCTGTAGTACCAGCTACTTGGGAGACTGAGGTGACTTGAGCTTGGGAGATTGATGGTGCAGTAAGCTGTGATCATGCCATTGCACTCCAGCGTGGATGACAGAATGAGAATGTCTCAAAAAAAATTATGAATTATAATATACATATAGAAAAGTACACAACAATGTACAGCTGAGTGATTTACAAAGCAAGTTACAAAGCAAACCTCCATATATCCACAAAAATCAAGAAGTAGAACGTTACTAGCCTCATCAAGTAATATTTTCCTGACTTTAATGATAATATAGTTCCTTTCTTTATACATGCTTATACCTAAGCATGTATCCCCTATATACTATAGTGCTTGTATTTAATTTTTAAACTTTATATATTTGTAATAATCTATTTGTAATAATTTAGTGTATATTCTTTTATGTTTGGCTTCTTCTGGACAATATGTCTGTAATATTCACCCTATATATATAGAGTATCTATAGCAGGGGTGTCCAGTCTTTCGGCTTCCCTGGGCCACACTGGAAGAAGAATTATCTTGGGCCACACATAAAATACACTAACAGTAACGAAAGCTGATGAACTAAAAAACAAAACAAAACAAAAAAAACCATGCAAAACAAACTCTCATAAGGTTTTAAGAAAGTTTATGAATTTGTATTGGGCTGCGTTCAAAGCCATCATAGGCTGTATGTGGCCCATGGGCTACAGGTTGGACAAACTTGATCTATAGCTTATTTTTATTGCAGTATAGTGCTAGTTCCATTATACCACTATTCGTTTCTTCAACTGTTGATGGTCATTGGATTTGTTTCTAGGTTTCAGTTGTTAGGAATAATACTGCTATGAACAGTATCATATAAATCTTTTTGTGGACCTGTGTATACCACATTTCAAGTGGATATATGCCCAGGAGAGGAATTACTGAGTCATAGTATATGTATTTTTTTTTAACCTTAGTAGATAATGCTAGTTTTTTTCCCAAAGTGAATATGCCAGTTTACACTACAACCTTTGCTTCCTCTCCTCTCCAGACTTATCGTCAGTCTTTTTGGTTTTCTCATTGAGATTTAAATATTATGAATAATTTTTACAAATTAGTAATTGAAAAGACAATTCAATAGAAAAAATTGGGCAAAAGATGCAAATGGATATTTTATAAAAGAAGATATCTAAATGGCCAGTAAACAAAGAAAAGGTGCTCGGTCTCATTATTTATCTGGGAATCACCTTTTAGATTTTAGACGTGCTATTTTTCCTGCCTTGAGTTACTGAATATTTTTTCCTATATTGTGGCAACTTTGTGCTTCTGCTTTTCACATTTAGATCTTCAGTCCAACTAGAATTAATTTTAGTGTGTAATAAAAAGAAAGGCGCAAGTTTCTTTTTTTCTACAAGGTTATCTAGTTGTCCCAGTGGCCTTTATTGAAGACTCTCTTCTCCTTACGGTTCAGCAAAACCACCTTTGTTCTAAATTATCTTATATGGGTAGGTCAGTTTATGGGCTGTGTCCTGTTTTATTGGTCTCTTTGTCTATAATTAAGCCAATGGCATACTATACCATCTTAATTACTGTATATTTGTAGTAAGTACTGATATATAGTAAAGTCTTCTCATTTTTTTCTTTAAAATCATTTCCACTGTTGTTGGCCTGTCTTTTGTATTTCCACATAAATTTTTGAATCAGCATGTTAAGTTTCTCACACATAGAGACACACTCATTTGGATATTAATTGATATCACATCATCTGTAGATTGGGGAGAATTTGTCTCTTTAGAATGTTTTCTAATCCATACACCTAGTCCATATCTCTATTAGGTCTTTTTTAGTTTGTTTCAGTAGCTAGCCACAGTTTTCCTATAATAAATAGTTTGCACATCTTTTTACCTAGGTTTTTGATATTTTTTATATTATTAAGAATGTCTTTAAACATACATTGTTGTTAAAGAATATCACTATTGAAAAAAATAAAAAATATTTTGTTGCTGGCATATGGAATGCAATTAATTTTTGTATATTGCTCTATCTGCCAATCTTGCTAACTTGCTTTTTCTAATTATTTTTCTGTAAATTTGTTTAGATTTTCTACATACACAATCAGAACATGTGTATATAAAGATTTTTTTTTTTTAGTTTTTATACCTTCTATTCCTTTGTTTTGTTCTAGTTCTTCAATACAATATTGAATAAAAGTAGCAATAATGGACTTTCTTGTTTTGATCACACTCTCAGAAAAAGATGTTTTAAGATTTTAAAGTCAGGTGTGGTGTTTTAAAATACTCTTTTTATATACACCTTTGATGAGATTGATGCACTTTTAAGTTTCTAGTTTGCTAGGTTTATTTTTCTCTTTTTTTATTGAGGTGAAATTAATATAGCATAACATTAACTATTTTAAAGTATATAATTTAGTGGCATTTATTACATTCACAGCATTGCGTAACAACTACCATTATCTAGTTCCAAAACATTTTACCACATCAAAGAAAACCTTGTAACCATTAAGCAGTCAACTCCCATTTCCCCATTCCCTTAGTCCCTGGAAATCATCAGCCTACCTTCTATGTATTTATCTATTCTGGATATTTCATATAAATGGAATCATACACCAAGCACAGGAATGGTAGGTATTTTTTGTTAGTTCTGACAGTCCCTGAGCTGCTTATTTATTTTGTATGTCTATTTTCTGTCTATTGTTCAGCCGAGTAATTTCTGTAGTTGTATCTTCCCAGTGCATTAATTCTTTTCCTCTTCCTCTCTATTTCTGCTGATGAGCTCATCTAATATTTTTATTTTGGTCATTGTATTTTTTTCTTTTCTTTTTAAAGACAGAGTCTCAGTCTGTCACCCAGGCTGGAGTGCAGTGACACAATCTTGGCTCACTGCAGCCTCTGCCTCCCAGATTCAAGCAGTTCTCCTGCCTCAGCCTCCTGAGTAGCTGGACTACAGGCGCATGCCACATCACCTGGCTAATTTTTGTGTTTTTAGTAGAGACAGGGTTTCACCATGTTGGCCAGGCTGATCTCGAACTCCTGGCCTCAAGTAACCCACCTGCCTCAGCCTCCCAAAGTGCTAGGATTACAGGCATGAGCCACCAGGCTTAGCCGTATTTTTCAGTTTTAAAATTTCCACTTGGTTCTTCTTTTTACCTTCTTTTCTGAGACTTGTATTTCTTTGCTGTGACCCTCTTTTCATTTATTTCAAGCTTGTTTGTCATTGTTTGTTTAAGCATTTTTATCATCAGTGCTTTAAAGTCTTTGTCAGATAACCATAACATTCCTGTCATCATAGTGTTGGCTTGTTATCTTTTTTCATTCAGTTTGAAATCTTCATTCTTGATATGATCAGTGGATTTCTTTTTTTAATGTATGTATGTATGTATGTATGTATGTATTTTTGAGATGGAGTCTTCCTCTGTTGCCCAGGCGGGAGTGCTGTGGTGTGATCACAGCTCACTGCAACCCCTGCCTCCTGGGTTCAAGCGTTCTCCTGCCTCAGCCTCCTGAGTAGCTGAGATGACAGACGTGCACCACCACACCCTGCTAATTTTTGTATTTTTAGTAGAGATGGGGTTTTGCCATGTTGGCCAGGCTGGTCTCGAACTCCTGACCTCAGGTGATCCACCTGCCTCGGCCTCCCAAAGTGCTGGGATTACAGGTGTAAGCCACTGTGCCTGGCCGACCAGTGGTTCTCTATCGAAACTTGGACATTTGGGATATTATAATATTGTGGATTCTATCTAAACTTTTTGTTTTAGCTGGCTTTTTCTGACACTTTTCTGGTAGAGGAAAGAGGGCATACTACCTTGTTTTTGCCAGGTGGAGATGGAAGTACAAGGTTTTTTTGTTTGTGTTTTTGTTTTTTTTTAAGAGGTGGGAATCTTGCTTTGTTGCCTGGGCTAGAGTGTGGTGGCATAATCATAGCTCACTGCAGCCTTGAACTGGGCTTAAGCAATCCTCCTACCTTAGCCTCCCAAGTACCTGGGCATATAGGCACATGCCACCATGCCTAGCTAATGACTTTTTTTTGTTTGTTTTTGAGACAAGGTCTCACTGTGTTGCCCAGGCTGGTCTCGAACTCCTGGTCTCAACCAATCCTCCCACCTCACTTTCTGAGTGGCTGGGATTTGCAGTCACAAGCCATAGTGCCTAGCAAGTCGAGGTTTCTAAGATGGCCTCTGTTGACACCTTAGTTTTTTTTGGGAGGGGGGTTGCGGGAGGGGTCTTTGTTATTGCCAGGTAGCTGTAGTTCTGGCTCCCCATGTGATCTTCCCTGATACCCTGGAGAGGGTAGCCTCATTACTGTTGGTGGTTCTGCCTGTCATAAGTCTCCACTAGGCCTTCTGTGCCAGCATTTCAGTGGGGTGAGGGAGGTCCTCTTTGTTACTCTTGGTGGGGGGTGAAAGTTTAGGTTTTCCATGTGGTCTCCTCTGACATTGCAGGATCATTGAGCTTTATTACGGTTCAGGAAGCAATGGAAGTTTCTGTTTTCTGGTGAGCCTTCTTGTGCACCATCTTGGCCCAGTATTAGGGTATTTTATTACAGCCTAGCTTGGCTTCCACCTAATCTTTGCTTGTGTGGATGGGGGTGGAACTACAGTTTTTTTTTTTTTGTGTGTGTGTGTGTGTGTGTGTATGGTATTTGGATAGAGTAGATTGTAATTGTCTACATATTATCTTGCTAGGCTCCCTCTTTTTTGTTCCTTTGGCTAGAGAGTAGGCTTTTTTGTTCAAGACTTATTTGTCTGAATTAATTGGTGTTTCCTGGTTGCCAGTTTCTTCAGCTCTGTGTCTGAGATATATGAAAAAGAAAACCCAGGGAAATAAACTCACCACTGTATTTGTCCTTACATTCTCAGGTCCATAGCTAGTCAGCCTTCTAGTCTCCATTATTCAGAGTCTTACGTTTGTCATATACCTAAATCCAGGACTCTTAGTTATATTAATGAGTATAAAAGGAAAATGTATATCTGTTCCATCTTCCTCAAAGTAGAAACCTTTATTCCATAAGTTTTAAAATGGAGTATCAATTTTCATTTAGTACTACATATTTTCTAATTTCTATTTTGACCTTTTCTTTGATTCATAAGTTATTTAGAAATGTATTTCTTACTTTGTAAGCATATGTGGCTTTTCTGATTATTTTTTGTATTGAGTTTAGTTTAATAGCATTGTGGTCAGAGAAGGTATCTTGTATGATCTTGGTCTTTTAAAATGTTTGAAATTTTTTTTAAATACCTGGCATGTGGTCAACATTTATAAATGTTATGTGTATACTTGTGAGGAGTGTGTATTCTGTAGTTACAGGGTATAGTCTTCCATATGTCAGTTAGGTCAGCATGGTTAATTGTGTTGTTTAAATTATCTGTGTTCTTACTGATTATTTTTTTAAATCTTCTTGTCCCATTAGTTACCAAGAATAGTGGTGAAATTCTCCTCCTATCATTGTGAATTTGTCTATTTCTCCTTATAGTTTTGACAACTTCTGCCTTACTATTTAGTGGCCATAGTAAGTGCATGTAAATTTAAAATTGTCACATCTTTCTGGTGTATTTAACCTTTATCATTATTAATTTCTCTCTCCATTTTAAATAGTGGGGGTTTTTTGCCTTTTAAAATCTACTTTTATTATTTTTTCATTGAGAGCAATCAATAAGAAAATCTTGTTTTAAAAGAGAAGATCAAATTTTAGTGTTGTATCAGTGTACTTTTGATATGAGGACTCAATTTTAAGACAAACCTATAAACAATTTACTTTTCATTTTAGCCAATTTGTTCACAAATAAAATTTCTTTCATAAGATTCATCTCTCACAAACCTTTCATAATTTGCCCAGACCTTCTACAGCTTGCTCAGTCCTTTAGTTTTGTCTTATATTTCTCTTGTTTATACTGAAACAATCATTTTACCTTAGGACAAAAATTTACTTCCCTTTTTTTCTATCATTTCAACCACATAAGTTTTTTTATACAAAAATTACTGTCATTCTCTTTTCTTACCAAAAATACATTCTCATAGTTTTTTGTGTCTGTTTTTCACTTGTTCCTTTCTGCCTTGTTTTCATGTTTTTCCAAATTCATATTTTGAAATAATCTTTCAATAACTTCTGAATTAGACAAATTACTTTTTAAATAAAAACACATTTTTATGCCATTTAAAACACTTTTTTCACCAAAAACAAATTTTGTTTTTTTCTTGTACCCTTTGCATACAGAATTCTATGTATTAACTAGAATTTTAACTCTTAGCAATCTTAATTTTTAGTTAAATCTTAGTAATCTTAACTTTTAGTGAAAACCTAGGAAGTAAGCAATTTTGAGCTGTCACATATCAACATTTTATAAAGACACATTTTATAATCTTTAAAAATGTATTTTTTCCACAGAATAATTTTTAATGTGGAACCAAACATATTTATTAACCCCCAAATATTTTTTCTTCCTGTAAAGCTTTAGAAGTCAAGAGTAAATCTAAACTTACATTTAGGAATTAGTGTTTCCTTATTTTAACTTATTTGGATTGCTACTGCAATAAAACAAGTCACAAGAATTTTCTGGTTTCTCAGTGCATGGAAAAGTTATGTTTACAGTATACTGTAGTCTGTTAAGTTTACAATATAATTATGTCTTTAAAATGTAGATACCTTAATTGGAAAGTACTTTGTTGCTAAAAAATGCTATTGATCACCTGAGCCTTCAGTGAGTAATCATCTATTAGCAGGTGAAGGGTCTGGCCTTTCTGCTGATGGCTGCTAACTATTTAGATGGTTGCTGAAGGTTGGGATGGCTGTAGCAGTTTCTTAAAATGAGACAACAGTGAAGTTTGCCACATCAGTTGACTCTTCCTTTCATGAAAGATTTCTTTGGAGCATGAGATTCTATTTGATAGCATTTTACCCACAGTAGAGTAAAAATTGAATGCCAGTTTTATGATGCAATTCATTAATTCCTTGGCAAATGTGTACTTTTGGCAGGATAATTTTGTGGTAGCTGCTACAGATAGCGCATTCTGTATTTACAAAGATTGAATCCCAGTGCGTGTTAAATCTAAGAGTAAGGAGTATAGTGTTCTTGAGGGACTTTTCCCTCTGTATTAAAATATAATTTCAGAGGAAACCAAAACAACTGCAATTATAGTTTAAAGATTGTCTTAAGTAATACGTAGATATCACACTAATTTATCAGAGATGGTATAATTCAAGCAAGGCTGAATAATTTAATGGTCGGTTTGCATAGGACAAAGATTTTTTTTTGTTATAAGAAGTGATTTGTAATAACCCATGGCTAAGGAAGATTCTATCAGGAAAAAAATATGTATGTATGTGTGTGTGTGTGTGTGTGTGTGTGTGTGTGTGTGTGTGTATGTATTATGGGACTAGAGAAAGAAATTAAAGGAGACAACTATTTTAATTAAAATTTTTGTTCTTAGTTATAAGAACACTTTGAAACATCATTTTTTATTTCTAGATGAAATAAACAGTGACGTTTGTAATACTGAGTCAGTGCTTTTGGAGATAGGTGAGATTTAGTTTTCTTAACACAGTGTATAACACATAGGAGTTGATCAATATTTATGTGTTGACAAATTTCTCATGTGAATCTGTAGTCTGGGTGCAGCTTGCCTTGTGTCAAGTAAAAGACCCTTCAAAGCATTAATCATAGGCATAGTTACTTGCTGAAGGTCACCTTTTGAAGACCTTGATTCTCCCTAGCCAGTTACCAAGTTCCAAATAGCTTTTCCTCTGATTTGGGAGTATGGATTTTATACCAGGATCTATACTTGAAGCTTACTGTGGTAGCTTCAGGAAACATGACTCTGGTTTGTGAATTTAAGACTACCTAAACTGGGAAAGTCTGCTTCTAGTGGAGCTAGGTTAATACTTGAAGATGTGATTTTGATGGTCATAGAAGCATAGAAGCTGCATGGAGGTAAAGAAAATTGTTCAAGGTGTGATTCAGCTTTATATTTGCATTTTGTTTTATGAACAAATTAAAATCTGAGAATTGGGCTTTGTAATAAAAATGATAAGGAGAGGCTGAGCGTGGTGGCTCACGCCTGTAATCCCAGCACTTTGGGAGGCCGAGGCAGGCAGAATGCCTGATGTCAGGAGTTCGAGACCAGCTTAGCCAGCATGGTGAAACCCTGTCTCTACTAAAAATACAAAAAATTAGCCGAGCGTGGTGGCGGGCTCCTGTAGTCCCAGCTACTCGGGAGGCTGAGGCAGGAGAATGGCGTGAACCCGGGAGGCGGAGGTTGCAGTGAGTCGAGATAGCGCCACTGTACTCCAGCCTGGGCGAACGAGCGAGACTCCGTCTCAAAAAAAAAAAAAAATTAGCCGGGTATGGTGGCAGGCGCCTGTAATCCCAGCTATTCAGGAAGCTGAGGCAGGAGAATTGCTTGAACTTGGGAGTGGAGGTTGCAGTGAGCCGAGATCACACCATTGCACTCTAGCCTGGGCAACAGAGCAGACTCCTCTCAAAAAAAAAAAAAAAAGAAAAAAAAAAGAATAATAAAAGTGATAAAAATATGTAACATTAAAGGAGGCTTACGTTTACTGATCGCAAATTATGTAATTATGTTTATTTCTCTGTGCAGGTATAATTTGGCTTCCTGAGATTCTGCCTTAGCAAGAAAGGAGTGGGAAATACCCTTGGAAAGAAAACTAAAACAGTAAGAAAGCCAAAACTTATTTTTACATGGTTGTCAGCACATTTACCGATATGGACACTTTTCCCAATAATTTTCCTCCTGGTGGAGACAGTGGATTGACAGGTTCTCAGTCGGAGTTCCAGAAAATGTTAATTGATGAAAGGTTACGATGTGAGCATCATAAAGCTAATTATCAGACACTGAAGGCTGAACACACAAGGTAAATTACTTAAATCTAGAAGTGGGGTTTGGTTTTAAAAAGTTATTGGCATTATCTTGGCTGAATGTTTGCTATAGAATATAGTATAATTTTGTTATTTTGCAATGTATACATTTAAAACTTTTTTAATATAGTAAAATTTTTACTTTAAAATTACTTTGTTCCAAACTAAGTATGATATCAAGTGGGTTATGAATTTATAAGCCTTATTTTGAAAGTAGCAGGACGTATAAGATTAAATGTATCCAGATGGCTAAATGTGTTCCCCATCTCCCACCAAAGTAAAATTGCATTCCAAAACTACAGTGTTAATAATTAAATGAAACTCTGTAAATAAAAGATACTTGTGGGTTTAAAGGAATGTGTGATATTGGTCTTGTTTTTCTGTGGTGTTGATTGACTTTACATAAAGTAATGCAATTAGAAAGAAAGGATTTACTCAAAATTGAATTCTCTTTAAAAAAAACCAGGTTGCAGAATGAACATGTAAAGTTACAAAATGAACTCAAGCACCTGTTTAATGAAAAGCAAACTCAGCAGGAAAAACTTCAGCTCCTGCTTGAAGAACTAAGAGGAGAATTAGTAGAGAAAACTAAAGATTTAGAAGAAATGAAACTGCAGGTGAGAAAATATATTTGAGTTTTGAGTTAGTATAAAAGCAGTCAGATACGTAGTGGAAGTAAGTAGTTTTGGTGAATATGGCAATTTCTGTCTATATCCTTAATGATTACTTTGCTGTATCTCCAAGTGGTACAATTTAATCTTCTTTCATATATTTTAGAATGTTAGCTACCATGTAAGGGAGCCATGAAACTGTTATTTTATGTAAATTGGTATTATATTGCCTATTCTGATATAAATAATATTTAACCATTAAGAATAATTAGGGAAAAAGTGAGTTTGAATTGATAAAAATTCAGAATTAAAGAATTTTTTTAAAAGAGTTACTAGTATTTGTATATGCATTATAACTGAAAGCTAAAAAAGGACAGCTATTCTTAAAGAGCTTCTTAAAAGAGACTGTAAAAACAGTATGTGAACATAATTTATGTGTACATTGTAACACAAATGGGTTTGTAAAGCAAAAGATAGTTGTCTCCAAAGTGCTGAAGTACAGTTTCTTTAGATCATTTTCACGCTATTCATTTTTTCATTTGTCTGGAAAATTGAGCAAAGCCAGACTTTAAACTCCAGTCAAATTTCCTGTAAATTTCAGATTAGTAGGTTCTCACGAATAATATTTTCCCATATTTATTTAATCTCTGAAGAGCACCAGCTATTTATTTCTGCCTAACAATCTGATTGGTACAAATAATAAGGTATTATTAATATTAGAGTCAGAAGTTCATAGAGTAAGAAGGCATCTTTCAAGTCACCTAGTCTGGCATATCACCCAACTCTTAGATATCCTTTGACAGAAGCCTTGTAAGTTTGTCATTCAATAACTTTTTCAAATCTACCATTGCTGGGAACACCACTAAGCCTGGCTTGGAGCCTCCACTATGCTCACTGTTTCATTCCTAGGTATATTTAGGACATTTAAATATACAAATATAAACCTCAGAAATGTAAATCGAAGAGGGAAATGTAATTTAAGCCTGTAGAATCAATGCATTAATTTGTTTTGCAAAAATTTAGAGCCCTGTATGAGTGGAAGCTGTGAATGCTGAACCCAAGATATTTGAGAGATTCTTCAGGTATTGCAAATTTAATTATTCTGTTTCATGAGAGTGACATCTAAATGTGATTATTTGTACCAAGCACATCCAGAAAGTAAGTAAAGCACATCCAGAAGGCTGGAGTAGTTATATTAATTCAGATAAAAGAGACTTCCAGACAAAGAGTATCACTAAAGATAAAAAGGATGTTTATAATGAAAAAAAAGGGACAGTTCTTCCAGAAGATGATAACTTCAACAAGTAACTATGTCTCTATGCCTAGTTTTCTCATGTGGTAAAGCGGATAAAAGTTTCTGCTTAACAAGAGTTGTGAGGACTAATGAGATAACATCTACATTTTTACTGCCATACTTTCCACATAGTAAATATTCATAGATTATGACATGTTTATTTGAATTCAGGCTCCATGAAGGCAGGAACTTTTTTTCAGTGTGTCTTCAGTGTTTAGGATAATGCCTAGTAAACATCTATTTGTTGAATGAATGACGTGAAAAATTGAAATAAATGAATGAATTGGGATTGTTGTTCATATATTGCACTGTCTGTGTCAAACATACCTACAGCCTCAGCATCTTAGAGTTGGTAATCATCTAGTTTTTCTTTGAATCTATTATGGGTTGAGTTGTATCCCCAACCAGGATATGTTGAAGTCCTAACTCCTAGTACCTCAGAAGGTGACCTTATTTGGATGTAGGTTCATTACAGATGTAATTAGTTAAGCTGATGAGGTCATATTGGAGTATGATGAGCCTTTAACTCAATATTACTGGTGTCCTTAAAAAAAGAGGAGAAGAGAGATGGAGACAGATGGGGTAGAGAGGAGCACTATGTGATGGTGGAGGCAGAGATTTAAGTGCTCCAGAAGCTAGAAAGAGGCAAGGAAAGTTTCTTCCCTGCAGATTTTAGGGGGAGCAAGGCCTGTCAACACACCTTGATTTCAGACTAATAGCCTCCAAAACTGTGAAAGAACAAACTTCTGTTATTTAAAGCTGCGTCGTTTCTGGTATTTTATTATGGCAACCTAGGAAACGAATACACTGTCCAAAGCAGAATCCTTTTTAGAACATCTTTCAGACAGGACTCTCTTCATTTTCTGCTTCAGTGCTTTCAGTGCTAGAGAACCTGGTGAACTTTTTAAAGTGATCCAATTGTATTTATAGATTAAAGTATGTTAAACATTTTCTCTCTCCTATTAAAATGAAGTCATCTACCCTATAGCCTCCCTGTTGGTAACTTTGGATGTTCCTCCATGTGAAAACTTCCCAAATGTTTGCTCACAAATATAATTTATCTAGTAAGGCTTCTGTTTTTTAAGATAAACATATCTAGTAAGGCTTCTGTTTTTTAAGATAAACATATCTAGTTTCTGTGTGATATTTATTTGGCAAAAATAAGCTAAAGAAACATCATGTATACATATAAACACACATTTTGAAGCAATTTAGCTATTTGTTTAATGGATGCTTGCAATTTGCGCAAATTGTAAGTTTAGAAAAGTAAATTCAACAAAGATCAAGAAATATTTCAATGAAGGTTTATGAAAGATGATTATTTTTAAAATATACGTGCATTATCTAGTCTGCCTACAAAAATGCTTTTTCTAAGATTTAATGTCATCTCTTTGGCTTTTATAGGAAAAAGATATAAGAGATATTCATTTAAAGAACATTTCTGCATCAGTAGTGAATGGTAATGATAATAGTGCCTAGCTCATAGGATGACTGTAAGGATGAAATGAGACAGTGCATAGAAAGTGTTAGTTCAGGCTGAGCATGGTGGCTCCCACCTTGAGAACTTCAGGAGGCAGGAGGATCACTTGAGGCTAGGAGTTTGAAACCAGCCTGGGTAACGTAACTGGGTAACTCTGTCTCTAAAAAGTAAAGTAAAATAAGTTAGCCTGACATAGTGGCATGCACCTGTAGTCCCAGCTACTAGAGAGGCTGAGTCAGGAGACTTGTTTGAGCCTAGGAGTTTGAGGCTTCAGGGAGCCATGGTTACACCACCACACTTTACCCTGGGCAACAGCGCGAGACCCTGACTCAAAAAAAAGTATTAGTATGGTACTTTGATCTAGTAAGTGGTCAGTACATGTTGTTATTGTGTTACTATGTACCATGTTAGCAAAACCTTTTTAAATATGGGGATCATTTGATATATTCTAATAAAACGGAAATTACTTTACCAATGATTAATATACTCTTTTTGTGCTAATGAAAACTGTATAACCTAGTATACAGGTTCCCATTTTGTTTTGGCTGCTGGGAAGCTCAGATCAAAGTATAATACTCAGTTTCAGTCATTAATTTATTAAGAATTTTTGGCATAGCAGTATTTGCCGCCTTAAAGTATTCTTTGTAAAAGATTGGCCTATTTTAGATTATTAAATGGCAAGTACTGCAGTGTTAAAGATTTGTTTTTATAGATTTAAAATAGGTAATGACACCTAGACTGTTGTATGATAAAGCATTCTTATGTTTCTTTGGAGACAAGTAGTGGCAATATTCCATTAGAAGTCTAAGACACTGCTGGGTGCAGTGGCTCATGACTAATCCCAGATCTTTGGGAGGCCGAGTTGTGTGGATCACCTGAGGTCAGGAGTTCGAGACCAGCCTGGCCAACATGGTGAAACCCTGTCTCCATTGAAAATACAAATATTAGCTGGGTGTAGTGGTACATGCTTGTCTTCCCAGCTGCTCAGGAGGGTGAGGCATGAGAATTGTTTGAACCTGGAGGCGGAGGTTGCAGTGAGCCAAGATCGTGCCACTGCACCCCAGCCTGGGCGACAGAGCGAGACTCTTTCTCTCTCCAAAACAAACAAACAAACAAAAAGTAGCCTAAGAGAGAATATTTTTTCCTAAAATGGGATGGGAAAAATCCTCTAATTCAGTCGGTGTCTTGGTTTATGTGTGCTTTGGAGGTATAGGGGATAGGAGAGGGAGAGATGGGGAGAGACAGAGGAAGAGAGAATTTATTATGTGTGTATTTGTTTTTAATAAGATTCCTAGGAGGTAAGAAAAAGTTAGAGATGCTTTGTCAGAGACCTCAGATCAGAAGACCCCTAAACTGTTGTATGCTATTAGATTGCACAGGCCAGTGGTGAGGTGCACACCATTACAGGATTTAAAGCACTGTTGTTTCCAAGAGGCATCTGTGATGTAATTGAACATATAATGCTAGAAGCTGCATGGATATTGTGCAGCTACATCACTCTACAGGGTAGTGAGCACAGGTTATCTTTGTTCTTTGCAGTGCACTTTGTCTGGTTTTTTGGCTGCTGTTCTCTTTATTGCTGGTTTTAAGCAATTTGATTGACATACTTTGCAGTTTTTTTTATATCTGTAGTGCTTGGGGTTTATTGAGTTCCATAGGTCTATGGGTTTACAGTTTTTATCAAACTGAAAATTTTTGGAGATTACTTCTAAAAATATTTTCTTTCTCCTCTTTCACCTCCTTTGGAGACTCTTAATTACATTCTAATATTAGACCACTTAAAGTTCTGCCATAGCTTGCTGATGTTGTTTATTAATTTATTTTTAGTATTTTTTGTCTCTGTGCTTCATTTTGGTTAGTTTCTGTTGCCATGTTTTCAGATTGATTGATTTTTTCTTCTGCAGTATCTAACCTGCCATTAATTCCATGCAGTGTAATTTTCATCTCAGAAATTGTAGTTTTCGTCTCTGGAAGCTCAATTTTGTTTTTTTTTTTTTGTTTTGAGACAGAGTCTCTCTGTGTCGCCCAGGCTGGAGTGCAGTGGCGCGATCTTGGCTCACTGCAAGCTCCGCCTCCTGTGTTCATACCATTCTACTGCCTTAGCCTCCTGAGTAGCTGGGACTATAGGTGCCCGCCACCACGCCTGGTTAATTTTTAAATTTTTTATTGTTAGTAGACATGGGGTTTCACCATGTTAGCCAGGATGGTCTCAATCTCCTGAGCTCGTGATCTGCCTGCCTCGGCCTCCCAAAGTGCTGGGATTACAGGCGTGAGCCACCTTGCCCGGCCTTGGTCTTTTTATCTCTATCCAACATGTTCAGTCTTTTCTCTAGTTCTTTGAACATATGGAATTCAGTTACAATAACTGTACAATAAAGTTTTAATGACATCTGTGTCATTTCTGGGCCTGTTTTAAGTTTATCCCCCCTGCCCCCACCACACACACACACACTCACTCTCACTCTCTCTCTCTCTCTCATGCTTCTCTGCATGCCTGGTAAATTTTTATTGGATGTTAGATACTGTGAACTTTGTTTTTAAAATGCTGGATTTTTGTTGTTGTTGTTGTTGTTGTTGTTTTTGTTTTGTTTTGTTTTGTTTTTGAGACGGAGTTTTACTCTTGTTGCACAGGCTGGAGTGCAATGGAGTGATCTCAGCTCACTGCAATCTCCACCTCCCAATATTTTTATATTCTGATACATGTTCTTGAGCTTTATTTTGGGACACAGTTAAATTATTTGGAAACAGTTTTATCTTTCTGGGTCTTGCTTTTAAGATTTAAGTGGGAGCAGAGTAGTATTTAGTGTAGTGCTAATTATTTCCCACCACTGAGGCAAGACTCTTCTGAGTAGTATAACAATTTCTTTATGAAACAAAGGATTTTAATCTGTTTTTGGGGAACAGAAACTATTCTTAGGTCTTTGTGAGCTCTGCGTATTCATCCTTCTAATCCTTTCAGGTGTGTATTTGCCTAGCCTTAGGTAGTTTCCTTGCACACATGTGTTAATCAGTACTCTACTGAATGAGTCAAGACTTTTTGTAGGTCTTCATAGTTGTCTTTCTGTGCCCTCTTTTCTCTGCTACCCTGTCTTAGGACTCTAACCACCCCACTGTCCTTGGATGCTCAGTTTCATCTCCTCAACTCAGGGAGTCCCTCATGACTGCATAGGTATCCTTTCCGGTGCCAGGTCCTGAAAACTCTCAAAGCTTATCTTCTATGTTTTGTGTCTCTCAGGGATCTGCCTTTTGCTTTCTTATGTCTAGTGTCTTGCAAACTGTTTAATTTTTGTCTGTTCTTTTGTTTGTTTCAGGCAAGAGAGCGAATCTGGGCTCTTATTCTATCTTGGCTGAAAGTGGAAGGCTTTTTACTTTCAGTTTAACTTTTGGTTTTGGAAATCTCAAACATGTAATGCATTCCCATGTACCCATCATCCAGCATTAATAATTATTCATTCTGAGCCAGGCTTGTTTTATCTACTACTTTCTCCCACCCACTTCCACTTTTTTCCTCAATGTTTCTGGATTATTTTGAATCAAATAATATTCTTTCAACAAATAATTGAGTATATATCTCTATAACAAATCAGTGCAGTCTGTCTTAAAAGCATAATCACAATACCTTTGCCATATTTAAAATACTTATTCATTAATACCTTTTAATATCCCACCTTTGTTCAGATTTTCTTAATTTTCCCATGGTTTTGCTTGCCTAGTTTTGAAGTTAGATCATTTGAAACAGGAGCCATGTAAGCTTTACCTATTAATCTCTTCCTTTTAATTGCTACCTCATCTTAGTTTGGACTCTTGATGTTGTCACCCAGACTTGATACTTGATACCGTAAACCAGATTATGACATGAGCTTTCTGTCTGGTTTCTTTGGCTCCATTTACTGCCTCTTCTTCCCACAGCTACAGCTACTCTCCCACTAAAGCTTTTGATTCATCTTGCTTCTTCGTAAAATATAGATATGGTAGTGTCACTCTTAAGCTTAAAAACCTTCAATAAATAAGGTACAGAAAAATATATGTACAATATCCTTTTTGTATAGAAATCAAAAGTGATATACATGCTTGTGTATCTGTAGATTGTTTTAGGAAGGGTACATAAGTTATTGACAATGATTGCTTCAATAAAAGGAAATTGGATTACTGAAGTGAGAAGACTTTTTAGTCTTTTGTTTGAATTATTTTATTTATGTAATTGTATATATTCATTTTAAATAAAATAAATTTTTAAAGTAAATACTATTGAATACTGAATAAATAATAAGAGTCTAAACCTGGTATTCAGGAACCTTTCACTCTTTGGCTGCAACCTAATTTTCCTTTTGTTTCCAGCCAGAGTGCAGCCCTCCAAGGTGGCATTTGGAAATGTTACAGTGTTTAGATATTTCTACCAGTGTGCATATAGGGTCCCACAATTTTAAATTTTCTGTAGTACTTAATGTGGTCCCATTCAAAATGGCTTTAACTCACCTTTGAGAATCACTTTTCTCCCATACAGTCTCTGACACCCAGGCAAATTAAAATGTTACCTGGCTTGAGTTTGGGTTCTATAAGCTTTCTATATAAGGGTTCTATATAAGCTTTAGTTTTCCCATTCCTTTGACGTGTCATGCCTTCTATCCTAAATGTGTTTTCTCTTTTTTACCTGTCTGGTAAGCCTGTATTGCCTACTTTTATAGTTATTTGTGTGTATGAGTTATTTTTAACACCAGAGTTTGAAGTTTTTATGGGGAGATATGTGCTTCATGTGAGTTTTTGTGATCTTTATAAAGTTATTTAGATACCTTGTGTGCCTCAGCATAGCTATACTGTGGCATTGTTGTAGGAATTAAATAAAGTAATGCATATAATGTGCTTAGAACAGGATGGTATGTAGGTTACAGTGCATTGTACAATGCTTTATATATAGTAAGCTCTCCATTCAGTAAAATGTAATATTTTGAATACAATATTTGGACTCTTCATAAAAAAGGAAACTGAACATTATCATTTTTATAGAAATTAATATACATGCAAACTTTAGATTTTTTTTTTTTTTTTTTACAACTAGTATTTGTTCCTCCTTCATTCATGAAATAGTTGAGTGGTTCCTATGTGCCAGACATTGGTGGGAGGTATTGGGAATACAACGGTGAATAAAGACTGTGTTTTCCCACATGGGACTTACATAAATATTTAATTACTTATTAAAATACGAGTTCTATAAAAGAGTGTGACAAGGAGAAGCCTAAATTAGGTACAGTGTGAGAGTAAAAATGAGCCTTTTCTAATTGAAAATAAGTCTGAAAGGTTCTCTTTGGTATAACAAATTGTTACACCTTTATTTTGCCTGCTTTGGAAAATAACTAGACTATTAGCCATTGTATACAACATGATAGTCTTAGCTGCCAACATAGTTATTCCTAACAATAGCAATAATAATCAGTAATTGTCTTTACTTCATGTTAATGGAATTTTTGACATCTCCAAG
This sequence comes from Homo sapiens, assembly GCF_000001405.40. Lineage (NCBI taxonomy): Eukaryota > Metazoa > Chordata > Mammalia > Primates > Hominidae > Homo > Homo sapiens. Next base: position 94,403,452 of record NC_000012.12, on the reverse strand, counting down.
AGCCTGAAATTGAGATTCTTAAAGTATTATTTCAAATGATGATTCTATTTGTATAGTGATCACTGTAAAAAAACTATATTGCAAAAACTTTCATGAATTCCATTGTCATAATTAGGAGAGAGGCTTTGAAATATGGAGAATTCTTGATTTTAATGTGATTTTATATTGTTTGCATTTCTCTACATATTAGATATTAACTCCACAAAAATTGGAATTGCTAAGAGCCCAAATACAACAAGAATTAGAAACTCCAATGAGAGAACGTTTTAGGAATCTAGATGAAGTAAGTAACTTATGTTGTTTACTATGCATTTATCCTCATGGGATCAAAGTCTTGATGAAAAGCATCATTCCCCTACCCCAAAACCCTGCAGTAGTTCCCCCTTTTACTCAGTCATTGCAGTGGCCTCTAAGGCTTCACAGGATTGAACTCCCATTACCTCTCTGATCTCCTTTCCTTTTTCCACATTGGCCTACTGATGTTTCTTTGGCATTCCAGAATTGGTGCGTTTCTTTATTTTTATTTTTAATTTTATTTCTTTTTTAATTTTTTTGCGACAGAGTCTGGCTCTGTTGCCCAGCCTGGAGTGCAGTGGCGTGATCTCGGCTCACTTCAACCTCCGCCTCTCGGGTTCAAGCGATTCTCTTGCTTCAGCCTCCCAAGTAGCTGGGATTACAGGCACGCACCACCGTACCTGGCTAATTTTTGTATTTTTAGTAGAAACGGGGTTTCACCATATTGGCCAGCTGGTTTTGAACTCCTGATCTCAAGTGATCTGCCCGCCTCGGCCTCCCAAAGTGTTGGGATTACAGGCCTGAGCCACCATGCCCAGCCTAATTGGCACATCTCTTTTGCCTTGAATACTCTCCCTCCAGATACGTCGTGGCAAACTTCATCTCTTGTAAGTCTGCTAAAATGTCACTTTCTCAATGGGGCCTACTTTGACTGCTCCCATCTACCTATTTAATACTGCAACCTGCCTTTCCCATTACTGCTTAGACCTTTAGACCCCCTTACCTTGCTCTGTTTTTTATTTTTTTTTCTGGTATACATACCTTCTACTGTGCTGTATAATTTGCTTATTTATTGTGTTTATTTTCTGTTTTACCACCTCTAGAATGGAAGTTGCATGAGAGGAGGAACCTTTACCTGTTTTGTTCATTGTTATATTCCAAGTTCCTAGAACAGATTTTGGTATACAGTAGGTGCTCAATTAATATTTGTTGAAAGAGAGAATGAGTTTCATGCCACTTCATAAAAGTAAAAATCTGTTACAGTTTTACTTCAGGTTGAGACTAGTCTCCTTTGGTGAAGTGTTGATATAATATGACTAAATGCTTAATAAAGGGGACAGGATAAGACTGCAGATAACAAGTATATTAGATACTTGGTAGACATTTTATATATGTTACCTTATTTAACAAATATACCTGGCCTTATACATACAAATGATTATTGTCCCCTTCAAAATGGGCCCCTTTGGAGAGCTGTAGTCTAGTGATGCGGTAATTGCCCAAAACAGTTGTAGAATCGTCTTTTATAATGGCTTACTGGCTTGATAATATGATCTTTCTAATACAGTCCTAATGGCAAGCCATTATGGTTTGGGAGTAGGTTTAATTTTTGTAAATAAACAAGATCAGACCCAAGATAAGTGACCAAGTTCAATAAAAACTTTTTTTTTTAAATCAAAGCAAAGTATATCTGCAGTAAAATAATGAAACCCATTTTCTTGGTTTACAAACTGGCTTAGAAATCTTTGAACTAAAGATTTATGGTGAGCTGGGTATTTTAGGAGACATGCTTTCCTTGTTATCGAATTTCCTGTTAGTGTCTCCTGTATCTTTCTGCTTTGTGGCCTGAGTTTCTTGTTGGGTATTCAGAATGCCAGCAGCTTTCATAGAGTACTGTTAGGAAGCAGGATGAGAACACTCCAGGGAATTGCATGTGTTCCTGGTTAGTCAGTAGAGATGATGCTGCACGTATTCTTCAGGTTGGTCTGTTGAGTTAAACTATCATTGTAATATTTAATTAGATGTTAAAATGCTGTACTAAATATTACAATAACCTTACATCTCTTTTGAATTTGTTTTACTTATACTAAATTATACATTTAAAAAATCTATATTTTGAAAGGTGTGCTACATTCTTACATGTTATTTTATTTAAGTCCAGAGATCAACACTTTCCTCATACTATACACTTTATCATAATGAGAACCAGTGAAGAAATAAGATTAATTGAATGGTAATTTACTTTTTGGATATCTTTTCAGGAATGTACTACTTCTGTATGTAGGATACTTGTTATGAAGACCTTTCCAAATTCATTTGTATTTCTGTTAAATTTATTTTTTACTTTTAGAGTGGCTATCATTATAATGTAATTTAAAATTATATTTGTAAAAGTGACTATTGGAGTGAGTACGAATTTTGTTTATAAATCTATGATAAATGCATTCTCCCTTTAGGAGGTAGAAAAGTATAGAGCTGTATATAATAAGCTTCGCTATGAACATACATTTCTCAAGTCAGAATTTGAACACCAGAAGGAAGAGTATGCACGTATTTTAGATGAAGGAAAAATAAAATATGAATCAGAGGTAAGTGATTGATTATACGAGTTTCTTTGTTATTGTTCTGGTCAACACAATTTTATAATTATATATTTTTAAAAATTTCAAATTAGAGTCGATTGTATAGTTTTATTCATTAATGGTGGAGTATTCATCATGATTTTCATCAGCTTCGTATCAACAGTTTTTTTGTGAAAGTTCTGTTTTGGGTGTAGATCTTTTAAATTCTATTTATCCTTTATTTTGTCCAGCCAATGGAGATAGACAACTTTGGGGAGTTTCATTGTACAAAGTCTTTTGTCTTATGTAGCCACAGAGATGGACTTCTCTCTGCAAATATAGTTAGTGTGATTCCTTACTTAGCATTGTTCTTTCTGCTTCTTGGAACCAAACCACATATGGGAAAGCACTAGCTGTCAGCCTGTGCACTTTGATATAAACAAGGGGTTTATACCTTAAAGTGTACCCATCAACTTCAAGAAATAGACTTTGTTTTTTTCTGCCATTTGCAACTGGAATGTTCTCTTTATGCTGCCTACAGCATACATTCCCACTTCATCTCCATTGCTTTTGGCAGCCTTTCTACTCGTTTTGTGGTTTGTCTCCTAGTTTTGCCCAAAATGGGGTTTCTGTTTTTCATTGGTCGTGTTGCTTTTGGAATATTTTTCAAATTGAAAGAGAGGAATACTAATTTTATCCTGCCATATTCATAAAAAATAGGTTGGTATCTATAGTTATGTGAAATATTCTGTTTACAAACATATCTACATTTTAAATTTATTGCATTGTCTTTATTTAGAATTAAGAGTTAAAATATACTTACCTTCCTTTACCAATTACTAAATATTTACAGTGTTCTAGGCATCTAATAAAAACTAAAACTGTTCTATTTGGATCGGACTGATTTATTCTTATTAGTGAGCAAAGTGCCATGAGTGTTTCATCTGTAAGAAGCTATATGAACCTTGGAACATTTGTGTCCATTGACAGTGTAGTACCAGAACACTATAAATATTTATAATAGTTTTTCACATTAAAAAAAACTCTTTATAGCTTTAAGGCTTTAAGTGCTTTATTCACATATTATCTCACTTCTATTACAATAGTCAGTGAGATGGGGCTAGACTGTCTTATTTTCTTTGATTGATTGATCAAGAGGAGGTCTTGCTCTGTGGCCCAGGCTGGAATGCAGTGGCGCAATAATAACTCACTATAACTTCAGCTCAAGTGATCCTCCTGCCTCAGGTACCCAAGTAGCTAGGACCACAGGCATGTACTACCTCACCTGGCTAATAAAACAAACAAATAAACAAAAAATACAAAAACTCTTGTAGAGATGGGGCCTTGCTATGTTGCCCCAGCTGATCTCGGACTACTGGCCTCAAGTGATCCTCCTGCCTCAGCCTCTCAAAGTGCTGGAATTAGAGGCATAGACTATCGTGCCCAGCCCTTATTTTCTTCATTTTAAATGAATAAACTAAGGCACAAGATAAGTGAATTTATTGGGGGAACCCACCCCCAATATTTCAATGTAGGTTCTTTCTATTTTCTGTAAGTGTTGGCCGGCTGAGAAATAAAGAGTACAAAGAGAGGAATTTTACAGCTCGGCCCCTGGGGGTGCCGTCACATATTGGTAGGACTGTGATGCCCACCTGAGCCTCAAAGCCAGCAAGATTTATTAAGGATTTCAAAAGGGGAGGGGGCATAAGAACAGGGAGTAGGTCACAAAAAGATCACATGCTTCAAAGGGCAAAAAGGAGAACAAAGATCAAAAGGCAAAGGGCAGAAACAAAGATCACAAGGCAAAGGGCAAAAGCAGAATTACTGATAAGGCTCTATGTTCAGTGGTGCATGTATTGTCTTGATAAACATCTTAAACAACAGAAAACAGAGTTCGAGAGCAGAGAACTGGTCTGACCCCAAATTTACCAGGGTGGGGTTTCCCAATCTTAATAAGCCTGAGGGTACTGCAGGAGACCAGGGTGTATTTCAGTCCTTATCTCAACCGCATAAGACAGACACTCCCAGAGCAGCCGTTTATAGACCTCCCCCCAGGAATGCATTCCTTCCCCAGGGTATTAATTATTAATATTCCTTGCCAGGAAAAGAATTTAGCGATATCTTCCTTATTGCATGTCTGTTTATAGGCTCTCTGCAAGAAGAAAAATATGGCTCTATTTTGTCTGACCCCGCAGGCAGTCAGACCTTATGGTTGTCTTCCCTTGTTCCCTGAAAATCGCTGTTATTCTATTCTTTTTCAAGGTGCACTGATTTCATATTGTTCAAACACACGTTTTACAATCAAATTTGTACAGTTAACACAGTTATAGTGGTCCTGAGGTGATGTACATCCTCAGCTTATGAAGATAACAGGATTAAGAGATTGAAGTAAGACAGGCATAAGAAATGATAAAAGTATTAATTTGGGAACTGATAAATGTCCATATTAAAATGAAATCTTCATAATTTATGTTCCTCTGCCATGACTCCAGCCGGTCCCTCCATTTGGGGTCCCTGACTTCCCACAACATGAATTGTTCAAAGTCTCAGAGAATGTCAGCAGCCAGGTTATAGTAGAACTCAGATATACCAACTCCCAGCCCACAGCCTGTTTTGTTTTAGTCAGTTCCCTTATTGTTTTTATTTAATGCCATTATATTATATTTGCATATGCCATAACATTTACAAAATGCCCATTCTCTCCAGCTTCGGCTTAAGAAGGAGTGGGGGAGACCATACATATGCTAAGTCCATGTTCAATGTTGTACTCCTACACTTTGCACAAAGAAGAATTTGTAATCTTCCACCCAGACCCTCAAACCCACAAACCAGTCCACCACTCGTATTCTATATGCCCTATACCTGAGTCTCGACAGTGTGTGGTCAACACAAAACCTGGACCTTACCCATTCGAAGGTGACCGGCAGTTTGAAGTTGCCACTCTGATTATGGGCCATCCAGCAACTGCAATTTTGTTAAATAGCTGGTAATATATACACTACATGTGGTATGAAGGGTTTTGAATCCATAATTATGATAGACTTAAAGGAATTGCATGTAAAAATTTGTGGAAAATAGGAATGATAAAGATTTCTAGCCTAAAACGAAGATTTAGTATATTGAAGAGAAAACCCTAAGGTTTCATATAGTGGTGCTTTATTTTGTACTTTCCTTTTAAAATCTAATGATGATACTTATCTGGTAAGGATTATTTGTATTCTCTAGTTTCTTAGTTTTGTTGTTTTTGAAATAGTGAAACCTGCATTCGAAATCTGATGACTAATCTATTTTTCACTTATGAAGGACTAAGTGATTCTCATTAAAATTTTTAAGGGGTTGGTATAGTCATTAATTTATCATTATTATTATTATTATTTTTGAGATGGAGTCTTGCTCTGTCGCCCAGGCTGGGGTGCAGTGATGCAATCTCGGCTTACTGCAGCCTCTGCCTCCCAGGTTCAAGTGATTCTCCTGCCTCAGTTTCCCGAGTAGCTGGGATTCAGGCAGGTGCCACCATGCCTGGCTAATTATTGTATTTTTAGTAGAGATGGGGTTTCACCATGTTGGCCAGGCTGGTCTCAAATTCCTGACCTCAAGTGATCCTCCCACCTCAACCTCTCAAAGTTCAGGGATTACAGGTGGTGAGCTACCACATCTGGCCATCATTAATTTTCATATGTGATGTTTTATGATAGTCTTAAGAATCTGAAGATAAACTGCAAGTTAAGAAGCCATAATTAGTAGAGGGTGGAAAAATAAGACTGAAGTTTCTTTCATTTTACTTCCCAATTGATTATGTAGGAGCAGTATTACTGAGTGTATAATTGTGGATTTACTTTTGTTCAATCACCTTCATACTTCATTTTCTATATACAAAAACAGTAAAACCTGGTGAGATGATTGTGGATCATGAAACAGCAAATAGTTTCAAATATACTTTATAGAAACAACAAATTTAGTTTGAAAACTTCAAAGTAGAGCTGAATCTTGTCATCTTCCAATTTTACAATTTAAACTAGTGTAAAAGGGATTCATGTAATAAAAATAATTGGATTTTCTTGTGTTAATTAGGACTTACACAGTACTTGCACATTTTTACTTACACAGATGAAAGTAACAATATTATTTAGTGTGTTGGTTCTTAGGGGAATACTTTAGGAAGATTTTTAAAGTTTTTCCTGAGAGGGACTCCAGGAATACACATGTCCCTGATGATATTATAAACTAAAAAGAATATATGAAATAATATGTGAAAGAACATATCTCATCTTACGAATAAATACAGTGTTGGCCAGGTGTGGTGCCTCATATTTGTAATCCCAGCACTTGGGGAGGCTGAGGCGGGTGGATCACGGGGTCAGGAGATCGAGACCATCCTGGCTAACACAGTGAAACCCCGTCTCTACTAAAAATACAAAAAATTAGCCTGGTGTGGTGGCACGCACCTGTAGTCCCAGCTACTCTGGAGGCTGAGGCAGGAGAATCGCTTGAACCCAGGAGGTGGAGGTTGCAGTGAGCCAAGATTGTGCCACCGCACTCCAGCCTGGGTGACAGAATGAGGCTCTGTCTCAAAAAAAAAAAAAAAAAAAAAAAAAAGTCATGCTTTTTCATGTGACTGTAAGAACATATTAAGTCTGGGACTTCATACAGGTGAAATGCTGAAGTTGCATATATAGTCATTATTCAAAAGTGGGACTATTTTGTTTTTATTATATTAGGACTCATATTTTCTGGAAATAGTAATGACAATACAGAGTTGTAGGCGCAGGTAATTATAATGGTAGACTGAGTGAAATAATCAATGGTAATTCAGTGGAGACAAAATACTAAGATCTCAGGAGAGAGGGAGGGACGAGGAGCACTACATCCTGTGAAAAACCATCAAAGTGACAGTCCATAATGACAGGTCACTGAGTTTCTTCCATCATGCTTCGCAAACTGGTTGTGCTCTTCCTTGGCTTTATGTGTCAGGTGAGGAGCCAAAGTTCCTATGGCAAAAAGAGAACTCCCCTGGTTCCCTGGAAATGCTGGGGTTTATTTCTTCTTTTTTTTTCTTGAGACAGAATCTCACTCTGTCCTCCAGGCTGGAGCGCAGCGGCGCCATCTTGGCTCACTGCAAGCTCTGCCTTCTGGGTTCATGCCATTCTCCTGCCTCAGCCTCCCGAGTAGCTGGGACTACAGGCACCCACCATGCCTGGCTAATTTTTTTGTGTTTTTAGTAGAGACGGGGTTTCACTGTGTTAGGCAGGATGGTCTTGATCTCCTGACCTCATGATCTGCCCACCTTGGCCTCCCACAGTGTTGGGATTACAGGCGTCCCGAGTCACCACACCCAGCCAAAATATGAACTTTAAGTATGTAAGTAATTTAAGTGATATTTTCTTCATGTAAGGAATGACAAAATATTTTTGTATAAAACATGCCATCATTAATTTAGGAAAAATAAATTATAGTACATAAAAGGGAAAAAGAGGAAACTCATCATAATAGTGATTATTTTTTTTTTTAATTTGTTACTTTTTCATATGTCTGATTTTTTTTTATTATACTTTAAGTTCTAGGGTACATGTGCACAACGTGTAGGTTTGATACATAGGTATACATGTGCCATGTCGGGTTGCTGCACCCATCAACTCATCATTTACATTAGGTATTTCTCCTAATGCTATCCCTCCCCCAGGCCCCCACCCCCTGACAGGCCCCAGTGTGTGATGTGTCTTTATAGTAGCATAATTTATAATCCTTTGGGTATGTACCCAATAATGGGATTGCTGGATCAAATGGTATTTCTAGTTCTAGATCCTTGAGGGATTGCCACACTGTCTTCCACAGTGGTTGAACTAATTTACACTCCCACCAACAGTGTAAAGCATTCCTATTTCTCTACATCCTCTCCAGCATCTGTTGTTTCCTGACTTTTTAATGATTGCTATTCTAACTGGCGTGAGATGGTATCTCATTGTGGTTTTGATTTGCATTTCTCTGATGACCAGTGATGATGAGCATTTTTACATGTGGCTGTTGTCTGCATAGATGTCTTCTTTTGAGAAGTGTCTGTTCATATCCTTTGCCCACTTTTTGATGGAGTTGTTTGTTTTTTTCTTGTAACTTTGAGTTCTTTGTAGATTCTGGATATTAGCCCTTTGTCAGATGAGTAGATTGTAAAAATTTTCTTCCATTCTGTAGGTTGCGTGTTCACTCTGATGGTAATTTCTTTTGCCATGCAGAAGCTCTTTAGTTAAATTAGATCCCATTTGTCAATTTTGGCTTTTGTTGCCATTGCTTTTGGTGTTTTAGTCATGAAGTCCTTGCCCATGCCTATGTCCTGAATGGTATTGCCTAGGTTTTCTTCTAGGGTTTTTATGGTTTTAGGTCTAACATTTAAGTCTTTAATCCATCTTGAATTAATTTTTTTACAAGGTGTAAGGAAGGGATCCAGTTTCAGCTTTCTACATATGGCTAGCCAGTTTTCCCAGCACCATTTATTAAATAGGGAATCCTTTCTCCATTGCTTGTTTTTATCAGGTGTATCAAATATCAGATGGTTGTAGATGTGTGGTATTATTTCTGAGGCCTCTGTTCTGTTCCATTGGTCTATATCTCTGTTTTGGTACCAGTACCAAAAGCTGTTTTAGTTGCTGTAGCCTTGTAGTATAGTTAGAAGTCAGGTAGCGTGATGCCTCCAGCTTTGTTCTTTTGGCTTAGGATTGTCTTGGCAATGCAGGCTCTTTTTTGGTTCCATATGAACTTTAAAGTAGTTTTTTCCAATTCTGTGAAGAAAGTCATTGGTAGCTTGATGGGGATGGCATTGAATCTAAATTACCTTGGGCAGTATGGCCATTTTCACGATATTGATTCTTCCTATCCATAAGCATGGAATGTTTTTCCATTTGTTTGTGTCCTCTTTTATTTCGTTGAGCAGTGGTTTGTAGTTCTCCTTGAAGAGGTCCTTCACATCCCTTGTAAGTTGGATTCCTAAGTATTTTATTCTCTTTGTAGCAATTGTGAATGGGAGTTCACTCATGATTTGGCTCTCTGTTTGTCCGTTAATGGTGTATAGGAATGCTTGTGATTTTTGCCCATTGATTTTGTATCCTGAGACTTTGCTGAAGTTGCTTATCAGCTTAAGGAGATTTGGGGCTGAGATGATGGAGTTTTCTAAATATACAATCATATCATCTGCAAACAGGGACAATTTGACTTCCTCATTTCCTAATTGAATACCCTTTATTTCTTTCTCTTGTCTGGTTGCCCTGGCCAGAACGTCCAACACTGTTGAATATGAGTGGTGAGAAAGGGCATCCTTGTCTTGTGCTGGTTTTTAAAGGAAATGCTTCCAGTTTTTGCCCATTCAGTATGATATTGGCTGTGGGTTTGTCATAAATAGCTTTTATTATTTTGAGATACGTTCCATCAATACCTAGTTTATTGAGAGCTTTTAGCATGAAGTTCTGTTGAATTTTGTCAAAGGTCTTTTCTGCATCTATTGAGATAATCATGTGGTTTTTGTCTTTGGTTCTGTTTATATGCTGGATTATGTTTATTGATTTGCATATGTTGAACCAGCCTTGCATCCCAGGGATGAAGCCCGCTTGATCATGGTGGATAAGCTTTTTGATGTGCTGCTGGATTTGGTTTGCCAGTATTTTATTGAGGATTTTCGCATCAATGTTCATCAGGGATATTGGTCTAAAATTCTCTTTTTTGTTGTGTCTCTTCCAGGCTTTGGTATCAGGATGATGCTGGCCTCATAAAATGAGTTAGGGAGGATTCCCTCTTTTTCTATTGATTGGAATAGTTTCAGAAGGAATGGTACCAGTTCCTCTTTGTACCTCTGGTAGAATTCAGCTGTGAATCCATCTGGTCCTGGACTTTTTTTGGTTGGTAGGCTATTAATTATTGCCTCAATTTCAGAACCTGTTATTGGTCTATTCAGAGATTCAACTTCTTCCTGGTTTAGTCTTGGGAGGGTGTATTTGTCCAGGAATTTATCCATTTCTCCTAGATTTTGCAGTTTATTTGCATAGAGCTGTCTATAGTATTCTCTGATGGTAGTTTGTATTTCTGTGGGATCGGTGGCGATATCCCCTTTATCATTTTTTATTGTATCTATTTGATTCTTTATTAGTCTTGCTAGCAGTTTATCAATTTTGTTGATCTTTTCAAAAAACCAGCTCCTGGATTCATTGATTTTTTTGAAGGGTTCTTTGTGTCTCTATCTCTTTCAATTCTGCTCTGATCTTAGTTATTTCTTGCCTTCTGCTAGCTTTTGAATGTGTTTGCTCTTGCTTCTCTAGTTCTTTTAATTGTGATGTTAGGGTGTCAATTTTAGATCTTTCCTGCTTTGTCTTGTGGGCATTTAGTGCTATAAATTTCCCTTTACACACTGCTGTAAATGTGTCCCAGAGATTCTGGTACATTGTGTCTTTCTTCTCATTGGTTTCAAAGAACATCTTTATTTCTGCCTTCATTTCGTTATTTACCCAGTAGTCATTCAGGAGCAAGTTGTTCAGTTTCCATGTAGTTGCGTGGTTTTGAGTGAGTTTGTTAATCATGAGGTCTAATTTTATTGCACTGTGGTCTGAGAGACAATTTGTTGTGATTTCTGTTCTTTTGCATTTGCTGAGGAGTGCTTTAGTTCAATTATATGGTCAATTTTAGAATAAGTGCAATGTGGTGCTGAGAAGAATGTATGTTCTGTTGATGTGGGGTGGACAGTTCTGTAGATGTCTATTAGGTCTGCTTGTTGCAGAGCTGAGTTCAAGTCCTGTATATCTTTGTTAACCTTCTGTCTCGTTGATCTGTCTAATATTGACAGTGGAGTGTTAAAGTCTCCCATCATTATTGTGTGGGAGTCTAAGTCTCTTTGTAGGTCTCTAAGGACTTACTTTATGAATCTGGGTGCTCCTATATTGGGTGCATATGTATTTAGGTTAGTTAGGTCTTCTTGTTGAATTGATCCCTTTGCCATTGATCCATTTACCATGGCCTTCTTTGTCTCCTTTGATCTTTGTTTTAAAGTTTGTTTTATCAGAGACTAGGATTTCAACCCCTGCTTTTTTTTTTTGCTTGATCTACCTTTGCTTGGTAGATCTTCCTCCTTCTGTTTATTTTGAGCCTATGTGCGTCTTTGCACGTGAGATGGGTCTCCTGAATACAGCACACTGATGGGTCTTGACTCTTTATCCAATTTGCCAGTCTGTGTCTTTTAATTGGTGCATTTAGCTCATTTACATTTAAGGTTAATATTGTTGTGTGTGAATTTGATCCTGTCATTACGATGTTCGCTGGTTATTTTGCCTGTTAATTGATGCAGTGTCTTCATAGCATCGATGGTCTTTACAATTTGGCCTGTTTTTGCAGTGGCTGATACCGGTTGTTTCTTTCCATGTTTAGTGCTTCCTTCAGGAGCTCTTGTAAGGGAGGCTTGGTGGTGACAAAAATCTCTGAGCATTTGCTTGTCTGTAAAGGATTTTATTTCTCCTTCACTTACGAAGCTTAGTTTGGCTGGATATGAAATTCTGGATGGAAAATTCTTTTCTATAAGAATGTTGAATATTGGCCCCCTCTCTCTTCTGGCTTGTAGGGTTTCTGCCGAGAGATCCGCTGTTAGTTTGATGGGCTTCCCTTTGTGGGTAACTCAACCTTTCTCTCTGCCTGCCCTTAACACTTTTTCCTTCATTTCAACCTTGGTGCATCTGAAAATTATGTGTCTTGGAGTTGCTCTTCTCGAGGAGTGTCTTTGTGGCATTCTCTGTATTTCCTGAATTTGAATGTTGGCCTGCCTTGCTAAGTTGGGGAAGTTCTTCTGGATAATATCCTGAAGAATGTTTTCCTGCTTGGTTCCATTCTCCCTGTCACTTTCAGATACACCAGTCAGACGTAGATTTGGTCTTTTCACATAGTCCCATATTTCTTAGAGGCTTTGTTCGTTTCTTTTTGCTCTTTTTTCTCTAACTTTGTCTTCTCGGTTTATTTCATTCATTTGATCTTCAATCACTGATGCCCTTTCTTCCACTTGATTGAATCAGCTATTGAAGCTTCTGCATGCATCACGAAGTTCTCGTGCCATGGTTTGCACTCCATCAGGTCATTGAAGGTCTTCTCTACACTGTTTATTCTAGTTAGCCATTCATCTAATCTTTTTTCAAGGTTCTTAGCTTCCTTGCGATGGGTTCGAACATCATCCCTTAGCTTGGAGAAGTTTGTTATTACTGACCTTCTGAAGCCTACTTCTGTCAACTTGTCAGAGTCATTCACTGTCCAGCTTTATTCCATTGCTGGCGAGGAGCTGCCATCCTTTGGAGGAGAAGAGGCGCTTTGATTTTTAGAGTTTTCAGCTTTTCTGCTCTGGTTTCTCCCCATCTTTTTGGTTTTATCTACCTTTGGTCTTTGATGTTGTTGACCTAAAGATGGGGTTTTGGTGTAGGTGACCTTTTTGTTGATCCTGCTGCTATTTCTTTCTGTTTGTTAGTTTTCCTCCTAACAGTCAGTTCCCTCAGCTGCAGGTCTGTTGGAGCTTGCGGGAGTTCCACTCCAGACCCTGTTTGCCTGGGTATCACCAGCAGACGTCACAGAACAGCAAATGTTGTTGCCTAATCCTTCCTCTGGAGGCTTCGTCCCAGAGGGTCAGCTTGCCTATGTGAGGTGTCTGTTGGCCCCTACTGAGAGGTGTCTCCCAGTTATGCTACACGGGTGCCAGGGACCCACTTGAGGAGGCAGTCTGTCCATTCTCAGAGCTCAAATGCTATGCTGGGAGAACCACTGCTCTCTTCAGAGCTGTCAGACAGGGATGTTTAAGTTTGCGGAAGTTGTCTGCTGCCTTTTGTTCAGCTATGCCCCACCCACAGAGGTGGTGTCTAGAGGCAGTAGGTCCTGTTGAGCTGCAGTGGGCTCCGCCCAGTTCGAGCTTCCTGGCCGTTTTGTTTACCTACTCAAGCCTCAGCAATGGGGGACACCCCTCCCCCTGCCAGGGTGCCGCCTCGCAGTTCGATCTCAGACTGCTGTGCTAGCAGTGAGCAAGGCTCCGTGGGCGTGGGACCCACCGAGCCAGGCATGGGAGAGAATCTCCTTGTTTGCTGGTTGCTAAGACCTTGGGAAAATGCAGTATTTGGGCAGGAGTGTCCTGTTTTTCCAGGTAGTCTGTTACAGCTTCCCTTGGCCAGGAAAGGGAAATACCCCGACCCCTTGCACTTCCCGGGTGAGGTGATGCCCCGCCCTGCTTCAGCTCACCCTCTGTGGGCTGCACTCACTGTCCACCAGTCCCAGTGAGATGAACCAGGTACCTCAGTTGGAAATGCAGAAATCACCCATCTTCTGCGTCCATCACACTGGGAGCTGCAGACCGGAGCTGTTCCTAGTTGGCCATCTTGGACCAACCGTCTCCTATTGTTTTCTTAAGTAATATAAAAAGTTAATGTAATAATTTAAAAACTAAGATCTGGGAACTTGAAACTTAATGTGCAAAATACTTACCATAATGCCTGACACATAGTAGATACTTAATTAATGGTATTAGTATCATTCATACCTCACAGTTATTATCATGGTACCAATTAACATAATAAATATACAGATACTTTTAAGTTGATTTCAGATTTGTAAATCAGAATTTACAGAAGTTGAAGAAGTGAAAGAAAGAAATAGAGACAGGAGACCCATTTACCTTTAATTTATTCAGTGAAACACTTTATATATAGTTTAAAGATTATTACATATTTATTTCATGGCATTTTCTTTCTTTCTTTTTTAAGACAAAGTCTTACTCTGTTCCCCAGGCTGGAGTGCAGTGGCGCGATCTTGGCTCACTGCAACCTCTGCCTCCTTGGTTTAAGCAATTCTCCTGCCTCAGCCTCCTGAATAGCTGGGAGTATAGGTGTGCATCACCACACCCAGCTAATTTTTCTATTTTTAGTAGAGGTGGGGTTTCGTCATGTGGGCTAGGCTGATCTTGAACTCCTGACCTCAAGTGATCTACCTACCTCAGACTCCCAAAGTACTGGGATTACAGGCATGAGCCACTGCACCCAGCCACATTTTTTTTCAATTTAGCAAAATCACTATACTCTTGTAAAGAAGCTTTTTACATGTTTGTTTTCCATTAATAATAACACACAGAATTAAAATGCAATTGTATTCAAAATGTAAAAAGTGAAATGTATTTTCATCAAAAGCACAAATTAAAGTCAGTGTAAAAAAAAGTTTCCAAATTATTTTCTCTTTTCACTACTTGTAATACTTTATTCTACTTAACTTTTCTTTTTTTAAAAAATAATTTCAAGTTTTATTTTAGATTCAGGGGTTACATGTGTAGATTTGTTACACAGGTGTATTGCATGATGCTGAGGCAGAACTTTGGGGTAATAAAGATTCCGTCACCTAGATACTGAGCATAGTGCCTAATAGGAAGTTTTTGAGCCCTTTCCCCCTCATCCTCTCCCCTCTCTGGTAGTCCCCAGTTCTATTGTTCCCATCTTTATGTCCATATGTAGTCAGTGTTTAGCTCCCACTTACAAGTGAGAACATGTGGTATTGGTATTTGGTTTTCTGTTCCTTTGTTAATTTGCTTTGGATGATAGTCTCCAGCTGTATCTGTGTTGCTGCAAAGGACAAGATTTCATTCATTTTTATGGCTGTATAGTATTCCGTGGTGTATATGTACCATATTTTCTTTATCCAGTTCACCATTGATGGGAACCCAGGTTGATTCCATGTTTTTGCTATTGTGAATAGTGCTGTGATGAACATATGAGTGTGTGTGTCAATTTAATAGAATGATTTACTCTCCTTTCAGTATATACCCAGTAATGGGATTGCTGGAATGGTAGTTCTATTTTTAGTTATTTGAGAAATCTCCAAACTGTTTTCCACAGTGGCTGAACTAATTTACGTAGCCATCAATAGTGTATAATGTTCCCTTTTTTCTGCAGCCTTGCTAGCATCTGTTATTTTTTTTTTCCTTTTAGTAATAGCTATTCTGACTGGTGTGAGATGGTATCTCATTGTGTTTTTTAATTTGCATTTCTCTGATGATTAGTGATGTTAAGCATTTTTTTCATGTTTGTTGGCTGCTTATATGTCTTCTTTTGAGAAGTGTCTGTTTATGTACTTTGCCTACTTTATTATGGGGTTGTTTTTTCCTTGTTGAGTTATGTAAATTCCTTATAGATTCTAGATATTAGAACTTTGTCAGATGCATAGTTTGCAGGTATTTTCTCCCATTCTGTGGGTTGTCTGTTTACTCTGTTGATAGTTTCTTTTGCCAAACCAAAGCTCATTAGTTTAATTAGGTCCCAGTTATCACTTTTTGTCTTTGTTGTAATTGCTTTAGAGCAGTGGTCCCCAAAGTCCCTGGTGCCATTTGACACTGGGGACTGGTTTCGTGGAAGACAATTACTCCATGAACCAAGGCTCTGGGAGGAATGGTTTCAGGATGAAATTGTTCCACCTTAGATCATCAGGCATTAGGGCATTAAATTCTCATAAGGAGCATGCAACCTAGATCCCTCAGATGTGCAGTTCGCAATAGGGTTCACACCACTATGAGAATCTAATGCTCCCACTGATCTGACAGGAGGTAGAGCTCAGGCAGTAATGGTCGCTCACCTGCTGCTCACTTCCTGCTGTGTGGCCCCATTCCTGACAGGCCATGGACTGGTAATGGTCCATGGCCTAGGGTTTGGGGACCCTTGCTTTAGAGGGTCATAAATTTAGTCATAAATTTTTTGCCAAGGCTAATGTCCAGAATGGTATTTCCTAATTTATCTTGAGTTATCTTTTGGGTGTGGTTAAAAGTAGAGATCCAGTTTCATTCCTTTGCATATGGCTAGCCAGTTTTCCCAACACCAGTTATTAAATAGGGAGTCCTTTCCCCATTGTTTGTTTTTGTCAACTTTGTTGAGCATCAGATTGTTGTAGATATGCAGCTTTATTTCTGGTTACTGTATTCTGTTCCATTTGGCTGTGTGTCTGTTTTTGTACCAGTATCTTTATATATACTTTTAAAAAATCATCTCAACAATGCTAGGAGTTAGATAATCATCTTCATTTTATAAATGAGAAGATAAAAACACTGAGAGACTGGCCCAAGGTTGCACAACTAGTATATGGTCAGGATTCAAATCTAAGTAGTCTGGGGATTTCTGCTTCTGGCTAGGATGGAATAGGGATGGAATTTACTTTAAGGCGTTTACTGAAAACTGGGACAAAAATAGGAAACCACAGTTTTCAGACATTGGAAAATAGGCAGCACAGGGCAGATCTGAGGGAAGGAAAACAAATGATAAGAGCTCTATGATTGCCCCATCTTAGGTTCTGGAGAGTTTCCAGGCCACTGTGCAGAGATAAAAAACCTAAATTGAGCTACATGATCTTTGAGCTGAGGAGTTGGAGTTCAGAATTTGAGAGGCCAAGGAAACTAGAATTTGAAAAGCAGAGTATTGCAGAGCTCCAGAGTTCTGCAGAGGGTAACTTTGCAGTATTGATTAGCGCATGTGTGGAGGAAACTATACAAGGCCAGAGAAAGAAAATTATTTAGGTGGGACAGTCTCTAGAGTTCACATGGGACTGGGAAAATTTATTTTTCCGTTAGACAGAGTGGAAAGATACTCTTAATGCATAGTACTTTGAGTAGAAATCTCAGAAGGATTTTGCCTCAGTAGCAGGGCCAAATTAGCCATAGACTAAAGGCTATTCTGGTTCTGGTTAACAAGAATAAAAGTAAGATTTGAAAAGATCAGACTGTTTCTAAGTACAGTAACGTGTAGCTTAATGACAGGGATATGTTCTGAGAAATGTGTCATTAGGCGATTTTGTCATGTGCAAACATCATGGACTATACATATATGCACCTAGATGGCACAGTATACTACATACCTATCCTATATGGTACAGCCTATTACTCCTAGGCTACAAACCTGTAAAGCATATCACTGTACTGAATACTGTAGGCATTGTAACATAATGGTTAATATTTGTGTACCTAAACATATCTAAACATAGAAAAGGTTTAAACAGTAAAAATACAATATTATACTCATGGGACCCCTGTCATATGTATGTGGACTGTTGTTGACTGAAACTTCATTATGTGGCTCATTACTATATCTTAGCTGCATTCCAGAATGAAGATTCAGAAATAAGTAAAGGAAAACAAAGAATCCAGCTCTGAAAAAAACATTAAATTCACAATGTCTGACATCCAATCAGAAATGACTGGGCAGCCCAGGTGGGTTCATTGGTGAACTCTATCAGCCATTTAAGGGAGAATTTATGTTAATTCTCTATAATCTCTTCCAGAAGACAGAATCAGAGGAAATGCCTCCTAACTCATTCTACAAGGCCAGCATTATCCTAATACCAAAACCAGACAAAGACATCTTCACCTGGGTAATAACAAGGGCTCCCATCCTCTGCCATGCTGTCACTAGAGACAGTATGAGGAGCTTGGACATCCACTCTCAACTGGCAGTAATGAGGTACCCTGCCCTCATCCTGCTCTGACATGACATCCTGGGTCATGTCAGAGGAGGCCTAGTACAGGGTCAGGACTTTAACCACTACCCAGCTGCGTGTTATCAATGGAGGCCACATCTGGCCCTGTGGTATCGATGGAGGTAACATGAGGAGCAATAATAAATTACTCCTACGCTTCCCATCCAGGGAGGTGTCAGTTGAGGCCTAATGGGGAACCAGAACTCCCACCCCTGTTCATTATGGGTATCATGAGAAGCCCTCCCACCTTGGGTATCAACAGAAGTAGAGTGGAGAATCGGGACTACTACCTCCTCGTGGTAGTAATGAGGTGGCAACACCACCCATCCCCTACCATAGCAATATCACAAAAAGCCAGCTAATACAAACTTTGTTTAAGATCTGGAGTCTCATAACTTAATTCCCCAAATGTCCAAGTTTCCATTGAAAATTGCTTGTCACACCACGAACTAGGAAGGTCTGAAACTGAATGTAAAACACACTAATAGATGCCAACACTGAGATGCAGAGGTGTTAGAATTATTTGACAAACATTTCAAAGCAGCCATGGTAAGAATGATTCAATGAGGAATTATAAACGTGGTTGAAACAAACAAACAAACAAAACCCAAAAGACTTAGCAAAGAAACAGAGAATAAAGAGAAGAAAATTGGAAATTTTAGAACTGAAAGAGTGACTAAGAAAGCCTGAGTTGCCAGGCTCAACTGCAGAATGGAAGGGATAGAGGAAAAAACTACTGAGCTTAAAGGTAGAACATTAGAAATTACCCAATCTGAACAGACTAGAGAAAATAGATTTAAAAAGCAAATAAACAGATTCTCAGTATCCTGTAGGACTATAACAAAAGATCTAAGATTTCTGTCCCTGAAAGGAGAAAAGAGGGCAGGGTGAGAAGGTAATGGAAGAAATAATGACTAAAAACTTTCCAAGTTTGGTAAAGGCACAAACATGTAGCTTCAAGAAGCTGAACACATTCACAGCAAGAGATACCATAGTCAGGTTTAAAAAAAAACTATAGGAAAATCTTGAAAGCAGCCCAAGAAATTATATCTTACCCATTGGGGAAAACAATTAGAAAACTAGCTCATTTCTCATCAGAAATCAGAGGCCAGAAGGAAGTGGCACATTATCAAGTGCTGAAAGATAAGGACTGTCAACTCATAATTCTATATCCAGCAAAAATATCCTTCAGGAATGTAGGGGAAATCAAGACATTCTCAAATGAAGGAAAATGAAGGAACTTTTTGCCAGTAGACCTATCCAAAAGAGAAGTTTGTCTAAATAGGAAGAAAACAGTAAAAAGAAGGAATCTCAAAGTATTAGGAAGGATAAATGTACATGGTAAACAGAACTGTGGGTATATGTAATAGACTTCCTTTTGCTTCATGAATTTTCTAAATTTTGTTTGGTGGTTGAAGTAAAAATTTTAACTCTGATGTGGTTCTAAATATATAGAGAAAATATTTTAGGTAATTATATTATAAATGAGCAAGGACAAAGGGATATAAAAGGAGGTGAAGTTTCTACATATCACTCAAACTGACAAAATGAATTCAGTAGACCATGATAAGTTACATAAATATAATAACTAGAACAACCACTAAGAAAGCTATACAAGGAGATACATTTAAAACATTATAGATAAAATGGAATCCTGAAATATGTTCATGTAACAGGCAAGAAAAAGAAAACAGAGAAACTAAGAGAAGAAACAGACCAAAATGGCTTAACGTATCAATCATAATAAATGTAAATGGTCTGAATACATGAATTAAAATACAGATATTTACAGTGTAGATTTTTAAAAATGACCTAACTGTACTGACAGTCCCCAGATTACAGTGTTTGAACTTGGATGATTTTTCAACTTAACAATGGGTTTATTGGGATGTAACTCCATTGTAAGTCAGGGTGCTCCTTATGACATATGGTTTCTACTGAATGCATGTCATTTTATACCATTGTAAAGTTGAAAAGTTGTAACTTGAACCATCATAAGTCAGGGTCCATATGCTGTGTTGCCGGCATAAACTGCATTTTTCACTTTTCATGAGTTTATTGGGATGTAATTGCATCATAAGTCAAGGGGTAACTGTATGATGTCTATAAGAAACTCCAAGTATAACAGTATAGGCAGTTTGTAAATAAAAGGATATACAAAGCTATATCATGGAATCATTAATTAAAAGCAGGAGCATCAGTATTAATATCAGATAGAGCAGACTTCAGGGCAAAGGAAAATAACAAAGAAAAATACCAGATTTATATAGAAAGAGATTATATAGTGACAAAAGAGGTCAACCCAGCAAGAAGACACAGGAATACTAAATGTATGTGCACCAGAGGTGCAAAATGTTTGAAGCAAAAATTGAAAGAACTAAAAGGTGAAATAGACAAATCTATAATTATAGTTGGTGACTTCATACCCCTCTCTCAACAAGTGATAGAACAATTAAAAATCAGCAAGGATAAATAAGAACGCAATAACACCATCAACCATCAGAACCTAAATAACATTTATAAAACATGCCACCCAAGGAGAACACCCAGACATGTTCTTTTGAAGTATTCGCTGAATGTATATAAATGCTCACTGAACATATACAAGATAGACCATATCCTGGGCTATGAAATAAACCTCAACAAACTTATACAACTTGAAATCATAATGAGTGAGTTTTCTGACCACAATAGAATCAAACTAGAAATTAATAACAGAAAATAACAGGGAAATCTTCAAACACTTGGAAATGAAATGACATACTTAAAAAAATTTATGGGTCAAGGTGGAAATTTCAAAGAAAAACATTTCAATGAGATTACATTTCAAAAAATACATTGGATGAAAATGAAAATGCAGCATATCAAAAATTTTAGGACACAGCTAAAGCAGTGCCAAGAAACATTTATAGCACTAAATACATGCATTAGAAATGAGGGAACAAGTCAGTAATGTAAGCTCCCACCTCAAGAACCTAGAAAAAGAGTATCAAAATAAAAGTAAAGCAAGCAGAAGGAGGGAAATAATAAACATAGCAGAAATTGAAAACAAAAATAATAGAGAAAATCAGTGAAACAAAGAGCTGGTTCTTTGAAAAGACAATAAAATTGACCAACTTTTAGCAAAACTAACAAAAAAGATGGAAGATAAAAATTTTACCTATCTCAGGAATGAAAGAGTATCACTCATGACCTTGCAGACATTAGAAGGGAAATCAGATAATCCTTTGAACAACTCTACTCTAATAAATTTGACAATGCAGATGAAATGAATCAATTTCTTAAAAGGCACAAACGACCACAACTCATTTAATGTGAAATTGGCAGTTTGTATAGACCTATTACTGTTAGGGAAATTCAATCTGTAATTTTAAAACTCCCAAAATGAATAGTTAACTAGAGAATTTTACCAGGTGTTTAAAGAAGTATCAGTACCAATTCTACATAATGTCTTCCCCAAAAAGGGAAGAGGAATGTTACCAATAGGGGAATCTTGGTTAAAGGATATACAGGATCCCGCTATATTAATCCTTATAATAATTCCTTGTGAACCTGCCATTATCTGAAAAAGTTTAATTTTAAAAGAAGTAACTGAAGAAAGAAAAGACATCTTATACAGAGGAACAGATAATGACGACAGACTTATTTTTACAAGTAATAAAAGCCAGAAGACAGTAAAGCAATATCTTTAAAATACCAAAAGAAAAAAGAAACCTAGGCAGTTTGATTCCAGAGCCTTTTCTCTTACCCATATCCCTATGTTATATCGTAAAGGTAATAACAACAAAGAAGGATGGAGTAATTAGGTAACACTACCTTTCCCTCTTGTGTGCCTTGGGGAATTGAAGTGCTATCATTTTTTGAAAAGGAAATCAGTCACTATTCCTAGTCCCTATTGTTTCTGTTTAGTTTCCTTTACTTCAATAACTTTTTAAAAAGTAATATTAGTTAACACATTGTCTTATCTGTCAAGTAAGTTTGTATTTAGAATAGAATAGAGTAAATGTAGAGGTAGCTGCAATACAGGCAGATTTAAATAAAGTTCATAAAAGAGAAATTTAAACAAAGCCCTTTGGAAATTTAGAGGAAAGATTGAGAGCACAAGAAATTGAGGACATCAAGGAAGATGACATGTAAGTCTGATTGAGAATGGCGGAAAAAGAAAGAGCTGAGGCTGTATCCAAGATCTGTGCCAAATGTCTGGGACACAAGTGGTGTTATGGCAGTGATTGAATGTAATAAGCTCTGCATCAGCAGAGGTTTTGTGTTTGCTTATCTGCTGGGTTGTATCCTTACTACCTAAAACAGTTTTGGGTACTTAGTAAGTACTCAGTAAATATTTGTTGCCTGAATAAATAAATGAATAGCAAAATTAGATGGCAGTTTTGTAAGAATGATTTGATATGTCTGGTTTAGGAGTTATAAACATGGAATCTAATTTTCAGTCATCAGCTAGCTGTCATCCAGTCTCATAGCTTCAACTATCACTTCAGCTATCACACAGATGCCTCCCAAAACGTGGAAAGAAAGCAATAATATGGGAAGTATGCAGGTCAAGAACATTGTGAACTGTGTGACCCTATGTGTAAAATGGGGACTACAAGAGAAATTATTGTTAATGTTGATTTTACATGTAGAGCACTTAGCTCAGTATTTGATCCATAGTAAGTACTCAGTAAAGGGCACCATTGTCTGAACTTGAGTTACACATTGACTCCTGACCTTAGATGAGCCATCACACCTCTAATATAGCACATTAAAACCATATCAGGTTACCTCATGTAAAAGGTAAACAGTATCTTAAAGATCAGCTAGCCCAAGTTCTTCATTTAAACTGAGGACAGAATACAGTGGATAAAAAAGTAATCCGGGACCAAACCAGGAAGTAATAGTTATTTGTAAAGCGTGGGAGGAAAAATAGGAGAGAAATACTAATTAGTTGGGCTTTTGAGGACTTAACTCTAAATGCCACAGCTGCCTTCAAGGATAAATTTTATTCTCTGCAAAATAATATTTGTCTGCTGGATAGCTCTACCTATATTTCTCATTGGCATTTAAATTCAGCATGTCCAAAAACAAACTGGAATCACTATGTGTTAAAACTAAAAAGGTTGTTAGAGTGCATGTAATTCAGTTTCCCATTTTACAGGTGTGGAGAACAGATCCTGCCCTGGGGTGGAGGTCTTAAACTTTTTAGATTCATTGATAGTGCTGTGATCAAACAGTTGTTTCTTGGACCACTTTTGCCTAAGGTTTTGGAGCATTTCTTTAGTTTTTTCTGTTTTTGTTTTTTGTTTTTTTTTTTTTTTTTTTGCAGGGCCGGGGAGCTTACAGTGAGTCTTTGATGTTCATCCTGGCTACAAACAACCTCTTGTCCTGTTTTGAGCAGTGGTTTTCAACTTCTTCTTAACAAACAAAAAACCCAGCTGAATCATTTACTTAAGTTGAATCATTTGAAGAAACCCCAGAAAGAGACTAAAAATAGAAGCGTATGGTTAATGCCAGAAATTTGGTGGGGGTGGTGGTAGGGGATAGATAGTTGGGGAGATCAGGAAAGGGAAAGAATGAGTTCTAGACCCTGATTGCTTGCCCCTGGTCTCCAGAGGTGAGGAGCTTCTGAAATGCCTCAGAGGTTAGGAAACAGTTTGAAACCCACTGATTTGGAGGCCCACGAAGTCCAGCAGTGATAATTGGCATGAATGACAAGACCACTGGTGTCTCTGCTCTGCAAGTTCCCCAGTGACTTTAACACCTGCCCTGGAGTAATGATTTTTCAATTCTTCTTGAATCTAAGAACTAAGAACTAGGCCATCATTACAATTAGGACTTTAATAAACTCTCAGCTATCATTTAAAAACTCTCATCAATCACATTTGCTTTTATGTACACAGACAGGCAGTTTTTGTGTGAATTAAGTTGCCCTGACATAGATAATTTTATTAGTATAGACTAGCTCAAGAATTACAGTCATGTGAGGAAAAGCTTTGGAGTAGTCAGAGTTTTGGTCATGAACCCCTATAATGTTATGATGAATTTTAAAATACTTGATGTATGTTTAGTACTTACAGTATTATAATTTTAAATTTTAGTCAGCAACTGATTAAGCCCTGTTCTAGACACCACGTGGAGATACAGGGAAAACAGGACACAGTCCTTGACCTCACATTTGAGTCCCACTAAGAACAAAAAGATAGTGATACTTAAAATTTTTTCCTTTGTACTTTGTTTCAGCACCTGAGCTTTGATTTTGTGCATTTTTTAATTTTACTGACTTGTAAAGCATGTTCATGACTGAAAATTTAATAATTTAACCTTGTATGCTTTCTTTAAAATTATTATTAGATTGCAAGACTGGAGGAAGATAAAGAAGAACTACGTAACCAGCTGCTTAATGTTGATCTCACAAAAGACAGCAAACGAGTGGAACAACTTGCTCGAGAAAAAGTCTATTTGTGTCAAAAATTAAAAGGTTTAGAGGCTGAAGTAGCGGAATTAAAGGCTGAAAAGGAGAATTCTGAGGCTCAGGTGGAAAATGCCCAAAGAATACAGGTGCGGCAGTTGGCTGAGATGCAGGCTACAGTCAGATCCCTGGAGGTAAGATTCTAATTACTTCCCAGTAGAGTATGGCATACTTTTTTAAAGTGCAGTTGACAAGCCTTTGATTTTTAGAGCATAAATGTATGCCCCCCAAGCTAATGCTGATGCATTTGTGTAATCCCAAGAGTATTTATTCTTTTAGTAAAGAAGAAAGCTATTGATTCATAAGCAATACGTATGCTACCACATTTACAAAGGGGTATTTATTCTTTGGGAGTCAAGTCACCTATCTGAAATGTCTTAACTCTTAAAATGCCACATAATAGAATATGCAAAATAAAAATATATGTATTTGAGTTTCTGAGCGTAAAGTCATCTCAAACCAGAAAGAATAATTTCTTTCAAGATAGTACATTCCTTACACTGGGATTTGAGGTCTTAAAGTCACAAATCCTGTTTGAACAGAAATACCATACTGATGTATCTTACGACAGCTTCTTGCCAGAGTAGTAAAATCCAACTGTAAAGGTATACATGCCTTTACAGAATTATTTCCCTGGGTTCATTAGAGAAAGATAAGTGTTGGCAGACCTGACTGGTACTCCTACGGGTATTGCCTTATGAAAATTCTTGGTTTCCATTTTATTCAGATACACTTATTCTTCTTAGTTCTTAGTGCCTAACTTGTAGCAAACATACCTGTTTAATTGTTTTTATTTATTTTGTATAGTTCAAAGTGTTTCTTTTTCCTTTGGAATAGTTATAAAATGATTTGGGTGGGGGGGACATTAGCGGGCATTTAATTTGTAGTTAAAATCAATATCCAAATCCAAGATGGTGATTTTTTTTTTCCCCAGCCAGTGGTACAGGAGTACAATGGTATGTTTTGAAGAGTAGAAGTTACTTTTTATTTTGTTACATGACGCTCTGTCAGTATTTACTGGTTTTCTGAATTAAAAGTTGTCAGTATCATTGTACCTTAAACATGAAGCAGTTCATTGTGAGACTATTTATGTTGCCATCCTTCCATCCTTAATGTATTTTACACAGTGACAGAATAAGTGAGATGATTGCAGTTGAATATAGCATACAGTCCTGATGTGAAACTTTCCATTGAGGTCCTTTAGAGTGATTATTTTCAGGGCAAGTTGAATGATGACAGAAGATTTATTTGTGACATTTTCAGAAGAGCCTATATTTAATTTTATTATTTGTCAGATGAAATGAAAATAAGCGTATGACAGCAAGCATTTCTTTCTTCTTTAACTTTCTTGGCTATCATTGTGCCCAGAGAGTATTATTTCATATATGAAGAAAATAGTTTTTTTCCCTAATTGTTTGTCGAATATAGTCCTTACCACATTTAAGCTAGATGTTCCCCAACTTAAGGTGGTTTGACTTACTATTTTTTGACTGTCCGATGGTGTGAAAGCCATATATGCATTTATGTACTTTGAATTTTGATCTTTTCCTGGGTTACTGATATGTGGTGTGATACTCTTAATGCTGGGTAGCTGCACTGAGCCACAGTTCCCAGTCAGTCATGTGGTCATGAGGGTAAATAACCTCTTTACAGAGTACTGTGTCGCCAAATGATTTTTTCCAACTGTAGGCTAATGCACGTGTGTTGAGGATGCTTAAGTTAGGCTAGTCTAAGTTATGGACTTAGGTATTTTCAATTTGTGATGGGTTTATCAGGATGTAACCCCATCATAAGTCGAACAGCATCTATATGTACGAAATGAGATGTTATAAAACTGAAATTTATCCTTTAAATGCCAAAATGTCTTCATTTTAATTATGTTGAGGTCAGGTGTGGTCGCTTATGCCTGTAATCCCAGCAGTTTGGGAGGCTGAGGTAGCTGGATCACCTGAGCTCAGGAGTTTGAGATGAGCCTGAACAACACGGGTGAAACCCTGTCTCTACAAAAAGTACAAAAATTAGCCAGGTGCCATGGTGTGCACCTGAAGTCCTAGCTACTCGGGAGGCTGAGGCAGGAGAATTGTTTGAGCTTGGGAGGCGGAGGTTGTGGTGAGCCAAGATCGTGCCATTGCACTGCAGCCTGGGAGACAGAGCAAGACCTTGTCTCAAAAAAAAAATATATATATATATATGTGTGTGTGTGTGTGTGTGTGTGTGTGTGTGTGTGTGTGTGTATATATGTATATATATTATGTTGAATAGACATGTTTTTTCAAAAAAGATTTTAGTTTCCCTCCCCTCATGAAAGAGTACTATCGATATTACCATCCAGAAACTTTTTTGACAACCTGCAGACTTCATTAACAATCTTAATTGTGTCATGAGATCAAGAGCCTCTTTGCTCGTACTTAAAAAGTCTGCAGATGAGCTGAGGATTTTGAAATCATATCTTTCCCTGTTTCTTTTTTTAAAATCATTGATTTTAGATTTTCAATTTTTACTTGTTACTATCAATGAGCCCTGTCTTCTAGTTTCTAATATGCTTTTTCTTATCTGTTATAGACTGGAAACTTCCAAAATGTTTGAAATAAGTCAGTGTTAAGAGTAAATAGACATCAAATGAATGCCTTAGGTACTTTCTGTCGTGAGAGAAGTGTATAAACTTTATTTTATTGATGGTCATTCATATGTTGTTTGTCTAGATGCCTTTGTTGCATATTTCCTGGAACACTATCTTTCGTTTGAATTCTGCCAATTAGTTTGAGAAAATTTTTGTTACATTGGTATATGTTAAGTTGAGGTTTTGAATAATTTTAGTATAATTATAAATGTATTTTAAATAGTGCTTATTTGATTTTGAAATACTTGAAAAATGATGAATTTTAAACTATTTTGTTTGTATGAAAGGCTGAAAAACAATCAGCTAATTTACGGGCAGAACGTTTGGAAAAAGAGCTACAATCAAGCAGTGAACAAAATACCTTTTTAATTAATAAATTGCATAAAGCTGAACGAGAAATAAATACATTGTCCAGTAAAGTAAGTTGTTTTATGTTTCTGTTTCATTCTTTAGAATGTTTGTTAGTATATAATGATAAATTTTATTTTTAATAATTGATTTCTTTATACTGAAATGTTTTATTATATCATTCTGCCTTCTAAGAAATAAATACATTGATCAGTAGAGTATGTTATCTTATGCCTCTATTTCATTCTTTAGAATGCTTGATACTGTACAGTGACAAATTTTGTGTTTAGTTCTCTGTATTGAAATATTTTTAATCCTTTATCATTCTACCTTCCAAATACATGCAGAATCTGATCAATTCTTATGACATCCACTGTGACTATTCCAGTCCAAGCCATGATTTTTCTAGGCTCCATTTCTGTGCTAGGTTGCTAACTGGTCTTTCTGCTTTCTACCCATTCAGAGCTCTGTATGATCTGGATCCTGCAGTCTTTTCACAGCCATGACCTGTATTTTTCCTCCTGTTCACTTTGCTCCCTTTGGCCTTCTCACTCTTTGAGCAAACTCACATCTTGCTCAGGGTTTCTGCACTTGTCTGAGTTTGGCTCAGTCTTCCCTCACGTATCCACATAACTTGCTTCTTCACCACCTAGATGTTGCCTAACCAGGGAGGCTTTCCTTGTCTTCACATTGTAAAACAGCATCTTCCTTCTTCCTCTGTCTTTCTCTCTGTCTTCCTTACCTGCTTCATAGCTCTTAATACTATCTGATATAGTTATTTGGTTTTTATTTTTTGGTCTCTCCTTTTCTTTCCCACCACCTTCCCCTCAACCCAATGTAAGCTCCAAGAGAGCAGGGACATTGTTTTCATCACTACTGCTTTTCCAGCTTCTAGAATGGTGCCGGCACATAGTAGGTACTCAAATATTTCTTCAATGAATAAATTAGTAGTAGCAGCATGATCTACATTTATATTCTCCTTAACAGACTGGATTCAAATTCTGATTTTTTCATTACTAAAAAAAGCTGTGTGACCTTGGGCAGTTCACTGTCTCTCTGAAACTTAAGTGCCTTTGTCTATGCAATGGGACTAATACCTACATTACAGAGTTGTGGCAAAAATTAAATGTAGCTGATGATGAAAATGATAATAGCAGTGATTATACACTGGTGATATCCTTAAATAAGAAAATATTGTAACATAAAGAATACAGAATTTTTAGTCCATTGACTAGTCTGTGTCTCACTGTCTCAATAACTATGTGTAACCTAAGGCAAGTTACCTAATATCATTAGGATCCAATTTCCTTATATCTGTAAGAACCCTTCCAGCCTACTAAGACTGTGTAAGAACTACTAGGAAATAATTTGATTGCCTCCTGATTAACTGTAAGTAGATTATATATTCAACAGATACACATTGAAAGCTTATAACTATAGAGTATACAAAAAAATAGATACAAAACACAAGTAAATTCAGGATATGGGGAGTTTCCATGCTTTTCTTCCAATTCCAGTATAAATTATTTTCAATTTTGTGAAATAATATTGAGTACGTAGTATTTGCAGCACATTGTTCTTGACCTGAGTAGCCAGACTACACTGCTGGAATAATTGGAACCACAGATGTCGCAATAGGACATGGGATGTGCTGGCTTCTGCTGTGGCTTCTCTCTTGGGGGGGCCACCAAGTATAATACTTTTCATGCAGTACATTTTACCTGAGCTCCCTAGCTCACCTGTGTGCTGACCCTGATTTTTCTTCTTTTTTTCCATATATATATACTCTTCCCTATTGCTCTTTCCTCTTAGAGTTAGAGCCTAGGTGATTTCTCCTACTCCGCTGAAGAAAGAACAGCAATCTAGTATAGTATTTATTTCTCTGTGCTTGTTTATTAATACACATTGCTAAGAGTTGCCTGTCTTTTTAAAGGCACACTTGCCTTATTTTGCATATAAATGGAGTATTAAATACCATCCTTCAACTTTAAACAAACCAAGTTTCATTTGAAGTCTTGTATGTAAAGATTCCATTGGAAGGGTAGATTTTAAAATAATATTTCAAACATGACTGCCACAGTTTTCTTTGCAACTTGAAGTTTTCATCAACATTTTGCAATTCTAGCAAATGGTTGTTTGCAGTGCAAAGGAACACCTGGGGTGTGTTTGTCTTAGTTACTCAAATTCATAAATGTTTGTCAGATTTTAGAACAAAGTTATGTCAGTGTGAGTATCAGTGTCTTGGATTAAAAGGTATTACCAAAGATGGCCTGAAAATGATGACCTTAAAGAGATTTCACATTCAGTGAGGTAAATTCTTCTAGTTCCCTCATAAGGTTTTTCATTTTCAGAATGCCAATAAAAGGTAGTTTTAAGAAAGCCACCCAACAGAGTTGTCCTTATTTACCTAAATTAATTGGGTAATTACATCTCAGAACTTTGAAAAAGATCAAGATTTAAGTACCATCTCTTTGGAATCTGTATCCAGAGCTTCTTAGGTAATACATATTGTCAATTATATTTCCATTTCTTGCTTATTTATGCTGTGCTCTTGTGTGTCTTTCTGTGAGTATGTGTACTTTAACAGATACTGACCCCCTGTAAAATGCCCAGTTTTGCCAGTTTTGACATTTATTAAAGTTTTGTTAGTAATATCTGAATACTTCCATTGTGTCAAAACATAAAGCAAATTCACAACATAAAGGCCAGAATCTATATGGCAAACATTCTGTGAAGAACAGGGTGACTTGGTCCAGTGGAGCTTTAGGAGACCATGAATTGCTTGAAATTTTATGCAACATTTTAACATGAGCATTTTATTTAAAAAAAAAATCCCTAATTTTCCTAGGATTTGGGACTTGATCACAAAGAAGATTAAGAACCAAGGATCTAGGGGCAGAAAGAAACTTTACTGTAACATTTGGAATTTGGTTCAGATTACTCATAGAAAAGTGCTATTATTTGTCATTACTGGGTAATACATTTTCATACGTTAAGTAAAATTCCTTTTAGTATATTTTTAGGAAATTAACAGTGTTCATATAAGTGATGCATCAGTGATGTTAGGATAATAGAAATAAGGCAATAAAGAAAAACTTTAGATCCATAAATGAGTACATTTGAATGCAGAGAGGACAGGTAAATTGCTTGAGCATATACCACTGGTTTAACAGCAAAAGTAGGCCTGAAGACAGACCTCACTTGTTGCTTGACTTCCTATTCGGTGTTCTTTCAGTTTCAATAATTGTAGTTTAGTTAAAAATGTCGTCTCATTTCAGTAAATTTCAGGGTGAAATGAATAAGAAATAAGTTTTTGTAGATCTTTTACCATGAGATGAATCAACTTCCTATGAAATAAGATGGCTCTAATTTTCCACCTCATGCAGCTATAGTATGTTTGTTAATGAAATGCTGTGTCATTCTTAACCTTTTACAGTTAGTATATAATAGCAGGTTATAATTACATTTGTCATAGTGATTGGATTTTCTTTGTAATCATATTTCTTCAAAATTTTAAAGTATTTATAATTTAAATTCTATCTGTCCATGAAATTATAATGTAGTAAAATCCAATCTACAGAAAGTTTAAGTATTAAAACAAATTATCAGCTGTTGTCATGTAAACATCATTTTATAAAACTTGCTTTTATAGAAAATAACTTCCAAAAGGAAATTAAAACCACAGGCCAGGTGTGGTGGCTTAACGCCTGTAATCCCAGCACTTTGGAAGGCCGAGGCGGATGGATCACGAGGTCAGGAGTTCAAGACCAGCCTGGCCAAGATGGTGAAACCCCATCTCTACTAAAAATACAAAATTTAGCCAGGTGTGGTGGTGCATGCCTGTAATCCTAGCTACTCAGGAGGCTGAGGCAGAGAATTTGCTTGAACCCAGGAGACAGAGGTTGCAGTAAGCTGAGATTAAGCCACTGTACTCCAGCCTGGGCGACAGAGCGAGACTCTGTCTCAGAAAATAAATAAATAAAAATGCAAAACTGATGTCAGCACAGGGTCACCATTTTATGTACGGTCATTTAAAAATCTACGAGTTAATTTGGAGGGATGTCTTATTGTAGTTACCAGTACATAAGGCAGTACTCACTTTTCTGTTTATTTCCTTTGGATGAGGATTTTGCATGAAACTATTCCTTGAAACGTTTTCAGGACCTTTTGTTGATGGAATATCTTCCAATAAGACACTTCTATTTCTTATCCTTGCCCTCTTTGGCTCTAGGACCTTTTTTTGATTTGTGTCTGACTCCCAACTCCAGTATTTATGGGGTTTTATTGGACTCTTAAGTAAATTGTCTTTTATTTTCCTGTTTCTGCCATCTCACATTTTCTGTATTTGATGTGTATGTATTTGTAGTTTCCTACTCTGATTCCATACTTTTATATATTTGGATAATATATCAGAAAATGGGTTAATCTAACCTTTGTGTTTGTATTGATTAAATCCTTATTATATGACTATATCTAATTTTAGAAGCTCCTTACCAAAGAGAAGGGCTATGGAAAATGAATTTATATGATTTATACTTGTTCCTGCCCCCAATCCCCTACCTAATACTTGTGCACATGCGCACACAGACACAGTCTATACACATTACACTATTTTGTCACCAGATTCAATTGATTCTTCCTTCCCCCCTCCGTTTATTCATTTCTTGCCTCTTAATTGATTTATTTACCTTCAGTTTCTTAAGCCAACAGATTCGCATTAGTTAATTGTGCCACCTTCAACAGCTAACCTGAAAAACAACCCTTTTGTATGGTATATAAAGTTTATTCCCTGCCATTCCTCCACAGATTTCACATCTTCCGGTGCTCTACATGTAATGCTTAGCTTGTTTTAAGAGCAGACCATGTGATGTTATACATATAATAACATTTTGTATGCTGTTCCTTCTACCTAGAATACCTTCTTTGTCCCCAGCACATTTTTTATTCTTAAATTTAATTTTAATTTTTTTTTAGAGACAAGGTCTCACTCTGTTGCCCAGGCTGGAATACATTGGCACAATCATAGCACTGCAGCCTCAAACCCCTAGACTCAAGTGATCCTCTTACCTCAGTCTCCCCAGTGGCTGGGACTAAGGGGCATGTCATGTCTGGCTAATTTTTAAATTTTTTTTTAGAGAAAGGATCTCACTATGTTGCCCAGGCTGGTCTCCAACACCAGGCCTCAAACACTTCCTTCTGCCACAGCCTCTTGAGTAGCTGGGATTTTAGGTGCAAGTTACTGTATCCAGCTGTGGACACTTTTTAAAAGGAAGGTTTCAGGCCAAGTGCAGTGGATTACAACTATAATCCTAGCACTTTAGGAGGCCAAAGCAGGTGGATTGCTTGAGGCCAGGAGTTTGAGACCAGCCTGGTCAACATAGCAAGACCCTATTGCTACAAAAAAATTGAAAAATTATCTGAGTGTGGTGGTGTGCACCTATAGTCCTGACAGCTACTTGGAATGCTGAGGAGAGAGGATCACTTGAGCCCAGGAGTTTGAAGTTGAAATGAGCTATGATCGTGCCACTGCACTCCAGCCTGGATGACATAGCAAGACCCTGTCTTTTAGAAATATTAACAAATTTTAAAAGTTTCAGGGTTTTTTCCCCTGCAGATTTTCCAATCATTGAGTAGTTGATTTTAGATACTTGTAATTAAGTCTTTAAGGCAAGATTAAGCCAAAGGACCATACACAGATATTCGTAAAGAAATGCCTCTGTTCTGTTAGGAAAGAACAGTATTTTCTTAATGTCTCCTTACTTGAAGTACTGTTGCAGGCACTGACACTTCTTTCTTCTTGGAAGATACTTAGACTCTACTTTACTACCAGAGCGTTTTCTTGTTTCCACTTATGTTTTGGGGTAAGTATTGAATGGCAAGAAAATGACCAATAGTAATTTCAGTTTTTAATTATCAACAGGTAAAAGAACTTAAACATTCAAACAAACTGGAAATAACAGACATCAAACTGGAGACAGCAAGAGCTAAGAGTGAGCTAGAAAGAGAAAGGAATAAGATTCAAAGTGAACTGGATGGTAATATGTGATTTCCCTTGCTGCTGCTGCTGCTGCTTATTTTCAGATATGAACTCAAATTATTAAAATAGTTGAATCTGAATTTTTATTTCCAAATTTTCAACTTAATTTAGTTTTAATTTTGGAGTACATATGAAATGTTTATTATATGTTGAGTGTTTTGTTCATTGTAAGATTTAATAACTTTAAAAAAATCAGTCTTATGTTTTTATCATAGTTATTGGATACATAAATGAATTTTGTAAATGGGATGCCATACTTCCTGATTTATAAATTTTAAATCTATTTATGGTGTAGTTATTAGTCCCAGGACATTTTAAGTCTGGAGAATGTGAGGAAGATAATTGGGTTCCAGGCTTAATTTTTTTCAATTAAAAAGATTTTTTTATGTAGACCTCAGGCCAGTTCATTGTAGCCTAGTGCAGAGTAGGCTTATTTATTTATTTTTTATTTTTATTTTTTATTTTTGAGATGGAGTCTCGCTCTGTCCCCCTGGCTGGAGTGCAGTGGCGTGATCTCGGCTCACTGGAAGCTCTGCCTCCCAGGTTCACGCCATTCTCCTGCCTCAGCCTCCCAAATAGCTGGGACTACAGGCGCCCACCACCAGGCTGGCTATTTTTTTGTATTTTTAAGTAGAGACAGCGTTTCACCGTGTTAGCCAGGATGGTCTTGATCTCCTGACCTCGTGATCTGCCTGCCTCGGCCTCCCAAAGTACTGGGATTACAGGCATGAGCCACGCCCAGCCGAGTAGGCTTATTTTTAAGTTCCAGTTTAATCTTGGAACATCTGTCTCATCAGATTTCCTCATTATTTATGTTGTTTCTAACTTGAAGTATTTAAATAAGCTTACCTTTGGCCTGTAGCTATGCTTGAGTTGATCTGTAGTTGAACTCATTTCAGACAGAGTTTATGATGAATGCCTTTCATGTTTTGAAATGGGGTCTCACCATGTTGCCCAGGCTAGCCTTGAACTCCTGGGCTCAAATGGTCCTCCTGCCTAAGCCTCCTCAGTAGCTGGGACTACAGGTGCTAACACCGTGTCTGGCTGCTATGAATGATTTTTTCCAATTGTTAATTTCTATTTATTGACTCATGGATTTCCATAGAGTTAAGAAGTAAATTTTTTTAGGAACTTAAAGAATGCTGCATTTTGTTTTCACTTTGAGTTAGATGTGAATTTGCTTTAGTTATTCCATCTGCAAAGTATTTGCCATTTCATTGCAAAGATTTCTGAATTCATTGTACAAACTTGAAAGTGTCCATGTTATTTATACTTCTGCTAGAGATCTAGCAATTCTGCTAGAATCAATAGGTTTTGAAGGGTTTTGTGATTTATTTCACTCTGCTATCAGCCAGCTTTTTCTATGAGGCTTAGGTCACAGAACCTCTTTAGAGGTGAAGTAAGTAAACCTCTGGTTATCATCCAGTTTGATCTCAACTCTCAATGTTCGAATGAGTAAATGTATACAGCTTTTATTAAAGTTTTTATATGTGTATGCACTAAATAAACAGTGACAGGAAAATTTGCTCTGAGTTTTAGCCTGTTTCATTCTTATTTTAAGAGTGTTTATTAATGATGTGAGTATTGTTGAGAATATATATTTGTAGAGACTTTCTACATTCATTTGTCTTACCAGCTTATGAATGCTTGCTGTTAAATGTGATTTTTCATCTTAATAACATTGAATATAGTACACTTTTCTCCTTGAAAAACACTAGGATTACAGTCAGACAATGAAATTCTCAAAGCAGCTGTTGAACATCACAAAGTGCTCTTAGTAGAAAAGGATCG
Organism: Homo sapiens; assembly: GCF_000001405.40. Lineage (NCBI taxonomy): Eukaryota > Metazoa > Chordata > Mammalia > Primates > Hominidae > Homo > Homo sapiens. The sequence continues at coordinate 94,368,128 of NC_000012.12, read as the reverse complement.
TGAATTAATACGTAAAGTACAAGCTGCCAAAGAAGAAGGTTATCAAAAACTTGTGGTATTACAAGATGAAAAGTAAGTACTTAATTACCTTAGTTTGACTTAAATATCCTTGCAAATGAAAACATTTTGCTGTCATATCATCTTTATTATAGTTCTTGTAACATAATTATGATCTCTTGTTTTAGGTTAGAACTCGAGAACAGATTAGCAGATTTGGAGAAAATGAAAGTGGAACATGATGTCTGGAGGCAATCTGAAAAGGATCAGTATGAAGAGAAATTGCGGGCTTCACAGATGGCAGAAGAGATCACCAGGAAGGAGCTTCAGAGTGTTAGGTTATATATACATATATATTTAAAGTTTTTCATGTTGAAATAAGGTCAGAGTTAACAAAATGATGTACAACTAGTACAAAGAATTCCCATGTGCTCTTCACCCTGATCTCCCAAATACAAATACCTATGTAACCATATTATAATAATCAAGATTAAGAAATTAACATGAATATAATCAGGAAATCAGGCATTACTATTATAAAATCTATTAACTGTACTTAAATTTTACCAGTTGTCCCACTGATGTCTTTCTTCTGGTCTAAAACCCAATTCAGGATCACATGTTGCATTTAGTTACTTTTAATCTGGAACTTATGAACACTTTGACAAATACTTGTCAGTATTTTGTATATCCTCTCTCATTTTGGTTTTGTATTGCATTTTTCATGGTTAAATTCAGGTTAGGCATTTTTAGCAAAACATCAAAGTCATGTGTCCTCAGTGAATTTCCATGATTTGGCCCCTTAACTGGTGATTTTAACCTTGATCACTTGGTTAAGGTGGTATCTGCCACATTTTTCCCCTATAAAATTACTATTTTTTCCCTTTGTAATATATAATTATCTGTGGTTGCCCATATGATATTTCAAGTCTGTGTAAATATTCTCATATTTTGCCTTTATATAATCTTCCATTAATTTTAGTATCCATTGATAATTCTTATCTGAAACAGTTATAACTCTAGCATTTGCCAAATGGTGATCTTTCCATTTCTATGATCCTTCCTCATTTATTAGTTGGAATTCTCCTGAAAGTAAGTGCTTTCCCTTCTCCTCTAAATATATTTATATCATTATGGATTTATACATTCATATTTTTTCTATAGATTATAAGATTTTGTTATTTTTTTTGTTGCTTAACTTTTCTCAGATTTGGCTATTGGAAGATCTTTCAAGTTGAATCCCATGTCCTTTTGACATAATCCCACCATTTATTGTGACTTTTTTCTGTCATTACAGGATGTTCTGTGATTCTCTTTCACTTTCCCTGCCCCAGCCCTGGAATTAAACATTTATCTGAGGTGCTTTGATTCCTTTTTAATTGGAGAATGGCATTTAGAAACCAAAATCTCAACTCTAGGTATGCTTATTGGTACTAGAGAGTCATTGCTTCTAGGTCCTCCCAGTGAACTGAAAATTACACATTTACATCTATTTCTTTATTTTTTCTCTATATTAATAATCTTGAGTTTACATTGATATTTCCAGTTCTGTTCCAGCACCGTGGAGTTCATTCTGGTCTTCCTCTTTTCATACTTGCAATTCTTTTGACAGTGAGAAAACTGGCATTCATTATTCCTACCATATTTACTTATTTCCTCAGTCCTAAAATATAAAGTTGTTTTAGAATTGCTAACTCATCACTCAATGAAAAACAAACCTATTAACTTACATGTAATATTTGTGTATAGTTGTTTTTATCTTTAGCCTTAGAGTATATAGTCAAAATATTATTTTCCAAAGTTACTTAGGATTTTTCTCACCAAATTCTCCTTTAATGTGGTTTGTTATTCACTTATAAAGCAGGTTTATTCTTTCTATTCTATTCTGTTTTGAGTCCATACCTCATCCTTGTTTATTTATTTATTAATATGTTGGGCATTTGGAATGTCTACATGGTTCTAAAGGACAGAACTATAATACACCAAAAAAAAACAAAAACAAAAAAACAAAACCTTCAAAAAAATGCCACTTCCCACATCTCCTCTACCCTGTTCCCATTTCCCTCATCTTTTCTCATCTATCCTGCCCCATGTGAGATTAATCTCATTAGTTTCTGGTTTAGACTTCCTACATTTTTTGTTTGTTTGTTTTTGTTCCTCACAAATACCAGATGTCATTGTATTTTTCCTTCTTTCTTATCAGTGCACCCTGGAAACTGCTTCAGATTAGTTCATAGGGATTAGCCTCATTCTTTTTTATGGCTGCATAGCACTCCACTATGTGTATCTATCAGTGTTTAGTGAAATAGTCTCCTATGTTCATTTAATTTCCAATATTTTGTCTTTTTTTTTTTTTTTTTTTCAAACACAGTCTTGCTCTGTTGCCCAGGCTGGAGGGCAGTGGGGCGATCTTGGCTCACTGCAGCCTCCGCCTCTGCCTCTGGGATTCAAGTGATTCTCCTGCCTCCTGAGTAGCTGAGATTACAGGTGTATGTCACCACAACTGGCTAAATTTTGTATTTTTAGTAGGGGTGGGGTTTCACCATGTTGGCCAGGCTGCTGTCAAACTTCTGGCTTCGGGTGATCTGCCCACCTCGGCCTCCCAGAGTACTGGGATTATAGGTGTTGAGCCACTGCACCTGGCCTCCAGTATTTTGTGATTACAACTAATCAATAATGTTGTACATGTAAATATTTTCATTTTCTGGAGGTGTATCTTCAGGGTGAATTCCTGAAGTAAATAGGTGGGTCAAAAGGTAAATCATACGCAGTTTTGTTAGATATTGCCAAATTTCCATCCAAGAGAATTATATCACTTTGCATCTTAGTGTAGTTTAATTTGCATTTCTCATATTACAAATGAGATTGAACAATGTTCCATGTGTTTAAGGGCCATTTTTATATCATTTTTGTATGTATTGTTTGTTCTTGTCTTTCCCTATTATACTTGGTTTTTTTGGCCTTTTTTCCCTTGCTTAAAAATTTTTTTTAAATTACCTTACTTTTTAAGAGTTCTTTATATATTAGGATTATGCTGCAGATATTTTCTGCCAGTGTGTGTCAGCAGTCCTTTGATTTTGCTTCCGTTATTTTTTTGCCATGCAAAAATTTTTATTATGTAATCAAATTTAATCTGTTATTGCCTCTGGGTATTAAGTCAGAGTTAGTACTCTCTCCCTGAACTGAGGTTAAAGAGGAATTCACTTCTTTTTGCTTGTATGGTTTCATTTTTTACATTTAGTTCTCTGATCTATTTGAAGTGTATTCTTTTGTATGCTGTGAGGTATGGATTTGATCAGTTTTTTCTAAATGGCTAATTGATTGTCCCACACTTTTATTAAAAACCTGTCTTTGCCCCAGTGATTCATGATGATGCTTTTATTGTATTTTAAATTTCCATATATACTTGGGTATATTTCTGGACTTTCTATTCTGTTTCACTCATCTGGTTGTCTGTTCATGTGCCATTTTACATTAAAAAAATTTTTTTTGTTTTAATTTTTATTTAGAGACAGAGTCTTTCTTTGTTGCCCAGGCTGGAGTGAGCGATCATGGCTCACTGTAACACTGAACTCCTGAGCTCAAGCAATCCTCCTGCCTCAGCCTCCCAAGTAGTTGGAACTTTAGGCGCCTGTACCATTATTATGATACTTTAATTATAGAGGCTTTATAGTATGCTTTAATGTCTGGTTGTGGTACTCAGTCCTTATAGTTTTTCTCTCAGTATTTTCCTAGCTATAATTATATGTTTGTTTTTTCATATCAACTTGAATATTAATGTCTAGCTCCATTAAAAAGTTTGTTTGCAGTTTTATTGGGATTCCATTAATTTTTTTCCAATATTTGAAAATTGTTAAAATACATGTAAAAATAAAATCTACCATCTTAACTATTTTTAAGTGTACAATTCAGTGGTATTGAATACATTCATATTGTGGAACCATCATTACCATCTATCTCCAGAGTTCTTTTTAGCTTGTAAAACAAACTCTGTACCCATTAAACAATAACTCCCCTTTAGCCCATCCTCCCAAACCCTGGTAATCACCATTTCACTTTCTGTCTTTTAGGATTTTTGACTGCTCTACATACCTTTGTAAGTGGAATCAAACAGTATTTGTCTTTTTTTTTTGACTGGGTTATTTTACTTAGCATGATGTAATTACTTTTTTTTTTTTTTTTTTGAGACAGCGTCTCACTCTGTTGCCCAGGCTGGAGTGCAGTGGCATGATCTCAGCTCACTGCAACCTCTGTCTCCCAGGTTCAAGCCATTCTCCTGCCTTAGTCTCCCAAGTAGCTGGGATTAAAGGCGCCTGCTACCATACCTGGCTAATTTTTGTATTTTTGTAGAGATGCCGTTTCACCATGTTGGCCAGGCTGGTCTCGAACTCATGACCTCAGGTGATTTGCCCACCTCAGCCTCCCAAAGTGCTGAGATTACAAGCGTGAGCCACCGCACCTGCCCTAATGTTCATTACTTTCTAAGGCTTAATAATATTTCAGTTCTACATATATACTATATTTATCGATTTGTTTATGGACACCTGGATTTCTTCCACATTTTAGCTATTAATAATGCTGTTATGAACATGTGTGTACAAACATCTCCTTACGACCTTGGTTTCAGTTATTTTGGGTGTATATCCAGAAGAAGAATTACTGGCTTATATTGTAATTCTGTTTTTAATTTTTTGAGGAACTGCCATTCTATTTTCTTCAGTGGCTGCACCATTTTAAATTCCCACCAAAAATGCAAAAGACTTCTAATTTCTCCATATCTTCACCAGCACTTATTTCATGTTTTTAAAAAACTTAATTGACACACAATTGTACATGTTTACAGGGTACAGTGTGATATTTTGATTCACGTATACAATGTGTAATGATCAAATCAGGGTAATTAGCATATTCAATCACCTCAAACATTTCATATGTTCTTTGATTTGGGAACATTCAAAATCGTCTCTTCTAGCTCAAATATACAATAAATTAGTGCTAACTGTAGTCAGTCTGTAGTGCTGTAGAACACCAGAAATTATTCTTCCTATCCAATAGTAATTTTGTATTTGTTAACCAACCTCTGTCTTCCCTCCTCACTACCCTTCCAGCCTCTAGTAACCACTATTCTACTCTCTAGTTCTATGAAATAAACTTTTTAGCTTACACATGTGAGTGAGAACATGCAGTATATATCTTTGTGTGCCTGACTTATTTAATTAACAATTGTCCTCCATACTTGTCCATGTTGCCATGAATGACAGGATTTCATCCTTTTTTATGGCTGAATAGTATTCCATTGTTTATATATGCCACATTTTCTTTATCCATCCGTTGATGGGCACGTAGGTTGATTCCATATCTTGCTTACTGTGAATAGTTCTACAGTAAACATAGGAGTGCAGATATCACTTTGACATACTAATTTCCTTTGCTTTGGGTATATACCCAGTTGTGGAATTTCTGGGTCCTGTGGTAGTTCTGTTTCAGTTTTTTTTGAGACAGGGTCTCACTCTGTCACCTAGGCTGGAGTGCAGTGGTGTGATCTCGGCTCACTGTAACCTCTGCCTCCCAGGTTCAAGTGATTCTCTTGCCTCAGCCTCCTGAGCAGCTGGATTACAGGTGTGTGCCACCATGCCTGGCTAATTTATTGATTAATTGATTGACTGTTATTTTTAGTAGAGACGGGGTTTCACTGTGTTGGCCAGGCTGGTCTCCAACTCTTGACCTCAAGTGATCCACCTGCCTTGGCCTCCCAAAGTACTGAGATTATAAGCGTGAGCCACCGCACTTGGCCTGTTGTTAGTTTTTTTTGTAGAGCTTCCATACTATTTTTCTTAATGGCTATACTAATTTACATCCCCACTAACAGTGTATTAGAGTCCCTTTTCTCCTCATTCTTGACAACATTTGTTTTGTCTTTTTGACAGGCATTCTAGCTGGTGAGATGAAATCTCATTGTGGTTTGATTTGCATTTCCCTGATAAATAGTTATGTTGAACAATTTTTCATGAATGATCCATTCAGATCATTTGCCCATTTTTAAATGAAATTACTTGGGGCTTTTTGCAGTTGTTTGAGTTTCTTGTTTATTCTAAATTTTAATCCCTTGTCAGATAAATAGTTTGCAGGTGGGCCAGGTATGATGGTTCACACCTGTAATCCCAGCACTTTGAGAGGCCAAGGCGGGTGGATCACCTGAGGTCAGGAGTACAAGACCAGCCTGACCAACATGGTGAAACCCTGCCTCTACTAAAAATACAAAATTAGCTGGGCCTGGTAGTGTGCGCCAGTAATCCCAGCTACACTGGAGGCTGAGGCAGGAGAATTGCTTGAACTCAGGAGGCGGAGGTTGTGGTGAGCCGAGACCATGCCATTGCACCCCAGCCTGGGCAAAAAGAGCGAAACTCTGTCTCAAAAAAAAAAAAATTAGTTTGCAGGTATTAATATTTTCTCCCATTGTATAGGTTGTCTCTTCACTCTGTTGATTGTTTCCTTGTTGTGCAGAAACTTGGTTTGATACGATCTCATTTATCTATGTTTGCTTTTGTTGCCTGCGTTTTCTGTTGTTATAGTTGTTTCATTTATTTTGTTTTTGTATTTATATAAGGGATGGGATTTTGCTGTGTTGCCCAGGCTGGATTGCAGTGGGTATTCACAGGTGCAATGCTACTATTGTTCAGCGTAGAGTTTTGACCCACTCTATTTCTGACCTGGGTCAGGTCACCCCTCCTTAGGCATTCTGGTGGTCCTCTACTCTTGGGAGGTCATTATCCTGATGCGAAACTTAATGTGAATGCCCAATTGCAGTAGCGCACTACAGCATCTACAGCACAAAATTTCTGGACTCAGGTGATCCTCTTGCCTCAGCTTCCCAAGTAGCTGAGACTATAGGCACGTGCCACCATGCCCAACTTGTTGCCTGTGTTATTGAGGTCTCACCCGTAAAATCTTCCCCTAGGGCAATGTCCTGAAGTCTTTTCCTTGTGTTTTCCTGTAGTAGTTTCATAGTTTGGGGTCTCATACTTAAGTTTTTGATTTTTATATATGATGAGAGATGGATCTAGTTTTATTCTTCTGCATTTGGATATGCAGTTTTCCCATAATCATTTATTGAAGAGGCTGTCCTTTCCCCAATGTATTTTCTTGGTGCTTTTGTTGAAAATCAGTTATCTGTAAATATGTGGAATTATTTTTGACTTCTCTCTTCTGTTTCATTTGTGGGTGTATGTGTTTTTATGCCAGTACTATGGTGTTTTGGTTACTACAGCTTTGTAGCATATTTTGAAGTCAGATAGTGTGATAGATAGCTCCAACTTTGTTCTTTTTACACAGGATTGCTTTGACTCTTTGGAGTCTTGTGACTCCATGCAAATTTTAAGATTTTTTTTTTCAATTTCTGTGAAGAAATTCATTGGTAATATGGTAGAAATTGCATTGACTGTAGATCACTTTTGGTAGTATGGTCATGTTAACAATATTAATCTCCCAATCCATAAGCATGAGATTTCTTTTCATTTTTTGGTGTCTTCAATTTCTTTAATCAGTATTTTATAGTTTTCCTTTTAGAGATCTTTTACCTCCTTTGTTAAATTTATTCATAGGTATTTTAATTTTTATAATTATAATAAAGAAGATTTCTTTCTTTTCCAGTTAGTTTAAGTATGTAGAAATGCTACTGATTTTTGTATGTTGAGTTTTTTTATCCTGAAACTTTAATGAATTAAAAGTTCTAAGAGCTTTTTGGTGGGATCTTTAGGTTTTTCTATATATAAGATAATGTCATCTGCAAGTGGACAGTTTTGACTTTCTCCTTTTTTATTTTGAAGCCATTTATTTCTCTCTCATGCCTAATTGCTTTGGCTGAGATTTCCAGTGCTGTGTTGAATAAGATTGACAAGGGTGAACATCCTTGTATTGTTCTAGTTCTTAGGGGAAAAGCTTTCAATGTTTTTTTGTTCAGTATGATGTTAGTTGTGGTTTTGTCATATATGGTATTCATTGTATTGAGGTATGTTTCTTTTATACCTAATTTTTTTTAAAGTTTTTGTCATGAAGGAAAGCTGAATTTTTGTCAGACGCTTTTTCTGCATGTATTGAAATTATCGTTTTTTCTTCATTCAGTTGATACGATGTATCACATTTATTGATTTGCATATATTGAACCATCCTTGCATACCTGTGATAAATCTAACTTGATCATGGTGAATAATCTTTTTAACGTGTTGCTGGATTTGGTTTGCTGGTGTTTTTGTTGAGGGTTTTTGCATCTGTATTTATTAGGGATACTGGCCATAGTGCTCTTTTTTTTGTTGTGTCCCTGTCTGGTTTTGGTGTCAGGGTAATGCTGGCCTCGTAGAGTTTGGAAGAATCCTCTCCCTTTCAATTTTTTGGAATAGTTTGAGAAGAATTAGTATTAGTTCTTTTTTAAAAGTTTGGTAGAATTCAGCAGTGAAGCCATCTGGTCCTGGGCTTTTTTTCTTGGGAGACTTTTTATTGATGATGCAGTCTTGTTACTCATTATTGATCTGTTCAGGTTTTGTATTTCCTTCTGTTTGGTTCAGTCTTGATAGGTTTTGTGTGTTTAGCAATTTATCCATTTTCTCTAGGTTTTCCTATTTGTTGTCCTACAGTTGCTCATAATAGTCTCTAATGATCTTTAGTATTTCTGTGGCATCAGCTGTAATGTCTGCTTTTTCATTTTTGATTTTATTTATTTGGGTCTTCTCACTTTTAGTTAGTCTAGCTAATGTTTTGTCAATTTTGTTTTTTCAAAAAACCAACATTTTGTTTTGTTGATATTTTATAGTTTTTTAGTCTCCTTTTTGCCGAGACCAGCTCAGTTGGGGAGACCCTAACCCAGCGGCACTAGAGGGATTAGAGACACACACACAGAAATATAGAAGTGTGAAGTGGGAAATCCCCTGATTTCTCACAACCTTCAGAGCTGAGAGCCCTGAACAGAGATTTACCCACATATTTATTAACAGCAAACCAGTCATTAGCATTGTTTCTATAGATATTAAATTAACTAAAAGTATCCCTTAAGGGAAATGAAGGGATGGGCCAAATTAATTGCAGCAGGAACACACCCTTAAGACACAGATGCTCAGGCTTTTGTTTGTGGCTTAAGAATGCCTTTAAGCAGTTTTCTGCCCTGGGCGGGCCAGGTATTCCTTGTCCTCATTCCCATAAACTCACAACCTTCCAGCTTGGACTTTATGGCCATTATGGACATGTTACATTGCTGCAGAGATTTTATTTATGGCCAGTTTTGGGGCCAGTTTATGGCCAGACTTTGGGGGGTTGCTCCCAACATGTCTCCCTTCTTAGATTTGCAAAGAGATAAAAGCAAGGGCAGCTTTGTCATGGTGAGCTACTTCTTGCAGGAATCAGGCCAGTTTTTTGGAATTATAGCAGGAGAAGGCAATCCTGGCTGTAATGCTCCCATAGGTTGTATAACTGAATTGGTGGCTCTTAAGTCAGTGAACATTTTCCATTTTCCTGATTTTTTCTTAATTACGAAAATTGGAGAATTCCAAGAAGAAAATGTTGGAGCTATGTGCCCATTTTCTAATTGTTCAGCAACTAATTTCTCTAAAGCCTCCAGTTTCTCTTTACTTAGCAGCCATTGTTCTATCCAAATTGGGTATCTGTTAACCATTTGAAAGGTATAGGTTCTGGAGGCTTAACAATGGCTGCCATCAAAAATTTTTCCCTAATGTTTGGCGGGAACTTTGTTTTTTCCACTTGAAGTGGTTCTTTCAAACCTTGCAATTTTTTTTTCTAGTCCCGTACCAGGGACATACCTCATTTCATGCATTGTATATTGACTTTGAGGGCTATATAATTGTTCTGGAATTAGAACTTGTGCTCCCCATTGTTGTAATAAATCTCTTCCCCATCAGTTTATAGGTACAGAAGTTATAATTGCTTGAATAGTCCCAGGTTGTCCATCGGGCCCCTCACAATGCAAAATATAACTACTTTGATATACTTCAGTGACTTTACCAACTTCAACTATGTTAAATTGAGCAGGTTGAATTGGCCACGTGGATGGCCAGTACTGTAGAGAAATGATTGAAATGTCTGCTCCTGTATCTACCAAACCTTTACATTTCTTTCCTTCAATAGTTATTTCACAGGTAGGACATTTATCAGTAATTTGATTTACCCAGTAAGCTGCTTTGCCTTGTTTATTTGTGCTTCCAAATCCTCCTGTTCGTTTAATTTCACTTTTTCCCATTCCCACATACGGCACAATCAGGAGCTGTGCTATGTGCTTTCCTGGCTCTGCTTTCCAGGGAACAGAAGTAGATATAACAATTTGAATATACCCATTATAATCTGAATCAATGACTCCTGTATGTATTTGTACACCTTTTAAACTTACACTAGACCTTCCTAAAAGTAATCCTATAGTCCCTGCTGGCAAGGGTCCACAGACTCCTGTTGGGACCTTTTGCAGGGGTTCCCCAGGCAGAAGGCTCACAGCTTTTGTGCAGCATAAATCTACTGTGGAACTACTTGCTGTGGCAGGGGACAGACATTGTACAGGGGTGAGGGAATGGCCTGTGCTGGAAATGCCCCGGTTTAGAACAGGGCCCGAGACGGCTCCCTCATGGCATTTCCCGAAATCGGATTCCCTTCTTTATCAAACTTAGAGTGACACTGACTAGCCCAGTGTCTTCCTTTTTTACATTTTGGACATATTTCTGGCTCAACAGTTTTCTTTTTTCCCCTATCTGGTGGCCTGACTCGCTGATTTTTTCTACATTCTTTTTTAGTATGACCATGCTTCCCACAGTTAAAACAAGCTCCAGGAAATGGAGTATTTCCTTTATCCACTCTCAGTCCTGCCATTGCCTGTGCCAACAAGGTAGCTTTATGCAGATTACCTCCGATACCATCACAGGCCTTGATATAATCAACTAAATGTGTTTTCCCTCTGATAGGTCACAGAGCAGCCTGGCAATCGGGATTAGCATTGTGGAAAGCTAATAACTGCAACACTATATCCTGAGCAGCCAAATCTGCAATCATCTTTTTAAGAGACTCCTGTAACCGAGCTATAAAATCAACATATGGTTCCCTTGGTCCCTGTTTTATAGCACTAAAGGAAGGGTATTGTTCCCCACATTAAGTGATTTTTTTTCCCCAAGCTCTAATGTGCACACCTCTAAGTTGTTCTATGGCATCATCCTGCATGACCAGTTGTGCATCTAAACCAGCCCAGCCGCCAACCCCCAAAAGTTGGTCTGCAGTTATATTAATTTGAGGTTGGGCCTGGGCATTGCGAGCAGCCCAAATGGAAGCTTCATCTGCCCACCAAATTTTAAATTGTAAGAACTGAGCAGGAGTTAGACAAGCTCGAGTAAGAGCGTCCCAGTCAGTAGGAATCATCCGACTGGAAACAGTAACATTCCTTAACAGTCCCATTACAAAAGGAGAACCTGGTCCATATTGACTTATTGCTTGTTTTAGTTCTTTAAGTAATTTAAAAGGAAAAGGCTCAAATATAGCTGTAATATTTCCCTCTTGATCTGGGGGATGTATTCTAACAGGGAACTGCCAAGCCTCTAAATCACCCTCTTGTCTAGCTTGCCGAATTCCTGCCTAATAGAACTAAGAGCCATCGCTCGAGGCGCTGCTCGAACAGTCACTGGGGCAGCTATTTTTCACCCAGTGTCCTCTGGAAAAGAAAGATCTGGGGGGTCATTTTCCTCAAAAAATAATGAGGGGGTGCAGAAGGGTAGGGATGAACCTGTCCTTCCTTTGCCGCTTTAGCTTTAGCTGGCAAATAAACATGCTCTGTAACCTCTTCTGTTACTTCACTATACTCTTGTTCCTCCTTGTTATCAGTGTGAAAAAGTTCTAAGATGAAACGAACCAGACCCCATACCTATCCCATTGTTACCCTGATGCTTCAGAGCTCCCCTTCTTACTCACCACAGGGATTGCTTTAAGAGTACTCGGGTGTCCTCCAGCTAGTTTTCTGTTCCCAGCCGTCGCTCTGGCGACCCTTCGACCTGGATTCGAGCCCCCATGAATGGGCGCCACTTGCCGAGACAGGCTTGGTAGGGGAGACCCTAACCCAGCGGCACTAGAGGAATTAAAGACACACACGCAGAAATATAGAGGTGTGAAGTGGGAAATCAGGGGTCTCACAGCCTTCAGAGCTGAGAGCCCTGAACAGAGATTTACCCACATATTTATTAACAGCAAACCAGTCATTAGCATTGTTTCTATAGATATTAAATTAACTAAAAGTACCCCTTAAGGGAAACGAAAGGATGGGCCGAATTAATTGCAGCAGGAATACGCCCTTAAGACACAGATGCTCAGGCTTTTGTTTGTGGCTTAAGAATGCTTTTAAGCGGTTTTCCACCCTGGGCGGGCCAGGTGTTCCTTGCCCTCGTTCCTGTAAACCCACAACCTTCCAGCTTGGACATTATGGCCATTATGGACATGTTACATTGCTGCAGAGATTTTATTTATGGCCAGTTTTGGGGCCAGTTTATGGCCAGACTTTGGGGGGCTTGCTCCCAACATCTTTTTGTAAGTTTCTGTACTGATTTTTACGTTTTAGTTCTCTCTACTAACTTTGGGCTTTGTTTGTTCTTGTTTTTCTTTTCTTTTTTTTTGAGACGGAGTCTCGCTCTGTTGCCCAGGCTGGAGTGCAGTGGTGCGATCTGCTCACTGCAAGCTCTGCCTCCTGGGTTCACGCCATTCTCCCGCCTCAGCCTCCTGAGTAGCCAGGACTACAGGCACCTGCCACCATGCCTGGCTAATTTTTTGTATTTTTAGTAGAGATGGGGTTTCACGGTGTTAGCCAGGATAGTCTCGATCTCCTGACCTCGTGATCCACCCGCCTTGGCCTCCCAAAGTGCTGAGATTACAGGTGTGAGCCACTGTGCCCGGCCTGTTCTTGTTTTTCTAGTTCCCTGGGGAACATGATTATGTTGTTGATTTGAAGTTTCTGTACTTTTTTGATGTAGGCATTTATTGCTATAAACTTTCACTCTTAATTCTGCTTTTGTGGTATTCATTGCATAGGTTTTGGGTATGTTGCATTTTTATTTTTATTTATTTGTTTTTAAGAAATTTTTCTGTTTTTTTTTGTTTTGTGTTTTTGAGACGGAGTCTCACTCTGTAGCCAGGCTGGAGTGCAGTGGCACGATCTCAGCTAACTGCAACCTCCACCTCCCAGATTCAAGCAGTTCTCCTGCTTCAGCCTCCCGAGTAGCAAGGCGTGTGCCACCACGCCCATATAATTTTTATATTTTTAGTACAGACAGGGTTTCACCATGATGGCCAGGATGGTTTCGATCTCTTGACCTTGTGATCCTCCTGCCTCAGCCTGCTGAAGTGTTGGGATTACAGGTGTGAGCCACCACACCCGGCCTTCAGTTAATTTTTTAATTTCCTCCTTGACTCATTGGTCATTCAGGAGCATGTTATTTAATTTTCATGTATTTGTACACCTTTCAGAGTTCTTCTTGTTACTGATTTCTAGTTTTATACTGCTGTTGTCAGAAAATATACTTGATATATTGATTTTTAAAAATTTATTGAGACTTGTTTTGTGGCCTAACATATGGTCTGTCCTGTGGAATGCTCCATGTTCTGATAAAAAGAGTGAATATTCTGGCCAAGCATGGTGGCTCATACCTGTAATCCCAGCACTTTGGGAGACCAAGGTGGGCAGATCACTTGAGGTCAGGAGTTGGAGAGCAGCCTGGCCAAAATGGTGAAACCTTGTCCCTACTAAAAATACAGAAAAAAATTGATTGGGTTTGGTGGTGCGTGACAGTAATCCCCGCTACTCGAGAGGCTGAGGCACAAGAACCCAGGAGGCAGAGGTTACAGTGAGCCGAGATTGTGCCACTGCCCTCCAGCCTGGGTGCCAGAGCAAGACTCCATCTCAAAAAAAAAAAGAAGAAGAAGAATGAGTACTCTGCATTCTCCAGCTACTGGATGAAATGTTTTACAAGTGTCTGTGAAGTCCATTTGGTCTACAGTGTAGTTTAAATCTATGTTTCTTTCTAGGTGATCTCTCTAATGCAGAGAGTGGGGTATTGAAATCCTCTACTATTATTGCATTGGTGTCTATCTTTCCCCTTAGATAATAATTATATTTGCTTTAATATATCTTGGTTCTCTGGTGTTTGATGCATACATATTTACTATTGCTAATCCTCTTGCTGAATTGGGTTTTTTTTTCCATTATATAATGAACTTCCTTGTCTCTTTACAGCTTAAAAACTTTTTTTTTTTACAGTTCTTTTTACAGTGTGACAAACTTTTCACAGTTTTTGACTTAAAGTTTATTTTATCTGATATAAGTAAGTTGCTTCTGTTCATTTTTGGTTTCTCTTTGCATGGAGTGTTTTTTTTTTTTTCCCCCACTTCGTTTTCAGACTATGTATGTCTTTATGGGTGAAGTGAGTTGTGTTTAGGCAGCTTATATTTGGGCTTTGAGTTTTTATGCCTTTACCCAGTCTATATGTCTTAATTGGGGGATGTAATCTGTTTACATTCAAAGTTATTCTTGGTAGAGAAGGACTTAGTCCTGTCATTTTGTTAATTGTTTTCTGGTTGTACTGTAGATCTTCTGTTTCTTTCTTGCTCTCTTAATTGTTTATCTTTGTGGTTTGGTGGATTTCTGTAGTGACAAAGTTTGATTTCTTTCTCATTTGTATATCTATCTGCTCTACTAGTGAGTTTTATACTAGCATGTTTTCATGATGTTAGTCATTGTCTTTTCATTTTCAGTTGTAGGACTCCCTTAAGAATTTCTTGTTGAGTAGGTTTAGTGGTGATGAATTGTCTCAGTTTTTGCTTGTCTGAGAAAGACTTTGTTTCTTCTTCATTTCTGAAGATAGTTTTGCTGGGTATAGTATTTTGGAATGGAAGTTATTTTTCTTTCACTACTTTTGAGTATAACATTCTGTTCTCTTCTTGCCTGTAAGGTTTCTCTTGAGAAATCTGCTGTTTGTCTCACGGGGATTTTCTTATATATGACTTGATGCTTTTTTCTTGTTGTTTATAGAATTCTCTCTTTGATTTGATTTTTGATGTTTGAGTATAGTATGCCTTGGAGAGGACCTTTTTGGGTTGAATCAGTTTGGGGTCTTTGAGCTTTTTGGATTTGGATGTTCATCTCTCTCCTAAGACTTGGGAACTCTACAGTTATGATTTTGTTTACAACGTTTTTGATACCATTTCCCATCTCTTATTCTTCTGGAATTTTTATAATGTGAATATGTGTTCACTTAATGGTGTCACATAAGTCTCATAGGCTTTCTTCATCCCTTTTATTCTTTATTATTATTTGTCTGACTGGATTATTTTAAAAGACCTGTCTTAATGTTCAAAAATTCTTTTTCCTGCTTGATCTAGACTGTTCCTGAAATTCTTGATTGTATTTTTAATTTTGTTCATGGAATTCTTCAGCTCCAAGGATTCTGTTTGGTTCTTTTTTATGATATCTGTGTCTCTCAGATTTCTCATTCATATCATTTTTTCCTGATTTCGTTGAATTTTCTATCTGTATTCTCTTGTATCTTTCCAAGTTTCCTTAACATTGTTATTTTTAATTTCTTTTCAGGCATTTTTTAGATTTCTTTTTCGTTAGGGTCTATTACTGGAGTATTATTGGGTTCCATTTGAGGTGTCATGTTTTCTTTTTCATGTTTCTTTTTTTTTTTTTTTTGAGACAAAGTCTCACACTGTCACCCAGGTTGGAGTGCAGTGGCACAATCTTGGCTCACTGCAACCTCTGCCTCCCAGGTTTAAGCGATTTTCCTGCCACAGCCTCCCAAGTAGCTGGGATTGCAGGCACCCACCACCAAGCCCAGGTAATTTTTTGTATTTTTAGTAGAGACGGGGTTTCAGTATGTTGGCCAGGCTGTTCTCAAACTCCTGACCTCGTGATCTGCCTGCCTTGGCCTCCCAAAGTGCTGGAATTACAGGCGTGAACCACCACGCCCAACTTTTTTCATGTTTCTTGTGTCCCTATGTTATGGGTGCATCTGGTAGAATAGTTGTCTCTTTCTATTTTATGGAGTAGCTTTTGTAAAGAAGGACTTTTTCCTGTATATTTGTCCTGCAGTATTGTTTGGGTAGTTGCTTTGGCTTTGTTTCTATATTAGTACAGTAATGTAGTCTCCATATGATCTTTGGCTGTAATTCGTGTCAGCAGTGTCTGCAAGTACCTCAGTGGTCTCTGCTGTGAGTTTTTGTAGAATGAATCTCATGTCTTTGGTGTTGATAGGGGCCTCTAGGTGGAACAGTTCTCAGGCCTTGGGTGTTGGGTGCTCATTGGGTATGGTGGCTTTGCCAGTTGTGGGGTGGAATTGCCAGTGGTGGCTGTTGCCATATGGGCCCATCATTGGTCCCTACAGGTATGTGGGGTGCATTTCTGCTTCACCAGTTATGGGAATGGGATTGCTGGCAGTGGCTGGCAGCTAGTTCTTAAACCCTAGGGACTGCATGCACCAGTGCCCTTGGTCTTGGAGGTGGCCTCCCTGCTGTGCTAGATTGCTTGTTCCTTTAGGTCTACTATATCAGCTCAGGTTCTGGAGTTTTGGCTTTACTGCTCTGTGTAGCTGAGGTTGTGGTGTTGGACCCTTTTATTTGATTGTGGCATGATTACAGTGGGACCCTTCAGATATGGAAATACCAGGTCTGTTGAACCCCATGGCAGCATGTATTTCAGCATTGGCTCGGTTCTCAAAATGGTGCCATGCTGTAGCAGCTTGGGTCACAGGGAGTGGGGGGACCCAGTGTGTGTTCCTTCTCTGGAGCAATGTAACCATGTGGACTCCAAGCAGCTCCCTGTACCGGATTCAGGGCCTGTTAGGACTCTAGGGCTCTTCTGTAGCTAGGTTTACACATGTCCACAGTGGTATTAGGGATTGCTAAGGAACTCCTACCTACCATTTCTCACACAATGGGGAGTCTCTCTTGGTTCTGAGCCAATCCTGGCTGGGTGCTTTGCTTTCTTCTCTATGCTGCCATCTCAAGTCTCCATGATTAAGTGGATTTTTTTTTTCTCTTTCATGTGAATTCTGTTGTTCTCCCTTAGAAACTCTTACCTGAAGTGCAGTTATTTACTTGTTATTTTGGGCCTTTGTGGAAGAGTGTTGGTCCTCTAGTCAGTCATCTTAATGATGTCTTCCTCATGTTTTTTTGATAGTAACCATCCTGATAGGTGTGAGGTAGTAAGTATCTCATTGTAGTTTTGATTTGCATCTTTCTAATGATTAGTGATGTCGAGCATCTTTTAATATGCATCTTTTTTGAAAAACAGCTAGTCAAGTTTTTTGTCCATTTAAAAATTTTATTTTTTATTCTTGTTTAGTTTTTCTCTGTATATTCTGGATATTAATGCCTTATCAGATACATGATTTGCAAATATTTTCTCCTATTCTGTAGGGTTTTACTCTGTTGATAAGTATCTTTTGTTGCAGAAAAATTTATTTTCATGGAGTTCATTTTGTCTGTTTTTTTTTGTTGTTGTTGTTATTGCCCTATGCCTTTCGTGTCATATCCAAGAAATCATTATCAAATCAAATTCCATGAAGCCTTTCCCCCATCTTCTAAGAGTTTATAGTTTTAGGTTGCACATTTAGTCCTTTGATCTATTTTAAATTAATTTTCCTATATAAAGAGAGGTCCAAGTTCATTCTTTTATATGTATGTATCCAGTTTTCCCAACACTGTTTGTTGACAACATTGCCCTTTCTTCATTGAATGACCTTGGTACTCTTGTCAAAAATCATTTGACCGTATATGGGAGGGTTTATTTACTCATTCTGTATTCTATTCCAGTTGCTTATATGTTGGTCTTTATGTCAGTGTCACACTATTTTGATTATTATAACTTTGCAATAAATTTTGAAATAAGGAAGTATGAGTTCTCTAGTTTTGTTCTTCAGGATTATTTCATCTACTTGGGTTGCCTTGAGATTCCATACGAATTTTAGGATAGATTTTTCTATTTCTGTGCAAAATATTGGGATTTTGATAGCAATTGCATTGATTCTGTAGATTATTTTTGGTAGTATTGACATCTCAACAATATTGAATCTTTCAATTTATGAACATGGGATGTGTTTCCATTTATTTATATCTTCTTTAATTTCTGTTAGCAGCGTCTTTTAGTTTTCTAAGTATTTCACCTCCTTGGTTCAGTTAATTTTTATGTATTCTTTTTGATGCTATTGTAAATGGAATTATTTTCTTCATTTTCCTTTTCATAGTATTCATTGTTAGTGTATAGAGATGCAGCTAATTTTTGTTTGTTGGCTTTGTATTCAGCTACTTTGCTGAATTCATTGTCTTTCTCTTGCCTAATAGCTCTGGCTAGAACTTCCAGTTTCATGTCAAATGGAAGTGGCAAAAGTGGGAGTACTTGGTTTATTCCTGATCTTAAAGGAAAACATTTCAGTCTCTCACCATTGCTTATGATACTCACTGTGGCTTTTTCATATATGGCTTTATTATGTTGAGGTAGTGTCCTTCTATTCCGAGTTTGTTAGTTTGTTTTATCATGAAAGGGTGTTGAATTTTGTCAAATGCTTTTTCTGCATCAGTTGAGATGATCATGCATTTTTTTCTTCATTCTTTTAATATGGTGTATTATTAGGTTGGTGCAAAAGTAATTGTGGTTTTGGACCATGAATTTTAAATCAGTGTAACTAGGCTCAAACACATCTTTATTAATCAAAATAGGAACCATTACAGTCAACACATTTTTGCCAATGAGAAATAAGTTTATTCTTGTAGTATAAAAATCCATGCTTCGGGATTCTACAAACTTTTTTTCTTTTTTTTTTTTTTTTTGAGACAGAGTCTTGCTCTTGTCACCCAGGCTGGAGTGCAGTGGCGCAATCTTGGCTCACTGCAAGTTCCACCTCCTGGGTTCAGCGATTCTCCTGCCTCAGCCTCCCGAGTAGCTGGGATTATAGGCACCCACCACCACACCTAGCTAATTTTTGTATTTTTAGTAGAGACGGTGTTTCACTATGTTGGCCAGGCTGGTCTTGAACTCCTGATCTCAGGTGATCCACCCACCTCGGCCTCCCAAAGTGCTGGGATTACAAGTGTGAGCCACCACACCTGGTGGGATTAGACAAACACTTAGCATTTTCTGCATCCTGCTCGTTGTGGAAGCATTTTCCCTGCAAAAAGTTGTTGAGATGCTTAAAGAAGTCATAGTCAGTTGGCAAGAGGTCAGGTGACTATGGCAGATGAGGCAAAACTTTGTAGTGCAGTTCGTTCCACTTTTGACGCATTGGTTGTGTGGCATACAGTTGGACATTGTCGTAGAGAAGAATTGGACCCTTTCTGTTGATCAGTGCCGGCTGCGGGCATTGCAGTTTTCAATGCATCTCATCGATTTGCTGAGCATACTTATCAAATGTAATGGTTTCCCTGGGATTCAGAAAGCTGTAGTAGATCAGACCGGCAGCAGACCACCAAACAGTGACCATGAGCCTTTTTGGCACAAGTTTGGCTTCGGGAAGTGCTCTGGAGCTTCTTCTCCATCCAGCCACTGAGGTGGTCATTGCCGGTAGTCGTATGAAATCCACTTTTTGTCGCATGTCACAATCTGCTTGAGAAATAGTTTGTTGTTGCATAGAATAAGAGAAGACTACACTTCAAAATGACGATATTTTAAATTTTCACTCAGTTCATGAGACACCCACTTATCTAGCTTTTTCACCTTTCCGAATTGCTTCAAATGCCAAATGACCATAAAATGGTTGACATTGAGTTCTTTGGCAGCTTCTTGTGTAGTTGTAGAGGATCAGCTCCAATGATTGCTCTCAACTGGTCATTGTCAACTTCTGACGGCTGGCCACTATGCTCCTCCTTTTGAAAAGTAGACCTCTTTTTTTTAAATTTTTTTTCTGTTTCAATGCTTATTTCCCCTTTGTTATTTTTTGTTCTATACGTGTGCTTTCTTTCTTTCTTGGTCAAGTCAGCCACTGCTTTGTGTATATATATATATTTTTTTTGTGGTAAAATATACATAAAATTTACCATTTTAACTATTTTAAAACATACAGTTCAGTACATTCATTTAAATTAGGATTTTGGTTTATTTATTAGATCGACTGGTTTCCCATTTTCTAACTCATTAATTTCTGCTTTTATCTTCTGGTTCTTTGCCCTTAAAAAGTTTCTATAGTTTTATTGTTATCATTTAATGTACCTAAAATAAAATTCATCCATTTTGTATACAGTTGTACAATCCTCACCATAATAAAAATATGGAATAGTTTCATCACCCCAAAAGTTTCTTTATGTCTCTTTATAGTTGACCTCCTTTCCTGAGTCCCAACATTAGGCAACCCGTGACTTATCCATGCTCTGAGTGTATCAGTAGCCCATGTCTTTTTATTGCTGATTAGTATTCATTGTATAAACGTAATATGATTTATTTATTCTTTTGTTGGACAAATGTTGGGTTGTTTTTAGTTGGGGGCTATTATGAATAATGCTGCTGTGAACATTCATTTACAAGTCTTTGTGTGGAAATATGTTTTTATTTCTCCTTGTTAAATACCTAGAAATGGGATTACTAAGTCATATGTTAAGTATATATTTAATTTTATAACATACAGAAATACTGTTTTCCAATGTGGAAACACTTGAGAAGTTTTTTCATTCCAACTAGCAATATATGAGGATTTTGTTTGTTTTACATCCCTACTGACACTTGTTATTTTCAGTCTTAATAATAATTCTAATTGGATATGTTGTAACATGTCACCTGTGGTCTTAATTTTATTGTCTCTGTGACTAGTGGTGGTTAGCATCTTTTTGTGTGCTTATAAGCTACTTTTGTGAAGTTTCTGTTCAAATATTTTGGCCACTTTTTACATTCAGAAGTTATCTTATTGATTTATAATAGTTATTTATGTGTTACGCATAAAAGCTCTTTCTTAGATACATATTTTACAGATATTTTCTCCTTATCTATGACTTTCCTTTTCATTTACTTGTGTGTGTATGTGTGTGTGTGTGTATGTGTGTGTGTGTGTGTGTATGTGTATATATATATATATATATTTGTTTATTTTTTGATACAGGATCTTGCTCTGTTGCCCAGGCTGGAGTGCCGTGGTGCCATCTCAGCTCACTGCAACCTCTGCCTCTTGGGCTCAAGCGATCCTCCCACCTCAGCCTCCTGAGTAGCTGGGACTACAGGTGCATGGCACCGTGCCTGGCTAAGTTTTATATTTTTAGCAGAGACAAGGTTTCTCCATGTTTCCCAGACTGGTCTTGAACTCCTGAGTGGTGTTTTTTCCTGTGTTTTCACACCACAACACAGAAAACTTCTGTGACCAAATGTATGGATTTCTACCCATCAACAAGCAAGCATTCAGTTCTGCAGTGGACAGCAGTCTGACATCTTCTAATCTAATTTGATTCTACTGCTCTCTATATGGAGATAGCATCAGATCCTGCGGGTTGAAGGCTTGGTCCCACAAGATTGCCACCATTTCAGACACCAGTCTCACTTTCAGGACTCTGGAACTTCTGATCGACCAGGTTTTTAAGTTGGGGTTTCCATAACCTTCTCTTTCAGCTAAATTTACTAGAGTGGTTCACAAGCTTAAGGAAACACTTTATGTTTCCCAGGTTATTGAAGAGGATTTTTTTTTTTTTTTTGAGACGGCGTCTCGCTCTGTCACCCAGGCTGGAGTGCAATGGTGTGATCTCAGCTCACTGCGGATACAAATAAACAGCTAGATGAAGAAATAATAGGCCAGGTGCGGTGGCCCACGCCTATAATCCCAGCATTTTGGGAAGCTGAGGTGGGTGGATCACCTGAGGTCAGGAGTTTGAGACCAGCCTGACCAACATAGTGAAACCCCGTCTCTACTAAAAATACAAAAAAAATTAGTTGGGCGTGGTGGCAGGTGCCTGTAATCCCAGCTACTCGGGAGGCTGAGGCAGGAGACTTGCTTGAACCTGGGAGGCAGAGGTTGCAGTGAGCCGAGATTGGCCATTGCACTCCAGCCTGGGCAGCAGAGCAAGACCCCGTCTCAAAAAAACAATAAGAAAGAGAAATAATAGGGTGAGATCTCAAGGGTCCAGAGCTCAGGAGCTTCTGTTCCTGTGAAGTTGGAGTGTGCCATTCTCCTAGCACATGGGTGAGTTCTTGTTTACCTTCATGTAATCCTCCATGAGTTCAGCTGTCTGGAGGCTTGCGGTACCCTGTCCTCTTGAGTCTTTTTTGGAGACTTCATTGGATAAACATGATTGAAGAATGGACAATCGTATGGAAATCTTATTGGACAAAAAGGGCATGATCTAATACTAATAGACTGTGCAGAGAATTGTAACAAGTCCTGTGCATTTAGATTCTTCTTGGCCCCTCTGTGTAGCATTATTTCCTCCTGGATAAGGAAGGGGCAGGACCCCTTCAGAAATGCGGGTCTTATGACCTGCTGTCGGGTAAGGTAATTCAGAGGATTTTTTTATGACCAGTTCCAAGACAGAAAGATGGGGGAAGATTGGAGTATATTTTTAGTGTGTGTGGCCTGCCTTGGAGAGAAAAAGGCGCAGGTAAAAGGAGGACAGAAGGTCAGAGAGAGATTCTGTTTTCTGAGGCCCAGAGCACCCCAGTATTATAACCAAAGACTGTCTTTCGCCTTTATCACTCTGAAGCTGTTCTGAAGCTGCCTCCCGAGCCATAAACAAAGGGCCTAATACGGTAACAAAGATACATGTATTGTTTTAGTCACTTAGGAAATGTGGACAAGGGCTATGGAAGTTACGAGCCAGGAACCATGAATGTAAACCCATATGTATATGTAAACCAATATATATACATCATAATACTACACCACTTTATCAATTTTTTTCTTGTTTGTATTTTTTGTGTTCTCTTCAAGAAGTCTTTGCCTAATTCTGTGTTAAAAAGATATTTGTTTTCTTCTAAAAGATTAATATTTGGTTTTTACCTTTAGGTTTTAAGGTCTAATTCATCTTAACTTTTATGTGGTGTAAGGTAATGGCACACATATGCTTTTTATTTTCATGTAGGTATCCAGTTGTTCCAGCACCATTTTTTGAAGACTATCTTTTCCCTCACTGAATTACAGGTGTGAGTCTATTTCTGGACTCTATTCTATTTTACTGATCTTGTCTTTACACCAGTATCATACCATTTTGATTACTGTAGCTTTATAGTAAGTTTGGTTCAGGTAGTGCACGTCCTCTACCTGGTTCTTTTTTGTCTAAATTCTTTTGGCTTTTCTAGGTCCTTTGCCTTTCAAATATTAATTTTTTAATCAGTTTTTTATCTTTTTAAATTCTTGTTAAAATTTTAATTGGGATTGTATTGGATTTTTAGGTCAATTTGAGGAGAATTGTTACCTTAACAATATTGAGTCTTCCAATCCATGAATATCATACATCTCTCCATTTATTTAGGTTTCATTTCTTTCATCAGTGTGTTGCAGTTTTCATTGTATATATCATGTTCATCTTTGATTCAATTTTATTTCTAAATATGGTATAAATGGAGTTCATTTGACTTCTTAATTGTTCGTTGCATATAGAAATATAGTTTACTTTTATGTATTGATCTTGAATCCTGTGACTTTACTAAAGTCACATATTTTCTAATAGCTGCTTTGTTGATTTCTTAGAGTTTTCTAAGGTCATGTTGTATACCTTGGGCTTTCTTTTAGTTTACTTTGTTCATTTGGTTGTTTTTGAGTTGAGAATTTAATTTTACTACAGTTTATTCTTTCATTCTTATTGGTAAGAGTATTTAGTGCTAATAATTTTCTTCTCATCACTGCTTTACGTGTATCCCATAAATTATATAGTGTTTTAATTATTATTTTTAAAGAAATTCACTAATTTTAATTTGCATTTTTCTTTCTGCCAAAGAGTTGTTTAACAGAAGATGTAGTAGTTTGCTAAGTCTGCCATAATAAAATACCACAGACTGGGTGATCAAACAACAGGAATTAATTTTCTTACAGTTTTGGAGACTAGAAGTCATAGATTAAGGTATTGCCTGGCTTGGTTTCTCCTAAGACCTCTCTTCTTGACTTGCAGGTAGCCACCTTCTTCCCACTTTGTCCTCACATGGCCTTTTCTCTGTGCCTTTGCATCCCCTCTTGTCTATCCTTTTTGTAAGGACACTAGTCATATTGGATTAGGGCCCACCCATATGACTTTAACCTTAATTGTCTCTTTAAAGGCCCTATCTCGAAATGTAGTCATATCTTGAAGGAACATGTTTCAGTCTATAACAGAAGGTTTTTTAATTTCCAGGTAGGAGAACCTTTTTAAAAAGTTAATTTCGGCTGGGCGCGGTGGCTCACGCCTGTAATCCCAGCACTTTGGGAGGCCGAGGCGGGTGGATCATGAGGTCAGGAGATCGAGACCATCCTGGCTAACAAGGTGAAACCCCGTCTCTACTAAAAAAAAATACAAAAAATTAGCCGGGCGCGGTGGCGGGCGCCTGTAGTCCCAGCTACTCGGGAGGCTGAGGCAGGAGAATGGCGTGAACCCGGGAAGCGGAGCTTGCAGTGAGCCGAGATTGCGCCACTGCAGTCCGCAGTCCGGCCTGGGCGACAGAGCGAGACTCCGTCTCAAAAAAAAAAAAAAAAAAAAAAAAAAAAAAGTTAATTTCTAGCTTTATTGCATTGTGATCACAATATTGTTTGTACTCTTTCTGCTTTGTGGAACACTCTGATGTTTCTTTGTAACCTAATCTATCAAGGGTAGGACTAGGGTAAAGCAATTGAGGCACCCAGGGTGCAAAAAATTTAAGGCGACAGTCTCACGGTGCTGACCCTGCACTTGCAGGAGTCTTAGAATGGGTGTCTTCTTAAGTTCGCATTCTGGACATGTCACATGCCCAGCGACTATAGAACTATAGTCACTTAGTCCCATAGTATATGTCAGTTATTGTGTTACGTAAACACATGGAGTCTTATAAGAGTATGAAGTTCTATATATATATATATATATGAAGTTCTATATATATATACATACACACACAGACATACATACACACATATGTGTCTGTACACATAGGATCTGCCTTGTTAACTGCGATGTTTAGGTCTTCTGTATACTTGCTTATTTTTTGTCCACTTGATTTGTCTTGTACAAAGAATGATATATTAAAGTCTCCTATTATTACTGTGTTTCTGTATGTGACTCTTTGTATATCTTGTAGTTTTTGTTTCATAAAGGTGAGTTTCATGGTATTTGGTACAGAATATAAATATTCATAGCAGTTCTATTTTAAGTGTGAATTGTAGCGTTTAGCATTAAAAATTGCTTTTTTTGTCTTTTTTTTTTGCTTGACTTGTCTGATACCATCACCACTTCTGTTTTCATATAGTTTCCATTTGCCTGGTATACTTTTATCCTCTTATTTTTAAATTTTCTGAATCGTTTTGCTTTTTAAATGTGTGTTTTATATGTAGCGTTTAGTTGGGTCTTGTTTTGTGGGCCAAATTTTAATAAATTAAACATTTTATTTTAATGGGCGAATTAAGTACATTCACATGCAGTGAGCCCTTGCCTGCAAAGATGTGCAGGCGGGAATGGGAGAGATCACTTGCTGGGATTTGGTATTTTTTCCTTCATTTTACTTAGTTACTTTGAGGTTTTGGGCATTTTCTGTCTGCCAGTTATGCTAAGGGTATGGTTTTGTGTGGCTTTATTTGTTCTCTTTGCTTTTTCTGTATTGTTTTTGCAGAATATATGGATAACACAGAGCTAGACATCTGCTGTTATCCTCAACACTTGGAAATGCTTTATGTCTGCTTTTCAAATTCTAATATCTTAGTGACGTCTCTAATTATATAAAGTTTGAGTGGCTTTTAAAAATCATGTTCATTAAGTGGTAGGCTATGTTTTGAGACAGAGTTCTTGATCTGCATTACTTAGGAAAGAATTACTTCAGGCAGAGGTATACTTATTACTTACTTAGGTTTTATAACTTTATTTAAATTGTTAGTGGCTGTGATTCTAAAAGCATGAATCTGTAATAGATTTTAAGAACCAATCTTGTCTGTCCTTTTGCTTTTAGATGGGTACATTTTTTAGGACATATTCAAGACAGGTCGTTTTTAAATCTCTCTTTGACAGTCTCCAGAAAGTAGGGGTAGACCCTCCCCAGGCATCCTACTCTAATGTTTTATCCTATGATAATCCCACAGTTTGGCCAGTTAGAATCTTTTCTGTTAGAATTTAAGCCTGTTTCTCCTGCTTTGGGTTTCTGTTGCCATAGTGATAAAATGTTCAGCATTCTGTCATTACTTGAACACAATAATGAACTTGACCCTTAGGTTTTGTTTTGTTTTGTTTTTTAGTTTTTTGCTATATAAAACAGCTTTCATTCCTTTAGCTTTTCTTAAATGTGAATAATTTTCTATTCTGTTAGTCACATTGATAATTTTTCTTTGATTCCTCTGGAGTTTCACTTACAATGTGTAAATGACCTCAACTTATTTTAAAATAAAGACATAGTAACCAACATAAAATCTAGCAGGATTAAATTCACACGATTTGCATGGCTTTTTTTTTTTAATGTTCAACAATTGTGGTATTTTTTCCTTGACAGTTATGATTTACTGATTTATAAGTCCAGCTACATCAACCAGGTCTATTTTGATCATTCATTAAAATGGTCATAATTGCAGCACCTCCTATTTAGATAACCCGTGACAGATTGGAGACTTATCTGTGAAGCAAAAGGTCTTACTAAGGAAATGGAAAGTATAAATCATGCAAAGCAGAAATATCCATTTATTTACAAATAATATATATCTGTGATAAGTAGATATTAATCTATTACATATTAATCACTGCTTTGACAGATCCTTTATTAATTATATACCAGTCTTTTCTTTTGATGAAAGTGTTTTTTTTTTACCACTAGCTTATCATAGTGCCAAGAGTAATAAAAATTATTTTTATAAAAGTACTGTATTTCAAAAGGCTGCTCCGCTGCACATTTATTCAATTTGCAAATTAAAACCATGTAAAAATTAAAGGAGTTTAAATATAATAGAATATGTAGTCAACTTTTGGTTATGACAGCAACGCAACTCCAACTAATGCAAGCAAACAAAAGGGACTTTCTTGGTTTACACAATTGTGGGAAAGATAAGGGTTTTGCTGGTTTCAGGGACACCTGGATCTAGGAACTCAAATGCAATTAGATAATAGTGACTTTTCTCCTCCTTTTCTTTTATTCCTCCTCTCTTATTTTCTCTCTCCTCTCTTATTATCTCTCTCGTTTGTCTGCTGTCCTATCTCTGTGATGCTGGGAACATATGTTGAAGCCAAGAGGACAAAGTTCTTGTTAGCAAACTCAAGTTTAAAAAGTCTAGAGTCGAGGCTGGGCGTGGTGGCTCACGCCTGTGATCCCAGCACTTTGGGAGGCCGAGGCGGGTGGAACACCTGAGGTCAGGCATTTGAGACCAGCCTGGCCAACTTGGTTAAACCCCATCTCTACTGAAAATACAAAAATTAGTGGGGTGTGGTGGCAGCCACCTATAGTCCCAGCTACTCAGGAGGCTGAGGCAGGAGAATTGCGTGAACCTGGGAGGCGGAGGTTACAGTGAGCCAAGATTGTGCCACTGCACTCCAGCCTGGGTGACAGAGTGAGACTCTGTCTTAAAAAAAAAAAAAAAAAATCTAGAGACAAGTTTGGGTCTAGTTCACATGCTCATCCCTGGACCTACCACTGCGACCGTGGTATCAGGCACTCTGGCTCAGCCAAGGTTATATGCCCATGTCTCTGTGTGGAGTGGGTGAAGGAGGAGGAAGTAAATGATATGCAGTTTGATATAATAGCAAATAACCAAGGGGAATAGCAATAACCAAGGGAAAGGGAAGCTGAACATTTATGATATCCTGTAGTCAATACCCCCTTAATTTATTTTTTGCATGGCTTAAAGCCAGGGCTCTTATTTCCCATTTGGGGCTTTCTGTTTTTTTCTTGAGCTTTTAATGAACGTTTACATTTCATCAGTTTGGATTTCTTTGCTGCCAGTGTTGGATATTTGCTTTTTTAAAAACAAACCAAAAAACTATCATTTAATATATCCACCTTTCTACTTAGACTCCATCTTGAAAAGAATTATATTGGCCCATTGGACACATTTTCTCCCAAGAATTTAAACTGTGAAGTAAGGGATGAAAGGATATGTGTCAATGTTTGAAGGACCAGGCAGGGCTGTGGCATGTCTTTGCCTGTGATTCCTATCAATTATTGTATCCTGGTTTCAGTTTTCTAGTTCTCTTTTGAGTGGGTTCTTATATTCTTTCAGGAAAGTTTATTTTTGCTAATAATGGCCAGTGTCAATTTCCAGTGCTCACAAGCAAGAACCATGCTTTCAGAAGGTTGGTATAAGAAGGCTACTGCCATTCTCATGAGACTTGTAGGACTCTTTGACAGTAGAGAAATCACAGTAGAAAAATACAACTTCTATTGTTTGCCCTGTATGTTGCTTCCCTTTGATAGCAGGGACTCACATTAAATGAAGCCAAGAAGTTACATTAGAGCCTTTGCTGCCCAATATGATATTACTAGTCACAGATGACTGTTGAAACCTAAATTTAAATTAGAATTTTAAAAAATTAAAATTCAGTTTCTTCAGTCACATGAAGTACATTTCAAGTGTGCACTAGCAACATGTTGCTAGTGACTATCATATTGGAAGGCACAGATTGTAGAATATTTCCACCATCAAAGAAAGTTCTATCAGACAACACTGTTGGAGTATAAACTCAAGGGTAGGCATTCTGTCCTTGTTATTTTCTGATGTATCCACAACACTTAGAATGGGCTTAGCATGTATAGGTACTCAATAAATATTTGTTGAATGTCGAAATAGCATATATTGGGAGGCCAAGGCGGGCAGATTACCTGAGGTCGGGAGTTCAAGACCAGCCTGCCCAACATGGAGAAACTCCGTCTCTACTAAAAATACAAAAAATTAGCCGGGCGTGGTGGTGGATGCCTGTAATCCCAGCTACTTGAGAGGCTGAGGCAGGAGAATCACTTGAACCCAGGAGGCGGAGGTTGCGGTGAGCTGAGATCACACCATTGCACTCCAGCCTGGGCAACAAGAGTGAAACTCCATCTCTAAAAAAAGAAAAAAAAAAAAAGAAATAGTATATATCAGTATATCAGCTGCCTGCCACAGAAGACCTAGACCATGATCCTTACGGTTGACTTCCCTATACTTTGAAGGGAACTTGAAATAGTTCCATCTTAATGTTATTCCAAAGTTTCCATTTAAACTTATTTATAGCTACATTTTCTGTTGTAACTTGGCCCTCCAGTTCACCTACTATTTCTGCCTTCATAATTACTTCAAAAGTATAAAGTACTTGATCTCATAGTTAACTTTTCCCCCAACTTACTCATCCTTCACCCTCTGATTTCTCCCTATCACCTACTCATTAAAACTTTTAACAGTTTCCACTGTAGCCTCTGGAATCCCTATTCTGATACCAATAACTTTTTTTGCAATCTCAACATTTTTTTAATGCCTCTCCCCCTGCTGAAAACTGCTTTCTTCCTCTCATGGCATATAACCTGGAATGCCTTTTAAGTAGAAATTACTTTTCCTTCCTCTCTCCTGCAACAAGAGACCAAGAAGAGAAATGAGCATTTGTAAGCCCCGTTTGTGCTTCCAGTTCATTGTTTGAGTATGGTTAAAGTGATTTTTTTCTTTGATATTTGTGGCATCCAGTTTTATACCTGTCTTTTATCTCTTGCAGTTAATGACCTACAGTGTATTCCTTAACAGTCGCTGAGGACTTTGATATCTGGCTCAACTTTTTTCTGTTTTCTGTTTCTCTTACCATCATTCTTGGTGACTATGTATTCATATTGTTGAACTACCCAACACCTTAGCCTTACAGTTTATTCTATCTGCACTCTGGCATTCTTTTATCTTTATTCTACTTTAGCATCTTGTACACCTAGACGCTTCTTGGACCTTGTCGTCACCTAGAACTGATCACTTCAAAGACATAAATATCTTTTCTTTCTCTTATCCATGCTCCTGTCACTGAAGATACTGAAATTAGCAGTCTTTGGACTTCTCTTTTTCTTCCAGCCTATTAACCTGGCTCCCTTGCTTCCTTTTCAGCTTGGAAACTGTTCGATGTTCTTACTTGTACATAAGCTAAGGATATGAATTTTCTCAACTTCTTGCCATCTTATAATTCCGGTACCTTCATCCATTCTCTCCTCCCTTTCTATTTTGAAAATGTCCTTTTCCCCTTTACTTCTTAAGTGAACAGTGCTTTTAATCCCATCTCTCTACTTCCTCTATACTCTTCGTCACCTGTATCTTTAATTTCTCTATCTCGGACTCTTATTTTTCCTTCAAGATCTAGTTCAAATTGCATCTCTTTTATGTAGCCTTAACTTATCCTCTAATGAAAGTTAATTGCAGTTTTTTCTGTTCCTTGTACGTCTGTTATAAGGTATATTTTCTTTTGACTTACTGTGACACACCTTGAGTATTCAAAACCTAATAAAAAGAGATACTGTACTTTACTCCTAAATTTACAGCACTGTCTTTTGAAACTATCTGCCTTTTTGAACTTTAATACCATTAGTCTTATTCCTATCTTATTTATCTTAAGATTCATTATCCCATAGAATCCTAAATGTAATGATCTTAAATCATGGACTAATTTTCTCCAAAAAAAAATGAGTTTTAGATTCTAACCCAGTACTGCTTCAACAAAATGACCTGAAGGAAGGTCTTGTTGTATATCATCTTCTATAGTCTACCACAATGGTGCTCTTACTTAGTTCATATTTTCATTTAGTTGTTTTCCCCATCCTTTCATATTTTAATGAATTTTCAGATACTCTACCATTGGTTTCTTTGGCTTCAGCTTTTGTATGTAGGGCACTATTGTTTCTCTTCATGTCTGTGTAACCTATATAGAAAGCATTAGGCCATAACTTTCTTAACTGGGTCATGTTTCTTGTTAATTTACCAATTGTATCCAGATTCTCAACTGGAGCTAGGATATACTTAGGGCCTAAGTTTTCTAACTGTGGACCTGAGCTGGGACCCACAGTGTTCTCTGTTCCATTTTCATCTTCATGATTTTGTGGAAAGAAACCTTTATAAGTCAGTAACCTAAAAGCCCCAAGTTAGCCACCCTGCTACCTGAGAGGCTGAGGCAGGAGGATTGCTTAAGCCAAAGAGTTTGAGCCCAGCCTAGGCAATATAGTGAGACCACATCTCTTATTTAAAAAAAAAAAAAGAAGGCACCCAGTTGATAACATTCATAAACATTTAATGGAGGAAGTGCACAGAAAGTTTGAATGAGTAATCATGTAGCTAGAATTATGAAATAAGAATGTGACTGGTACTGACGGTGGAGCAAAAGGAAAAGGACTGGCCCTCTTTAGATTTATCGTTTCTGGCATTTGTATGTAAACGTCTCAGGAAGCAATGGGTCATATCTTCAGGTTTTTTATGTTATATTATCCAATCATCTCACACATTTAAACAGCTAATCCATGATTTGGGTTGGTTCGTTCAGTCTGCCAACAAATGTTTATTGAGTCCTTATTGTGTTTAAAGCACAGACCTAGGGTCTTGAGAGTGTTGTCTAGATAAACACATTCTACTTGGGCAGATAAGACATGCTAATAATACCAAGCTATAAATAGGTGCCAAGTGAATTATATTTGAGATAGGCGTTTGAAGAGTTTTGAAAGGGAGGAGGCTGAAGGGCCTATCCTGCCAAACCTAATTAGTGTAATGTCTTCCTCATGAGGTTACTCATTTGGTCACTAGAGCTGCTCTGCTTTTTAAGGCTCTGGCTGTAGATGTATTATTCCCTTTGAAGAGTCTGCAAATGTGTAAGTATTCATTCATCTCAGGGATGAAAAGCTCCATAAGATATTTTATAGAATACAGGATGGTGTGTTGTATTAGTTTTCTTTTAAATCTGTAGCCTTGTTAGAAGGAAAATGAAGTAGCGTGTGTCTGAAAGAATTTTGCAAATTGTAAAATACTATATGGATGTAAGTTGGCCTCTCCTAAACTAGACTACTTTCTGATACCTTAGCAACACATTCTATAATTTTCCATGAAAGGCCACTTTTTCAGGCTGTTGTTTATGTATATCAAAATCCTACCTGTCAGGTTTTTATCCATGTAGCGTTCCCCAGTACCCCTGGACAGACTTGATTTCTTATCCTCTCTATGCCCCTAGTTTGTAGATTTTCCTATCACAATAGCAGTAATTTGTTTTACATTTTTGTTATACGTGAACACAACCTAGTTTCTTGAAGTCTCAATCTTTGGTTGTGTTTGTGCTCTGGTGTCAAACAGGCATTCAATAAAATGACTCTTTAATTCAGTGAAATAAATGAATCATGGATTCTTAATAATGCCTTTTGTTGGGTTGTGATTTTTAGGTTAAAACTTCAGCAACAAATTGTGACTATTGAAAATGCAGAGAAGGAAAAAAATGAAAATTCTGACCTAAAACAGGTATGATTTTAGCGAAGATTTTCCTTTTATTTTTTCAAGTGCTTCTTTAAATTTATGTTTTGCAAATTTTAAAAAAATTTTGCCATCAGTATTTTTAGAATCTAACCACAATTGGTAACATATTGTTGGAGGTGATATGTAAAGATAAAATGTTTTAAAATGTTTAAACTTCTATACTTTAATAAGCTTCTTTGGCTAACTGCTATTATTCTTAAGATATATATATTTATTTATTAAATGCTGTGGCCCATGATAATTTTTAATTACAGTTATAAGGACAGTATTTTAATATTCAGAATTTTAAAAACTCAATAGAAATATCATCCAGGTTTTAAGTTACTTGTGTGATTGACTTGTAACTTTATATCATGAGGTATTTTTTGCTATATCCCTATGAAATCCAAGATTTGTATTTATGGAAGGAAATTTGTGTTTATAATTAAAGTTATTTGGGTTCAGG